>NC_000005.10:51984807-52609807 GCF_000001405.40 Homo sapiens
CATTGTACAGATGTACAAAAGTATTTTCTTTGTATCCTTAGTCTATAAGCTTTTTACTATTTTTTAAATTTTAAATTTATCTTTTAGTTTTTAAACACTTTTGTTAAGAACTAAGACACATACATACATTATCCTAGCCAATACAGGGTCAGGATCATCAACATCACTGTCTTCTACCTCCACATCTCATCCCACTGGAAGGTGTGTGGGGGCAATAACATGCGTGGAGCTGTCATCTCCTGTGATAACAGTGCTTTCTTCAGGAACATCTCCTGAAGGACCTGCCTAAAGTTGTTTTACAGCTAACTTTTTTTTTTTAATATGAAGGAGTATACTCCAAAATAATAATAAAAAGTTCAGAATAGTAAATATGTAAACCATAAAAGCCATTTTTTATCAAATATTATGTACTGTATATACTTGCATGTGCTATACGGCTAGAGGCAAAGTAGGTTTGTTTACACCAGCATTATCACAAACATGTCACAAAAAGATCTTACAATGTCTACAACATCATATTGTTAGGAATTTTTCAGCTCCATTATGTTCTCATGGAACTACCATCATGTATCATTGACCGAGACATCATTATGTGGCTTTTGACTGTGTATGTGTATGTGTATGTATGTATGTGTATGTGTATGTATATGTATGTATATGTGTATGTGTATGTATGTGTATGTATGTGTATGTGTATGTATGTATGTGTATGTATATGTGTGTGTATACATATATACATACTATACATATATATGTATATATATTGTATGTGTGTGTGTATGTATATATGGTGGCTGTAGCCTGCTGTCTTACCTTCAAACAGGCCTTCTGGTAAAATACATGTTAATGCTTTGTTGACAGGCCACAGTATAAATTAGAGGAATTATGGTTCAAAGGAAAGGAATCTACCTGCACTTTCCTTTGTGGAAGATCTGCACCTTGCAAGGGTGTCAACAGCTCTTTGTCCCCACCTGGGCCTAACTTCAAATATTAGTTGGTGCTTTTCTTTCTGAATTGCATCCAGCTGAGTAGATGGCAAGCCCACAGTTCTCTCTAAAGTGAGTCAGGATTTAGTAAAGCAGTTGGGTTACCCTCTGGCACAAAGAACAACAACACAGCTGAGGATTGATGTTATTTAACAGCCAGCAAGAAAATTTCCAAGCATTCCTTCCATGTGATACCTGGAGAACAAGCTAGCAAATATTGAGTTCAGGTTTGTTTACTCTTGATATAATTTCACTTTTCTGTTTAAGCAAAAAACTTGAAAGACATTTTTTTAAAAGTCTCACACTGCTTCTGGGACATCAAAACATTATTTCTAAAGAGAGACTGGGTGATTTAATTATATGTTTTTCAGAAAATGTTGGAAATTTTTTTTCAAGTAATATATTTCAGTGATGTGAATTTAATTGCTATATTCACTGGACTACTGGGCCTCTAAATGCAAAATGTGCCTATATTTGTACATGTTTTAATCTAATTTTCAGAAGCTATATCTGAATAGGCATGATGAAAATGTGGAGTTTTTACAATTAGTTAAGATACATCCTGACTATATCTGATGCATTTCTGCTTTAAATAGTAAATTAAAAAGTTAATTAGATGCTTAATAGTCTGTCATTGGTGGGCAGTTGGAATCAGGAATATAGCATCACTAGGTATCTCCAGCCCTGTAACCAGGGATCCTAAGGATTTTAGCAGGAGGACATCCCTTTGCAGAGGAAAGCCCCTTAATCTCATAGTTCATTTGTGCAGCTTCTAAAATCCTCTTGCTCAAATGGGGCGCTGTGAAGTTTGGTGGCTTAAGTAAAGGATGGAGGTTGCCTCTGGAGATATCAGCATGGAGAAATGTAGGACACCAGTCACAGACATTTGTACTTCAGTTGCAGATTCTCCAGTACCAAGTAGTAGAGAAACAGATTAGAAATATTCCTAGGCTGTAAAAGTGCAGTGGTTAAGAGAGCAGGCTCTGGTGTCTGAACCAGGCTTGGATTCAGACAAGATCTCCCAGACTCTAGCTGGACATTCTTGATAGTTTATTTCATCTATAGAAGCCTCAGTTTTTTTATTTGTAAAATGGGGTAAAACAGGGCCAATAATACCCAATCCATAGCAGGTTGCAATGCCTACATAATTTAGATAATTGATGATAAGCACAGTGCCTGCGCTAAGTGCTCTATAAATGTGAGTAGTATAATAGGCATGGGGCCTGGATTTGGTGATATCATACAGCTGTGGGTCACAATGCTGCCTGCACATTAGAATCACCGAGGGAACTTTTAAGACATGCCAATGCCCAGGTCTACTCCCGGATATTAATTCAATTTAAAGCTCCCCAGGTGATTCTAATGTGCAGGCAAGGTTGAGCCCCACTGCTATAGTCCCTCAGATTTTCAAATCTGTCAGGGCTTTTAGTAATCAGCTAAACCAATGCCCACATTTTACAGCTGGGGATGAAGACCAGCATAGTGTAATAATGATTTGTCTAGGATCATTTTTAGTAAGTGGCAGAGGTGGTGCTGGAACAGGAGCTTACTGATTCCTAGCCCAGAGCACTTTCTTCTCTACTAAATAAATCAAAACCTGGCATATTTTCTATGATTGTTTTAGAGATTTTGTAATTTATTAAGTTAACTAGTAATGAGATTTAGTGTCAAGGTGGTTAAAAGAGTCTGGTTAGCATACCATGCTCCTCTGATATGATAGTATTCCTAGAGCTTTATTTATGGTACTCCTCTTATTTGGCAACCCTAAGATAAAAGAGAAAATAAATGATTTTACTAGAAAAAGGGGCTGTGTACATGATCTTAAATGCTGTGTTATTCTTTGAGGTTGATCCCAGCACAACGAAGCAAAACCATTTCTCTGTTGTGCCCAACTTTCTTAGGTACAAGCTACAGGTAGCTGATGGGCATCAGCTGATCTCCAAAAAGCTGGAGGACTGGAGAGTAGTTTCAAGGCTGTGGATTTCCAAGTGTTCCTCCTTCCCTTCCTGCTGTTGCCCTAGTTACACAGCTGCTGGAACAGCACCACTAATTAGGTGATGTCCCTTGTTCCCCACCATCTGGATGTCACGGCCCAGTCCCAGCCCAAGTCTCCCTTGTGACTCTCCTTCCTGGCATTGTGTACCATGCTCTCAACCCCTGCAAAGTGCTCTGTGATCCTGCCTACACTGGAGCTCATTGTGGGGTTCAGTGGTTAAGCAGGTGGCACAAGGGAAAGTGCCAAGGTCCTAGTCCAGAAAAGACTCTGAAGTGTCAAGTAACCAAGATAAGAACAGCGAAGCTGAAGTTAAGTCTTGTGTCACTAAATTTAGATATCTTCTCAGGAAGCAGTAACAATTCAATTGTTTTACTAAATTCTCAAAATGTGTGAAGCTTGCAAATATACTTCTGAAATCAGAGAGTTTACACAGTATTTGGATATGCCTTACTGTATATATTACAAAATATTAATTCTCTCTGTTTTCTTACATTTGTAATTTAGAATGTTATTTTCAAG
Organism: Homo sapiens; assembly: GCF_000001405.40. Taxonomy (NCBI): domain Eukaryota; kingdom Metazoa; phylum Chordata; class Mammalia; order Primates; family Hominidae; genus Homo; species Homo sapiens. The sequence goes on from NC_000005.10 coordinate 51,988,309, forward strand.
CCTTTCTGTATCTTTTCTAAATCCAAATTTCTTAATTTTTTGATGGAGTCTTCACTACTTCTAGTCTAAATGTGTGTGCATATTTAACTAAACCAAGACAACATGTATTCTAATGTTTATATTTCAAGAAGATTCATAGTTATTTAAGAGGTCTTGATAGGAATTGAAAACACATTGGATTTTTACATGTGATACAAAGTTAAGGTTTACTTAATAATTTGTATAAACCATTACTCTTAAAGAGATTGAACTGTATCTAGGCTAAAATTCCCAGATTCATCCTCCTTCTGCCAAATGTTATTAGCAGCAAGTTAAAAGTGGGCCTGCTGTCACTGTGACCCCAGCTGACCTCTTAATTTCTTGAGTTCAAGTCCAATTAACCTCTACGAAGAGGCACAACTGTTCTAACCAGACAGGTCAATAGAATCCAATAGTAATCATTTCATCTTCTGCCTTGTCAAAGGGTGGCCCTCCCACCTAACCCATTTCACACAAAGGTGGTCATTTATCACCGTTTAGAGAACTGTACTGAGCTGTGTCCTAGCCTTGCCTGAAGTACATTCATCAGTCGTTTGGACAGGAGCTGGGGCGTGCCTTGCTGTGGACGGGCCCAGCAGAAGGTGCTACTAGAAAACCTTCCTTGTCTGGACAACCTGTTGGTGCTCTTTGCAAAACGACACCCAAAGTTTGAACCCAGAAGGCAACTGAAACTGATTAATGGGTATTTCCTTCAAGGAACGACTCCTCCCAATTCCTACCCCCATTAATCTATAAAGCCTTTCTTTCAGGAGAGGTTAGACATTATTATGATAATTTTTAAAAGACTTACTTTGAAAGTCATGGTGAAATAAGATATTCAAAAGCAATAGACATTTATAACCAAAGCTAGTTCCTAACTAGGCTGCTTTTGGAAAAGTGAGGGGTAGAGCTTTAACTGTGTAGTTAACATTTAAACCCATTTTCTAGACAATTCCTCACAAATTCTAGATGTTCATTATGATGTATCGATTTTTGGAAGTGGTTCTTTGAAATCGTTTTTTTTTTTTTTTTTGGTCTGGAGAGGACTTGGTTTTACTCCAATGTTACTATACTTAAAAACTTTGGCTTATTAGAAATTGAATTCTAGAAAGAATCTAAAAACCAAATTATGTTAACATATTTTCAGTGTTTCCAATTAAATAAGATATGAGTGTGGAAACCTGATATTTTATTTATATTCCTATGGCAGGGCTATATACACAGGTATCTACTTATGCTTTATATTTTATCATTTAAATTAATGTGAAAATTAAGAAGAATTAACAAGAAACCAGTTATTGGGAGAATATATGTCTGCCTTGTCAGACGTTTAAAACTAACAAACACAATAACTCAATGTATTTTTTTTTACTTCTAAGTTGGATCTTTTGGGGCTCAGTGAGTTTATTTTTTTTCATAAAAAAACAAAAAATTACCAAGGTTCAAAGTCCATCAGCATCGCTAACATATTGAATATATCTTGCCCTTCATTTTCCTTCTGCTTCTTTTTTACATTCCACTTCTTCTCTTACCCCCAAAGAGTATTAACTGCAAGGCACAAGCAGGGATGTAAAATTGGTAGAATGAACAATTCCACTTCCAGACTAAGTCACTCTTCTAAGTAAGACCACTAAAGATATCATGGATCCTAAGTTATAAGGAATTGATCCCTTGCTTTCCAGATCAGCACTGTCCAGTAGAACTTTCTGTGAAGATGAAAGTGTTATATAACTCTGCTGTCTAATGCTGGAACCAATACACCCATATGTGCCTACTGAGCACTTGAAATGGATGAATGCTACTGAGGGATGGACACAGGGTACCTAGAATACCCTCAGTCTTCACTAGGTAGGACTTAGCAGGTTGATTCTTTCCTTGAAATTGGAAAAATGTCTTAGACTCTCAAATGTACAATTAACCTTAAAGTCTGTGTCTGCCTTTCTTTACATTCTCATTGAGTCTGTGGCTTTAAGTTGTGTGGACAGTGACACATGCACGGAGAGGATACACTGATCTTCATGACCCATAAAAAAGACCTTTGTCTCAGCATGGGTAGTAACATAGCCATGTGGAAATTAGTGTTATCTGCAACAGGAGTTAAAATAGAAACTTTTATGTTATCTTACCACCTTCCAGGTGGCTAGTCTCAAAGTGGTCTGAGGCTAGTGTTCATGGATTAACTCGTAAATGTACAGGAATTAGGTTATTTTTGACACACAAAAAAATGTTCCTCATATTTCATGCACATATTCCTTATGGTTAACCAAATGTCTTCTGCAAATAAGTTGACACTGGATATAAATATTTTAAGACATACAGAATTGACATAAGTAAAAATGTAGGCAGCTTTTGAATTACTGTTATGGAGATATGAAATATTGTTTCTGTGAATTAGCCAACTATCCTATGATTGTTCAAATGCATGAGACACAAAACAGCAGTGAAAAAAATCCCTCTAATTTAGTTGTTCAGTTTCCTACTGTCTTGTATTAAAAGCTACCTAATAGAATTTATAGTTGGAGAAACCTTTTAGGCAGCACTCTTTGTATTTTTTATTAAGTCCAAACCCAGAGAATCTACTTAATGTCAATTTTGTACAATGGTTGTACTGCACAGCATATTTTATTTTAAATCTGCAGGACATGATGATAAATTGATAATTGACCCCAAGGCCATTACAAATAAAGAGGCCCTGTTTTTCATTAGTACAGTAATACCTAGTCATAAGGGAAAGAAGACCAATGCTAATTTAGCCCTGAGAAGTGAGCAATCAAGAACTTGTGGTTTTAAAAACACACGTTTAAAGAAGGCAAATTTCTAGTTGTGAACAGTAAAAGAAAATTCAATTATAGGAACATGTGATTAGAAACATGCCAAGAGCAGTTTGTGTTGTGTGCTGATAAATAGAACATTCTTAACTGTGTTTACTTAAAAAAAAAAGTCCAGCTGAGAAATAAACTAAATAATGTCAGTTAATAGAATTCCTGGTGGTATTTTCGTTTAGAGTATGTAAATGTAATTTTCTCCCCTTAACGTCCCCACCCTAGAAGCAGTTTTCATAAAAGTTCATTCATGTGGAGACATCTGTTTAAACATGCTCCCCAGACCTATATGAACTTTATATCACCATATGTAGACTACCTGTCTTAGCTCTACTGGCTCTTGCTTCTCTAATAAATAAACAAAATTTGTTGTGAGGCTCTTGTTATAAGCAAAGATACCATGAAGAATGCAAAGTCTATAAAATATAGTCACTGATCTTGAGCATCCAAATATAAAGAAAATGAACACATCTAGAAGTTAATATTTTATAAATATAATAGCAGGTACTAATCAAGTATTCTGCCCACTCAAAAATATAGAGATAGCATTAATTGGTGAGAACTAAAAAGTCTATCAAGAAATATGTGGTGTTTAGAAATAGTCTTGAAGGATAAGCAGAATTTTAATTGATATGGTATTTGGGAGGTTTTGTTCTTCAAAGGACTCTATAAGGAATATAAAAAGACAACCCAAAGAATAGGGAAAAATATTTACAAAATCTCTCTCTAATAAGGCTTGGTATCTCTAAAAGAATATATACAAATGACCAGCAAACACATACAAAGATGCTTATCATCTTAGTAATTTGGTAAATGCAAATCAAAACCACAATGAGGTACCACATCACACCTACCCGGATGGCTAAAATAAAAAATGCAGACAATGAAAAGCATTGGTGTGGATATGAGGAAATTGCTTCTGGAATACCAAATGGTGTAGCCACTTTGGAAAACAGCTTTTCAATTCCTCGAGAAGTTAAAAATAGAGTAACATAGGACCCAGCATTTCACTCCTAAGCATATGCGCAAGAGAATTGAAAACATTTGCCCACACAAAAACTTGCACATAAATGTTTATATTAGCATTATTTAAAATATCCCCAAAGTAGAAATAACTCCAATGTCCATGAAGTGATGAATGGATAAACAAAATGTGCAATATCCACACAGTGAAATATTATTCAGCCATAAATAGAAATGAAGTACTGATACGTGCTATAACAAGCAAGATCCTTAAAAACGTTATGCTAAATGAAAGAAGCCAGACACAAAGGCCCTATGTTGTAAGATCTCATTTATTTGAATGGTCTAGAGTTGAGAAATCCATAGAAACAGAAAGGGCCGGGTGTGGTGGCTTGCACCTGTAATCCCAGTGCTTTGGGAGGCCAAGGTGGGCAGATCACTTGAGCCCAGGAGTTCAAGACCAGTCTAGGCAACAGGGAGAATCTGTCTCACCAAAAAATACAAAAATTAGCAAGGTGTGGTGTGCACCTGTGGTCCCAGCTACATGGGAGGCTGAGGTGGGAGGATCACTTGAACCTGGGAGGCGGGGTTTTCAGTGAGCCCAGATCATACCATTGTACTCCAGCCTGGGAGACAGTGAGACCCTGTCTCAAGAAATGAGAAAAAAAAAAAAAAAAAAAAGAGACAGAAAGTAGATGTGTAGTTTCCAGAGACTAGGAGGAAGGAAAAGTGGGGCGTGACTGTAATGGTTACAGGGTTTCTTTTTGAGGTGATAAATATATTGTGGAATTAGATAGTGGTGATGGTTGCACAACTTTACGAATATGCTAATAACCACGTGTACATTTAAAAGGTTTAATTTTATGGTGTGTGAATTATATAGCAATTTAAAAAATAGGATACAAGAGGGCACACGGGTAAAGTGAGTGGATAGTATAAACAAAGGTGGGAAACTGTGAAGAGAACTAAGATATATTTGGAACAGGGTAAGTAATCTTGTTGATTGTAGTCTTGGATGGATATGCAGATAGATAGACAGACAGATAGAGATAAAATGGTAATGCTAAAATGTCAAATAAAGGAAAGATCAGGGAGTGCTTCCACAGGACAGGCTAAAGAGTTTGGCATTTATTTGTTGATATTAAGCAGTCAAATTAATTTGGTAGTAGGGCTATTTTAATCTAAGTTGCAAGGAGAAAAAGCTGGAAGGAGCAAATCATCTATTCACAATAAATATCAGTTGCTCTGAAAGATAAAGTGTCACACCTCGTGGGTGAGGTAATGTGGGGAGAGGGTCAAGGGAGTGGGCTAAGGAGTCAGAAATGACTCAGAGAAACAGCTTCCCTGAGCCAAGAACTTCCCTCTGACCAGAAGAAAATGTCTCCTGGTCTCTATCATGGATACCAAATAAAACGAAGTCTATATCTTTTTAAAAGTATAAAAAGAGGAATTTTATCCTTTACTCCAGAAATGTTATTAGATGTCGATTACGATTCTTCTTGAGGTTTTGCTAATAATTTTAACAAAGCCTTTAAATTTTTTTTTAACAGAAAAACAAACTAATGAACCGTGAGGAAGTTTAGTCTTACTAAGAGTTAGGAATTTTGTTAAATTTTTAAAGGAACTAAGGAACTAGAGGCTACAATAAATCTTAGAGTAGGCTGGGCACGGTGGCTCATGCCTGTAATCCCAGCACTTTGGGAGGCCGAGGCAGGTGGATCACGAGGTCAGGAGATCAAGACCATCCTGGCCAGCATGGTGAAACCCCATCTCTACTAAAAATACAAAAATTGGCCAGGTGTGGTGGCGCACGTCTGTAGTCCCAGCTACTCAGGCAGCTGAGGCAGGAGAATCACTTGAACACAGACGGAGGTTACAGTGAGCTGAGATCATGCCACTGCACTCCAGCCTGGGCGATAGAGCAAGACTCTGTCTCAAAAAAAAAAAAAAAATCTGAGAGTAAGTGGAAAGCATCCATGGACAGGACTATTTCAATTCATGTGCTGGGTGGGCAATTTCCCCTTAATGATGAAAGGAAGTAAGTTCATTTTATCTGTGGAAGACTTTAGAGGATATAGACAGAGCACAACCAAAGATAACTGATCATAGGGCACCATTGTCTCTTGCTGGGATCAATGGCCAGCTGGCACAGCAAATTGTCCTCTGATATCCAAGGTTGTCCACGACATATTGCAGAATTTTGATGGTCCTGAATATATTATCATTTATAAGAATTTGCATATAGAACAATGGACAATTAAGTTATAAATTTTTTGCACATATACTTCAGAAAAGAAAAAGGACAAGGAATGGAGCCTTTCCTGAGAATGTTTGCCCAAGAAAGCTAAGTTTGTATTAAAATATAGATAGGCAAATAGAAACAGAAAGTATTTTTGGTAAGTAGATTCCATGACAGGCAGAAGAAGGCAATGACTATATTTTAGGAGAAAAATGTTATAGAAAAAAATAAGTTTAAAAACATCTAACACGTCAAGGAAAGAACTCAGTGTGTTATTGGATGAACACGAATGGTGAGGACCCTGCCTAAGTACCAGTGAAATTCCAGCATCTGCAGCAGATGATTTGATATGGCAGAACATTGAGTGATTCCAGCAAGAGGCAATAGTGCCCTTTTATCAACTCAGGGGCAGTAAAAATGGAGAGGAAAGTTGAATTTAAGTGGAAGTTTGAGGAAATCATTAAATGTGGCTGATTCAGAAGTGTGGACAGCCTTGGATGTCAGAAAGAATATTTAAGATGATAAAGAGAGACAGCAAAGATGTGGGCCATGAAGAAAATGTTCGTCCACAAAACAACTGCATGATTCTCTGCTAGGCTGATTAATAACAGGGTGGCAATATTAACAAAGAAAGAAAACTTTAGAAAGGAGACACTGATATAATTTATCCATTGATTCATCAAACACTTTCAGATATTCTTCTTTACCTTGTGCAGTTAGCCAAGCATCAAGAGTACAGTGATGGAAACAATATAATCTCCGCTGTTCAGGGTCTCTGAGAGCTTATCTGTCCTTGTAAACAATTGCAAATACAATATTATAAGCACAAAGCTGTGAGTAAGACAAAGTTGGTGAAGTAAAAATCAGAGAAATTGTCACTGAAAAGGGTCTATTCGAGATGGGATTTAAAAATTAATAGGAGGCCGGGCGCAGTGGCTCACGCCTGTAATCAAAGCACTTTGGGACGCCGAGGCGGATGGATCATAAGGTCAGGAGATCAAGAACATCCTGGCTAACACGGTGAAACCCCGTCTCTACTAAAGAATACAAAAAATTAGTCGGGCTTCGTGGCGGGCGGCTGTAGTCCCAGCTACTCAGGAGGCTGAGGCAGGAGAATGGTGTGAATCTGGGAGGCGGAGTTTGCAGTGAGCGGAGATCGCGCCACTGCACTCCAGCCTGGGCGACAGAGCGAGACTCCGTTTCAAAAAAAAAAAAAAAAAAAAAAAAATAGGAGCTCACCATGCCAGAAATTAAAAAAAAAAAAAAACAAACAAAAAAAACATTTAAAAGGCAACATAGCAGTGTTTGCAGCCATGAGGAAACCAAAATTAGGGAGTATTCTGAGTCATGTTGAAAAATTTGGTGACATTAGATCCAAGCATCCCAGTACCGAGGAACTACTGGAGAGGAAGAAGATGAAGGAAGATGCTGAAGATAATATGAACTTCAGATTTCGTTCCACAGGCAATGAGGGGCCAGTGAACGCTGTAGAGCTGGGGAATAACGGGATTATATTTACATTCTAGAAAGGTTAATTTTGTGGTAGAATCTGAGAGTGAAGGGGTGAGAAGGCTGCCTAGAATCTCGCTCTCTTCTGATGAGAGACTGAGATGATGAGGACCTCCTCGGGCTGGCTGAGGACATGGAGAAACAGAAACAGATTTTGGAGCTGTTTAAGAGGTTAAATCACCAGAAAGAAGTGATGTGATAGAGGGAGAAAGTGAGAGGGAATGGAAGCTATCAAGGAAGACTGGAAGGTTTCTGGTTTGTGTGACATGAAATGGATGTGTCATTTGGGAAGATATGAAAGACTGGAAGAGAAGCAGTTCTCAGGTGGAAGAGGGGCAGACAATAAATTCATGTTGGTATATGTTAAAAATGAGTTGCAAACAGCACTCTACTTTGAGCTCTATAGGACATTTCCAGAGACATGGCTGCTCTGCATCTTCAAGTTGATGAAGGAAGGGCAATTAGTCTATGTTTTTCTCTGCATCCAAAGATGCAGTATGGGAATATGATTCCTTTAGTTTTTACCAGGGTCAGTAGTGCAATTTAATTGCTTTAGGGCCCTTCATCTTTTTTATTTACATGAGGAATATTTGGATTCCTGAACTAGTCTTGTACTTTTTTGTACCACTGATTGTTCTTTCGGTGGTGTTGTTAGAATTGAGCTAGTTATTTATAGTTCTCTGTTGAAAGAGCCCACAGGGAGGAGAGGTGAGCTGAGCATTTGAAATTCAGGATCTGGTTAATGTTGTCAGCTCAGTGGATTTGAGAATATTCACAGATAAGCAACTCAGAAGGATCATACTTGTATTGTAGGCCCTCAGGTATTCAGGAAATAGATCTTCTCTTGTGATTCAATAGCCATAATCCAAATTAAACATCTGGCTTTTCCAATGTGTATTTTTGAATGTATGTGTCATTTCTTCATAGACATATCAAATCATTACTATGTGGTAAGATTTTATCCAGAAGATTCTCTTCCTAAAACCTTTATATATGACCCTTTTAAAGCATAAAATTATTTTAGGTGTGAGTTTTTATTATGCAATACAAGGATACAGTCTTTAATTTTCTACCTTTAAGATATTGATTTAAATTTACATTACGATGCAATTGATTGAAAAGGTGGAGGGACAAAGTCCTTAGGCCATGGATACCTGAGGGGACAATGAATCAGGGGAGACAACTGGAGTGAAAATAAGACTATAATCTCCCAAATATAAACTTTGTTTCTATCTCATTATTTCTATTATCTCTCAGTCTAAGTCTCCAGACTTTGCATGTGTGTGTGTTTGTGCATAAAGAGTTTAGGAAATATAAAAATGCAGCAAGGTTAATGGGAAAAGGTCAAGAACAGGAGTTTCAAAATCCTGTTTCTGAAACTATAAACCCCTGAAACTGTCACAACCTGAATGTACATTATTTGATGATTCTCTCACTGGACAGGATAGTGAACGGGTACACCAGAGGGAAACTGAAAGTGATGATTATGGGGATGATGATAAGTATCAATTGGATAGATGTATAAAATATAAGTCTGTAGGTATACTTTGTAATATCCACACATGTCTTTTGAGAAATCTAAAAGTAGAAAGAACAGGGTGGCTCTTTTGGTATTAGATTTTTAAAAATAGATAATTTAATTGGATTTTAAAATTAACTATAAACATTGCAGACCCAAATGCCTTACAAATAATCTTTGGACCAAAAAGAAAGAAAAAGCAAGAAAGGAGAGAGGGATGGAGGGAGGAAGGAAGGGAGGGAGGGAAGGAGGGAAGGAAGGAAGGAAGGAAGGAGAAAAGCATAAAATAATTTATTATTTCATAAATAATGAATTTCTAAATAATTTATAAATATAATGTAAATATTTTATAAAATAATAAAAATGAAAAAGCCTGCAATCTAAAAAATAATAAAAAATAAAAAGCTTGCAATAAAAAAAAATTAAAAAGCCTGCAATCAGTCTACTCATTAGAGTATAGCACATAGTAATTGAATTAAAATTACTGATTTGTATTAAGAATCTGTTTATTGAGTCTGTCTACCTATATTTATTTCTGTCTTGTCTCCACTAACCTGTTGTTACTGAAATAAGTGTGAAATAAGCAAATACATGCACATTTACTATAGCAAACAGGCCGCCCACAATCTAATTAGACAAAACTCTGCCCATCTGCTCTGCATTATCATGGGGCCGGCTCAAATGGATGCTGTTTCATTACTAAAAGGCAGAGAGATGCAAATTGAATTGAGCTGGACTTCCTCTCAGACAGAGACCAGGGCATGAAGTCAAACCCTTGCTGTGATCTAACAAAGCACCACTGGGAAAAAGTGGGATGAGAGGGGATTTCTTTTTCTAAGGCCACATGTCTAGTACTTACTAGAGGCCATAAGGGAGTGTTCATCCTATTGTTTGGTACAAGGCTACATGAGTCACCACAATATAAACCTTGTTCACTATGCAAATTGTTGATTTTGGTACTTAGTCCCTTGTCACAGATGCCCTTTTATTAGCTATATGTCACGGCATGTTGAATTGGATTCAACATGAGTGAGACTATAACTAGTAGGACAGACATGATTGTTTGTTTCATACAGTTTGCAATTTGCATTTAGTACTAAGGTGTATACAGAGTTTAATTAAAATATATTGATGAAACTATTGTTCAAAGTAGGGTCCATGATATGCAGCAACGTGAACGCAGTTTTGGTGACATTCCTGACCAGTTTTAGACTGGTTTTGACAAATCTCTATTAATAGGGATAATTAACTGCTGATGTTTCCAAAAGATTTTAAAAACTCTTTGGCTTTAAAAATTTGTAAATTTAGAACAAGAAAAAAGCTAATATAGTGTATTAAAAGTTCTGCATTTTGATCTTGGAAACAGGCTTTGAAATGACATTTTTCTCCATATGATGAATTTGTGCCATTTTCTTCAGTAAAAGCTATTTTCCTGCACAAATGGATGCATTTTATCCTGGATTCCATTCATGCTTATTTTTTTAAAATGTTTATCTCTTTGTAGAAATGCACTCTAATAAGGATCCAGTCTTCCAAGCTTCAATAGGAGCAAAAAAATTAGATTTTATGTTAAATTTAAAGGTTTTTCCTGTAAGTATTTTTCCTGATAAAAGGTTACACTGTATCAAAAGAGAACTACATACAATTGGTAAAATCTTAAAAACTGGAGACATATGGTGACAGACTCAATGTTTCTTTTTGTACTTTCAGTGACAGGTGAGCCTGAAGTAGGGGGAGCAAAAGTTCCATGTCCCGAGTCTTCCCTATTGTACGCTATTCTCCATTCAGAGTTCATTCCCAGGTTGCCTCCAGATACTCAGACTTTCTTAGCCAATAAAGCCCATCCCTAGGCTCCTAGGGAAGAATCAGATGAACAGTTCTATCCTGCAGGAATAATTTTTGAGATTCAAAGTGTTTTGTTACACTTCTCTTCCATTTTGTACAGATTGGAGTCATCATTTCCAAATGGGGAAGAAATACCCTTTAGTGTTGAAACAGCAGACATTTGTGTCTCATGAGACTGTCCCAAACTCATAATAGACATCAATGAGTAATCATAAAAGCCCTGCTAACCTAGTACTCAGTGTACCTGTTGCTCTCATTACCCGGTGATAAAATGAAGACTCTTTGCTTTCCTTGCTCTGGCATCTGCAATACCTACCATGAATCTAAAATGGAAGTGGCTATTTGAGCTCCACAGGAGTAAATCCATTGTACTGGCCTACAAGTTAAGAAGAGGAACATAGGCAGATGTTGTGGTAACTTTGCTATTTAGTTAGATTGAATAAAACACATACCAAATAGTGTTCAAATCCAACAATCCCTTTTGCTTACACAGCTTCCTTGGACTCAACTCCACCTTTTGTGAATCTCTATATTGTGGTATCTGTGACCTGAATACCTGTAGTTCCTATTGCTTTTTGAGTATCCCATTTGGCTGTTCCTTCCATTTATTAAAAAATGATCGGCCTGGCGCGGTGGCTCACGCCTGTAATCCCAGCACTTTGGGAGGCCGAGGCGGGCGGATCACGAGGTCAGGAGATCGAGACCATCCTGGCTAACACGGTGAAACCCCGTCTCTACAAAAAATTAGCCGGGCGTAGTGGCGGGCGCCTGTAGTCCCAGCTGCTCGGGAGAATGGCATGAACCCGGGAGGCGGAGCTTACAGTGAGCCGAGATTGCGCCACTGCACTCCAGCCTGGGCGACAGAGCCAGACTCCGTCTCAAAAAAAAAAAAAAAAAGAAAAAAGAAAAAAAAGAAATGATCAGCCTGGGCTGTATGACTAATTTTCCCTTCAGTTGTTAATCTCACTATTCTTTGTTGTCACAGATGCGCAACACCCTCTTCACTTGTTCTAACATTGAGTTTTTTGTTCTTTTTTGTTGGTCATTGGTCATTGTCATTTGCTTTTCTTTTTTTTTTCTTTCATTCTTTTTCTCTTCTTTTCTTATTTTTAGAGACAAGGTCTCACTGTGTCACCCAAGCTGGAGTGCAGTAGCACGATCATGGCTCACTGCAGCCTTGACCTCCTGGGCTCAAGTGATCCTTCTACCTCAGCTTCCCAAGTAGCAGGAATTACAGGTGTGTGCCACCGTGGCCAGCTAATTTCTGTATTGACCTCCAGGACTCAAGTGATCAGCCCATCTTGGCCTCCCAAACTGCTGGGATTATAGGCATAAGCGACCGCAACCTGGCTACCTTTTTTCCTTTTTGTTGAGCAAGTAAATCTGTATTCCATTACTTTGCTTATACATAGCTCTACCTACTCATCTGACTAGACTTGTCTGTATAATGACAAATATATATATTTTTTAAAGTTTCTCCACTAACTTTGTTTCCAGAATAAAGTTCACTGTCTCAGTCTTTCCTGCTGTGTCTATCTACTGTTGATCACTAGTCACTCTAACAACTTATGAAGCATTTAACTTTTGGCATGAAAAAAGCTGTGCTTTCGGTAAATTTTACACACGAAGTTATGTTTGTAAAGGTTTAGGTGTAAAATAAGTTTGGGGATGGACATTTCAGGAGAAATTGCAACCTTGCCACTGCCCCTGATATTGTAGGATTTAAGTTGCAGCCTCTGCTTCTGGGATCAGCTCTGGGCACAAGCAGGAAAAAGACAGCAGTGATAAATTTTTAGACAATACAGCAAGCAATTTAACCTGATCCAACTCTTAACTAACTATTAAATCTTTACACCAAAATACTTATGGAGATAAAAATAATTAATAAAAAGTGATAAATCAGTTTGAATTCTTGAAACCTTTAGATTACATTATTTTGATTTTGTTTCTAGCATATATTCAACTAATTTGTAGATAATACCTTTAATTCATTTTAATTATAAAGTAGCACATGAAGACTTTTGAATATATTGTTAACAGATATATAGCTTCTAATCTAGGGAATATTTGAACGAGAATTGGGATAGAAGGAGAGATAGAAAAAATTCCTTCAGAGGTAGATGCCTGAGAGGAAGACACACATATTTGGTGCATAACTCATTTTATCTTTTGTGAAAGAATCTATGTAAGACAAGGAACTAAAACTCAAGTGTGTCAGGGGGCCAGGCCTGTGATATAAAGGAGTGAAATCAGCTGGTTGTTGGCAAGAAGTAGAGACTGGAAAACTGGAAAGCACGTGGCCTGCTATTCAGATCCACCTATTTGTGGTCATCTTATGGTATTTCAAAAGAAGCCAGAAAGCCAGATTAGCATGTGAAACCATTCATTATTCAAATTTCATTCAAATGTTTGAAAACCTGATAGGCCCCTCCCCCCCACCAAATATCTGTAGTCTCCATCATAGCCTGTGGGCTGCCAGTTTATAATCTCAAATATAAGCTTTATCAAACTTATTTCATATCTATTTGAACTATAATTCTCTGCTTCCAGTGAGGACTAGTCCATGTTAGTTTAGGTCCCTTTGAGGCTAGTATTTAATAAGGACTCAAAATACATTTGTTGAAAATACGCTGAGAATTGCCTATTACAGTATAATCACACCTTCCTCTTTATACTCTTATAGTACATTGGGCTAATGTAGCTGATTAGTAAAATGGGGTTTTAGACATACCCATTCTATAAACCCTAGTGAAACTAGTATATTTTTGATTATTAAAAATAAGTAGAAATTAAATTTGCTGTTGCAGCATATTGGTGATTAGAAATTCTTAATTTAATGCCATTGATAATTTTTATTTTTAGCAATGTAAATGGTGATTAAATGTTCTAAGATCAGCAATTTTTACTTTATGTTTTCCTTCTTATACAAATAAATCAGTTTATGCATTTATTTTCCACCAAAGTTTGTTATTTGGTTTTGCAGAGTTGAGTAACACAGAGGAATGCATGGTGTAGCACATGAAATCAAGATCTCTTAGAGCAATATTATGAAATCTGTTTTAGGGCCTGTAGTGCTCCCCAAGGCCATAGATTCTTGTGTTCGATCATTTCCTTGAATTGTTTTCAATTTGTTTGAATGAAGTGTTCAAATTTGTACTTATTATCAATAACTTATTTAGATATTTGAGTGTGATGTGTTATAAAATTATTTTTTGGTTGCTGTTTATTTTTTGGTTTGAAGGGAGACAGTTTGTGTAATCCTTATCTGTGTTAAATTTGCTGTGAAAGAATAAATCAGAGGGAATTATTTAATTATCAGGTTTTTAATTTGTATTTTTAGTGCACTATTTTAACGTCTGTATGAATCTCCTTTGTCCTCTTTTCATAGGTCTGCCCATGAAGTGGGCTGGCATCATTCTCCAGGGATTCATCAGGTACCACAAACACATATGTATCACCTGTAAAAACATTTATTGGTGCAAGCAAAACCTTCCAGCAATCTCAAACAGATCTTTAAGGGCTGCTTTTTTTTGGTTTTTTTTTTTTTTTTTTTTTTAAACTTTAAGGGTTTTAAGTACCTGTTCCTGATGTGGAATATCTTGTTGCATCTTCTCTGAAGCTAGATAGAGGCTGAATCTCGACTCCAGGAGCTCACTGACTGTTTAGGGAGTTCACTGTCATAGAGGCAACACTTGAGAAATAGTTACGTCTTCCCACGTGAGCTATGCTGCTTTGGCAGTGTATGGATTATGTATGGAGGGTACTACTCCAACTAAACTATTGAATTCTATTATCACCTTTGCTATAAAGCCATATTTTATGGTGGAGGCAGTCAATAGCCATAACCACCACTTGATACTACCTCTTCTGTAGGCTGTTCTATCAGCCAATGGTATTACTTTATACATATCATGAGATTTTGTTCAGTGTGTGCAAGCTGTGGTAAGACAACTTTAGTGATGCATTAACCAAAGGTAAGACATTTCAGTGAAACAAGGATTGATACCCATGGCCAAAGTTTGTGTGACTATGGGGAATGTGTTGCCTACAGGAGGTTTTCGTGCTTCAGGTTGGAATTGGAGTCAGTGAATGAGAGTAGAAGAAAATGAGAATAAGACATGGAGGATAAGTTATCAATCTACCAATGTTAAAGTCTAAAAGCCTGATAACTTAAAAGTCTTAGTCTGATATCAGAAAGGTTTATATCTATGTGTTTCTGTAAAACTTGAACAGAAGTTTGGGGGTAGATATTTATTAGGGAACGATTTTTACATTGGATCAAAACATGTAAGATAGGTAACAGTAATTTCTTCTGCTTCAATGACTGTAATAACAAGACATATTAGCCAGAAAAAAAATAGAATGTATTAAAAAAATAGAGTTGAGTGATATTTATGAAAAAATGTATCTTGGATTAAGGAGTATGTCTATGAAGGTGGTGGGGCTCAGAACATGATACCCCAAAGTACGTTGTCTTGGCATGCTGAGTACTTTGAACTAAAGGAGATTAGAAGGCCTCAGAAGCAAGTTCTCTTGGCCTTCTCCTGCCTTCTTGTCTCCTGTCTCTCTTTTCCATCAGAAGAGAGTCATGGAAACCAGAATTCCTCTTCCCCTAGGGGGATCATAGAAATTAGAAGTCTTTTTCCCCAAAGCAATCCATAAAACCTAGAAAGGTCACTTCCTCCCTTCTTTCTTCTCCCTTGAAGATCCTTGTTCCAGAGGGACCCTGCTCCATACCATATGTGGGGGGAAGGAATGCTACACAGAGAGGCCAAGAAGAACATGAATAGCCAGGCTTTGCCTGGTTCCCCCCTCAGTCTATTACCATTCGATTATTTCCTTTTGTCTAATCACATTTCTACATGACTATCCATTTGTCATTGAACCTAAGCATAACAAAGGGCAGTTTTTCTTTGGGTCTTTGGGTCTTTCCTTTCTGAAGGCTCCCATGTCATGTAAAACTTTGAATAAATACATTTGTTACAGTCTTCTCTTATTAATCTTTTGTCATAGGAGTATCAGTTGTGACCCTTATGATGGGTGATGAAAGGTATCACACCTTTCCACTTCTAAAAAGGTAACTGCTATTTCTGCCCATAAGAGTTTGTTTAGGCTAACTTAAGGCCAGAAGAATTTCTGAGATATGGTTAACTAAATGAAACATAAATATGATACATATATTTTCATCATTTCTATGAAAATATATAGTGCTAACTTTTTTCATTGAAATTGTTCAATACCCTAGTTACATTTACTTATGATTATCATTGTGTAAGAATCATAAGTAAAAAAGGAGATTACTTAACTAATATAAAATTTATGAAAAAGGACTTTATTCCTAGTTTAAGGAAAATAATTTTTTTTTTCATTTTTGTGTCCAAGAGCTTTTAAGAGTGTTCATGAAGTAGGAATTGTAATGCCTACTTGACTGGCTGGCTGTGAATAAGATATGTGATGATATGTGAAAACTACCACCAATATGCCTAGAAAATTTAGGTGATCAATAAATACTTATTTCTCCACCTCATCTCCACTATGTCCCCTTCCTTCCACCTTACTTTTCTAATCTGCCTCTTATTTGGACCATTTGAGGTTAGTATTTTACAAGACATATTACTTGGTGATTTTCAAATATCCTTATTGTCTACCTTTAATTGCTTAAAGTGTTTCATCTTAAGCAAGCTATACATTTGACTATTTTACATAAATAAATATTGTTTTTTAAGTCCTGTATTCCAAATGCCCCTGGGTCATTTGAACTATACCAGATCACACATAGTTCTCCAAATACGACATAAACTTTGACGATGTGCTTCTGATCATTCTGCTTATATTTCCTGGTATGTCATTAATTGCTCTATTGCTTTGGTATTCAAAGTATTTGAAAATATCTTATTTTTGACATTTATAGTACATTCAAATAACTTTTACTCTCTGATAAATAATGACCTTTTTCAGAACAGGGATCATGTTACTTTCAACTTTGTATCTTGGGTGCATAACACAGAACCTGGTCTTTATTAGGAATGCAATAATGGATTGTTGAGTAAATGAGTAAATTAGACCACCAACTATTAACCAAATATAGAAATCAATGAGAGCTGTGAAGCCATGCACCAACAAAGTAGGTTTAAACCTTTGATTAATGTCCTGATGTATGAAGGATGGGATTTAGATACTCAACATACAGCAAAAGTGTACCCAAGATGGTGTGGTACTATCCCCAACTCCTCTCTTTTACCCCTTCTAATCAGGAATCATACCACAATGCAGGTGAGTAAGAGTTATGATCTTTAGAAATAAACCATGAATATGTATTTTAAAAAATAAGAAAATCATTTCTAAATTTTTTGTAATTCCTTCAGAGGTATGCTTCTAAAAGGAAATGATTATGAAGGAAATTGTCTCTATAATGGTTAAATGCACTACTGTTTTTTACATGAGGAAATATTTTTGTTTAAGCACAAGACAGAGTGGCATTACATTTCCTGGAATTTATTATTAGTCAATAATAAACTGACTTTGCCAGTAATGTTATCTTTCATTCTTGGAAATTCACAATGAATGTTGAATGTTGAAGTATCTGAAAAGTCTTGCAGTTGAGATACAGCTTGGTAGGGATCTGAAAAGCATATGTATTAGCTACATACCAATTATAATCATTTTTTACCTAAGAAAGTCCTGAAGTTTAACTTGTCTACACTTTCAGTTAAACCTTTGATTTTCTAATATTGATCTAGAAAATGATTTACTAGAAGATTCTCAATTATAGAGGAGTCCAGCTTTCACCCAGAGGAGGAGAATGTAGAAGCTGGCTCCATATTAGGAAAGCATTTTATTAGTTTGAGATAATTTTAGTGCCCAGGTATATACTTCCATAGTATATTTTGTCTATACATGCATTACATTTATTTACTGTCCTAACAGAGGAGAGTTGAGCAGAATATATGACTTAATAGTACTTATCATCTATCTTATAGTACTAAGTTTAATTCCTTTTTATAGTGTTAGGATTGATTAAGTTACATTAAGCTATCAAACAAGTCCAAAATCTCAGTGGCCTAAAACAATAAAGATCTATTTTTGGACCATGCTACATATCTGTTCTGGTAAACTAGGGATTTTCTTCCACTTTGACTTCACCAAATGATTGAGGCTGATGAAGAAGCCACAGTTTGGAAACTATCATTTTGACAATTCCATGTTTCTGCTTGGAAGTGACATAGATCACTCTCACACTTGTTTCTTTGCTAAAGTAAGTCACACACACATATGACATCAAGGGAACAGGGAAACACACATTTCTCTTTTACTCAGAAGTTAAGAAGAACCTAATATTACCTAACAGTAGTAATGCTACCATATTAGTCCATATTTATGAGACTATATGCCAAATTAGAAAATAATTACTTAAAATAAAATAATAGATTTATTTAAAAACAAAACAAACAAAAAAACATGAGAAGACCAAAGACTGCACCTAGCCTATGCTGTGGTTGTTTGGAAGAATGACATTAAAATCCCAGAATGACAGCAGTAACCATTATATTACACATCACTTAGAAGATTTTACAACAAAAATCTAGTATCACAGCATAGCAAATATTCCTATAAACTTTCTCTCCACAGATAAGGCATTCTGATTGCTTTGCATTTCCCCATAAAATCTATTTTTCAAACTTTGCACTGAGAAACACTTGTTATTTTGCAAAAGCCTTTACAAAACCTTCAACTTACAATTCCTTAATTGATGGGATAGATATAGCGGAGAGTCACATGTAGTCCACAGAATCATTTAAATTTTCTGCCTTAAACATATTGCAAGGGTGATAACATTTTACAGGTTCTCATTAACTGTCTTGATAGTGTTATAAATTGATGTTTGGCAAAGAGCAGTTTCTAATATACACGAATAATTTGAGAAGGATAGTGGAGATGGTATACTTATATCGCTGTACATATATAACTCATGAAAAGGAAAGATAAGGCCCAAAGAATGCCTGATTTAGTTTGGTGATGCAAGGTAAATCCACTAAGATTTGGTTTACTAAGAGCATGGAAAGTATTCTAATATACAAAGAGGTTTGTTCTTTTGTTGAAGTTTTGAACTTTTAGAGACAGAATCCTTGGTGTTAATTTAGACAAGCTGCACATCCCAAACCTGCACTAGGACCTTGGTTAGCTGCATATTCTGGGGGAAGATTGCCACCTACTGGAATACCAGCAGCATTCCCTCAGGTTTTATGGTCGATGTAAATATGGCTCCTTTAAAATAACATACCTTCCCACATTTATTTCAACGCAAACTCCTAGATATGAAATTAGTGTATTCTTCCTCTGAAGTAAGCTCAATATGACCTGCTCCAACCGTCAGCTGCTAATCCTCCCTGTTCCAGGTATCAATCCTACAGTTCTTTGGGGGTATGATAGACGAAGTTCTGGTTTTCTTAATTGCCAGGTAGGCATCAGTTGATATCCTGCCGCAATCAAACCCAGCTATTACCTAATAGATAACCACTCTAAAAGAAAAAAAAGTAGCATGATATTTAAAAAATTTGAATGCTTGGAGCAGTTTTACTGTCTAAAAAGTGTTCACCTTTGAAATATGTTTTTGACCACATATTACAAGTTTGTGAACAAGAAAAATAATACTACAATTTAAAATGTATTCATATAAGCAGCAAAACTGTTGGTGATTCGTCTAGGCAAATGGCATACAGCCAAAATTATACTTTTCCATTCTGTTGTCACAGTGTGGACTTTTGTAACATAGCAAGGGATTTCAATGCCATCTTTTGAGTATTGAATGAAGGGTGAATTTGAGACCACTTACAACTCCATCATCAATTTTAAAGGTAAAGTTGTTATAAATGTTATTGGGTTGATAAAACTTAATGGTTTGAGCAGATGAGCATACGGAAAGGTGAGAAGAGGATTTAAAGACACAGAACAGCAGCATGAGGAAGAGTGCCAACTGGAGGAGTAGATCCATAATAAGAGAGGTGACTGATAAGAGAAAATGGGATAGGAGTAAGGGATTAAGGATAGCTATTGGAAATGAAGGTAAAAAGCTGAGATAGTGTCTATGGAGGAGGCAATGTGATATAGAAAGAACAAAAAAGCCAAATCAAAACTTTGGAATTGCATAGACCTGGGTCATCAGCAGGTCTGCTTCAACTGCTACAAGCTGAGAATAACAATTTCCCCATACTTTTTACTTCTATTAAGTTAGAGAGTATCTATGAAACACTGAAGCTCTTGAAATATAGAGTAAACATTTTTCATTTCAGTAAAGAGTTTAAAAGAAAAATACAAAATTAATAAAGATGAAAAGGAAGGTCAATACAAAAGAACTTCAGAAAGAAGAGCTGAGATGAAAAGAATTAAAATAGCAATAGCGATAAGAAAAATCAGATCTTGATGAGAAAATTGATGGGGTAATAAAAACAGTAATTGTTCAACACGATGCCCATATTATCAAAAGAAAGTAAAATATGCAGGCAGACAACATTTGCATTGGCCAAACCACACCAAATAAACAATTTAGCTATTCGCATGACTTTCTATCCACGTGAAAGAAATTTCCATTTATCAGCTGTAAATTTTTAACTCACTTCTCTTTGAGCTACACTTTCACTTTTCAACAACTTTCTGGACGTTTTGGTTTAAATGCCTCACCAAAATCTTCAACTCCAAATGTCAATAATGAAATTTTGTTGTCTTCATTATTAAATTTGACCCTCTCTCCCTGATTCTTTTACTTGATAATTAGCATCACAATTCTCCCAGGACAGTGGCCACTTAATTTAGTACTTCTACTTTTCCTCTTTCTCTCTCTTCACCTTTCCCATGTGGAAAACCACATACCATATTTATGGTAGTGATAATGATGAAAACTAGAATATATATATTATTTTAGAATTTATCCAACATTATTTAAACTTTTTCTAAAGATTCTTCTGCTGAATCTATCTCTCTATATCTGTTTGAATTTTTTCCCTTAAATTATATGCTTCTTAACATGTCAAGACCTTCCATGATCTTATACAACTTGGTTTTTAGATTAATTTTCTTTATATCTTCCCAATATCCTGTTCCAACCTGTTTTTTCTCCAAGATAACTGGTTTTGTCTTTCTCCCTGGGTATTGAAAGCCCATTCATATTTCAAGACCCTGATTTGATGCTATTTTCTCTATGATCATTTCCCAGTAGCAGGCCAGCCACCCAGAAGTTGCCAGATGCCAGTTTCTTCTACCACTCAGAACATTACTAGAATTAACTGGAGTTGTTTCTGACCAAATGGATACATATACACACACATATATGTTCTCAATTACTCATAGTGATTTAAATTTAATGTTATTAAGAAATTCATTACATTGCTACTTTGAGGCCAAATAATACATAGTGTAACCCTGCTTATTTGAAATTAGTGATCTATTTTATAATCAAAATGTTAAGTCTTCCCAAGTTAGTTATCTGTTTAGAGCAGGAATTTAAAAAAAAAGAAAAAAGAAAAGAAATAAAGAGGTAATAGGGACCACATAGAATTGGTTAATTGTTTTTTTTTTTTTTTTTAATTTCTTTCAGAACAGTGACTCTTCATTGGCCAGTGGAAGAAATTAGTAAGTGAATTTATTTCTGTACATAATATGTATGAATAGAAAAAACACTTTCTGTCGGTATCCACTAAGTAAATACTGAACAAATAATTAATATGTTTTGAAAGACCTTGACTGTATTAGGCTTTGTAATGTTTAGAGTCCTCTTAGTTTATGTTTCTTATATTTACTGTTTTTTTTTTTTTAAGAGTTTAGCATAGGTTTGCCTTTTCCCCTAAGTCTTAGGAAGGCAGATTTTCTGTCTTAGACAACACTGTGGTAGAACAAAAATATGAACAATTGAGACATGGAAGTCAAGAACAATACTCTCCATGTTAGTTTCTGGGCGCACAGCCTAGTAAAAATTGGCATTTTGTCTTATGGTTATCATTGGTGATATAGATGAAATGAGTTATGAAGACTTAACAATTAACCTGAATTTTAGGTTATTACACTATCACTAATGACATAAAATACTCAGGACTTCATACACACACACAAACACACAACAAATCAGACTTAAAGGTAGAAACAAACTCAGTCTATTTACTCAGTAAAGACTATTGTGTTCATAAATGCAAGTGTTAAAAAACGAATATACCCTCAAAGCAGCTGTATGAGTTTTTTAGTATTTTTTTCTGAATTTTAGATTTATAAAAACCATGTCTCAGCTGCTACCTTTCAACAATTTTACTCTGAGGCAATAAATAATTCAATGTGCTAATTTGACAGATGACTCTCCAGGAGCCTCCTACCATTACTAGCATCATTAGGCCATAATATGCATGACGAGGATGGGCCATTCAGCAAATGTCCTTCACTTGTTTACCCCTAAAGAGCTGTGCTCTGCACAATTAACTAATGAAGCATTATGGGCCTTTTTTTTTCTTCCCTGCTATTTCAATATATCAGTGCAAAGAGTCGAGGGAAAATACAGTCTGTTTCCTTTGGCTAGATCAGTATTTATGGGATGGTTAAGACTGCACTGTAGCTCCCAGATGAATAAGGTGAAAATAATAAGATGGTCAAAATAGATCATTGCCATCATTATTATTATTTCCTTTTCCTTCCATGATTTGTGAAAAAAATGTTAAAGGAATTTGGTGTTGAAATGCAAGAACGAGATAAAAAATACCCAAAACAGTGCTCAAATTTTCTGCTTAACATTTGCTGATTATCAAGAATTTGTACACTGTCCTCATCAAGTTAGGTAATTTTATGTTCACCTAAAACCTTGACCACATGTTAATTTTCTCAGATTTCTATTCAAGTTTAAAATTAAATTCCAGTTAAAAAATATTGAAATAAGAGTGTGAATATGGGCTTTGGTGCATATGAATCTCCTCTTACCATCCAATTCAACAAGGCATGTGCCTACAAAGGTTCAAATGAAGTCACTAAGTCCACGTCTAAACAGTTTCATCCTGCAAAATTGGGTTAAACAAAGAAACCTCATCTGACTAGACTGCTGTTACTGTTTCAATGAATTATTTGATTGCCAAGACATTTTGTTGCTCAGAAAAAGTGGCTTAAGGTAGAAGTGAGTTTAGGGACCTCTTTGTTGCATTTAGAGTGTATTATAGGTTCTTAGTTTAAAAATTATGACATCCTTTACCATTCCTAGTATTGTTTTGTGCTTTAGAGTGAAAAAAATGAACTCTGCTCGAATCATGTCAATTGACATAATAATTGATAGGTCCTAGGAAAAGAACAGTTACATTCTTCTCTTTCCAACCTTCATCCAGACCCACAATGATGTTGATGCTATTTCTAAGAGGTAAGAGTCACAACTATTCTTCTTAGATGTAAAACTATTTTATCCAGTTGAAAATATAGTTTCAATGATAATTATTATAATGCTTCTTTTTCCCCAAAGAAACTAATAATACATCATAACAATCATTGTGATATTAATAATAATTAGATAGCTATAATTTATTAAGTGCCAGTTTAGTCTGAGCCCTTTGTTACATGCATGAGAAACATGAAAAAATGGTGTGAAGGGCTCGTTGGTTCTTTTACGAACTTTGAGGTTAGAAAAATTTTCACATTAAAACAGGAAGAGAACCATTATATTTTAAGAGTTCTGTAGACAAATTCTGGTATATTATCAATCTCCTGTCACCTTTATGGGAATGCTCAAAATCACTACTACTATATACTTCCTCATACTATTCCACTTGAAAAATCAATCTATTCATTTCTTCTTTCAGTAAAATCAATTTTAAACATGCTAACCCAGTAATAAGCAAATTTAGTGGAAAAATAATTTAAACCCTTTATAAATATAAATGTTCCCAGTGGTCTTACTATAACCTGGTAAATTACAGAATCAGTGAAAATCTGATATTTCTG
This sequence comes from Homo sapiens, assembly GCF_000001405.40. Taxonomy (NCBI): domain Eukaryota; kingdom Metazoa; phylum Chordata; class Mammalia; order Primates; family Hominidae; genus Homo; species Homo sapiens. Next base: position 52,012,181 of record NC_000005.10, read on the forward strand.
ATATTTTGTATTTAAAAAATTGAGTGCCATTAATGTTTTTTAAATATTTGTTTTTCAATCCACATATAAAAGTGGAATAAAATTACTAGAGCATGTAAAATGTATTTTTTCAAAATGTACTTACAAATGGAAAAGACTACTTGAATGCCAAGGAAAGCAGTAGTTTCTTTGCTTTTATATTGGAGAGAAGGTCATGCATCATCTCTGTAGAACATCCTATCCATAAAAATCTGAGGAACATTTGTAAGGAGTGGGAACACTTCCAAAAAATTATGCTGGAGGAATTTCACAAGACTGAATGTATTTAATGCAAAATTTCTTTAGAAAACATAAAAATCACCTTTTTATACCCATTCTTTTCTTTTCCTTACTTTCCATGCCCATCCTTTCCATATGAAACCTTCCATATGGTTTGCTTAAATTCTTCAAATGTAATGAAAAATTATTATCATAAAGGTCCAATACATACTTCAAATTACTATTGCTATTTGAACTATGTATTGGACCTTTTAGTCTGGTATTTGTAACTCAGACATTTTATAAAGCAGAAAAGAGACCAAAATATGGAATACTTTGTAGGATAATTAAATGCTTTGTAAATACAGAATAGGCAAACTTCATTTTAAATATTTGATCATTTTATCCAAAAGAGCTATCTAGCAAAAATAATATGGGTCAGAATGTTATATAATTAATATAATTACATCAACAATTTTAGGATTTTGGCATTTAAAATGTGCCAAGTATCACTAACAAGCACTGAAAATTACTTACAAATACTGCATATTAAAGTTTATTTAAAAATACAGTTTCCATAACACAAAAGCTATAAATCAGTACTCAATGAGCTTCAAAAATTACAAGTACTAAAACAAATGTATATAATTTCCATATACATTTATCTATAATCAACATTTAACCAAAATTATCTCAAATTTTATATTACTTCTAATGAAATGTGTTCCTGCTTTGTGTAAGAAAAAATTAATATCTACATGTTGTATTTTTCTAGAGCTTTGCTCATTCTTATGTAGTAATTTCTTTATTTAGTGTGATTTTGCTAAAAATTCAATAATGTACCATTAAAAAAATAATACTTATACTAAATACATCCAAGAGAGGCACTCTCCCATACATATGCCACTTAACTGCAGGCTCACAGTTCATCGGAGACATTTCTGTTTATTTTGATATCTTTTGTTAAAGAAATCCACAGTAACAATGATGACCAGACAAAGAGAGGGAAAAAAAAAGCCATTCATCCATTCATGGGTAATTGAATTCCCTCATATTTCATAAACAGACTGCCTATCTGTAGGGTTGTGTTTTATTTCAATAACTTTCTTTAAAATGCTTTTCCTTATAAGATGGGGAATTACAATAATGTTTAAGAACTCAAGGTCAAAACAGTTTTTAAGTTAGTTTACTTGATGGATGCATTGCTGTGAGAGGAGGCACCCCCTCCCTTTCCCCTCCCCTCTCTCCTACAAATTGCCTTTAGACTGGATGTTTATTGCCCAATGTAAAGAACAAAACAGGGAAGTAATTAAACCTAGAATTGCCTGCTGGTGCTTATGACATTCAGGCCATGGGCCTGAGCCTAAGAGTCCACCCAAATCTGCAAAGAAGGAACCTTGGTTCTGAAACAAAGCCAAGCAGCAAGACATCATTACTGTTAATTACCTGATAAACAAAAAGGACTTGGTGTCGTGGCAAAACACCAAACTCAGTGTGGCAGCTGATGCTGTAAAAGACAGTTGGCCTTACTTTGTCCTGTTGAGCATTGTACTGTGAGATGATCCACCTCCATAAAGAGCTCAAGTAATTATACTCCAACAACTGTGTTTATACGCTCTGTACTCACTATTGTGCTCTACTAACAACAAACAACCTGTCCTCTGGAAACAGGTGGCATCTGCTAAACATCAAATAGAAAAGAAAAAGACATGCTCTCAAATGGTAATTTATTAATTGATAAGCCAGAGGACAAAGTACATGAAAGCAGGTGAAAAATATGGAAGTACACTGTTTAGGTCCCTTATTAAATAAATATGAATTAAATAAAATATGAGATATATTTCTCAAAATAATCATTGGCTTTTGTGACCTATCTTGAAATATAATAGCACAAAAGAAATATTTTAATAAGAATGTTATTTATTTGTGACCTACCTTGAAATATAATAGCACAAAAGAAATTTTAATAAGAATGTTATTTATATATTGATACTTATATTTCATATATGATATGTATATATGTATATATGTATTTTCATTTTGTTTTTATCTTTTTTATTCTGATTTTCATTGATTATGCATGAAAATCAACCAAAAAAAGTAGTTAAATGGAGTGGAGTGGCAGACACGATTATGTCAAGCTCAGATGAGATTGTGTCATAGAATCCTATGTCCATACAATTGCAGGACATGGAGTTAATCAAGTGGATTTGGGTGTCTTTGGGAGAGTGATGTAGCATTAATGGCATCATTAGATAGATCTGGTTAGCTTCTTGTCACCTGGGGCATGGCCTTAGGTGAATTAGACTTCTAGAATCAATTTCTTCATATGTAAAATAAAGTTAATCATACATTTCTCTCAGCATTGGTGTGAGAAGTCATAGATGTAATGTGTACGTTCATTTAACATAGTGCCCAATGCATACTAGGCTTTCAGTAAATAGTGGTTTTGGTAGCCAATTGGAATAAATTACTCATGTTTGAGGCAACTGGCTATTTAAGACAACTAAGAAACACAGAGTGGGCTGAATCATAGCTGATTTGGTAAGTATGGGCAGGTAAGCAAGTCATACTCTCCACCAGTAGATACCCTATCAGCTAAGGCAAGGACACTCAAAAGCTCTGAGGCCCAGAATCTTCAGCGCTTCAGGCATTCCTCACATGCCTTACAGGATAATGGGATGGTTAAAAGTAGTGAATTTAGATTTCAGAATGACCTACATTCAAGTCCATGCTTTGTGGGTTGCTATTTCTGTGTGCCTTGAAAGATGACTTAAACTTCTTAACTCATATTCTTCACCTAAAAAGTGAGATGTACAGGTCTAACCTCTTTAGAACATGAACTACCTAAATTTGAATCACAGTTTCACAATTTACTTAGTTACTTATCATATCTCTGATTTAGTATCCTCACCTTAACACTGGGAACAAATATTGTAACTACTTTATAGGATTGTTAGGAAAACCGAGTCACTCACTAGCCCTTAAAATGGTGCTTGGAACATAAGAAATCTGTACTATAATGTGCTTTTATTACCAGCTATTTAGGAATTTTTGAGCTCCTTTTGAGACCTTACCTACTTGTGATAGTAAATATTATTAGTAGTAATCCCCACCTGCTCATGGATGCCACCACATGGCATGCTGTCAATCCTCCACATGCTTTTCTGAGAGACTTTGCAGTTTACCTTCACGTTTACTTACAAGACAATGTCACCAGTATGCCCACTACAATTACCACATGACACTCTCCATGTACTTTCCCTCCTACTTTGCCTCACCCTATTTTATATAAAGTCTTGGCAAAGTAACTTGAAAAGGCTTCTCTGTTGCCACTGCTGTTATAGGATCTCAAATGTCTGTCATTCAAGGCCATTCAAGCGTCCTGTTCTTGTAGTGGGATTCTAGCAGACATGGAGAAAAGGATACCTCCTTAATTCTCTGTCACACTTTGTCATCTGGGCCTAGAACACTCCTCATGCCTGTAACTGCTTATGTCCATAAGAGCTCTTGTGAAATCAGCTCCCGCCTCCGACTTCCCTAGGCCTCCAGCCCAGCCCACTCTCAGAATGGAATAAAGCCCAAGGTCATCCTATTCGCTGCCACGGGCTCCCCACCACATGCTTCAGGCTTGTAATGATATCATGCTTAGTGGGTGAAAAATGAAAAATGTATTATTGTTACTTATGTGTCCTCTCATGTAGACCAGCATAATTATTTTTTAATTTTGGAATTCATGGAAGTTAATCAAACTGAATTTGCATATTTGAAGCCTCAGAGACTGATTATTTCTGAAGAACCATATGCCAGTGGCTGTAAAATGCTGCTCCTTTGTTATACAGTCAAATTTCTTGCTTACCTTTCATGATAAAAGAATTAGTCTGACACAGCACTCTATTCACTACTATACTGTCGAATAGTAAACTTTTCTGATCTTTTTATGACTGCCAATAATTTACATAAATAACAACAGCATTAAAGTGCAAACACTGCAGTTCTAGGGAATGAAAGAACCATTACATTTAGCTTAGTAAGTAAGCATCCTGAATAAAATCCACCAAGAAATCATAAAAATAACAACACACAGATTGTTCTTTATGTTTTTGTGTACCTTAGCTCATGTAATTCTAAATTCAGAAGTAATCATTCAAATTCAAATTCTAAAAGGTATGTATTCTGAAGTTGCCATCATCACTTGCTTAAGAAGAATCATAAGCTTTAAGTAAGTTGTTTAAAATGTCTACATTTCTTAGCAGTAACTTCTATCCATTATTCAAAAAGGGGCTTTTCTATGTACTTTCTATCATCCTTTTTTGTTGTCTTGCTGATTAAAACCTTTACTGTAGAAACTTTTTGCTACAGTGTGTATGCACACATGATATTACAATAAATCGCGTGCCAAACAATATTGATAATACATTGTAAATTTATATTAAAGTGGTCATTATATTAGCATTTATATACATTTATATGTTATACAGAGGACCTAAATAACTTGTCTTAAAATGGTAAAAGTAAAGGTGTTATTCAGGTAATATAAGTGATTTTTCAAGTGTTAATGAAAAGTTGAAAATGTTACTAAGATGTTAATAAGATGTTACTAAGAAGATGTTACTAAGCAAAGATGCTTAAGATGTATGTTTGGGATAGAACAATGTAGGTCTTGCAAAGCCAGTCTGTAAAATTGATGTAGATGACGCTGAGTGATTACAGCCAGCACACCAACCTTGAGCAATACTTCACCAAGACATAGATTATAAAGGCATATTCCTTGCTTCCTAACGTTACCTCCACAATATTTTCATCAGTGAATGCAAAGCTACTGCCATTTTCGTCTTTGTTTCTCTCACTATATGGTTTACTCATGTTCTCCAAAATACGCTGTCTCCTTAAGGAAGTTTTATGGTATTTATAATAATAAAGCACTTGGAAATTGTGGAATAGAAGCTAGTTTCTTTGTAAGTATTGATGTTATTTAAATCCTAAGTAGGAACTCGGGATCGATGTATTCAAAAATCAAACCAAAATTGTGATTTAATAGAAACTGTTTTTAAAGATTATCATCTAAAATATAGTTGTTCTAAATTTCAACAATTTTAAATATTTTTATTAACTTAATACATATATTGAAAAGGGCAGGCATTTTTTACACTAACCAAGTTATTTATGCTGACTTATCAAGTATTTACTGCTGTTTTTGTTATGTGCTTCATTCTATTTGTGTTAAATGACCTTTAGTCTCTAGTCTAAAGCAATAAAGTGAATGCTTCCTGTCCTATTGATTAGGAAAGGCCTATTTTCACACTAATAAAATGGGAAGGCTCGTTTAATAAAATACTTTTTGCTACCAGCGGCCATAGGTGAACTGGAGACTTGACAATGCTGGCAAAGGTCAACTGAGAGGACAGAGGTCAACTCTGTGGTAAATCAACTTCCAGGAACAAATCACTGGACACTATAAAAATCAAAAGTGGTTCTTTAAGAGACCAACTTGACCCTCCTTAACCAGAAAATAACATCTGACCTGGCAGTGAAATTTATCACAACATTTCAATTAAAACTTGGCAGGCACACTAGCAGCTTACTGTTCTTCTACAGTTGACCTTGTTATAGAAAAAAACAGAGACAGGAGGGGAAAAATGGATATTCTGGATTCATATTGCATAACAAATATAATCTGTACAGTAAGATTTTATCAGTTACATGAAGTTTTCTAGAAACTAGATTAATATGTTATGAGTGAATAAAATACAATTTTGCATAAATTATTTGCTGTTCAATTGTTTCAGATATCTGATTTTTTTTACGATATTAAAAAACAGCCTGTCAATGTTATCAGTTAAGCAATAACCTGAAGGTGTTATATTTTACATACAAGTACATATCTGGAGTTTGGCAGGGCAAACAAACATTCTTAAGTATCCTCCTTTTAAATTTATTTTTGCAATCATCTATATATTTACATTCTAGATTTGAAGTAACTTAATCATATGATTTTCCTCTCATGTCTACCAAACAGAAGTATGATAAAAATAGAGAAAAAATGTATCTTATACATGCCAGTCCTTTTGGGTATGGTAATTATGATCTTAAAACCCAGTATAAGGTACAATATTTAAAAATGAATTTTGAATCTAAATGGCATGTATGGTCTCAGCAGTTCTCATCACAATGGAAGCACTAAGAAAATGTGAATAGATTAACTCAAATGGCATCGTATTTTTGACCACAAAGGGTCGTTATAAAAATTTTAAAATCTGAAGTTATCTGGGCGTAGTGACTCACGCCTATAACCCCAGCACTTTGGGAAGCTGTGGCAGGAGGATTGCTTGAGCCCAGGAGACTGAGGCTGCAGTGAGCAGTGATGATACCACTGCGCTCCAAACCAGACAACAGAGTGAGAACCTGTTTCAAAAAAAATCTGAAATCATCGCAACCTACTCATCTGACAAAGGGCTAATATCCAGAATCTACAATGAACTCAAACAAATTTACAAGAAAAAAACAAACAACCCCATCAAAAAGTGGGCAAAGGATATGAACAGACACTTCTCAAAAGAAGACATTTATGCAGCCAAAAGACACATGAAAAAATGCTCATCATCACTGGCCATCAGAGAAATGCAAATCAAAACCACAGTGAGATACCATCTCACACCAGTTAGAATGGCAATCATTAAAAAGTCAGGAAACAACAGGTGCTGGAGAGGATGTGGAGAAATAGGAACACTTTTACACTGTTGGTGGGACTGTAAACTAGTTCAACCATTGTGGAAGTCAGTGTGGCAATTCCTCAGGGATCTAGAACTAGAAATACCATTTGACCCAGCCATCCCATTACTGGGTATATACCCAAAGGATTATAAATCATGCTGCTATAAAGACACATGCACACGTATGTTTATTGTGGCACTATTCACAATAGCAAAGACTTGGAACCAACCCAAATGTCCAACAATGATAGACTGGATTAAGAAAATGTGGCACATATACACCATGGAATACTATGCAGCCATAAAAAATGATGAGTTCATGTCCTTTTTAGGGACATGGATGAAATTGGAAATCATCATTCTCAGTAAACTATCGCAAGGACAAAAAACCAAACACCACATGTTCTCACTCATAGATGGGAATTGAACAATGAGAACACATGGACACAGGAAGGGGAACATCACACTCTGGGGACTGTTGTGGGATGGGGGGGAGGGGGGAGGGATAGCATTAGGAAATATACCTAATGCTAAATGACGAGTTAATGGGTGCAGACACCAGCATGGCACATGTATACATATGTAACTAACCTGCACATTGTACACATGTACCCTAAAACTTAAAGTATAATAATAATAAAAAAAAAGTTTGTTACTTCCCTTGAATTATTTCACTGCACATTGTGGCTCAAGTGTATAATAAAAGAGTCACAGGAGACAGGGACATTGGCCTCTCCTTTTCTAAAGGTTAAATTTGTGACTCTTTAAAAGCATATCATCGTACCTTTCTCAGTGGTAGAACAAGATGGCAAAATAGATAATTTTAAAGATCGCTATTTTATCATTAAATGGCTATAATCTCTAAACTTTTCAAATAATAATGAGTCAATCCAAACAAGTTACAGAACCAGGATAAAGCTTAGGATTTTATGACTTTTAGGAATTAGAAACATTTAAATGTATAGGTTTTGGTAATACTTTGGAAAAAAAGATACCATGCATGTGTTGCCTACTCTATGCAGGCAACAAATTCTAAAATCAAAGAGATGATGGGGCTACTGCTGTTGAGGTAACAGAGGCAAAACATGAGGGAAGTCGGTAAGGTAATGCTATTATTATGATTAGATAGCTATAGATTTTTATTTATATATTTATAATCATTGTATCTATTTAATATTAATGATAATACTAAAATATGTAAACATATTCTAGATCATTCAGCTAGTGACCTTATAACAGATGTCAGTGTTTGTATTAACAATTTTATTTTTAATCAAATTGGAATTTATCAGTACTCTTTAATAACCACAGGCTCTAAAGTAAAGACCTGAGATGAGTGGTATACATGAGGGATTAAGGCCAAACAACAACCCAACACTGCAAATGAAAGTTTCACAAAAAATCAAATAGACCAGAGTCAGGGTGGGAGGAATTAAAGCAGCATAGGACTCACTATAAAATAGTGATGAAAGGAAACTGCAGTGACAATATTCCTTTGCAAAGTGCTTATGTAATTGGTTTCAGCAAAACATTTTCCATTATTGCATTCATATTTATGTTTGAATTGTATTAGAATTTGACTTTGTTTTTCATTTGTAGTAACTTTTTGCAGAATGAAAGCTAACAAAGGAGGAGAGAGTGATACAACCCTGGGGGGTCATGTCAGTGTGGAAGAGTTGGGAAAATGTGTTTTCAAGGTAAATGGAGTAGCTAGATGAAGACTCGAGGAAAGATAGAATAGTCTCTAAAGAAGAACTGGTAGCTGGGCAGAGAGAAAAAAGTGCTCTCTGCCTGAGATGAAATTGGAGATTGTTGGCAATGTTTAAATATTCTTTGCAACTTTTGTGTCATGCTTTTATTATTGTTTTAAATTACTCAAATACTTAAAATAGAATTTTAAAGGAACTATTTACAACTTACATGTTAATGTTAATAAATATGTTTATATTCTCAATCCAGAATGTTGCCAGTCAATATATTTCTGAAAAGGATTTTCCTAGGATGAAGCAACCACAAATGTTCCATGCTCAGAATTCCCCTCAAAAGAACCTTCTGCAGAAAGCAAATTTAGCTGACAGCTTTCAGCTGCCACCATTTTTGATGCATCAAGGTAGTCATCCAGGGCCACATTTACCTTGCATTGCTCTCATCCACTGATTGAATATACTTTGCATATATTATACTTGCAGTAATCTCGAAAGATTAAAGATAGTTATTTAAATGTTTAATATTATATACTATGCACATTTAAGAAGAAAGAAATTTGGTGACAGAGAGCTTACCAAAGTGTATAATTTACCACAAAATGTTTACCACAAAACACAAGAAATCATAAATCTTTAAGCTAGATGATCTATAGCTTTTTAAAAAGTTCCAAATTGCTAGGAAAAAATTGTCTTTTGAATTTTCTTATAGTATTTTTCTCTGAGAATGTCATCCAAAGAGATTGTTCATGAAGGCTGTAACAGAAACTATAATTAATAATATTTATCTATAAAAAGTAAAGATGGAGAGTGAGAAATATTTTCAATTTTATATTCAGTTAATATTTTTATAACAAACTGCATTACCTTTGCATTTAGAAAAAAATTATAAAAGTCAGGCCCTAAAATTTCTGAGTTCTCAATATGTTTACTTTTATACTATTGGTTTTATGAACTGAGTGCCATAGTTATATATTAAAATTATAATTGTATAATTACATGATAAACATATATTTATACATAAAACATAAGTAAGAATTAATATGTTCAACATTTCAAATCCCTGTAATTTTCTTGACCAGAAAACTGGCTTAGAAAATCAATCGTATTGCCAAAGTTCATGTATGTATGTTTTGATAGAGCCAGCACTAGAAACCCTGTCTTTTGACTCAGTCAATCTATTAGACTAAAGTCTTTTAGTGAGTGCATTCTATATGCCATTCTACAGTAGATGCTGGGGATACAACTGTAAGCAAGGCAAATGCTATCTCTGCCTTCATGGGACTTACATTCTGTCACAGAAGATAAATGTAATCAAATAAGTAGAAGTTTTGAGAAATATGCTTAATAAGTACCAAATGATTTAGAAATATGTAACGGGGTTCCTAATCTAGTTGGAGGGATTGGGAAAGGCTTTCCTATTGAAATGTCATTTGGGTTAAAACATGGATGGTTTATTTTTATATTTACTTTTTTTTTTAAACTTGACTATCTTATCCTATGCCATGTAGCAGGTTGTACTAAAGTGGCAATTGCATGCATGTTTCAAGTCATTATTCTCAGTGCCTACTTACCAGGCACTGAAAATTCCCTTTACATCTAGTATTTACTATTGCATTATGCAGGGATTCATGTCTATCAATATGATCAGCAATATTTCAGCCACAGCACTTATCAACCAAGGAAACACTTTCTCCTGAATACCATGTGTTTTCACCTGAATTATTTCTGAACCAAACTGGGTCCTTTATATGTAGAACCTTTTATCCTTATGTAGAAAATGAGTGTTGAAAGGAGATTAAAATATTAGTATTAAAATATTTTAATATGTGGTAATATTAGAGATATAAATTGAGCAGTTATTAAATAAATGTGATAAACTTTCTATTGATAGTGATGTATTTAGTTTTCATTGCTGCTATAACCAATTACCCCAAACTTACTGGCCTAAGCACTGCAAGTTTTTTTTTATAGTTTTCCAGGTCAGAAGCTCAACATAGGTCTCACTAAGCTAAGTTCAAGTTGTGCACAGGACTGCCTTTCTTTCTGGAAATCCTGAAGGAGAATCCATTTCCTTTCCACTGCAAATTTATAGGAGCTCCCCACATTCTTTGGCTCATGTCCTACTTCCTCTTTCTGCAAAGCCAGCAACATTATTGTATCTCTCCAACCACTCTTCCATAGCCACATCTTCCTCTGACCACAACTGGGAAAGGTTCTTTCCTTTTAAAGACTTAAAATCATTATACTGAGCCCACCAGATAATCGAGGATAATCCTCCCTTTTTAAGTCTTCAATTTAATTACATTAGCCATATCCTTTCTGACATGTAAGGTAACATATTGTCAGGTTCCATGGATTAGGATGTGGATATCTTTTGTGGGGAGAGGGCAGGCATTATTTTGTCTACTTCAGGTTGAATATTATGCTTAATCTTTCATGTTCAACTACTTGGTAAAAATAAATGAAAATGTAATTTGTAGAGAAGAAAAAAATAGATTAAATATTAGTATACCACCAGTATTTTAAATCCTCCCTTTAGAAATATCTTCATTCAAAATTTGTAAAACTTGTCATGAACCTCAAACAGTAAACCTTCAGTAGACTCCATAAAACATGGTTTGCAAATGGTCAGCCTATTATATTTGAAATTACAGAGTTATGATACAAAACTGATAGCGATAACTTCTCTTTGTGGTAGCAGAAATAAAACTAATACCAACCGTGTCACATAGTTTTGTACATATCAGAAATCTATAAACATTGCAAATATAAAATAATAATATTCTAAATCACATTTTAAAATGCTCTAATGTAGGACTAACAATAATGGGCTGGTCCTACATTGAAAATTGTTAAAATTCACAAGGTTTCTCATTAAGATATTTTTCCTTTGGTTTGTTATCAAGTCATGTCAAAGTGGTGCATGTAAAATACACCAGGCATGGAGACTGGGGAGCAGGAGCAGTTTTCTGGTTCTTCCTTTGTTCCTCATGAAGCCGAGCCTGAAGTTAAATGAGGAAAGCAACCTGAATGGAGAGAAAAAACTCTCCAAGTCAGAAAGAAAAGATCAAAGCGATCTTTGTCCTTTGTACCTTCAGGTTGGAAAATGAACAATGTCATCACTCAAGGGGGTTCCTAATATCTTTACTTTCCACTTATATCATTGTTAGTTTGTTTCATGTTTGATTTTTCATTGGGCCCATTAAGGGCCTATTATTGTCTACCATATACATTTTAAAAAATTGGTCCTTAATACAGCCTTTTGGTACCAAGAGGGCATAAATTATTTTTGGAGTGTTTTACTATATTCTAACAAGATCGTTCTTCCTGGGAATAGTAAATGTGACTTCCAAACATAATATACTCCTTTATTCAAAAGCAACCAGTCCCCAGTTGTGGAGACCCAACAAAATTAATTATTTAGCATATTATTTATCTATGCTGGTTATATTAGAATTATCTAGAGAAATAGAACCAATAGGACATATATATATATATATATATAGAAATAGATCTATGAGAAAGCATTTATTAGGGGAATTGGCTCATGTTATTATGGAGGCTGAGAAGTTCCATCATAGGCTGTCTGCAAGCTGGAGAACCAGGGAAGCCAGAAGCATGACTCAGTCCAAGTTCAAAGGCCTCAGAGTCAGGGAAGCTGATGGTGTTACTTTCAGTCTGAGTTGAAAGTCTGAGAAACTGGGGCTGCTGGTGCGAATTCCTGAGTCCAAAGGCCAGAGAACCTGGAGTTCTAATGTCCAAGAGCAGGGAAAGAAGCCTGAGTTGAAAGTCTGAGAAACTGGTGCTGCTGGTATGAGTTCTGTAGTCCAAAGGCCAGAGAACGTGGAGTTCTAAAGTCCGAGAGCAGGGGAAGAAGAGTGTCAATTCCAGAAGACAGAGAGAGAATGTGAATTTGTCTTTCCTCTGTCCTTTTGTTCTATTTGAGTCCTCAGCCAGTTTCTTGATGGCCACCCACACTGGGTGAGAGGACATCTTTTTTATTCAGTCCACTGATTCAAATGCCAGTCTCTTCTGGAGACACTCTTACAGACATAACCAGAAGTACTGCTTTACTAATTAACTAGGTATCACTGAATCTAGTCAAGTTGACACAAAATTAATCAACACAATGGTGCATGTCTAAGGCCAAAATCCTTAATGAACATAGAAAAAAAAACCCTCAACAAAATACTAGTAAACCAAATCCAGCAGCACATGAAAAAGCTAACCTACCACAATCAAGTGGGCTTTATCCCTGGAATGCAAGACTGGTTTATATATGCAAATTAATAAGTGTGATTCAACACATAAACAGAACTTAAACCAAAATTCACATGGCCATCTCAATAGATGCAGAAAAGGCTTTCACTAAAATTCAACATCCCTTCATGTTAAAAATCCCCAACAAACTGGACATTGAAGAAACACCTCAAAATAACAAGAGCCATCTATGATAAACTCACAGCCAACATCATACTGAGCGGGCAAAAACTGAAAGCATTCCTGTTGAGAAATGGAACAAGAAAAGGATGCCCACTCTCATCACTCCTATTCAGCAAAGTACTGAAAGTCCTAGCCAGAACAATTAGGCAAGAGAAAGAAATAAAAATTATCCAAACAGGAAGAGAGGAGGTCAAAATATTTCTGTTTTCATACACTATGACTGTATACCTAGGAAACCTCGTAGTTTCTGCCCAAAATCTCCTGGATTTGATAAACAACTTCAGCAAAGTGTTAGGATACAAAAATCACTGTACAAAAATCAGCAGCATTTCTAAACACCAAAAACATCTAAGCAGAGAGCCAAATCAAGATTACAACCCCATTCACAATAGCCACAAAGATAATAAAATCCCTAGGAACACAGTTAAATAGGGAAATGAAAGATCTGTACAATGAGAATCATAAAACATTGCTCAAAGAAACCAGATATGACACAAACAAATGGAAAAAACATTTCATGCTCACGGATATGAAGAATCAATATTGTTAAAATGGTCATACTGCCCAACGCAACTTACAGATTCAATGCTATTCCTATCAAATCATCAATGACATTCTTCACAGAATTAGAAAAATATCTTAAAATTCATATGGAACAAGAAAAACTCAAATAGCCAGGCAATCTTAAGCAAAAAAAGAAAAGCTGGAGGCATCACACTACCCAGCCTCAAAATATACTACAAGACTATAGTAAGCCAAACAACATGGTACTGGTACAGAAACAGACACACAGACTAGTGGAACAGAATAGAGAGCTCATACATAAAGCCACACACCTGTGACCATTTGATCTTCAAAAAGTGGACAAAAACAAACAATGGGGAAAGAACTCCCTGTTCAATAATTGGTCCTGGGATAACCGGCTAGCCAAATACAGAAGATTAAAGCTAGAAATTTTCCTTACACCATATACAAAAATCAACTCAATATGGGTTAATTAGACTAAAATCTAAAACCAAAAACTATAAAAACCCTGGAAGATAACTTAGGCAATACTATTCTGGACATAGGCCCTGGCAAAGATTTCATGACAAAGATGCCAAAAGCAATTACAACAATAACAAAAAAATTGACAAATGGGACCTAAGTAAACTAAAGAGTTTCTGGACAGCCAAAGAAGCTGTCAACAGAGTCACAGACAACCTACAGAATAGGAAAAAAAAATTGCAAACTATGCAGCTGACAAAGGTCTAATATCTATAAGGAATTTGAACAAAATAACTAGCAAAAACCAAAGAACCTCATAAAAATTGTACAAAGAACATGAAAAGATACTTTTGAAAAGAAGACATACACATGGTCAACAAGCATAAAAACATTCTCAACATCACCAATCATTAGAGAAATGCAAATCAAAACCACAATGAGATCCCATCTCACACCTGTCAGAATGGCTATCATTAAAAAGTCAAAAAATGACAGATGCTGGTGAGGTTGCAGGAAAAAGGGAACGCTTATGCATTGCTGATGAAAATGTAAAGTAGTTCAGCCATTGTGGAAAGCAATTTGGCAACTTCTCAAAGAACTTAAAACAGAACTACCATTTACCCCAGCAATCCCATTACTGGGTATATAACCAAAGAAGTATAATTTTTCTACCATAAAAACACATGCATGCTTATGTTAATCACAGCACTACTCATAATTGCAAAGTCCTGAAATCAATCAAGATGCCCATGGATGATAGACCGGATAAAGAAAATGTGGTACATATACACTATGGAATACTACACAGCAATAATAAAAAATAGCTCTTGTTCTTTGCAGCAACATGGATGGAACTGGAGGCCATAACCCTAAGCAAACTAATACAGGAACAGAAAAACAAATACGACATGTTCTCACTTATAAGTGGGAGCTAAACATTGAGTACACATGGACACAAGGAAGGGAACAACAGACACACGGGCCTAGTTCAGGGTGGAGGTTCGTAGGAGGCTCAAGATCAAAAAACTACATATCAGATACTAGGCTTATTACTTGCATGATGAAATAATCTGTACACCAAATCCCTGTGAACACAATTTACCTACGTAACAAATGTGCACAGGTACCCCTGAACCTAAAATAAAAGTTAAATAACAAACAAACAAAAAAAGAAAATAAAAAACACTAAATTTCTTCTTCTTTGTACTCATTTATGTGTTGCACAGATAACAGTGAGATCAACTTTGACTTAGAGGGATTGGCTACATTAGGAATTCCATGCAATTGTGATCAGATCTGAGTAGAGCAACAAATACAGGGCTTTCCTGCAGGGTCACAGGTGAAGAGCAGTTTGAGGTCTATATGGTTGAAGAGGGAGGTGAAATTGGAAATATGGTTATAATACTCACAGAAATATTAAAATGTCTCCATAGTGTGAAAAACACATTAAATTACAAGAGTAATCTATCATCCTAATGGATAAATCAATTACTACTTAAAACAGCAAAGATCAGAAGACTACAAATTTTGGTCATGTGCAAACTGAAAATTTGTAAACTGATAAGCTTACTCTTAGACAAATAATCATTTCCATGTGAAGATAACATTTCCTACTATTCAAGTACAGAAAGCTATACTACCCACACAATCTTCCTAAATAATCTAGCAGCAAAGTATAGAAAGCAAAAGAAAAAAAATAATTAAGAAAATAATAGAAACAGTAATACTTCAATACTTTATTAGAGCTCTCTTAGTTATTGACAGATCAAGCAGTAAAACAATAAATAAAATTATAATAGATTTAATTAACTTAATTAACATGCTGAAATTTCAGGTATGTGACTTGAATGAAATGTCCTTCAAGCAGAAAGTATAATTTTGCTGCTAATGCTCATCGTACATTTATAGAAATTGAGCATGTAATAAGCCACAAAAATCAAATAGCAAAATTTACAAGATACTTAGGTGGGCACTAGTGACATAAAATTAAGAATTAAGAAGATGAACAAAAATGACAAGTTATATGAATTTTAAGAGAAAACTTCTCATAGTTAGGTCTACTTTCAAGCATTTTTCATCAAATAAAAAATACACATAAAAACTAATAAGGCCACATAAAATCTATGAGCTAGATACAAAGTTATTGTAAGACACAAATGTGATATTTTATCAAGTAAAAATACATTAAAATAAAATAATAATTAAACATCCATCTAAAGAACTTTGAAAGGGAGCAGCAAAATAAACCCAAATGAAGCAGGAGTAAAAGATGTATAAATTAAAAAGCAGGTTAAGGACAATACTACAAATTGATAAATGCACTTTGATATAATTTTTGGTAAAAGGTAAAACATTGTGAAAGACTAAACAACTAATATAATAAAAAGCACATTGACAAAGAAAATATAAACGACAAAGAGTAAAAGAATATACTTACAACATAGAGTGATATACTTAAAATATGAAGGGGACTTTTTCAATGTGTAATTTAATTTTATAATATTTCATTATATTACACTCATTAGTTTAATAAAAATAAAATTATTTTATTTTTGTTTAAAAATTTTGGATATTTTAAGCTTTAATGTTTACATTGAGAATGCCCAACATATGTTTTAATAAAATTAACCACACCATAAAATAGAAGATGTCAATCTATGAGACCACCCAAATAGATGCTGAAATGAATTTGAGTAAGTTTCATGTATCATTATGATAGAAACTAGATAGAGAAGAATATATATATATATAAAAATATATATATATATAAAAATATATATATATAAATAAATATATATATATATATATATAAATAAATATATATATATATATATATATATAAAAATACACTTTTTTAATTATACTTCAAGTTCTGGGGTATATGTGCCGAACGTGCCGTTTTGTTACATAGGTATACATGTGCCATGGTGGTTTGCTGCACCCATCAACCTGTCACTTACATTAGGTATTTCTCCTAATGCTATCCCTCCCCTAGTACCCCACCCCCCGACAAGCCCTGCTGTGTGATGCTCTCCTCCCTGTGTCCACGTGTTCTTATTGTTCAGCTCCCAATTATGAGTGAGAACATGCCGTATTTGGTTTTCTGTTCTTGTGTTAGTTTGTTGAGAATGATGGCTTCCAGCTTCATCCTTGTCCCTGCAAGGGACATGAACTCATCCTTTTTATGACTGCATAGTATTCCATAGTGTATATGTGCCACATTTTCTTTATCCAGTCTATCATTATGGACATTTGGGTTGGTTCCAAGTCTTTGCTATTGTGAATAGTGCTGCAATAAACATACGTGTGCATGTGTCTTTATAGTAGAATGATTTATAATCCTTTGGGTATATACTTTTAACCTGGTAAATACTATGTTTTAAACTACCAGCCTACATTGTCTTTATAAATATGACTTTAGCAACATGCTTACTAAAATCAAATACAGTCATGCATCACTACGTGACAAGGTTACAGTCTGAGAAATGTGTCATCATGGGATTTGGCTATTGTGTGACTATCATAGAGTGTATTACACAAGCCTAGATGGTAGAACCTACTACATGCCCAAACTATATGGTACAGCTTATTGATTCTAGGTTACAAACCTGTACAACATGTTACTGTACTGAATACTGTAGGCAATTGTCATACAATGGTAAGTATTTTAAACATAGAAAAGGTACAGTAAAAATATGACTCAAAAGATTTTTCGAGGCCAGGTGCGGTGGCTCAGGCCTATAATGTCAGCACTTTGGGAGGCCGAGGCAGGCGGATCACCTGAGGTCAGAAGTTCAAGACCAGCTTGGCCAACATGGTGAAACCCCATCTGTACTAAAAAAATACAAAAAATTAGCCAGGCGTGGTGGCATGGGCCTGTAGTCTCAGCTACTTGGGAGGCTGAGGCAGGAGAATCACCTGAACCTGGGAGGCGGAAGTTGCAGTGAGCTGAGATCGTGCCACTGCACTCCAGCCTGGGCGACAGAGTGAGACTCCTTCTCAAAAAAAAAAAAAGATTTTAAAAAATGGTATGTCTATGTAGGGCATTTACCATGAATGAAGCTTACAGGACTGTGAGTTTCTCTGGGTGAGTAAGTAAGTCGTGAGTGAATGTGAAGGCCTAGGGCATTACTTTATAGTACTGTAGACTTCATAAATGCTATATACTTAGGCTACACTAAATTTATAAAAGTTTTCTTTCTTCAATATTAAATTAATCTTAGCTTACTGTAACTTTTTATATTAAAATTTTTAATTTTTTAACTTTTTAATAATAATACTTGGCTTAAAAAACAAACACATTGGTCAGCTGTACAAATATAATATTTTTCTTTATATCCTAATTATAAAAGTTTTTAACTGCTTCAAAAGTTTTTTTTTGTTTTACTTTTTAAACGTGAAATAAATGAAGACTTAAACACACAAATTAGCCTAGGCCTACACAGAGTTAATCATCAAGATATAACTAGACAATAGGAATTTTTGGCTTCATTATAATCTTAAGGGATCATCATTGTATATGGGGTCTGTCCTTGACCAAAATGTTGTTGTGTGACACATGACTGTATTAGACAATCATGCCTTCTACCACAACTGTAATTAAACATGTTTCTAAGTTTTAGCCACTGCACATTTGTAAGAAAAATAGAGTGTCTGCTAAAAATACATTTATAAATATAATCTGTTTCATTTAGGAATATTATATATTGTATTACATTCAAGACAATCAACTTAAAATTTAAAAGAAAAATTGAGTCCTCAGTAAATTGACTAGCTATATCACTAAAATCCTAAATGAAATAACTTTTCATCACGCTATTAGTTATCTGTAAAAAGTGAAAATGAAGAAAATCACATTCATCTTAGCTATCAAAAATATTAACTAGAGAATAACCTTAATAAAAATGGCAGATATGTATAAATAAAATTTAAAACATATTGAATACTGTATATGAAGAAATGCATGTTTTCTCCTCTGAGAAATTAAAAGGCTAATTCTTTAACAAGAAATGTAAACATGAAACACAATATAAAGAAATGCCCAGACATATATACAGATACTTTGACAAACTTATCCTCAGATTCAAATGAAATGTGAAAAAGACAAAAATAATCAAAGATTTGACAAAAATTACTGAAAAGGGACATTTACTTTCAGATATTATGATGTATTAATACAAAAATCAAAAAATGTACTACAATACACTAAAGACTTAACATAGCCAAATCAATCACACAAAATAGAAAGCTTAGAAACATACCTACAAATATTTAAATGGTTTATAAATGCAATTGTTATCACATTAAATCAACTAAAAATGTGGGGTTGGGGGGAGGGGAGAAAGATTAAAAATTAAATCAATCAATCAAACAAAAATACCCTAAAAATATGCTGGTGACTATTTATGTAATTTCACAATATGATCATTTTTTTCCCCAAAAGAAGAAATAGTATACAAGCAAATAAGAAATGATTAGTAGGTGAATATTTTACATATAAAGAACTCATAGAAACAAATAAAATATGAACATCCCAGGGAACATTGATCAAATGAGACAAACATCTAAGTCATAAAATTTGAAACACTTAGGGCCAGTTAAACTATAAAAAATTTTAAACATTAATAAATTATTAATTAAATGTGAGAGATTATTTTTATCTACCAAAATGATTGTGGAGCTTAATAGTTGAACATATAAGAGTTAAACTGTATATTGTAATTGAGCTTAAATGTTAGCTTCACTTTACTAGTTTGATGATTTTGAGTAAATTATTTTAATTCTCCATGCTTTTGTTTTCTCATCTGGAATGTTAAGAATGCTATTATACTTGTACTTCACAGGTTTGTTGTGACGATTACATGCTTTTGTGTCTGTAAAACACTTGTTTCAATGCATGGCACTTAGAAAACACTCAAAATTACTAGATTTAACCTACATACCCAAACATAGAGGAAATATATAAATGAGTTCACCTTTGCAATAGAATAGTAGGCAAACTTTAAAAAATCATGTTGCCATGGATAAAATAGTCATTATCTCTTGACAAGTAGAAAATGTTCAAATAGTAAATATAGACTTTTGTTTTGACCTATGACAGTAACTATTATGGGACTCGCTCTCCTACTGAAAAGTATAACATTGATTAACTACATGAGGTATCTGCTTCAATATACTGGAAAAGAAAGAACAAGACTATGATCCTCAAGACTCCTCCAGGGAACAATCTCTTGGCCATGTCACAACAAAGTAGAGCCTAAACACACCTCAAGAGTTTGAAGTAGGTTAAGAGGCTGGGCAAGGCTCTAGATGGTAGAGATCTGTGAAGAGAAAAGCATCAGAAAATTTCTCTGAGTCGTTGGCCAAAAGCAGCGCTAAACTGCATAAGACTTAACAGAAAGTGTCTCCTATGGGCTTGGGAACAGAATAGCACAGAGGTATTACAGATTAAATAATGCTAGGAATCTTTGCAGTTCAGGCGCATGCAGTGTGCATACATTGTTAGGTTAACACACTGTGAAAAATCTGGGCCTTCAGCTTAGGAACCAGAAAGGCTATGAATTAAAGAGTAAAGACAATATGTTCAGGTAAGGCCTAGTCTACCTCTTCTCTAACTAAGTCTAAAATCAAATTCTGGAAAAATCTTTGGGGAAACAGATTCTGGACATCTAGTTCCTCAAGTGAGAGGGACTTGAGAAAACTTAGATGTCTATAGAATTGCCCTAAAAAAAAACATAATTAGGCTGCAGTCAGTTCAAGATGATCGTCAGTTGTAGATAGGCCGACAATTGCAAAAAAATTCCTTCAGATGAACAAAATAGAACTAGAATTTCTAAACACGTCATTAACAAAGTATAATGTGAAGTAAGTAACACATGGAAAGAAACAGGAAAATGTGACCTAGAATCAAAAATATATATATATTCATAGCAATATTCAGTAGCAATCAACATTGAGATAGCCCAGACGTTGGATTTAGCAACAAAAGTCTTTAAAGAGGCTATTATAAATATGTTTAAAGAAATAAGGGATAAAATGTTCAGAAAATTAAAGGAATATATGGTCTTAGGGAGGAACAGGGAATATCAGCAAAGATATTGTGTAAAACGACTCAAAAGGAAATTTCAGAACTGAAAATTATAAGACAGAAATGAAAAAACAAATCACTGAAAGTGCTTAACAGGAGATTGAAGAAAGCAGATGGAAGAGTCACTAAACTTTACAAAAGATCAATAGAAATACTCTAATCTGAAAAACAGATAAAAGAGATTGAAGAAAAATGAACAGACACTTAAGATACAAAAAGAGTCAAAACATAAGTTTTTAAAAGTCTCAATAGTGAAAAGAATAAAAAACTGAGCTAAACATTTTGAATAAATAATGGCCCAAATTCTTTCCAAATTTGACGAAAATATTAACTGATTGACTCAAGATTTCAGCAAAACCCTAAAACATAAAGTAGAAAGAAAACCATACTTAAGCAATTCTTAGTCTAACTGCTAAAAACCATGCTAAAAATGTCACCTAAAATCTTGTATGTAGAGAAAGTATCTTTCAAAATGAGAAAGAAAAAAACATTTTTTGATGAACAAATGTTAAGAGAAAAATCGTTGTCATTAGACCGACACTAAATTTGTTACATTTGGACAATGGGCAATGTCAAGTCGGCATTGAGAACTGAGAAGCATGAAGCAGGCAGGTAGACGGGCCAGAAGTGAAGTGTGAAGGAAGATAAGATTTACTCTATATAAATTCTAGGAAGCTAGGGATGCATATGATTAGCTCTGGAGAAACAATTGAAAATTATTTTTAAAAAAGAGGGGAAGGAAGAACACAGTCACAAAAAGGAAAATTAAAATTAAACCCAATGGAAGTAGAAGGAAAGAAATAATTACAAGGCAGAAAGCAATGAAATAGAAAACAGATAATAAATAAAATTAACAAAGCAAAAGCTGATAAAGACCCTAGAAAGACCAATGAAGGGAAAAACAAGAGAAAATATAAATTACCTATATCAAAAATAAATGAGAAAATATCATTAGAGATCTGACAGGCACAAAAAGAGTAATGAGAAAATGTTATGAACAATTTTTGCAAACAAAGATGAAAAGGCCAAAATCCTTGAGAAGTATAATTTTCCAAAGCTGATTGGAGAAAAACTAGGTAATTTAACCAAACCTTTGATATTTATTAAAACAATACAATTAATAATAAAAAATCTTCCCATAAAAACTCTACACTAAGCTAACTTCACCAGATAATTCTATTTAAGAAGAAAATCAAAATCAAAAGTAATTTTATGATTCTGCCATATCCTTGATACCAAAATCTGGCAAAGCCAAAACAGGAAAAAAAAATAGAGACAAATATTTCTAATAATCCTAGAAACAAAGTCCTTAAGAAAACATTAGAAAATGGAATCCAGCATAGATAGAAAAGTATCATGGATCATAAGCAAGTAAGACTTATTCTACAGAAGTTTGCTTAGCATTTAAGATCAATCAATATACTCCATCACATTTATTGAAGAATGTGTTCATTTCAAAAGACACATGAAAATTATTTGACAAATTTGAACACTTGTTTATAACTCAGCAAATCAAAAAAAGAAGGGTTTTTTTTTTCAAACTGATAAAAAGAATCTATGAAAACTACATAATTAACATTGAAATTATAAATCTAGCCCCAGTAGTTGGGAACAAGGCAAGGATGTTTGTTCACATTTCCATTACATATTGTACTGAAGGTTTAAACTGTTGCAATAAAGAAAAATAAAAAAGTAAATATAGAACTGCCATATATTCCTGCAATCTCCTTCCTGAGTACATATCCAGAGGAAAGGAGATCAGTATATTGAAGCAGTGTCTACACTATTCACAATAGCCAAGATATGGAATCAACCCAAGTGTCTATCCACAGGTAAATGGATAAAGAAAACATGTTATATTTACACAATAGAATACTATTATTCCATACAAGAATAAAATTATATCCTTCTTGGCAACATGGATGAGCTTGGTAGGCAGTATGCTAAGTGAAATAAAACAGGCACAGAAAGGTAAATACCACATGTTCTCATTCATACGTGGAAGCTAAAAAGTTGATCTCACGGAAGTAGAGAGTAGACTAGTGGTTACTAGAGGCAGGGAAAGCGATGGAGGAGGGAAAGATGAAGTGTGGTTAACAGATAATAAAGTACAGTAAGATAGGAGGAATAAGTTCTAATCTTCTGCAGCACTAAAGAGTGACTATAATTAACAATTTATTGTATATTTTCAAATAGAAGAGCAGATTTTGAATGTTCCCAACACAAATAAATGATAGAAGTTTGAGGTGATGTATATGCTAATCAGCCTGATTTGATCATTGCATATTATATTTATGTTTCTAACTATCACGCTGTACCCTATAAATATGTATAAATATTGTGCGTCATTGAAAAATAATGATAAAAGCAAACAATTAAAGTTTGAAAAACTAGCATTCTAATTTGTCCCTATTTGTAGATAACATGATTGTCTATGTTGAAAATCTTAAGGAATCTATTTAAAAAACTACTAAATTTAATAAAGGTATTTGGCAATGTCAATGGATATAAGCTCAGTATACAAAAATCAATTGCATTTCTATAACTTGAAAACAAAACTTTGAAGATAAATTTTAAAATTTACAGTAGTTTTGAGAATATTAAGTAGGAATTAATATAAAAATTTATGTGCAAACATCTACACTAAAAAATAGAAAATATTGGTAGGAGAAATAAAGAAGATCTAAATAAATGGAGGAATACATTGTGTTCATGGATTAGAAAAACCCCATATTATTAAAGTACAAATTTTCTGGAAATTGATATGCAAAATAAAATAAATCTCAACCAAGTTCCCATGTTGCTTTTTAAAATTTTCTAAATTGTGGGGTGGAGGGAGGGGGAGGGATAGCATTAGGAGAAATACATAATGTAAATGACAAGTTAATTGGGTGCAGCACACCAACATGGCACATGTATACATATGTAACAAACCTTCACGTTGTGCACATGTACTCTAGAACTTAAAGTATAATAAAAAAATAAAATAAAATTTTCTAAATTGACATGCGGATTCTGAAACATATATAGACATTCAAAAGACAGCAAATAACCAACTATTTAAAAAAAAAAAAACAGATCAGTGGGACAGAGTAGAGAATTCAAGGGATATGACATGTTGTCAATTAATTTTTGTTGAAGGGACATGTCAAAATCAATGAGGAAAGTCTTCTTCTTCACAAATTGTACTGGAACAACTAGATATTAGTATGGAATAAAATGATGAACCTCAGCCCCTCCCTCACACCATATGCAAAAGTAAATAGTTTTGAAATAAATCATATAACTAAATATAAAGCAGAAAGTACAAAGTTTCTAGAGGAAAACATAGGAGAAAATCTGCACAACCATGAGGTAGAAGAACATTTCTTAGAAAACAAAAAGAACTAATAATCAAAAAAATGGAAATTTTTGTATATCATCAAAATTAAAACCTTTGCTCTTCAATAGACACTATTAAGAAGATGAAATGATTAGCCACAAATTGAAAAAAAGCATATATTCTGAAAGAATAACTTCCTTCTGGAATATATGTATAGTACTTAAAATTAATCAGATAATGCAATAAAAATTGACAAAAGACTTTAAAAAATGCTTTACAAAAGAATCAATGTCCAATAAACACAAAAAAATACTCCGTTGGTTCCCAGCAAAATGTATATTAACCACATACACGTGCCAGAATAGCTAAAATTTAGAAGATAAAATATACCAAGTCTTGGCTCAATGCAAATGTTTTTCAACAGGTGAATGGATAAACAACTGTGTTCTATTCATATAATAGAATGCTAATTAACAATAAAAAGAACAAACTATTGATAAATGCATCAATATGAATAAGTCTCAAAATATTATAAGCTAAAATAGCCAGACGTAGAAGAATGTATATTGTATGATTTCATTTATATAAACTCTAGAAAAGGCAAACATACTTTCTAGTGACGGAAATCAGTTGTTGTCTTGGGTAGAACCTGGGAGTGGGTGTTAACTTAAAAATGACAGAAGGGGGCTTCCTGAAATTATATAAATGTTCTAGATATTGATTGGAATGATGGTTATATAAGCATATAGAATTTTCAATATTCATCAATCTACTTACTTAAATGGGTGCATTTTAAACATTTCATATATATGTCATAATCCCCGTTTTTACAAAAAACTTACACTTTTTAACTGTAAAATTTACACTTAAAAAGTGTAAGTTTTACACTTGTAAGTGTAAAATTAAGCTAAGAATTCATTCACTAAAAATGAACATTTATTTTAATTCACAGTATTCTTATAGATACTTTTGATTCTGCTAGATTTCAGGGGATTTTTTCCCAATTTCCTCTACTGAATCTGTATATCCATTAGATAAAAATAACTGTTATCAATAAATTCAAAACAGAATATATTCATTTATTTAAAGAGGACATGTTACAAAAAATTTAGGTAATTAGGCATATCTCAATTGCTTGGTAGATTTTGCTTAGTATGAAAGAAAACTTGCTTGAAAAATCATTTGAAATTTCTAAAGACACTAATTCGAGGCTTTTGAAGAAGTTATTCATGATGTTTGAAAAGGATGTTTGCCATAAAAATGGAATACAAAAATAATTTTACAGAAATAAACAGTTATTGATCATTGATGGACTTCTGGATATTGAAAATGGAGAGCAATTTCAAATAATTTGGGATTTGCAAGTGTGATTACAGAAGAGTACTAATACCATAACAACAACCTGAAAAGTGGTCTGACTTATGGCAAAGTGGTGGATGATGGGATTGACTACCAGATAGAGTTATATTAACATATCATAGATACTTAATACATACTTATCTAAATAATATGTGCTGAAGTAGAGTAGAAAAATAGTTCACATATCATAGAGTCTAAAACTGAGACTAAGAGACATACTGACTTGCTCATGGTCATTGAACAGTGAGTTTTTGTTAATAATGACAATATGCTTTTTCACAATAACCTTCTATAATTTAAGATTTATGAGGGTGGAGACTGTGATCTTTACCTAGTATGTGGAAGAGTATCTGGGATTTAGGCATGTTATAAGTATATATTAAATGAATGAATACATAATGCTAGTGAACTCCCATCAAATATTTCACCAAATCATCACACATATTAAACATTATAATTATATTAAAACAATAATAAGATATAATAACACACTGGAAAATATCAGTTGTTGAGGTTTTTAAAGCAGAATGATTGCCCTTCAGAAGGAAGAGAACATCGGGAATTTCACTTTACCCTAGTATCGTACCGCCCTACTCTGACCCCCTGCACTATTTCTGCACTTTCCACTTCTTTTCACTTTGTCCTAATCCCTAGAGATCCAAGGAATAATAGATCTGGTGGGGGTTTAAGACTACATGGCAGTCACTTTCCCTGTTGGAAGCAGAGTTGGCTTTTCTTTTTCATTTCGATAGAGCATTTATTTTTATTTCATATTTAAAGAGAAATTCTGTCTTTACATGTCACACCAACCTAGTGTACATGGAAGCAAATCCCTAAAATAATAAATGATTTTTCATGAAAGGTGGGATGGATTTTCATCTTCAGTTATTCTCATACATCTCTCAATGTCAGTTCTCTGGGAGGTGTTAGTTCCATTTTCAACATATACACGGCATCAACATAGTGTCAAAAAGTGTCTTTGTCACAGCTTGTATCCCAATGGAGCTATTAATTTCATTTGAAATCATGTTCTCTTTGTGATATAAGCAGATTATAAAGAAATTTATTGGAAAAAATATTTTTATTATTTTAATATCTTGCCTATGTTCATTTAAGGGCCATGATCCAACATGTTCTCTTTTGATACACCAGCTAGACAAATGATTTATAATTCTTTTGGATGCAAAAATCTAAGAAATATTTAAAAATCATGAACACCCACTTCAGGATTGATACTGCATAAGGTTACTCTAATTTTCATGTGAAGTCCAAGTGTTGTAACAATTATGGCTCATTATGTTGTCAAAGAGAGACCTGTATTCAGTAACTATTTCCAACTCAAGACAGACTGTGTTATTGCCAACAGGCTTTTCAATAACCTGTGACAATCCAGCTTGCAGAGGTTAGAATTTAGCCACGACACTGTCATCATTTTGTCTCAGTTCCTAAATTATCCAGCTTTTTTTTTTTCCAGAGATCGCAGATAAATCCCTTATTCTTGTTTATTCTTTAAGGGTTCTCCTCTTAGTTCTCAGCATAATAAACATGTTTTTCTAATGATTATATTCTTCAAATTACCTATGGCTTTCATCTAGCAAAGAATATGAAGGGAGGAAACAGAAGAAGAGGAAAGAATCCAAATAGAATACACTGTTTTTAACTTAGCTTCTATGAAGGAGCAATAAGGTTTTTCATTTAAGGCATCTCATTCATCTCCTTGGCTGTGCACCTTGTCCATTTACAGCCACCTCCTATGACCTTGTTTACTCTGGAGCCTGCTCTTTCACATGGTGAAGCAGGCACTAGTGAATAACTGCGTGACAGTCACCAATTCATATGCTTCTGGTAAAAGCATAATAAGCATCCTGTTTTAGAAATACAAATAAAATGGCTGAGTAATAAATAGTGTTTCTGATCTGACACACAAGACTTGAAATATAAGACTTCAACTTAAGCTTAAGGTAAAATTGCTTAGTTTAAAACTATTCCTCTCCTCCAATGTGAAAATGCAATTCCATAAAAGTTTAAGGGTGATGATCCATTTTTGTATGTAGAGAAGTTTTTAAAAAGCAACTAAAATTGTGTCAATTATTTGGATTACAATGTAGTTTACTTGTTTCCAATCCTACAAAGGGCACTCAAAGAAGAAAAAAAGAACAAGGATGAGTGTTTCCCTTCATTTACCCCTGCTCTCTGATACAAATATTTTATGTTCTGGGATCTAAAGAGGTCTCTTGAGTTGGGTTAATTGAGATGTGAGAAAATGTATAAAAAGATAACTACAGTCCTTCAAATGAAATAAGCCATGAAATCACCATCCTTATCATTAAAACTTTAATCACATTGAATTTATAACAATAATTGTGAGAGTAATGGTGTTAATGGAGTAGGGGTAGGAGATAGAGAAGTAGTGGCTGTAGCGTGAACATTATTTTATAACTTGATAATATCATTTTTGTATTTGCTATTAACTTTTCAGTATAAATGTAGGGGGAATAAACTTCTCCTTAAAATTTGTCTTGTCTAAATAGTCAAAGTAACTATTATATGAATATATGCATGTACATGTGCATACAATGAGTTAGTGAAATATTTACCTATATACATATACCTAAATACCCATATATGTATACATACATACAACACATCCACATGTATGTTTAATCCATTTCGATTTAGGTTTAAAAATAGTGTTTTTGTTTGAAAAGGGCCCCCATCAATCTGGGGATAAAAGAGGAATAGGTTTGATTTATTGAATACTGCATGCATAAATGAAAGAAATAGAGAAGGTCCAGCCAAAATCTTCTAATGGCAAAGACTGATGATCGGATCTGGCAGAATTTGCTTTTTCTTTGCTTCAGGAATCCACATTGTTGTTTACTGATCAAAATGAGGAGGAATGTTGGGGTAATTAAAGTTAATTTACTGGCTCATAAACTTTAACACATTTGATGATGTGTAAGGCCCTGACTAGCATAAAAACCAAGTCAGAAATTATTTTAGGCAAAAAGCACTTCACACATTTGTAAGCAGCTTTGATCAATAAAACAACAACCTCATATATATATATTTATATATATTTTTATATATATAAATATATATATAACCCATTAAAAACTGATGTATTTTAGTTTCCTGTATACTTATTTCTATTACGCTTGGTTGTAACCTTCTGAATACAGTTATACTGTGTTCTTACTTCAAAAATGCCATGAGAACTTAATAGTTTGTATATAAAATGAGCCTGAAAAATACCAAGCCTTCTATGAAAGATCTGAACTTTCAGTATTAATGATGCAACTTTTGGCATTAGGTTTTGATCCTTATTAAATCTTACTGTGCTTAGGAGAGATGACATTTATCAGTCATTCGTACTTGCCATGAATTAGTTTATCATGCTCTGTCCCAAGAATCTACAAAAAAGGAGACAGGAGAGCAAAAGCACACCATAATGCATAAGTCAGGGGTATTAAAAACTGCCCTAGGGCAGGGGAAAGGAAATTGGAAATTAACTGGTTTTTTTTTCACAATTTTTGCTGTTATTTAGTCCACGCTGCAATGCAAGGAAGGACCCTGATTTACTCTTTAAACTAGAAAAACCAGCTTTATTTTCTGAGGCATTTAGAAGATATTGACAATGTCTGGTTGACACTTTGGTGCTTTTCTTTGACATTTGTCTCTGTTAAGCTTGAGAAAGGTATCATTATCATCAATGCTCTCCCCCACCCTCAACACCTATCCCCCTTTCTATAAATCCTGATAAAATAAAAAGGTTTTTACTTGGTATTTTCTTGATTCTGGATTCTTTCAGGATAGTATGTATGAGTGAAAGTCCTATTCTTGTAAGAGTGTTTGTTTATGGTGCTATTTATTTAATTAATTATTCATATGCCAGATAATGGAGAATAAACTGGTAGAGCTGAGGTCAAATCGAAATACACCATAAATGTGTGATTTTAGAGCAGGAGACAGCTCCACAGATATGGGTTGACTGTCACTGACTATGGAACTGTCATCCCCATCATGGTTAGGCCTATTAAATGGCATGACTCTTTAGCAGGGCATGTCAAGTCAGTGAAGAATGATAAAGACTAAGCTACATGCATGCTAATCTGGAAAGTATTATGAAACTGCTTTGCGGCCAAGGATTCTAGTTTGAGATATGACAATGTCCAGTTTGTTATTATGACAAAAGAAAAAGGAGAATTGTTTACAAAATTGCAGGCCTTATATAGAAATGTCTGCCTTTTTACTCTTTGGTTTATTATTAAATATGAATAAAAAACAGTAGGATTTAAGAATAGACATGAAAATTTTATCCAGAGTGGGAATAAAAATGAATACTAAGAATATATCTGAAAGATATATCCAGCCTAGTTCAAGATGTCAAGAAAAATGAGATTGCAAAATCAGAGTTGCATAAAACTGAGCAAGAAACAATAGAAGTCAGCAATTGCAAAGCAGATGTGCAGGAATAAATATAACAAGTTAGCAATTCTCCTTGCCTGTTAGGAGTAGAGACCATTTATTTCTCTCCAGAGGGAAACTGAACATTTTTAAAGCCATAATTAATATTTATGTGTTTTAATTTGTGAAGTTTTTTTTTTTTAATAGAAACAGTTGTGTTCTTAGGAACTTTGCAGTCTGATTATAACACAGACTTATAACATTGTCTTACTTATACAGGTAAGTGTTCAAACTAAATTCAGAGGCAAAAATCTAATAATATTCAGAGAAGGAATGCAAATTCCACCCAGATTCTGTAATGTCAGACCAGTTGGAAAACACCTGTGTTTCGCCATATTGGGGCGGTGTTGCTCATTGAGATCATATAAATGTAAGGAATTTGGCAAGTCAACCAAATCTTTTTTCTTAAAGTTATACATTTTATTGTTAACTCTCAGGAATTAATATAGTTAACTATATTGTGTACAATGACTTTTGATAGGTCACATTTTCCCTAGAAAATGTATCATTTACCCTTAATAATTTTGACTTATCTCATTTTGTAAGGAAATAGTCCATTAAAAACTTGTATGTTATTTTTTAAATCAGCATCTTTTGAGTCTTAGATTTTGAGCCAGGTCTTGGACAACTAATCAAGTGACTTTGATCAAAATCTTTGGGAAACGTAATGTTTTAAGGACAAGTTTAATTGAATCACAGTTTGAAGTGGTAGCAAAGTGAGTTTGCCCTTTGTCATAACGTACCTAGGAATCCCGATCTATATTCCTGATTGCTATTGATTTTTCTAGATTTCATTATAAAATCAATAACTGTTGCACAGGGTAAGATAGTTTACAAGGGTTGCAACATACTGTGGACTTCTGAAAACATACTGAGCTCGGTGAAGCCACCCAGGCAGCCAATTAGGAGAAAACATCTATTAGGTAAAAACAGGGCAGTCCCATTGACTGCTATTGATTTTCTTAGCCCTGTGAAAAGACAATCAATTAGATAAAGAAGGCTAATGTTACAGCTGCAATTTAATAACTCCTAAAAAAAGAAGGAGGGCTATTGATTCCTGACATGGAATGTTGAGGCTTATTGAAATATACTGAACTTCACCTGTCTTTTAATCAGGCCTGTGGAGAAGAGAGGAAGCCTGCCATTGTAGCCTTGTGGTATAGAATCCCAATTGTTAAAGAGCTTTGGTGATGCCAGACCTAAGAGATGCAAATGAAACAGAACTTTAGAAGAAACACAGGCCCAGACTGAATACGAAATCACGGAAGCTATTGACAGAAACTGTCTTGGTGAAGGTTGTTTCTTTCTCTATACAGAGCTCACCAGAGTACCACCTGTCATTTTCAAAAGCAAAGTCAGTTTTGCCAACCAGCCGTGAATGACAAATAAAGCTTTATATGAAACACAAGGACATATTATGTGCTATTGTGAGTTCTGCTAAGTGCTAATTTATCTGGCTTGTTCTCTTCAGCAAACACAGGCACAGACACATGAAATAATCTACCTAATTATGTAGCTATTTAGGAGAAAAACAAAGCAAGGTGTTTTTGTGTGTTGCAGAAGGTACATGATACAAGAAAGGTTTTCACAAGCCCTAACATAGCTAATGAAAATAAATGAAATGCTGTAAGCTGCAACAATTTTAGAACAAATAAACTTTTGCTAGTTTTGGATTTAGGGAGTCCCAGCTGCTTTTCATAAATAGATGAGTACTTTCATTCATTTTTTTATAGTCCTTAATTGGAAATGGCTAATAGGCCTTGTCCCTTTCAAATATAAAATCTGGACTAAAATACCTCATATAGATATGTTCTTTATGCTTTTCTTTTCTATTGCATGTATTTGATCCTTTCTCCCCCATTATATATATGCCTTTTTACCAGCAGACAGCTGCTATTCACAATAATTGCTAGGGCAGTCAATTATACTTTAAATAGACCTACTTGAGGACAAATGGTGGTCTAAATTGTACTAAAGACACACCATACACAAAGACTATGCCATTTCTACTATCTGAAATATTCTAAATATTCCTGAGCAGCAGTATAGTTTATACACCTTACTGCAGCATGTCAAAGCTTTTCTCCAAAATATTTCCAGAATACAAGTGAACTATTCTGTGAGCCATTACATCATTACTTAAATTTCTATTTATAAACAGAAGACTATATTGTGCTAATTCCCCCACATGTATTTAGGTAGCATAAATCAGCATTGTACAAAATCTATTTTTGTTGAGTGCTTTCCTTTTTATTTAAAACCATGCATATTCAATATGCATATGTTTCTACTTATTAACATGGATGTCTAAAATGTGTTCTTTAAAGAGTACACTTTTCTTTAAGAATTACACATTTGTAAAAATAACTTGTGATTTGGACAAATAATTAGATTTTAGAACTTAAGATCCAAGTCAAAAGTGGGTAAATATGTCCCTTATTACAACATATAGTGCCTTGTTTACATATGCAATGTGCATTTTACAAACAATATTAGATACAGTGATATAAGTGAGTGTAGCACATTTCTGTTTATGACAGTATTACATTGTCAGAATAGTCAACACATTATTGATTGGCAAGGGAAGTACACTCCATACAAATCTGAAATGCCATCTTTATAAGCAAATCACAATCATATTTTTAAAATCAAAATTTGGGGATGTAAAAACGTTTATTTAATTTAAATATTAGAAACTACAATTCATTCAGGCTCTTGGAACATTATACCAACATGTCAAGTATTCTCTTTATTTTTCAATGTATTACACGTAGGTCATTTTTTCTCAAACTTGTGCTTTGCCATTAAGTATATAAAAACATATCTGTATCTGGGGTAAAATGCCATGTCTCTTAGGCAGCTTGGATATAGGTGTTTGGAATTGTATTTTGACCTTAAAGATTTAAGATAGCCCTCCCACTGTTAGATTAGCATAAGTGAAAATATATATAGCAGAAATAAAATCTAGCTTTAAAGATAAGAATCTGTCAAAAGAAGAGTAATGGAAGTGCATATTTAAACATCAAGGAATGAGCTTTTCGACACTTACACCTCTATTAGAGATATTGAAGTAGCATTTAGCTGTACAACATGCAATAGAAGAGTTCTTCACTAAGACATCTTCCCTCAATTTTCCAAGACTGCAAAAATAAAAACTTAACTTTAAAGCATATGACGAGTGTAGAAACAAAGTCAAGTTCCATTTTCAAAACCTTACAAATAATTTGTGAATAAACGAGGACAAGTGAATCAACTAAAAAGATTTTTACTGAGGGTTTTGTGGAACTCTTCTTAATAATATCATCTCTAAAGCCAGATTGCTTGGTTCAAACTCTACCTTCCCCACTTTATAAGTGTGCAATTCCTGGTAAATATTGTCTTGGGGATGCTGTAATTCCTTTTGGGGATGGAATCTCCCCTTAGTTCTCAGTAGGTCTTGTGTGAGAATACAAAAGTTTTCAGGAAATCATTGTGTATCTTGATTTTTCTTTTTCTTTATCACATTAGTTAAAAAGCATGAGAGAAGATGCCGGCAAGGGAAATTGTCAACAAGTGGTCAATAATTATTCTTTAAGAGTTTTGTTGTGGAAATAGAAATTTTGTTAAAATATCTTTACTTTGGTATTCATAGAAGTTATATCATGTCCAAAATTTAAAATCAAGCCCAAAGCATTACTTTTTCCTTCACACAACAAACGACACATTGTATAACAAAGAACCACAAAATTAGGTTTATGGATCTAAGTCTAAAACCATTTTACGGTTACTAAAAAGAAAACACATTTTGTAAAAAAAATTCCTATTTTCCCCATTCTCAGAATGTTAAACATCTTCTTCTTTTGTTGTTAATTTGATAAGTACTGTGCTTCGAGACCAAAAGGCTGACAGGTTACATAGTAAGTCCTGTGAAATTTCTCAGCTAAGCTCCAAAGCATGTCACTTGAGACATGGAACTTTATCAGTCACTTCACTGGCAAAGTTTTAAGCAACTAACATGTTAGTGAGAGTAGTTTTAAAAAATTCGATCCTAAAAATTAGTATAACTTGTCCTCAAAAATTTTATTTTTTAATGCTTTGATTTGTAGAGTAATATCAGAAGTATATAACTTAAGAAAAATGAAAATATAAGCATCTATTTGCCTGAGTCTATGTAACTGGAAGAATAAAATATTGCAAAAACTATTTCTATTAAAAAATAAATTAAAATATTGAGGGTAGAGAACACAGTGAATGTAAAAATCACAAATATTGGGGGATCTTTTCAAATGTTTTTAGAGGGGTTTGTTTGGTTTTTATTTTATTTTTATTATTTTCTCATATATTAAAAAAAAAACACTGACAAATGAGAATTATTTTTATCCAAACAGTAGAAACAGTGAAGATTTGGTGCATTTTTTTTCTGAAATTACTTTTCTTCAATTTATAATTGGTTTTTGAGCACTCATTTTTATAGTTCTCCGAAAAGGCCTTTCAGAAAGAACAATAAACTTTAAGATGTGTAAAAAGGTGTTGTATCACTTGAGCCCAGGAGTTTGAAACCAGCCTGGGAAGGATGGTGAAATCTCATCTCTACAAAAAATACAAAAATTAGCCGGAGCTGGTGGTGCATGCCTGTAGTCCCAGCTACTTGGGAGGCTGAGGTGGAAGAATGGCTTCAGCCCAGGAAGCAGAGGTTCCTGTGAGCTACGATTTCGCCACTGCAATCCAGCCTGGGTGACAGAGCAGACCCTCTCTCAATACATACTTACATATATATAAAATATACATACATATATATATATAAATTCTACCTACAAATAATATGGAATCTATTTGGGACTCATCTAATAAATGTAACACAAGACAAATCAATCTAAAATTATGCTATTAATTTATTTCTTAGACTTTTTTTCACTGACTTTCTCCTCTTTTGGCTCATTTACCAATACGTTCAGTTTGTTTTATGTAAACTCATGACCTTTTACAATTCAGTAACATTTACAGTTGTTCAATGAATGCATTACCATTAGATTTGTTGTTGATAATACAGTAAGTTAATACAATAAATCAATAAATCAGTTAACAGTATTTTGGAAAGCTTGTCATTGGGGAAATATAAAATTGTGAGACAGTGCTATGGTTTGACTGGTTAAGTGGGAGGATTTTACTTAGTGGATACCAAACATTTATTCAAAAGAATTAATGTTATTTAAAATATTTTTCCTTTATGTGACCTCAGAATTCCTTGACTATGTAATAGTGTCACTATTCTGCCACATTTACTTTTCTCTCTAGTATTAGAGTTAATTGCATTCTTGTTTTAATAGGAATGGTTAGACTCTAAGCTTCTTGAAAAGAAGAGTGCATTTCTGGTTTATCTTTGCACTTTTCTCTAGGTGCTTAATATATAATGGGCATTCAATTAATACTTGTTGAATAAAAAAAAGACTCTCAATGATTGAACATATGGCCTACTCATAGTTCCTTAATGTTTATACATCATTCAGACTATTGTTCACATCCTTCCTGAAACTCTCTCTTTTTTACTTTACGGAAAGTACACCATCTCATTCACTTACCTTACCAGTTCCCTTTTCTTGTCTTAAATGCGGATTATCCCTAAAGTTTTCTCTTTGTCCTTCTTCCTCTCTGTTCTTTCGCTTCCCTTGCCTTCCCTGAGTTATCACGTCAACAATCGTGTGGTCTATTATGTGTATCTTGCCTCTATTTTGGGAGCTTTAGCGTATATGTTTAACGGTCTTTTGGCCACATCTACTTAGCTCACAATAACTGCAATATTGTTAAAACAAAATTAATCATAATTTATTAATTTGAATAATATACATATAATTGGACTGTACACTTGTCTTTCTGTGAAATTGCCCTGTGACCACAAGTAAAGACGTCATAAAAGGTAGATACAACTAGGCTTTTCTACATATATTTTGAATATCTGGAAAACTCTGACCAAAATGCTTTAAAACAGATATGGAACACGTTTACTCCATTACTTCTAGGCAATTGGATATAGTATAGCCATAAAATAATGATATTCTGAAAGTTCATTAATTAAATTAAAATTACATTCAAAATATATTATTAAATGAGAAAGAAAAAGATGAGAATGCCAGTTATGTTCTTATTTTTAATAAACTATGTAAATCCAGTCATGCACCTTACAAAGACCAGTCAATGACAGACTGCCTTTATGATGATAGTCCCATAATATTATAATGAAGCCGAATAATTCTTATTGCTTGGTGATACAGTAACTATGATAGCATCATAACATAATGCATTGCTCACATGTCTGTGGTGATGGTGGTGTAAACAAACCTATGGTGCTGCCAGCCATATAAAAGTATAGCACACAAAATTATGTACAGTACATAATACTTGATAAATTGTTATGTCACTGGTTTATGTATTTATTATTCTATGCTTTTTATTGTTATTTTAGAGTGTACTCCTTCTATTTATTAAAAAAAAAAAAACAGTTAACTATAAAACAGCCCCAGGCAGGTTCTTCAAGATATATTCCAGAAGAAGACATTGCTATCAGAGAAGACAACAGCTTCGTGGGTGTTATTGCCCCTGAAGACCTTCCAGTGGGACAAGATGTGGATGTGGAAGACAGTCCTATGGATGATCCTGACTTTGTAAGGACCTAGGTTAATGATTGTGTTTATGTCAGTTCTTAACAAAAAAGTTTAAAAACTATAAAAAAAATACAATAGATAAAATCTTATGGGATAAGCATGTAAAGAAAGAAAATATTTTTGTACAGCTATAGAATGTGTTTGTGTTTTAAGCTGTGTTCAATCATTTAAGGTTAATTTACTATTGAAGAGAGAAAAATGGTTTCTTAGAAAGAGTGCAGCATAAGTATTCGGTGTTTATAGTCTATAGCAGTATACAGTTATGTCCTTGGCCTTCACATTCACTTGTCTGTTACTGACTCACCCAGAGCAACTTGCACTTCTCCAAGGTTCGTTCTTAGTAAATTCTCTATACAGGTGTGCCATTTTAAATCTTTTACACTGTATCTCTACTGCACCTTTTCTCTCTTTAGACATGTTTAAATACACGAATACATACCATTATGTTATAATTGCCCATAATATTCAATATAGTGACATGTCATGGCCGGGCGCGTTGGCTCACGCTTCCAAGCCCAGCACTTTGGGAGGCCGAGGCGGGTGGATCACGAGGTCAGGAAATCGAGACCATCCTGGCTAACACGGTGAAACCCCGTCTCTGCTAAAAATACAAAAACAAAATTAGCCGGGAGTGGTGGCGGGCTCTGTAGTCCCAGCTACTCGGGAGGCTGAGGCAGGAGAATGGCGTGAACCCGGGAGGTGGAGCTTGCAGTGAGCCGAGATCGCGCCACTGCACTCCAGCCTGGGCGACAGAGAGAGACTCCGTCTCAAATAAATAAATAAATAATAAAATAAAATAAACAAACACCTAACTAGAGAGTGAGAGTTGAGAGTAACAGCGTTTGTGAAGAATACCACATTTCTGAGTCTTTCCCTTACTCTAAGCCAGGATAGGTCAGGGAGACTGACAAAAAAAAAAAAAAAAAAAAAAAAAAACATGCAAAGAAGCTATCATGACTACAAGAATGGGAAACTGGATTCCTGTTTCCCAGCTGGGTTATTTCTGAAATGCTCAATCTACAGTCCTGTCAGGTGGCTTTATCCTAGTCAAATATGTTGACGAACCGTTGAGAAACTTTTGCATAATCTTTGTAATTTGGGGTAACAAGTGAATATATATTATATAATATATAAATTATATATAATATATATGTAGTATATAATATACATTTTATATATGTATGTGTGTGTGTATATATAAACACACACACGCAAATCCTATTGGATAAACTGTTATGCATCACTTAACTATGGGGATATATTCTGAGAAATACGGTGTTAGGTGATTTAGTCATTGTGTGACCATCATAGCCTGTACTTACCCAAACCTCGATGGTATAGCCCACTATACACCTAGGATATATGTTATGGATATTGCCCTTAGACTACAAATCTGTACAGCAGGTTAGTTTACTAAATACCGTAGGCAATTGTAACATAATAGTAAGAATTTGTGAATTTAAACATATCTAAACATAGAAAAGATATTGTAAACATGCTGTATTATAATCTTATGGAACCACAGTCGTATATGCGGTCCACCACTGGCTGAAACTTTGCTATGAGGTACATGACTGTATATATGATTTTGGCAGACTCAATCGTGGAGGCTGACAAGTCAAATCCACAGAGCAAATTAGCAGGCTAGAAATTCCACTAGGAGTTGATATTGTAGTCTTGAGTTTGAAGACAATCTGGAGGCAAATTCTTTTTATTTTGGGATACCTCAGGCTTTCTGATGATTGAATGAGGTTCATCACATTATAGAGGGTAAACTGCTTTACTCAAAGTCTGCTATTTAAAAGTTAATCTCGTTTGAAAAATACCTTCACATCAACACCAGACTTACGCTTGACTAAACAACTAGGCACCATAATCCAGCAAAGTGAGGATGCAAAATCATTAAGTGACGTTCACTCTTTTCTTTGACATCCAGTGGCTTAATTACTATGATGTAAAGTTAATGCATCTTATGTTACATGGTAAGACAATAAAAGAGAGAAAACAAAAAATGTCTTATACATGAATACACAAACATACTCATAACAAAATTGGAAGAAAAGCTGGTGACAATTACAGTCTCCATTTCTGGAACTGGTTATGTGGTCATAGCTGATATTTATTAATCATCATCTTCTACTGCCAATGTTGTATTCCCTTTGTACTTGGTATGCACCTCCATTGGTCGTGTTTTTTTTCTTGGCAAGATGACCCAAACCCTCATTTGTGAAGTGGTATCAATCTGCGTATATATATATATGTGCGTGTGTGTGTGTGTGTGTGTGTGTATATGTATATATGTTGTGTATATATGCATATATATATGTTGTGTATATATATCGATATATATCAACCTAGATATATACATATATGTTGTATATAGATATATATCATTCTGTATATATACAGATCATCTATATATATACAGATTGATATATATATGATTTTCCTTATTTATATATATATGTTTCTCTTTTTCCTCAGTAATATTCCATACATATATGGAATATATATATAATATATATATAATATATATATTATATATATATATCGCATGCCTGTGGTCCCAGCTGCATGGGAGGCTAAGGCAGGAGGATCACTTGAGTTCAGGAGGTTAAGAATGCAGTGAGCCATGTTCACGCCACTGCACTCCAGCCTGAGCAACAGAGTGAGATTCTGTCTCAAAAAGAAAATATTAAAAGAAGAGTAAAGTCATCAACTTGATATGGTGTTCCCTTAATATGTATGAACTTAGTAACAGATGTCCAAAATACCTGAAGCAAAAATGGACTAAATTAGTAAGAGAAATATATTAGTCAGCAAATATGTTTGAAATTGAAATATGAGTTGAAATTTATGTTTCAACTCTTATCTCAGTAATTGATAGAATCAATATACATAAAATCAGTAGGTATTTAGAGGACTTGAACAACATAACCAGCTTAATCATGTTGGCGTTTATAAAACACTATACCCTCAAATAGCAGAGTAGGCATTCGTTCAAAATGCACAGGAATATTCACCAAAATGGACAAGATTTTGGTACATAAAACAAGTCATGTTATATTTACTAAGTTAAAAATCATAAAAGGATATTGTCTTAGGAAAATGGCTAAAATGAAATTATGTTAGACATTGAAAATCAAATAATTTCCAGAAAAATCCCCAAATACTTGGAGTCTAAACAATATTCTCCTAAATACTTAATAGTGAAAGATGAAATTATAATCAAAATTTGAAAATATTACTACTAAAATAAAATTTACCACAGAAAATATTAAATTTTGTGAGATGTAACTAACCTAGCACTTGGAATGAAATAGACTAAAATCAAAATCTGAGTCTATGTTACGACACTAGAAATATAAGAGAAAAATCCTAAATTCAATAGAAAAAATACTGAAAATAAGATTAGAAATTGTTTTAATCTGTTTTGTGCTCCTATAACAGAATACCTGGAACTGGATAATTTACACAAAACATAAACTTATTTTCCCACAGTTCTGAAGGCTGTGAAGTCCGAGATCTGATGAGGGATTTTGTCTGTTCGTTTGTTTTTGCTGTGTTCTCACATGGAAGGAGGTCAAGAGAGAACCAACCCACTCCTACAGCCCCCTTTTTATAAGGGCGTAAATCCATTCGTGAGGATGGATTGCTCATGACCTAAACATCTAACACTTTTGCATTGGGAATTAAGTTTCCAACACATGAATCCGGGGGCACATGTTCAGATCATAGCATTAATAAAATAGGAAATGAGCAAACAGTATAGAATGCACAAAGCTGTTTATTTGAAATGATCAATACAATAATCAAACATTAGCCAGACTGATCAAGAAAAAAAATCACATTATTAATGTTCAGAGGTAAAGAATATCACTATAGTTCCTGTAACTAAAATCTTCCAACAAAATAAACTTTTGTTCCAGATGTTGGACTATATTCAGTGGTGGATTTTATCACACTGTTTAGCAAGAAATGAAATTAGTCCAATCTGAACTCTTTCAGAAAATAGAAGGTATTGAAGACTTCTTAAATAATGTCATAAGGCCGCATTACCCTCATACCATACCAGATAAAAACACTATAAAAATCAGGAAACAGCAGATATATGTCTTATGAAAATATATACCATCATCCACAAGTCCAGCAAAATAAGACAATAATTTACATCATGACCACCTAGGGTTTGTTGCAGGAATGAATATTCATTTAACATAGAAAAATAATCAACAAAATTTACCATATTGATTAAAAAAGAGAAAAACACAACACAATCATGTTAAAAAGGAGACAAAAAATGTTGACTGTCATTGCCCATATACAATAACATCTCTTAAAAACTAAGAATAGAAGATAATTTCCTCAGTTTGATGAAAGGCACCTACAAAAGCCTACAGCTTACCTGATATCTAGTGGTGAAAAAGACCAAATGCTTTCCTTCTAAGATCATGAACAAAGAAATGATGTCCAATCTTGCCATTCTTATTTAACATAGTACTGGATGTTTTAGCCAGTTCAAAAAGGCAAGGAAAAGAAAAAGCATAAAGATAATAAAAAGGAATAAAACATTCATATTTATAGATGTCATGATTATCTACATAGGAAATTCAACGGAATCTGCTAAATGTACATCTAGAGCTAAAAAGTGACTTTATCAAGGTCACAGGATGCAAGATCAACACAAAAAAATCAATCACGCTTCTATATATTAACAAACATGTGGAAATCAAATAAAAACTTGAATGCCATTTACAGTGTCTCCACAGAATATGAAATGATAGGTGAATATCTAACAAAACATGTAAATGTGCATCCTGAAAATCACAAAATGATTTTGAAGAAAATTTTTTAAAAATCAAAAAAATGGAGAAACATATCACGTTTATGGATTGGAAGACTCAACATAGAAAAATAATAATTACTAGTCATTTCTTTTTCTAGTTTTAATGCAATATCTATCAAAATGTCAGGTTTTTTTTGTAGACTATACAAACCTGTAATAATTTGGAAAGCCATACAGCATAAAATAAAATAAATTTTAAAAGCAGAACAAAATGGGAGAAGTTGCTTTCTCTGATGTTAACATTTGCTACATAGTTACAGTAGTTAAGACAGTAGAGTATTGGAGAAGGGATAGACACATAGGTCCATAGAACATGACAGAGATCTTAAAAATAGAACCACAAAAATATGTTCAATTTTTTTTTACAATGATACAAAAACAATTCAATGGAGGAAAAAATAGCCTTTCCAGAAAACGGTGCTGGGACAGATTGGCATACCTAGGCCAAAAATATAAGGATTTATCTAAACCTCACACCTTATACAAAATTAATTCCCATGGATCAATGACTTAATGTATAATTATAAAATGTTTAAGAAATACTGAAGGCAATATTCATAATCTGGGGTTAGGTGTAGTGTTTAGACTTAACACTGAAAGCACAATTTATAAAAGTAAAACGATAAGCTGGACCTCAGACAAATTAAAAAATTTTGCTTTGTGAAATAGTCTGTTTATAGATTGAAAAGACAAACTTTAGTCTGGGAGCAAATATTTACAAAAACCTATATGCAACAAAAGACTTCTATCTAGAGTATAAAAAATAAAAACAAATGTTTATTTGACAAAATTTGTCAAAAGATAGAAGAAATTTCATTGAGAAGAATATACAGATGAGAAACAAATACATTAAAATACTTCAACATCATTAGTCATTAGATAAATGCAAATTAAAACCACAATGAGGTATCAATGTGCTTCTATATAGGTAACT
This sequence comes from Homo sapiens, assembly GCF_000001405.40. Taxonomy (NCBI): domain Eukaryota; kingdom Metazoa; phylum Chordata; class Mammalia; order Primates; family Hominidae; genus Homo; species Homo sapiens. Next base: position 52,054,920 of record NC_000005.10, read on the forward strand.
TTAAAAATAATAACAAAACCAAATGCTAGCAATAATGAAGAAAAAACAGGTCACTTGAACAATTCTGGTGGGAATGTAAAATAATTCAGCCACTCTGGAAAGTAATATGTGACTTCTTACAATCCAAACACTTCCTTATCATACTATCCAGCAACTGCACTCTTGAACATTTATCCCAGAGATAAGAAAACACGATAATCTGTACATGCGTTTTCATGGTGGTGTCCTGGAGATAAGAAAACACAATAATCTTTACATGCGTTTTCATTCATAATAGCCCAAACTATGCACAACTAATGCTCTTCAACTTGTGAATGGTTAAACAGAATGTAATACTCGGTGATGTAAAAAAATGAACACAACAATTTGAATGCATTGTAAGGGAATTATGCTGAATGAAATATAAAGCCAATACAAAAGTATGGACTGTATGGTTTCACTTATATAAATCTTGAAGTGAGAAAATAATACAGATAAAGAACAGCTTAATGGCTGCCAATGGTTGGTTAAAAAGCGGTAGAGCAATAGAGGAGTCTGTACTTGTGATGAAACTGCTCTGTATCTTGACTGTAGTGGTGGTCTAAAAAATCTTTGCAAGTCTTATTAAGATGTTGAAAAGGAATAATAAAGACATTTAAATGATACCTATTTCAACGTATGAAAGAATATTATGTACATCATTACACCAGTGAATCTCCATTATTAGGTTTATGTTTCTCATAGGTGCAATTTTGAGGATTATTTTGTTAGTTTGTGTAAAGGCTGTCCAATGTATTGGATCATGTTTACTGGGCCTTCTATACATTACTGGTATCTAGTGAGTCTACCTAGTTATTGTAAAAGTCAAAAATACTCTCGTACACTCTAGACATCGTCTGTGGGTTGCCCAAGTTGACAACCATCAACCTGGATTAGTCATCTATTTTTCAAAAAATTAAATGATCAAAGTTCCCTCAAAAAATTAAAAAAAAAGTGAATGGCTTAAATTTTTTGAAGATATTGAAAGAAAAGTCGAGTATATGCCTCTTAAAAAGGTGCCAGGACAAGGATATTTTACAGGTGAGTTTTAGCAAACTTTGAAGAAAGAGATAATTCCTTCGCTATTGAAGTAGTACCTATCTGTCTTTGTCTACACAGGCTGCTAAGACAAAATGCCTTAACCAGTGTAATGTATAAACAACAGAAATTTATTGCTCACAGTTCTAGAATCTGGGAAGTTTAAGGTCAAGGTGCCAGCTGATATGGTGTCTGATGAGGACTCATTCTTCCTAGATGGCATCTTCTTTGTATCCTGAGATATCAGAAGGAGAAAGGAGGCTCTTCAAGTCTCCTTTGTGAGAATACTAATTTCATTCATGAGGGTTCCCTGCTCAAGACTTAATCACTCCTAAAGCCCACATCTCTTAATACTATCATATTGAGAATTAAGTTCCAACATGTGAATTTTAGGGAGACACAAACTTTCAGACCATATTACTATCCTAGGAAAAAGATGGAAATATTTTTTGACTGGTTACCAATCAAAATATGTAAGTATGAAATTTTAAAAAGTAATGCAAATTATGAATATTAATGCAATTAAAATATTAATAATAATAAATATAATAACCAAATGCAGCTTATCTCAGAAATACAGGCATACTTAAATGTTCAAAAACATATGAATGAATTTTGTTATTAAAATTTGAATAAAATAAAATTTGTTATCATTGTTATTATTATTTGAGACAGGGTCTTGCTCTGTCACCCAGGCTGGACTGCAGTGGTGGGATCATACCTCACTGTAGCCTCCAAATTTTGGGCTCAAGCAACCTTCCCGACTCAGCCTCCAGAGTTGCTGGGAACACAGGTGTGTGTCACCATATCATGCTTTTTTTTTTTTTTTTTTTTTATGTAGAGCCATGTTCTCTTTTGTCCTGGATGGTCTGGAACTTCCAGGATCAAGTTATTCTCCCTCATTGACCTTCCAAAGTGCTGGGATTATAGGCATGAGCCACTGTGCCCTGCTTAATATTATTTTAATTGATGTTGAAATGTAATTGAAAGAAAATGAAATATTCCTCATTTAAAATTATAAATGAAGAAAAAATAATAACAAGCAGAATAAAACAAACTTGGTTAATTTTTATTTCAATTTTATTTTAGATTCAGGGTTACATGTGCAGGTTTTCTATATAGGTAAATTGCATGTCACAGGGTTTTGGTGTACAAATTGTTTTGTCACCTAGGTAATAAGCATAGTACCTGATAGGTAGTTTTTCAATCCTGTCCCTCCTCCCAACCTCCACCCTCAACTAGGCCCTGGTATTTGTTGTTCCCTTCTTTGAGTCCATATGTACTCAATATTTAGCTTCCACTTCTAAGTAAGAACATGTGGTATTTGTTTTTCTGTTTCTGCATTAGTTTGGTTAGGATAATGGCCTTCAGTTCCATCCATTTTGCTGCAAAAGGCATGATATCATTCTGTTTTATGGCTGCATAGTATTGTATGGTGTATATGTATCATATTTTCTTTATCCAGTCTACCATTGATGGATAATTTAGGTTGATTCCTTGTCTTTGCTATTGTGAATAGTGCTGTGATAAATATAAGCATGCCTATGTCTTTATGGTAGAATAATTTATAGTCCTTTGAGTATATACCCAATAATGGGATTGCTGGGGTGAATGGTAGTTCTGTTTTAAGTTCTTTGAGAAATTGCCAAACTACTTACCAAAATGGCTAAACTAGTTTACATTCCCACCAGCAGTGCATTAGTATTCCCTTCTCTCCATAACTTCTCCAGCATCTGTTATTTTTTGACTTTTTAATAACAGCCATTCTGACTGGTGTGAGATGGTACATCATTGTCATTTTAAATTGCATTTCTCTAATGATTAGTGATGTTGAGCATTTTTGCATATGCTTGTTGGCCTCGTGTATGTCTTCTTTTGTAAAGGATATGTTCATGTCCTTTGCCCACTTTTCAATGGGGTTGTTTGTTCTTTGCTTGTAAATTTGTTTAAGTTATTTATAGATTCCGGATAAAATACCTTTGTGAGATGCATAGTTTGAAAATATTTTCTCTCATTCTGTAGGTTGTCTCTTTACTCTGTTGATAATTTCTTTCACTATGCAAGACCTCTTTAGTTTAACTAGGTCTCATTTGTCAATTTTTGTTTTTGTTGAAATTGCTTTTGGCATCTTTGTCATGAAGTCTTTGCTGGGTCTTATGTCCAGAATGGTATCTCCTAGGTTATCTTCCAGGGTTTGTATAGTATTTGGTTTTAGATTTAAGTCTAATCAACTCATGTTGAATTGATTTTTATATACGGTATAAGGAATGGGTACAGCTTCCCTCCTCTGCATATGGCTAGCCAGTTCTCCCAGGACCACCTATTGAATACAGAGTCCATTCTCCATTGCTTGTTTTTGTTAACTTTGTCAAAGATCAGGTGGTTGTAGGTATATGGCATTATTTCTGGGCTTTCTATTCTGTTCCATTAGTTTATGTGTATGTTTTTGTACCAGTAACATGCTGTTTTGATTGCTGTATCCTTGCAGTATAGTTAAACTTGGGTGACATGATGTCTCTAGCTTTGTTTTTTCTGCTTATGGTTGCCTTGGCTATTTGAGCTCTTTTTTGGTTCCCTATGAATTATAAAATAGTTTTTTCTAATTCTGTGAAAAATGTCATTAGCAGTTTGATAGGAACAGCATTGAATCTGTAAATTGCTTTGGGCAATATGGCCATTTTGATAATATAAAAAATTATTTATTCATTAACATTGAGTATAATATGACAGTTTTATGATTCTGTATCATACAAAATATTCTAATTACAATGATTTCAAAAATTTAAACAATGAGTAGAAAAATTAAAGTAACCTAAAATTTCACTACCTAAAAATAAATTTTAAAGAACATATTGGTAAAATTCACATGTCTCTCTATATGTATATCCAAAAATACACTTAACAAGTAGACTCTTAATAAATACATATGTTTTTTATTTAAAGATTAATACATTGTATATCCTTTATTTATTTTCTGGATTTTTTTATTTTCTTCTTTTTATTATACTTTAAGTTCTAGGGTACATGTGCACAATGTGCAGGTTTGTTACATATGTATACATGTGCCATGTTGGTGTGCTGCACTGGTCAACTTGTCATTTACATTAGATATATCTCCTAATGTTATCCCTCTCCCCTCCCCCCACCCCATGACAGGCCCAGGTGTGTGATGTTCCCCACCCTGTGTCCAAGTGTTCTCATTGTTCAATTCCCACCTATGAGTGAGAACATGCAGTGTTTGGTTTTCTGTCCTTGTGATAGTTTGCTCAGAATGATGGTTTCCAGCTTCATCCATGTCCCTACAAAGGACATGAACTCATCCTTTTTTATGGCTGCGTAGTATTCCATGGTGTATATATGCCACATTTTCTTAATCCAGTCTATCATTGGTAGACATTTGGGTTGGTTCCAAGTCTTTGCTATTGTGAATAGTGCCACAATAAACATACACGTGCATGTGTCTTTATAGCAGCATGATTTATAATCCTTTGGGTATACCCAGTAATGGGATGGCTGGGTCAAATGGTATTTCTAGTTCTAGATCCCTGAGGAACCGCCACACTGACTTCCACAAGGGTTGAACTAGTTTACAGTCCCACCAACAGTGTAAAAGTGTTGCTATTTCTCCACAACCTCTCCAGCACCTGTTGTTTCCTGATTTTTTAATGATCGCCATTCTCACTGGTGTGAGATGGTATCTCATTGTGGTTTTCATTTGCATTTCTCTGACGGCCAGTGATGATGAGCATTTTTTTCATGTGTCTATTGGCTACATAAATGTCTTCTTTTTAGAAGTGTCTGTTCATATCCTTCCCCCACTTTTTGATGGGGTTGTTTGATTTTTCTTGTAAATTTGTTTAAGTTCTTTGTAGATTCTGGATATTAGCCCTTTGTCAGATGGGTAGAGTGTAAAAATTTTCTCCCATTGTGTTGGTTGCCTGTTCACTCTGATGGTAGTTTCTTTTGCTGTGCAGAAGCTCTTTAGTTTAATTAGATCCCATTTGTCAATTTTGGCTTTTGTTGCTGATTTTTTTATGTTCTACATCTTTCACTCAGTACTGAAACTGATGGTATTGATAACTTTCTTTCTCTCAAGACTCACTCTAAATACATAAGTAGAATTGCATAAAGATAATATGAATTTGTTACTAGATGGGAAGGTTCAATGTTAAAAAACTATTTTTCCTAAATTTATCTATAATGCAATACAATCTGAATCCAAATCATGACAAGATTTTCTTAAAATTTAACAAGCATTTCACAGAAGAGTAAAAGAAAAAAAATTGAAGAAACAATTTTTTAAATAAGTAGAACAGTTATTCTCAAGCTATTTTATAAAGTATAGATATTATAAAAAGTGGCATTAGCCTGAGAATAGATAAACCCAGTAGGGAAATTGGTCAATAAATTATACTAGTAATATTATGGAATGCTGAGTAGCAGTAAAATTTTAAAACATAAAACCTTATACCATCAATAAAATTTTTCTAAGCCTCTTAAAACTACAAAGTTGCAAGATAAAGTAGTGTAAAAATCATATAATGGCGTATTTATAATTAATGCCAAATTCTCCTCAAAGACCACTGGAAAATCTGTAGGGATCAAGCATCAAATTGAATTCATTAGAAACTTGCCACTGATCAGATGAATTTATTCACATGAAATTCTGGAGTAACTTGAGTACTTGGGTTTTAGAAAGTTTTATCATGCAGGATTAGGCCACGGGGTACTTAATTTCAGACAAGGATTATTAGGAACAATTCTGCCCAGACAGGGCTTGTATAGAGTTGGCAACTAGGAGAATTTCATTGGTCCAGTAGAGAGGTGAGACTGGGCAAAATTGTCCATGTTTGCACATTTTATACAGTTTGTCAATGAACTTGTTTTTCTGCGGTACATGGAACAAACACAGAAGATTCACCTGGTTATATGGACATATGTATACTGTTCTCCAGAAAACTAATAATCGTGTTTGATACACAGAAAGAAAAGTAATCCTAAATTAAACCTCAAACTGAGACAATTTTTAATGTATTTCAAACATGATTACTAGCATCAAGGAAAACAACTCATATCTGACCTGTTTTCTTTGTCAATGTAAAAATATCTTGGAAATGTTTACCAATAAATGACATCATTCACAAGCAGAACTGACATGAAATAGAATTCTAATCCAACCCACGAAAACATTATGAACATTGTCTTTTTAAAAGATTATTTATCACTTATTTGAAATACAAAGTTTATGCCTGTGTAAGAGTAAAATTATTCTCAACCTTCATAAACTCTTTTATTTTGTTAGGGATATTGCTGATGGTCTCTAGTGGTTTTTTGTTGTTGTTGCTGTTGTTCTTGTTGTTTATTTGTTTTTTGGGTTAAGTCTGTGAATCTCAATGAGGATACTCATAAAATGTTTCTCCATTAGTTAATTTCATGGCACACTGCAGAATGGTGAATATTACTAAGCTTGCAGAAGTGTGCTCAGAATGTAAATAACAACCCACACACAGGTGCCAGAGACCTTTCACTCTCAAGCTTACCTTTTCACACTTCCTCCCTTCCTCCTTTTCTCATTCACTGTAGCAAAGACTGCTAATGTGAGGAACAAGTGAATCCATCAGACTGTCAAGGAAACTATGAATGTGAAGAATTTTAACACAATCAATGACTTGATGAATCTCAAAATGCAGTCAAATGAAGAGTTCAGAGCAAGTATGATCTTGGGACTAGAGAGTATAGTAGAAAGGGTTAGTGCAATCACTCTCTCCCTGTTATATCACTGATACATGTAAGAATTAAATAAAAATAAAAATTCAGTCTGTATACTAGTCATGGAACCAGAAGCCTGGGCTAAATTTAGAATGTCCAGGGTGACAGATTCCTGCACTTAGCATGAATAATACCTAGCTCACAAAGTAAGGAGCTGCAAAAGTATTTTTAAAAACCTACTTTAAAATCAAAGAAGATTTATTATAAGGAAATAGACAATATTTTATGTTTAAAATAGGAGAATGCTAAATATTGTTAAAATGTCAGTTCTTCTAAACTTCATCTGTAGGTTCAACACAATCCCAATTAAAATTCCAGCAATTTATTTTGTAAATATCAACAAACTGATTTGAAAGTCTATATGGAAAGACAGAAGTCCCAAAATAGCCAACATGGTTTTGAAGGGGAAAATTAAAGTTAGAGAACTGGCACTCCCTAACTTCAAGACTCCTAGAAGACAACATGGGAGAAAATCTAGGTGGCCTTGGGTTTGGCAATGAGCATTTAGAGAAAACACTAAAATCACTGTAGTGTGATGGGCCCCTGACTAGCTTATTTACAGATGTGTGTCCTTTGCCTGAACCTTGAAGGCTATACAGTGAACCAAGGCAATGGTGCCCAGGTATGGACAGGTGTCCCTGAGAACCTAAACATCCTGGAGAGTATCTGAGAACCTACCAAGGAAAACAGTTTCATTGTTCAAACACAATGAACAAAGAGCCAGAAAATTAGCTCAAAAACAGTTTAGAGAAGGGAGGTGGCATAGACGTCTAGAGCTGTCCTACCATTATCCAGGAGTGCCCTATATGTAAGTCCTAATAAACTCATCTACTCATCAAACCAGACTTACCCAAGCCATTCTTTGATCTCTCAGCACCTTTCCAGTTTGGGGAAGGAGGGGACATTACAATTCTAAGTTGTTCTCATAACAAACACGATCCATAAAAGAAAAAAAAATGACGAGTTAGAATTTATTAAAATTAAAACCTGTTCCATAAAAGGAGACTGAGAGAAAGTTTTTGCAAAATATACATCTGCTAAAGGACTTATACACAAAGAACTATTAAAATTCAACAATAAGAAAATGAATAACCGAATTAAAATATTAAATATAAGAACAGACACCTTATATATAAGACACCTTATACATATATATTTTCTATGTTTTTTATATATATATATATATATATATATATATACACACACACAAAATAAACTTATGAAAAGATATTCATCTTATGTCATCAGGAAAGAGCAAGTTAAAAGAACAAAGAGATACCACTACGTTCCTATTTGAATGACTAAAATCCAAAACACTAACAATATTAAATGTTGGTGAGGATGTTATGCAGCAGGTACTCTCATTCATTGCTCGTGGGAACGCAAAATGGTACAATCACATTGTAAGACAGTTTAAAAGTTTCTTACAAAACTAAACATACCTTTACCATACAGTCTAGCAATCGTGTTCCTTGGTATTTACCCAAATGAGGTGAAAACTTCTATTCACATAAAAACCTTCATGTCAAAGTTTATAGCAGTTTTATTCATAGCTGCCAAACGTGGAAGCAACCAAGATGCCAATCAATAAGTGAATGGATAAACTGTGTTACATCTATACAATGGAATGTTATTCAGTAATAAAAAGAAATGAGTCATCAGGCCACACAAAAGACATAAAGGAACTTTAAATTCATATTACTAAGCTTGAAAAACAATGTACTATATAATTCCAATTATATGACATTCTGGGAAAGGCAAGACCGGAAACATCAGTGGTTGCAAGGGGCTCAGGAAAAGAGAGCGAAGGCATGACAAACAGGTGGAACACAGGAGAGTTTTCAGTCCCTGAAATTATTCTGGGTGATCCTGTAATGGTGAGTATATGCCATACATTGGTCAAAACACATAGAATGTATAAAACAACGAATGAGCCTTAGCGTAAACTATGCAGGAGAGGAGAAAAGAAGAATATATGGGAATTCTCTATACTCTCCGCTCAATTTTTCTGTAAACCTAAAAGTAGTCTAAAAAATAAAGTCTCTTAATTAAAAATTTTAAACAATCCCACTCAAAGAAATAGTAAAAGGGGAATCCTTTACTTATGTCCAGGGCTCAAGAGCAGGATATTTTCCTAGAAGCTTCCTGGCTGATGTGCTCTTACCTTCTACTGGTAAAATTTGTGTCAAATACCAAATTATATACCTGGTAACTTGATATGGTTTGGTCCTGTTTCCCCACCCAAATCTCATCTCAAATTGTAATCCCCAAGTGTCGGAGGAGGGGCCTGGTAGAAGTTCACTGGATCATGGGGGCAGATTTCCCCCTTGCAGTTCTCATGATACTGAGTGAGTTCTCACGAGATCTGATGGTTTAAAAGTATGTGGCACTTCCCATTCTCTCTCCCTCTCCTGCTTCACCATGGTAAGATGCGCTTACTTCCCCTTTGCCTTCTGCCATAATCATAAGTCTCCTGGGGCCTGCCAGTCATGATTCCTTTTGAGCTTGTAGAGTTGTGAGTCAATTAAACCTGTTTTCTTCATAAATTACCCAGTCTCAGGTAGTTCTTTATGGCAGTGTGAGAACAGACTAATAGACAAAGGTAATGAAAATGTCATTGTTGATTTAGCCTAAGCCGAATTTTCCCTCTGGATCTCAGAAGGGGCCCTGGGGTATGTCTGTTTTGTGGGTAACCAACAGTGTCTGCTACAAATTGGGATGTTTGAAATACAGCTAAACCCTATAGGCTTCCAACATTCTGGCCAATTAGGATGATAAAAATAGAGAAGTTATAATAGAACATATAAATAGTATTTTTTTTACTCTTTAGATAATCATGTAAAGACATATCAACAAAGAACCTAAAAGACTGCTTTTAAAAAATAGCATATAAACTTTTGAACTCAGTTTGATTGATCAGGGAACAATTAACAACATGCATTTGTCTATACTCACATGCATACACACTGATTCAAAAAATTATTCAAATAAAGCTATGTGTTCAGGAATATTTAGTATACTAAAATAGAAAAATGAAATGGTATCAGGAAGTCTGTAATGTAGTTTATGTTGTTCAAATCATGTGGGTACAAAAAATCTGAGCTGACATATTTAGCAGCTTCTAATACTAAATACTCAAATACTATGATTGAAATATATAAAAAAAATGGCAGTTCCAAAATGTCAATGAAAATAATAAAATGAGATTATTCTGTATTCCCAAAAGAAAGAAACCAGTGCCTAAAGGAGGCATGGAAAGGACTCATTGCTCATTTCCCACTGCCTTAGCTGAAATTAGACTCTGAAAGTAGGGGGTTCCTAAAGGTTGTTGATTTTGGTCAATGGTTCCAGAGATCTGGACTAGGTAACTGATAATGAATCAATAAAAGGATACATTGTTGAGTGGTCAAAAATCTGTGCAACTGAGACCATTCTGTAGGGACCTTTTAATAAGCCCAGAGCATATCATAGATTAATCACTAGATAATAAAAGTTGAAGAACATTTTACGTCTGCCTCCTGCCCCAGTAATCAAGGGTGCCTTATAAGTCCCTTTTACCCCCAGGTTGCACATGAATGACTACTAAGCCTGTTCCCATAAGCATGCAACACCAGTTTCAGAGGTAGCCTGATTCTGAAAGTGAGAGGCAAGTAGTTGAGAAAAGGAGCTGTGAGGTTATACCTATGCAAATCTGATTGCCACAAAAATGATAGGACTAAACATTGACTAAGAATAGGGCATAAGAGATAGCTAACATACGTACCAAGAGGATACATTGTGCATTTGTTATTTCTTATTGTTGTATAACACATGACTATAAATGCAGTGAATTAAAACATCACCTGTTTATTAGTTCATAGTTCTGTAGGTAAGAAGTACACATGGACTTAACCAGGTTCTTTGCTTAGGGTCTTACAGTGCCGAAATCAAGCTGGACTTTTATCTGCAGCTTCTGGGGAAGAATTTCCTTCTAAGATTATTCAAGTTTTTGGTAGAATTAAGCTCATTATCCTTGTAGGACTGAAGTCCACTCTTGGTTGGGGATTGATTTAGCTCCTGGTATCCCTCTCAGGTACTTGCCACATGGTCACCTCTAGTGCAGCAATAAAGAGCCTCCATTGTCAAATATCTTTCATGCTTTAAATCTCTAACTTCCAGTTCTGCTAACATATAAGACTTTCCATCCTCCCAGATTATTTCCCTATTTGAAAATCGCTTGATTCATAACTTTAATTAAATCTGCAAAATCTCTCTTGCCATGAAAGGATCACAATGGAAACCATCTGAAAATATAGCCTACCACAGTGGTGCAGAAGTGTTCAATACTCACACACTGAAACATTTTATAGTGAGGTTTTAGGGCATCACAATAAAAATAGAAAACTAAACGTTTCTCCAGAGAATAAACTAGATTATTTACAAAGGAATGAGGATCTGTTTAACATCAAACTTCTCAAAGCAGGATTGAATACTGAAGGATAGAGGAGAGATGCTTGCACATTTGTGAAGAAAAATAATTTTGAATATTGGTGTCTATGCCCAATTATATATGAAAACCAAGTAAATATTTTAGACATAACAAAAACTCAGAATGCTTTAAAATTACTGAACTTTTTCTGAAAAATTTACCAGAGAATATATTATACAGACAAAATGTAATTAGAGTAAGAAGTCAGACTCAAGGAGAAATGGAAAGGGGAAAAATAGTAAAACATTGTTATTTCCCAATAATCTAATTATATAAAGGTAACATGGAATCAAAATACCAAATAATTATCTGGTGATTATTGCCAGATTAGAAAACTTTATTTCTAGTCTGGTAGAAAGATAATTTCAAGTATTGATGATAACAATAGTTAACCACAGAAATAACAGAACTAGAAAATAAATGTAACTTCAAAATTATTCTGAACTGTGCTATCTATAGAGACTTGCCTGAAGCCAAAATGGAATATTGAATATAAAGAAAATGAAAAAAAATGTGCTATGCAATTGCTAACAAGATGAAAACAGGTGGTACTTATACCAAAAATAGAATTGTGGGTACAAAGCTGTAAATGTGTCAAAGAATGATAATCTGTAATAATATTGTTACCATTTATTGAGAGCTTAGTAAGCCCAGGTAATGTTCTAAGTATTAACTCTTTCAATATCTGTAACAAAGCTATGAGATAAACACTGTTATTACATTCATCCCATTTTACAGAGATGGGAACTGAGGCCCCCAAGGGTGTAATGGGCATGCCCAATTATGCAGCTAATAAATGGTAAAGTCTTGATTCCAAGTCAAGTGTTCTGATTTTAGAAGTAGTACAGTTAAATGTGATAGTAACCTTTCTTATCTTTTTTTATGTTCATAATAGGGATAGTTAATTTTCTCTATCATCTATCTATCTATTCGTCTATCAATCAATCTGTCTGAATCTAGACACAGAATTAACAATATATAAAAAGCAAAATTAATAAAACTGAGATAAGTAGACAAAGATACAAAGTATATATTTTAAACAATTTTCTCCAAAATCGATTGAAACGTGTCAACAAAAAATTAATGGATCTATTGAAAATGTCAGCAAATTAGTTATGAGAAAGTTGACATTTTCTAGTGAGTAAAGTAATAGATGACCATGAATTATCAAAAGAACTTCTAGTCAGAAAATTATAACTTGTTAAATTAAAGTTAGGTAGTCAGAAGGAATCACAGCATGACATTCAGAAACTAGTAAGTATGGAATAGTTTCAAAATTATGTGACTCAAGAAGACTTAATTTACATGGAGAATGTATACAAGAAACAATAACTGGGGAAACAAATGTGTTAAGCAAAGAAGTTGTAAGTAGGCAGCAGAAGAAAGTTGTAAGTATGCATACAGACAGCTTTTATCTGTTATTACAAAAAGAGATTTTAGCTTCTGAAATATGAAACAAATTATTGTCTACTCAATCCTCTTATGTGTTTTAACCCACAAAAACCATCAGACATGAAAAAGATAAACACCATTTTTATAAAAACAAGAAAGTATTAGTGATGGTAAGTATAACTTATAGACTACAGAAACAATTATTAGTAATGAGGGATTTCTAAACAATGGGATATATTTTATAATTTTACAAATAAATGTTGATAAACATAGATACAATAATCCCCAGCAAAATACCAGCAAATTAAATTCATCAACACATTAAAGAGATCATTCACCATGATCATGTGGGTTCCTTTCAGGAATGCAAGGATGGTTCAACATACACAAATCAATACATGTGATACATCACATTAACAGAATCAAGGACAAGAACCATATGATCATTTTAATACATGCTAAGAAATCATTTAATAAAATTCAGTAATCTTTATGATAAAAATCCTTAACAAATTGAGTATATTAGGAACATATCTCAACACAATAAAGGCCATATATGACAAATATACAGCTAACACCATACTAAATGGGGAAATATTGAGACCTTTTCCTCTAAAATATGGAATATGAAAAGGATGCCCACTTTCACCACTTTTATTCAACATAGTACTGAAAGTTCTAACCAGAGCAGTTAGCCAAGAGGAGGAAATTAAAGGCATCCAAACTGAGAAGGAGCAAGTCAAATTGTCCATGTTTTCAGATGTTATGATCATATATATATAGAGAGAGAAACACTTAAAACTCCATCAAAAAATAATAAATGAATTCAGTAAAGTTGCAGGATAGAAAATCAACATACAAAAATCTATAGTGTTTTTAATATCCCAATAGTGAACTCTTGTATAAAGAAATCAAGAAAGCAATTCCATTTACAATAGCTACAAAAAATAATAAAATACCTGGAAATAAAGTCAACCATGGAGGTAAATGATCTCTACCCTAAAAACAATGAAACATTGATGAAAAAAATTGAAGAGGGCACAATTAAATGGAAAAAATCCCATGTTTATTGATTAGAAGAATTTAAAATATCCCTATTACTCAAAGTGATCTGCAGAGTCAATGCAATTCCTATAAAAATACCAGTGACATTTTTCACAGAAATATAAATAATTAAAATTCATATGAAATGCAAAAGACCACAGATAGCCAAAGCAATCTTGAGCAAAAAAGAACAAAGCTGGAGGTATCACACTACCCAACTTCAAAAATATACTACCAAGCTATAGTTACCAAAAACAGCATGGTACTGTCATAAAAACAGACAAATAGATTAATAGAACAGAAGAGAGAACTCAAAAATAAATGCACATATTACAATCAAATGATTTTTAATGAAATGCCAAGATCACACATTGGGGAAAGGATAGTCTCTTCAATAAATGATACTGGCAAAACTTAGTATCCACATTCAGAAGAATGAAACTAGACCCTGTTCTTTCACTATAAACAAAAATCAACTCAAAATGAATTAAAAAATTAAATATAAGACCCAAAGCTATAAAATCACTAGAAAAAGTCATAGAAAAAATGATTTATAAAATTGGCCTGGACAATAATTTTTTTGAATAAGAACATAAAAGCACAGGAAACAAAAGCAAAATAGACAAAATGGGATTACATAAAACTAAAAAGCTTCTTCACAGCAAAGGAAACAATTAATAGAGTGGAGTGATAACTTACAGAATGGAAAAAAGTATTTGTTTGTATCCTGTCCATTTGAGAAAAGGACAATATCCAGAATACATAAGGAATTCAAACCACTCAATAGCATGAAACCAAAAAATCCAATTGAAAAATGGACAAAAGACATTTCTCCAAAGAAGACATACAAATGGCCAACATATATAAAATGTTCAGCATCACTAATCATCAAGAAAATGCAAATTAAAAGCACAGCAAGATATCACCTCACAACAACTAGAATGGCTACTGTAAAGAAAATAACAAATGCTGGTGAGGATGTGGAGAAAGGAAAACTCTTATGCATTGTTTGTGGGAATGTAAATTAGTACAGCCACTATGAAAAAACAATATGGTGTTTCCTCAAAAATTCAAAATGCCACATAGTCCAGCAATTTCATGTATGAATATATATCCAAAGATTTGAAATCAGTATGTCAAAGAGATGTTGTTTTGAGGTGAGCAGGTCTATGCAAACCTATACCAAAGTCCCATGTTTACTGCAGCACTACTCAACCATAGCCATATGTGGAATCAACCTAATTGCTCATCTACATATGAATGGATATAGCAAATGTGGTATACATATACAATGAAATACCATTCAGTCATAAAACAATTAAATACTGTCATTTGCAGAAATATGGATGGAGGTGGAGGATATTATGTTATGTGGAATAAGCTAGGCACAAAAAGACAAGCACTACCTGATCACACCCATATGTAGCATCTGAAAAAGTTGATTTCTTAGAGGAAGAGAGTAGAATGGTGGTTACCAGAAGTTGAGGAGAGTAGAAGGGAGGGCAGTACCTGGAGAAGTTGGTCAATGGGCACAAAGTTACAGTTAAACAGGAAGTACAAGTTCTGGTATCTTATGACTCAGTAGGATGACTATAGCTAATAACAAGATAGTGCATATTTCCAGATAGCTAGAAGAGAAAATTTTCAATGCTATTACCAAAAAGAAATGATAAATGTTTAATGGGATGGATATGGTAATTACCCTGATTTGACATTAAACAATGTATACATGCATTGAAACACTGAAACATTATATGGAACCACATAGATATGTATAATTATTGTGTATCAATTATAAATAAAAATAATAAAAATGGTGGTTTGCAGGTAACATGAATAGACTTTATTAATGTATTAATAATAATGTAATAATATTCTCAAAATTATGTTAATATAAAAGTAGATTCTGATTCAAATCTGTATATTTGTCTTTTTTCATTTTTATCTACTATTATATATTTCTGTTTACACCAGGCATTATTATTATCAATATTTATTTTCATTTAATCCTTTGAACTAATGGAGCATTTTTTTCTTTCTTGATAAGCAGGATTTATGTAAGAGTTTTTTTGTTTGTTTGTTTGTTTTGTTTTTTGTCATGCTTGCGGATATTGGATGTGGAAGAAAACTCAAAGAAATGTACAATGTATGTCCAAGGTGGCCAGAGTGTCTTGATGGATTCTTGTGCATACACTGTTTCACAAAATTTGAAGCGTCCATCAGAAGATCTTATTGAAAATAAATTTCAAGGAGAAACATCTCCAGTTCAAAAGCTTTCAATCTTACTTTTCTGGTATCTCTCATAATGCTCCCTTTATGGGATACTAGTTTCTAAGACACGAGTAAGAGAGGCAAAATTTATATTTTTTCAAGAGAAAACCCCATAAAACTAAAAGTTTACTCTTTCCATTTGGCCACATGCCACCTTGAGCTACCTATTCTATAATGTATATCATTAGGAAGACATGTTTTCTTGATTATTTGAGAACCAGACTGGTTTCTATAGTATATAGCAGCAGGAAGGAAAAGACTATCAAGCCTGGGTCCCAGAACTGATAACACCTCCATAAATAATAAGGTTGAAAAGAACAAGAACACGGTTTGATACATTTTGATTGAATCAGGGAGGACTAGCTGGAAAGCTTCAAGGTGGCTGTTGATACAGGTTGATCACCAGCAGAAAGGACAGTCTGGGGTCTACCATTAAATTAGTTCAATTTCTGCATCATTTTACTGAAAAGCAGTTCAGTTTCTGATGGATGGGAAATAATCGAGGGGTGAAAAAGAGTTTGGAAAACATACACATTTGAAGATAGTCATTCGTTCACAGAGCCCATTAGAGAGCTACCTTTGAACACTGGAGAGATGATTTCCCAGCACTTTCGTGGCTGTGCTTTAATAAAAGATGGATCAAACATTATCCAGGAGAAAGTCTGAGGATATGAGGAAGCTATTGGAAGGCTGTTCATCCAATAAAAATATAGAATTTGATTACTTCAGGGAAATTCTGGATTATGGAGATGTGCCTTTCAATATAATCTAATGACAGCTGGGAGCAGCAGAGTGACAGGGCTTGTTCATGGCCAGCTAAGAAACAGTAGCGCAGAAAAGTCAAATTATATTCTAATTTAGGTCTTTTATGAACACAGGAGGTAACTTGTGGAATTAGAATTTCTACAAATATAAATTAAGAATAATATCCTTAAAGAAGAAAGCAAGTGATGAAAAGCTTGAAAAGAAAAATTGATGTCCAACTGAGACTTGGAATGTCCACCAAAATGGGAAAAATGTTCTATTAGAGTGAATATGGCTTTGGCTGCAACATAGAAACTTCAAGTTCTCATTGTTACTGATTTTCAAGAGTCTGTAATCAGTTTATTTTTGGCTGTGATACAAGTTATTTGATATTTTTAAATTACTAAGCAATTGATGTTTAGAAAAATTAATTTCTGTACTATTTCTCTTGTAGGCATAAAATATGCCCTGTACAATTTATCTCTTTCTAATTTATTTATGGTTTTGGGGGCTATTTTTAAAAAAAGTATTTGTATTTAATGAATGCTGAGAAAAGGGTATATAATATTTGAGCAAATGTATAAATATGCAAATAGGCAGGGTAAAATTTTGAAATTTAAACTGTATTTTTCTCTTTTCCAATTTGTTTCCATGAACCCTGTGTTCATCAGTTGGGCAGTAGCAAGAGGTTGTATAATTAGTCTCTTGTGGCAGGGGTATATCGCAAAAACACATGACAAATACAAAAGGTTCAACTTTAGCATTTCATACACCTGATGTTAGTCTATAGAGTGAAATGAGATCCTACCTCTGTGTGGTCCACAGAAGTAGGGAGGGTGGGAATGAGGCTAAAGTATACACAGGAAACTGCATGGTTTAGAGGTATAAATAAATCAGTGACTGAGAGCCATACATATGCTTTATTTAAGGGAGGTTGGAACAAAAAACCTTCCCTGTTCTTTGCCCTGTATGTTGATTCTGAGATGACTTCACAGAGTTATTCTTAGTCTTTGACATCACTTCATGCTGGGTTTAGTGAGGTTTTTGCCATCATTTTCCCACTGTTTTCTTTTCTCCCATCAGTCAAAATAAGCTGCACCATGCTTTGGCAAGAAGCATCCTGTATCTTACTCTTTAAACCACTTCAATGGATCCAAAGAATGAAGGCTTGTTTCTTGCTAAAGCTGCTAATCAGTCGGCCGAGGAATCTGTTCATCATCATCACTTAAAGATTCAGGCTTTGGAGGGTTCACCTCAATAATTGCTCATTTCATCCAAACTGGTATAAACAGTCAAGAGCCAGACATTAAATACTTCTTTCTGGGAGTGACACATGTCACTTTCATTCATAATTAATTGGCAAAAGCAAGTCACATTCTTATACCTAACTTTAAAAGGTCATGGGGGTCCAAGTCTTCCGAAGTAAGGGAAAACCAGAAATTAGTGAACAGTCGTTATGCTCATCACATCACTCTCAGTAGGAATTCATTCACAGACTCACCAGCATTCTGGATCTATAAGCCTGCTATTACATATTTGCTTTGTATCCTGCCTTCTCAGAACCTGGATAGAGAGGACACTCCTTATTTGTCTCAACCATCTCTGTTTCTCTTATCCTCCTCCTGAGGCCATTGTAATGGCAAACACTGATGCATTAATGTGAGCATAGTCAAGGTACAGTAAAACCAGCAAATGAATTATATCCCAAATATCTTTTCTGGAAAAAGCAATCAAGTCAAAGACTATTTCCTTTGAGCCCTCCTATCTTCATCTGTTTGGGCTATTATAAAAATACTATACTAAATAATTTACAAAGAAGAAAAAAATTATTTCTCACATTTCTGGATGCTAAAAAGTACAAAATCTCAGCTACAGTAGATTTGGTGTCTGAGGAGGGCATATTTTCAAAGTGGTATCACCTCCTAATTATCTCCTAAAGGCCTCACCTCTTGATACTATTGCATTCAGGATTAAGTTTCAACATGAATTTTGGAGGTACACAAACATTCAAACCATAGCACCTCTCTTCCTTATGTGACTAGGCCACTGACAATAACTACAAAGGTCACTTATTTCCTAGATTTGTCCCTAATTTCTACAGATTCCCATTGCTATCTCAAAACATGTCTGACTTTAGGATCAATTATTTGAAGCAGGGAAGAAGATACCAAAATTTGGTTCCAAATTAGCAAAGTACATCAGTCCTTGCTTGATGGCAGAGAAAGCTTTTATTTTATTATGGGTACATTTTTACTTTGAAGTAAATACACTTTTCAAAACATAACTTAAATATGTCTAGATCTATTCACTGAACAAAAACTAATTGCACACTCTGATATGACTTAGAGGAGTTTCAAAAATGAAAGAAATATGAGTAATTCCTACATGTATCACATTCAAGAAGTACAGGTGACAGGCAAGCATTAAGAACAAATAATACATTTCAGGGAAAAAAATATGCTGTCAGCGTAGATGTGAGAGGAGTCACTTTAACTGGGGAAATAAGAAAAGCCTATGTAAATATGTCATTTCATAAATCTTGTTACATCCATCAGAATTCTCACATTCCCATCACTGAGCCTTCTTTAGCAAGCTGAAGGCAAGGAAGAGTTTTATTAAGATTCAGGAATAATTTCCAGAATCATACTTCAAACTGCATCTGTAAATTTAGGTGACATTTCCCCCAACCACAAAACCATGTAGAATCTGATAGGACCAAGAATGTGGCACCATGTCCAGCACCAAAACCATTCTGCCTTTGGCAGTGTCTGGAATCTTCCTTCCTACTCTGTTTCCTCCCACCAAAACACGTGTCTACTGTTGCCAGTGCCACAAGATGGATATCACATTCCCGACCTGATTGCGCAATAGATTTGTATCGAACTCTTATTCAGATTCATGAGGTAAGTGAAGCCTATATTGTGCAGCAAATAATTACATATGGTAATTATCTTAACTCTATGTTAATTATGAGGGAATTGCAATGCAGAAACATTTTTCCAAACATTGAAGGAGTGTTCCAAAATGTTGGAGCATATAGAAATGACAGGTACCTACTAAAGTCTATCCCTTGACTGCTAATATCAAAACCCTTCTTCTGTTTCTTTAATATTGAGAAAAATATAGAAATGAAGACACGCTTCTATAAAACATGAATCAATTGCATTACAAATAAACAAAAACATATAAATTTTCTCTCAAAATAGGAATATATAATTTATTATCAAACTTGCTTAATTCAGTTATTATTTCTAGTAGATAATTTTATTAAATGTTTTAGGATTTCCAACATACACAATCATGTTATCTATTAATACAAGCAGTTTCACTTCTATCTTTCAAATTTGTATGCCTTCATTTTCTTTTCTTGCCTTATTAAAGTGGGTAGAAAAGTTTAATAAGAAGTTGATTAAAAGTTGAATAGAAGTGGGGAGAATAAAAATATTTTCCGTGCTCTCAGTCTTTAGAGCAAACCATTCCTTGCTTTGCCATTAAATATACTGCTTTTGTAAGTTTTTATAGATGTATTTTTCCGGTTCTCTTCTATTTTTAATTTTTGAGAGTTATATTATGAATGAATGCTGAACTCTTTTGCTACATTTATAAATATGACCATATGCTTTTTCATTTGTTCTGTAAATGCATTGAACTATGCTGATTGCCTTTTGAAAGTCAATTTTGCTTTCCTGGAATACATTCCTCTTAGATGTGAAGTAGCATCTTTCATATATATATTTCTACTTGCTAATATAATCTTACTGTTTGCATCCATGCAATGATACTGGTCTGTAATTTTTTTTAATTATATCTTTGGTTTGGGTGTTAGAATAATTCTGGCTCAAAAATCTTTCAGAAATGTTCCCACTTCCTCTTTTTTTAAAGCATTTGTGTATTATTGGTATTATTTCTGTATTAAATGTTTGATAGAATTCACCAGTGACACTGTGTGGGCTTGTCCTTTTCTTTGTTGAAAGCTTTCAATTACAAAGTTAATTTACTTAGCAGATGTAGGACTGTTCAGATTTTCAATATTCTAGAGTCAGTTTTGATAACTTGTATTTCTCAGGAATTAGTCCATTTCACCTAGATTGTTAAACACGTTGATGTAAAGTAAATTGTAACAGTTTCTTAATTTATTTTAATATCTTTAGGATCTGTGGTGGTGCCCCTTTTTAAATAGTGGCAGTGGTAATGTGTGGCATTCTTTGCTTCTTTCCCCACCTTGATCAGTACAGCTGTAGATTTGTTGATTTTATTAACCTTAACAGTATTAATCCCTAATTAAGCACTATCTCCCACAAATTTTGTTTTTAGTGTCATTTTGTTCAAACACTGTTGCAGCTGCTGACATCTCTGCTGCAACTGCATTGCTCATGTACTGATTAACTCTTAGTTTTCCCCTGCAAATTTATTATATGCTCCTGATTAGACAATTTTGTTAGAGTTGAGTCAGAGAGAAATCAGCAACAGATATGGCTTTAATCTGTAAATGATATAAAATTTTAGATAATGGTGTATTGTCCCTAAGTCCAATTTCAGCCCTACTTTTATGACAAATGATTACTCAGAAATGTCCTTAATTAATCATGAAATAGATTTTAGAGAACATAACCCAGCATCCTTCAGAATGACCTACATATGCCTGAATTCTAGATTCAGACTCAGACTTCAACTGCTGAATGTTTTTAAGACAGCAAATTTAGATGGATCACGATATTAGAACTCTCATAAATTTAAAAAGTTAGAAATTTGAAAAAATTATTTTATAATAAATTAATTATTTAATTTTATTAGATATTGTTATATTTATCAGTGTAAGTGACCATATTCTCTTATATGAATATCATAAAGATTAACTTATTTTAAATAAATTTATCTATTTATTTGTTCTTGTACCTAAGACCATTTTTTTTCTGGTTAGCATTTATAAAGGCTTATAGGATTGTACAGAACAGGCATGTGACTTAGCACATTACTGAGAGAAGTAAATGTTCTCTGTCTTTAAACCTATCACTGAAATTCATGTATGAAGGACAGTAGTCAGCTTTATTTCAGATTTACTTAAAAATTATAAATAATTTTGATTAAAATCCTAAAAAATGGCACAGATTAAGCATACTTGGAACTAAATAAGAACATGTTGTAATGTGTTCACATTACCTTTATGTGTAATAATTTAGTTA
Organism: Homo sapiens; assembly: GCF_000001405.40. Classification (NCBI taxonomy): domain Eukaryota; kingdom Metazoa; phylum Chordata; class Mammalia; order Primates; family Hominidae; genus Homo; species Homo sapiens. Next base: position 52,076,847 of record NC_000005.10, read on the forward strand.
GAATTCAATGTTAAAGAGAATATTTATGAAATATTCATTGGAAGATGTTCTGTATGTTAACTCATCATCTTTAATCCACAATATATTTGTAAAAATCTATTCTGTATCTTAATGTTTCTGTACGTATATTTTTTTGGAGAACTCACAGGTGTTGAGTCATACATTTGAGTCAACTCAGTGCTGAATAGAGATAGCATTAGGGGGAGTACACAGCACTCTGTATGGAGGCAGAGGGTTAGATTTCTATAGGCCATAGAACTGGGGAATCAGGTAAACTATGTAGGTATCATGAATCCAATACCCTAAGTCGTCATATCAGGTATAAAGAGAAAAATGCATTCTGAGTATTTCTGACAAGTGGAAAAACCTGAGGAGTGGGAAAAGATGATTAAAGGAGTTAGAAGAAGAGGGATGTTGAGCATGCCAAACTCAAATGTGAAAAAGCAAATTGATAAAAAGCATGAAGCAGTTGGTTCAGGTAGATGTCAGTAGCATAATCTTGCATGTGTTCTCTTTGCTTGGTGAGAGGCTAAAAACATAAAGACACAGATGTTTTCTCTAAGTGGAACAAGGTGTATTGAGATCAATTTAATTAAAATATACAATACAATTCTTTGGTTCACCTGAAACACCTAAAATGACAGCTATTGTGCTTCCCCCAGTAGTTTTCAATTAGAGAGACTGATAAGGAACATTTAAGACCATTGGCTCTAGTGATAGTTGCCTACGACTTAGTTTCCTGTTTGCAAATGATGTTACAGGACAATATCTGAGTCTCTCAGATGAAAAGCTGTAACAGTAAATGACAACCCTCTCTCATGATCTAAGCATACCTTAGTAGTCCCTCCATAGATAGCTAAATGTGGAATAAATTATCTGTCTGCCTAACCAACTAAATGTTATCATTACATACAGAGAAAAATGAATTGAATCTCGTGTTTTTGAGTTACTCATTTGCTTATGCATTACAAGTTTTTATTCTACAAAAGAGCCATCTAAAATTGACTTTAAGAATTGTCATTAAAACTACAAGCAGCATATCAAATAATGTATATGTAATGTGCGTAGGTGATGTCTTCATCTCAATTTTATCGTATCATTCACAAAGCTTATCTCTTTTCTTTATTTCTAATATGTATTTGAACCTAATTTGGTAACATTTTTAAAAGATGGTAAAAAAATATCGTTCTCTGTAGCCAACATATCATAGGATCCTTTCATTATTTGACAGTTTTGACAGATATTATTGATTTGGCCAGCAACTGCAGCTAACTAGAAGGGGACAATGTGACAGTTTTATGTAACAAAAGGCACAGTGTCATGTCAACTGAACTAAATGTTGTACAAAGTGACAGCAGGACAAAAAATCCTTTCAGACTTAATTTTCTGCTTCATTTTTTTTCTACCATCAATACATAAGGCAGTGCAGTAGGTGACACAAATTAGCAGGATGGAGCAAAAGGTCTATCCCTGCCTCTGTGGCTATACTTGACTTCTTCCACCAGAGTGGCAATTATTTTTAAGGTGAATGAACAAGAAGAGCAGCTTATAGTAATCAACTTACCCCTATAGGAGAAAATATATCCCTTATCAAGATGCTTTATATATTTCACCTAGGTGGCTTTTGGGAAAAGATGAAAGGAAAAAGTCCCCATCTGCTAGGTCATGCCTACAAGACACATTCTGTCAAGTCTTAAAAGCAACAACAGCTTTGCCTGTGGGATACCTATAATTATTATGCGGAGCAGCCCAGTGCCTGCTGCAGTTCATTGTTCTGCTAACACAAGACGGAATGAGAACAGTGGCTCCAGGCTGTGAGTGGATAAAGTGCAACTTTTCGATTTTGCTCTTCTAAGGATTCTGCATTGTGTGGAGTCCATGAGTGACATCTTTGGCCTTCCTTGGGGCTCAGCAGATTGAATCAGTCATGCTGAGTTAAACAATGAGTAGAGGACATAACCTTAGCGGTGCCTGTCATTTTTCCCTCATAATTCAATCTACATTTAATCAATGAAAGTAATTTCTTGTTTGTTTAAGTCTCATATCCAATGGATCTTGAGAATTTTGAAGTGGCACGCCTTCACCTTGACCTTACCTACCTTTTGACTTCAACTACTACATCAAAATTGGGATCTGCAAAACAGGTGGGCAGAAAAGGTACCCAGCTGGTTATTTTTTCCGTGATATTTCTCTGATTTGTACTTCGAATGGAGCTTTGGGAATAAAGTTATCTAAATGATAAGCTGGAGAAAAAATTCTAGAGCAAAACCAGTAGTAACAGTAAGAACAGCACAATTTGAATTTCTAGAATACTGGCACAGAATACAAACTTGACATAAAAAGGTCCTTTTATCGAGTTATCATTGGCCATTTTGTGCTAATGGCTTAAAGGTTGGCTTTTAGATTATCACTGTTATTTGAAATAGCCAGTAGTAACTTTTGTAAGTTCAAGGTCTTTACTGATTGGTTCACCTAGTGTTAATCAAAATCCATCTTCCCTTCCAATCATAGTGATTAAATAATTCTGAGAGAGCTTGACATCAAGTTCAACTTTGTATAAGTTTGTACAAAAGTGCTAATCGAAACATTTTATTACCTGTCAGTTGTCAGACTGGAAAGCAATTGAAAGATAAAGTTTAAAGAAAATTAATTTACCTGAACATATACAATTAATCAAATGCCACAATAAAGAAGAGAGGTTACCATGATATTAAAAATAGAGAAAAAGATTTTAGTATTTTTGTGTTTTACTCAAATTATTGTTGCTAAAATGTCAAATAAAAAATAACTGTATAGAAAAATATAAGAAAGTCAACTAGCTGCAGTAATATGATAGAGTCAAGAATGACTGAAATAAATCAGGAAAGCTTTGGTACTTAGAACTTCTTAAAAGAAGGAACGGCTGTAAGAAAATGCAAAGCCTGTGATAAAAATGTGACATTGGTACAAGTCTATAAAAATTAAAGTAAACTAAGTTTAATTTTAAAATGGCTTTAAAAGTTTTTGAATGTTAGAAACTTGAATTTAAATTTTAGAAGCAATTTTTATATAGGATTTTCCATTCATTGCTGCTGCTTGAATCTAAGAGAAAAATAATCAAAAAGACTTTGGTAATAGATGAAGTTTCTAAAGTTGCATAAAAACTGACTAAAAATTTCATCAATTTATGTTACCTAAATTTATTTCTTAAATTTATTTAAGAAATAAGATACATTTCGTTTGCCATTTTTCATTCTTGAATTCTTTCATTTGGTATTCATTGACTTCTAGTATACTGAGCATTGTGATAAATGATGAGACAAGGTGCTTGATGTAAAGAGTTCATAGTCTACTTGAACTATGTTTCGTGTGCTTTATAATTTAATGGAATAAAATTTCACCATCATAAAAATGCTTCAAAAATGTTGGCTAAATTTTGCTTAATGTCAAAAGCTGAATAAACTTTTTCAGGGACCCAGGCTCACAGAGGGAGGTCTCTAAAAATATCTGCCATCTGAAACCCAACCTCTTTTGCTACATCCTAAGGCCTCCCCACCTTATAGAGACCCTATGACGAAACTGAAGTGTAGGCAGAAAGATGTACTTCAAATAAAATAATAAAAGTCCAGGGCCATGTATGAAGCCCAAAGGAAAAGTCAGGGGAATGATCTAGAAGTAGACTGAAGCAAGGTCTCTGGAGATAGGAATTCTAAAATTGGAATATAGGAACCTGTAAGTAGGTGAGAGTGTTTGGGAAGGGATCTGAGGGTGATTGCTGAAGCCATGCACTATGTGTTACATGCTTTCATGTGCCAACCTGGGGAAGGTAACTATCAAATTCCATCTAAACTGCTACATGGTTTCATACCCACTGCTTAAGCTGTTTTCTTTCTGCCTCCTCTTTTCTTCTCAACTAGATTCCTGCTTTATCCCAGAGAATCTCTGTTGTTGGCTGTGATGCTGTTTGCAGAATAATCCATCTCAAAGTTAAGGAAACAAATGTTTCATTACTTTTTTCAGAAGTGATCATAAATTAACCAGTTTTGGATTTCTGTTTTAGCTCAGCTCTCTGGTATCAGAATGGACCTTTTATAAGTCTGTGGACATTGTCAAGCTTTCTACTACTTTTCAGTGAATTAAATACCTGCAGACTTTTCTTTGCAAATGTGTGAGGCATGTGGGTAATGTATATGTGTGTAGGTGAGTCTCCTGTGGTCAGTGTTAAATGTGACTGCATCATAAATGAGTGAATCTTTAGAAATAGGGTTGAATAAACCTTCACACTAATATTTAACCTGAATTGATCAAATTAATCAAAATTGGGTTTATTTAGGTATATTATTTGGGAGTTCAAAATTATCTTTTAGAAATGACTCCTCTTTTATCCAGATGTATAAATTTAAAAAAAAACTAGGCAATTGATTCTGATTAAATCTTATTTTATGCTCTGCATTTAAAAAAATTATCTGTGAATATTTGGTTCTGATAGGTTGAGCTATTCTGGAGGCAGAGAGGCAGGATGCTATAGCATAGATTACCAATCAGTTCACTCAGACGGATCATGAGCAAGTTGGAGTCTTAGTTCTCCTCAGTAGGATGCTTTACAGACTTCTCTGAGTGAATCTAATTGAAAAGTGAACCCCTTCTGTGACCTTGGTTACCTGAACCAATAAGTGTTGCCATTTTCACCCATCCAGAGCACTTCAGTGTGGAAATGAGATGGCTTCATGAAATAGAGTGGGTCATTGACCCCAGGTGGATGGTTTCTCTCTATTTTCAGACAGATTGTTGGCTGGCCCTAGTTTCTTCTACCTTCCAACTAGCAATGCGGAGTTTTTGGACTACTCAGAGAGTATTCCAAATATAGAGAATCAAAATCTTAAGACTGTGTTCAGCAGTAAAGAAAAAAATACGTTAAAAATCTGTTAGACAATGAATATTAATTTTTACCATTAATAACAGATTGAGCCTTCATTCATTTCTCCTTGAAGGTAATAAAGTAGGGTAGGGATGAGAAATTAGAAGCATCCTCTTCCTATTTATTCATTCATTTGTGCATCACTATTGACTGCTTACTAGTTGCCAAGCACTTCACTTGCTAACAGGAGCACAATAGTAAATAAGACATAGCTCCTCCCTTGCAAAAGTAAAGCATGCTATTTTTTTCCAGAGGTTTTCATGGTCCCCTTAAAAATGCCATTGATTCTTTTGTCTTTAGAGTATGGAAGTTTGATGCTTGGACAATGTAAATATTTAAAACAAAATAGCTAAAAATAAGAAGGAAGTAGTTCTAAATATTAACACTGTGAGTTCGCATGAGTATTTGTATTAGTCCGTTTTCACACTGCTGATAAAGACATACCCAAGACTGGGAAGAAAGAGAGGTTTAATTGGACTTACAGTTCCACATGGCTACGGAGGTCTCAGAACCATGGTGGGAGGAAAAAGGCACTTCTTACATGGCGGTGACAAGAGAAAAATGAGGAGGAGGCAAAAGTGGAAACCCTTGATAAACCCATAAGATCTCATTAAACTTATTCACTATCATAAGAATAGCACGGGAAAGACTGGCCCCCATGATTCATTCAATTACCTCCCCTTGGGTCACTCCAACAACACGTGAGAATTCTGGAAGACACAATTCAAGTTGAGATTTGGGTGGGGACACAGCCAAACCATATCATTTCTGTCCCTGGACCCTCCAAATCTCAAATCTCATGTCCTCACATTTCAAAGCCAATCATGCCTTCCCTACAGTCCCCCAAAGTCTTAACTCATTTCAGCATTAACCCAAAAGTCCACAGTCCGAAGTTTCATCTTAAAAAAGGCAAGCCCCTCCCATCTATGAGCCTGTAAAATCAAAAGCAAGCTTGTTACTTCCTAGATACAATGGGGGTACAGGTATTCGGTAAATACAGCCATTCTAAATGGGAGAAATTGGCCAAAACAAAGGGGTTACAGGGCCCATGCAAACCAGAAATCCAGTGGGAGAGTCAAACTTTAAAGCTCCAAAATGATCTCTTTTGACGCCAGGTCTCACATCCAGGTCACGCTGATGCAAGAGGTGGGTTCCCATGGTCTTGGGCAGCTCCACCCCTGTGGCTTTACAGGGTACAGCCTCCCTCCCAGCTGCTTTCACGGGTTGGTGTTGAGTGTCTGCGGCTTTTCCAGGCACACAGTGCAAGCTGTTGGTGGATCTCAGATGGTGGATCTCAGGATTCTGGAGGATGGTGGCCCTCTTCTCACAGCTCTACTAGGCAGTGCCCCAGTAGGGGCTCTGTGTGGGGGCTCCGACCCCACATTTCTCTTCAGTACTGCCCTAGCAGAGGTTCCCCATGAGGGCCCTGCCCCAGCCACGGCATATCCAGGCGTTTCCATACTTCCTCTGAAACCTAAGTGGAGGTTCCCAAACCTCAATTCTCTTGACTTGTGTGCACCTGCAGGCTCAACACCTTGTGGAAGTTGCCAAGGTTTGGGGCTTCCACCCTCTGAAGGCACTGAGCTGTACAATGGCCCCTTTCAGCCATGGCTGGAGTGGCTGGGACACAGGGCATGAAGTCCCCAGGCTGCACACAGCACAGGGACCCTGGGCTCGCCTCATGAAACCATTTTTACCTCCTGGGCTTGTAATGGGAGGGGCTGCCATGAAGGTCTCTGGCATGGCCTGGAGACATTTTCCCCATGGTCTTGGGGATTAACATTAGGCTCCTTGCTACTTAGGCACATTTCTACAGCCAGCTTGAATTTCTCTCCAGAAAATGGATTTTTCTTTTCCATTGCATAGTCAGGCTGCAAATTTTCTAAACTTTTATGCCATGTTTCCCTTATAAAACTGAAGGCCTCTAATAGAACCCAAGTCACCTTTTGAATGCTCTGCTGCTTAGAAATTTCTTCTGCCAGATACCCTAAATAATTTTTCTCAAGTTCAAAGTTCCACAAATCTCTAGGGCAGGGACAAAATGACCCCAGTCTCTTTGCTAAAACATAACAAGAATCACCTTTACTCCAGTTCCTAACAAGTTCCTCATTTCCATCTGAGACTACCTCAGCCTGGACCTTATTGTCCATATCGCTATCAGCATTTTGGGCAAAGCCATTCAACAAGTCTCTAGGAAGTTCCAAACTTCCCCAGATTTTCCTGTCTTCTTCTGAGCCCTTCAAACTGTTTCAATCTCTGCCTATTACCCAGTTCCAAAGTCACATTCACATTTTCAGGTATCTTTTCATCAATGTCCCACTCTACTGATACCAATTTACTGTATTAGTCCATTTTCATGCTGCTGATAAAGACATACCCAAGACTGGGAAGAAAAAGAAGTTTAATTGGACTTACAGTTCCACATGTCTGGGAGGCCTCAGAATCATGGTGGGAGGCAAAAGGCACTTCTTACATGGTGGTGGCAAGAGAAAAATGAGGAGGAAGCAAAAGCAGAAACCCCTGATACCCATCAGATCTCATGAGACCTATTAACTATCATGAGAATAACAAGGGAAAGACTGGACCCCATGATTCAATTACCTCCCCATAGGTCCCTCCCACAACAGGTGGGAATTCTGGGAGACACAATTCCAGTTGAGATTTGGGTGGGAACACAGCCAAACCATATCAGCTTTATACCAGACTTCTATATCTATAGTTATATATCTATCCTCTCAAGATACATTTAGAATTATAAACATATGTAGAGATAGGGATGAGAATATTTTTTACAGAAAGAATATGTAAAGTGTGTGTAATTTAAATATAAATTTCTACTTGATATATATGTAATATGTATCTAGCACTTACATAAAAGTACACACACACACACACACACGCACACATTCATCACCAAACGTTTTTGCATGGTTGTTTCATTGTATTTTTAGAATGTGTCCAGAAATAAAATGTCTGCACCACAATGTATCTATACTTTTTATTGTTGTATTACTCCTCAGTGTATAGTACTATCAGCATATTATATCATTATATACTTCATATTCTTACAAACAATTGCTAAGGTTAAGCAATTAAAAGCTTGCCAGTATTACATGAAAATAATGTAAATGCTTCAACTTGTAGATTTCAAAATTGAGCATATTTCACAACATTATTGATACTTTATGTTTCTTCTTTGGCAATCTTTTCTTATATTATGTCATTTTTGTACTATGGAAGTGGACATTTATTGATGTCATTTACTAAAATCTATATTAAGCCAAGCCATATTCTGGGTACTGGAAATAAATCATTAAATAAAACAGACAAAAATAATTGCCTTCTTAGGACTCACATTTTATCAAAAGAAGAGAGACAATAAAATACAAATATATCAATTATTAAGACATGCATGTTATTAAAACATAAAACCAGGATGGGGAATTAATATTTGTAAATATTCAAGGAATATTAATCATTTGCTAGCCATGTAAATTAAATTTTTATCCCCATCTTAAAATGTGTTTTAAGTTGCTTTCTTATGCAAGCTTTTTAAAGTATAGACCTGATAATAGTAAAATGTTTTAGCAATTTGCTATCTGATTTCTTATTGTATCACATAATTTATAAAAAATGTAAAAATATTTCCATTTATTTTTTCTGGTACTTTTGTAATTTTATTTTCATGTTTATATTCTTTCATTCAAATCTTACAAATTGGGTTTAAGAGAGATAAATTCAACCATATATATAGGTTGAGGCAACTGGCCCTTCATGTAGATAGGTATGTGTGTATATGTATCTGTGTATACATACACACACACACACACACACACACACACACCCCTACCTACGTGAAGGGTCAGTTGTCCCAACAATTTATTCAAAAAATATTCATCCCACTGATTATTTGTGTCAACTTTATCTCATATTAAACACTTGCATATGCCTACATTCATTTTTGGATAAACTTTTCTGTTTCATTGAACTTTCATTCCATTCCTATGACAATGCAAGCATAAATGTTACCGTTTTAAAAGTATTTTTTAAAAGTATTGCATACCTAGTAAGAAAAACATAAGCCACTTTATTTTTCCTAAAAATTCCTAATTATTCTTACTATATAAAATAAATCTATAATATTTTTACATGTAATATATTGTAAATACATATGAATGAGTCAATCAAATCTCTCACTAATATTTTGATAGGAATTAAATTATATTTTCATGCTCACTTAGTGGTGCTGATATAGTTTGCTATGTTAAGGTATAGAATAGTCTAAAACCTTCATAGATTCCTGGGTTTATTACAGTTGTTATCAAGCCTGGGCTTGGGTTGCATTGAGCCCTTTAGATATTCATTCACCAAAAATGTAATTACTGGCTTCCTTTATTATATTAGTTTCTATACTGAATGAAATGATAAAATATAGTAACCAAAATTAATGTAATAGGAACAAACCAAACAAAAACATATAGTATCAAAGTAAACCAAATGTTTGTTCTTTGAGTAATAAGGTAGACAGACATTGGTTAGACTAAAAACAAAAAGTGAGTAATGGCACAATAGTAAGTCACAATAATAAGAAACAGAGATGTAAATACATATATATTATAGAGAATAAAATACAAATACATTATTGTGAATTCCATACACTAATACATTTGCAAAGTAAAAGGAATTGAAGTTTTTAAAGGAAAACCCATCAATTATTTCTCAAAGTGTAATAACAAACTTGAATTAAAAATAAACATTAAGAATGTTGAATATTGGCCCCCACTCTCTTCTGGCTTGTAGGGTTTCTGCCGAGAGATCCGCTGTTAGTCTGCTGGGCTTCCCTTTGAGGGTAACCCGACCTTTCTCTCTGATTGCCCTTAACATTTTTTCCTTCATTTCAACTTTGGTGAATCTGACAATTATGTGTCTTGGAGTTGCTGTTCTCGAGGAGTATCTTTGTGGCGTTCTCTGTATTTCCTGAATCTGAATGTTGGCCTGCCTTGCTAGATTGGGGAAATTCTCCTGGATGATATACTGCAGAGTGTTTTCCAACTTGGTTCCATTCTCCCCATCACTTTCAGGTACACCAATCAGACGTAGATTTGGTCTTTTCACATAGTCCCATATTTCTTGGAGGCTTTGCTCGTTTCTTTGTATTCTTTTTTCTCTAAACTTTCCTTCTCACTTCATTTCATTCATTTCATCTTCCATTGCTGATACCCTTTCTTCCAGTTGACCGCATCGGCTCCTGAGGCTTCTGCATTCTTCACGTAGTTCTCGAGCCTTGGTTTTCAGCTCCATCAGCTCGTTTAAGCACTTCTCTGTATTGGTTATTCTAGTTATACATACTTCTAAATTTTTTTCAAAGTTTTCAACTTCTTTGCCTTTGGTTTGAATGTCCTCCCGTAGCTCAGAGTAATTTGATCATCTGAAGCCTTCTTCTCTCAGCTCGTCAAAGTCATTCTCCGTCCAGCTTTGTTCCGTTGCTGGTGAGGAGCTGTGTTCCTTTGGAGGAGGAGAGGTGCTCTGATTTTTAGAGTTTCCAGTTCTTCTCTTCTGTTTTTTCCCCATCTTTGTGGTTTTATCTACTTTTGGTCTTTGATGATGGTGATGTACAGATGGGTTTTTGGTTTGGATGTCCTTTCTGTTTGTTAGTTTTCCTTCTAACAGACAGGACCCTCAGCTGCAGGTCTGTTGGAGTACCCTGCAGTGTGAGGTGTTCGTGTGCCCCTGCTGGAGGGTGCCTCCCAGTTAGGCTGCTCGGGGGTCAGGGGTCAGGGACCCACTTGAGGAGGCAGTCTGCCCATTCTCAGATCTCCAGCTGTGTACTGGGAGAACCACTGCTCTCTACAAAGCTGTCAGACAGGAACATTTAAGTCTGCAGAGGTTACTGCTGTCTTTTTGTTTGTCTGTGCCCTGCCCCCAGAGGTGGAGCCTACAGAGGCAGGCAGGCCTCCTTGAGCTGTGGTGGGCTCCACCCAGTTCCAACTTCCCGGCTGCTTTGTTTACCTAAGCAAGCCTGGGCAATGGTGGGCACCCCTCCCCCAGCCTCGCTGCCGCCTTGCAGTTTGATCTCAGACTGCTGTGCTAGCAATCAGTGAGACTCCGTGGGGTAGGACCCTCCAAGCCAGGTGCGGGATATAATCTCGTGATGCGCCGTTTTTTAAGCCCGTCAGAAAAGCGCAGTATTCGGGTGGGAGTGACCCGATTTTCCAGGTGCCATCCATCACCTCTTTCTTTGATTAGGAAAAGGAACTCCCTGACCCCTTGCACTTCCCGAGTGAGGCAATGCCTCGCCCTGCTTTGGCTCGCGCATGGTGCGCACACCCACTGACCTGCGCCCACTGTCTGGCACTCCCTAGTGAGATGAAACTGGTACCTCAGATGGAAATGCAGAAATCACCCGTCTTCTGCATCACTCAGGCTGGGAGCTGTAGACAAGAGCTGTTCCTATTTGGCCATCTCGGCTCCTCCCCCAAGAAGCCAGTCTTAAAGAAAAGAATTTTCAACCCAGAATTTCATATCCAGCCAAACTAAGTTTCATAAGTGAAGGAGAAATAAAATACTTTACAGACAAGCAAATGCTGAGAGATTTTGTCACCACCAGGCCTGCCTTAAAAGTGCTCCTGAAGGAAGCGCTAAACATGGAAAGGAACAACCAGTACAGGCCGCTGCGAAATCATGCCAAAATGTAAAGACCATCAAGAATAGGAAGAAACTGCATCAACTAACGAGCAAAATAACCAGCTAACATCATAATGACAGGATCAAATTCACACATAACACTATTAACTTTAAATATAAATGGACTAAATGCTCCAATTAAAAGACACAGACTGGCAAATTGGATAAAGAGTCAAGACCCATCAGTGTGCTGTATTCAGGAAACCCATCTCACATGCAGAGACACACATAGGCTCAAAATAAAAGGATGGAGGAAGATCTACCAAGCAAATGGAAAACAAAAAAAGGCAAGGGTTGCAATCCTAGCCTCTGATAAAACAGACTTTAAACCAACAAAGATCAAAAGAGACAAAGAAGGCCATGACATAATGGTAAAGGGATGAATTCAACAACAAGAGCTAACTATCCTAAATATATATGCACCCAATGCAGGAGCACCCAGATTCATAAAGCAAGTCCTTAGAGACCTACAAAGAGACTTAGACTCCCACACAATAATAATGGGAGACTTTAACACCCCACTGTCAACATTAGACAGATCAATAAGACAGAAAGTTAACAAGGATATCCAGGAATTGAACTCAGCTCTGCACCAAGAGGATCTAATAGACATCTACAGAACTCTCCACCCCAAATCAACAGAATATACATTCTTCTCAGCACCACACCTCACTTATTCCAAAACTGACCACATAGTTGGAAGTAAAGCACTCCTCAGCAAATTTAAAAGAACAGAAATTATAACAAGCTGTCTCTCAGACCACAGTGCAATCAAACAAGAACTCAGGATTAAGAAACTCACTCAAAACTGCTCAACTACATGGAAACTGAACAACCTGCTCCTGAATGACTACTGGGTAAATAATGAAATGAAGGCAGAAATAAAGATGTTCTTTGAAACCAACAAGAACAAAGACACAACATACCAGAATCTCTGGGACACATTCAAAGCAGTGTGTAGAGGGAAATTTATAGCACTAAATGCCCACAAGAGAAAGCAGGAAAGATCCAAAATTGACACCCTAACATCACAATAAAAGAACAAGAAAAGCAAGAGCAAACACATTCAAAAGCTAGCAGAAGGCAAGAAATAACTAAAATTAGAGCAGAACTGAAGGAAATAGAGACACAAAAAACCCTTCAAAAAAATTAATGAATCCAGGAGCTGGTTTATTGAAAGGATCAACAAAATTGATAGACCACTAGCAAGACTAATAAAGAAAAAAAGAGAGAAGAATCAAATAGACGCAATAAAAAATGATAAAGGGGATATCACCACCAATCCCACAGAAATACAAACTACCATCAGAGAATACTACAAACACCTCTATGCAAATAAACTAGAAAATCTAGAAGAAATGGATAAATTCCTTGACACATACACTCTCCCAAGACTAAACCAGGAAGAAGTTGAATCTCTGAATAGACCAATAACAGGAGCTGAAATTGTGGCAATAATCAATAGCTTACCAACCAAAAACAGTCCAGGACCAGATGGATTCACAGCCGAATTCTACCAGAGGTACAAGGAGGAACTGGTACAATTCCTTCTGAAACTATTGCAATCAATAGAAAAAGAGGGAATCCTCCCTAACTCATTTTATGAGGCCAGCATCATTCTGATACCAAAGCCTGGCAGAGACACAACCAAAAAAGAGAATTTTAGACCAATATCCTTGATGAACATTGATGCAAAAATCCTCAATAAAATACTGGCAAACCGAATCCAGCAACACATCAAAAAGCTTATCCACCATGATCAACTGGGCTTCATCCCTGGGATGCAAGGCTGGTTCAATATATGCAAATCAATAAATGTAATCCAGCATATAAACAGAGCCAAAGGCAAAAACCACATGATTATCTCCATAGATGCAGAAAAGGCCTTTGACAAAATTAAACAATCCTTCATGCTAAAAACGCTCAATAAATTAGGTATTGATGGGACATATTTCAAAATAATAAGAGCTATCTATGACAAACCCACAGCCAATATCATACTGAATGGGCAAAAACTGGAAGCATTCCCTTTGAAAACTGGCACAAGACAGGGATGCCCTCTCTCACCACTCCTATTCAACATAGTGTTGGAAGTTCTGGCCAGGGCAATCAGGCAGGAGAAGGAAATAAAGGGTATTCAATTAGGAAAAGAGGAAGTCAAATTGTCCCTGTTTGCAGATGACATGATTGTATATCTAGAAAACCCCATTGTCTCAGCCCAAAATCTCCTTAAGCTGATAAGCAACTTCAGCAAAGTCTCAGGATACAAAATCAATGTGCAAAAATCACAAGCATTCCTATACACCAACAACAGACAAACAGAGAGCCAAATCATGAGTGAACTCCCATTCACAATTGCTTCAAAGAGAATAAAATACCTAGGAATCCAACTTACAAGGGATGTGAAGGACCTCTTCAAGGAGAACTACAAACCACTGCTCAAGGAAATAAAAGAGAATACAAACAAATGGAAGAACATTCCATGCTCATGGGTAGGAAGAATCAATATCAAGAAAATGGCCATACTGCCCAAGGTAACTTACAGATTCAATGCCATCCCCATCAAGCTATCAATGCCTTTCTTCACAGAATTGGAAAAAAACTACTTTAAAGTTCATATGGAACCAAAAAAGAGCCCACATCACCAAGTCAATCCTAAGCCAAAAGAACAAAGCTGGAGGCATCACACTACCTGACTTCAAACTATACTACAAGGCTACTGTCACCAAAACAGCATGGTACTGGTACTAAAACAGCATGGTACTGGTACCAAAACAGAGATATAGATCAATGGAACAGAGCAGAGCCCTCAGAAATAATGCCACATATCTACAGCTATCTGATCTTTGACAAACCTGAGAAAAACAAGCAATGGGGAAAGGATTCCCTATTTAATAAATGGTGCTGGGAAAACTGGCTAGCCCTAGGTAGAAAGCTGAAACTGGATCCCTTCCTTACACCTTATACAAAAATCAATTCAAGATGGATTAAAGACTTAAACGTTGGACCTAAAACCATAAAAACCCTAGAAGAAAACCTAGGCATTACCATTCAGGACATAGGCATGGGCAAGGACTTCATGTCTAAAACACCAAAAGCAATGGCAACAAAAGCCAAAATTAGCAAATGGGATCTAATTAAACTAAAGAGCTTCTGCACAGCAAAAGAGACTACCATCAGAGTGAACAGGCAACCTACAGAATGGGAGAAAAATTTTGCAACCTACTCATCTGACAAAGGGCTAATATCCAGAATCTACAATGAACTCAAACAAATTTACAAGAAAAAAACAAACAACCCCATCTAAAAGTGGGCAAAGGACATGAACAGACACTTCTCAAAAGAAGACATTTATGCAGCCAAAAAACACATGAAAAAATGCTCACCATCGCTGGCCATCAGAGAAATGCAAATCAAAACCACAATGAGATACCATCTCCCACCAGTTAGAATGGCGATCATTAAAAAGTCAGGAAACAACAGGTGCTGGAGAGGATGTGGAGAAATAGGAACACTTTTACACTGCTGGTGGGACTGTAAACTAGTTCAACCATTGTGGAAGTCAGTGTGGCGATTCCTCAGGGATCTAGAACTAGAAATACCATTTGACCCAGCCATCCCATTACTGGGTATATACCCAAATGAGTATAAATCATGCTGGTATAAAGACACATGCACACGTATGTTTATTGCGGCATTATTCGCAATAGCAAAGACTTGGAACCAACCCAAATGTCCAACAATGATAGACTGGATTAAGAAAATGTGGCACATATACACCATGGAATACTATGCAGCCATAAGAAAGGATGAGTTCATGTCCTTTGTAGGGACATGGATGAAATTGGAAACCATCATTCTCAGTAAACTATCGCAAGAACAAAAAACCAAACACCGCATATTCTCACTCATAGGTGGGAATTGAACAATGAGATCACATGGACACAGAAAGGGGAACATCACACTCTGGGGACTGCTGTGGGGTGGGGGGAGGGGGGAGGGATAGCATTGGGAGATATACCTAATGCTAGATGACGAGTTAGTGGATGCAGCACACCAGCATGGGACATGTATACGTATGTAACTAACCTGCACAATGTGCACATGTGCCCTAAAACTTAAAGCATAATAATTAAAAAAAATAAAAAAATAAAAAAAAAACATTAGGGAAACTGAATTTGTGTTTTAAAAAATCTAAGCTCACAAAAGTCCTAATGCTTAAATGGCATTACAAGTGGGTTTTGATGAAATATTCATATTAAATTTCAATGTTATACAACCTTTTTGGAATAAAGAAACTTTTTGGTATACATGCTGACTTATTTTTTAGACTAATTATAATCGTGGTGTCAAAAATAGTTAAGAAATGTTGAAATAGTTAAAAATATTGAAACATTTTAAGCCAATATCTTATAAAAGTGTTTTTTACAATCCTAAGACTTTTAAAAATCCAGTAGAGCTTTGAAAACTAATGTACTATAAACAAATTAAATTTTTCCCAATATGCAAAGGTTATTCAATGATGGAAAATATTTTAATATTTACTAATTTAATAATTAATTTACTACATTAAGAAATTATTGGAGACAAATATATAGCCATCTTGGTAGATTCAGTAAAAGCATACAAATTGTCTCTAAGAAACTGAGATTAAAAAAACTGTAATAATTTGATAGGGTATCCACTAAAAAGCTGTAAAAAATGTGATACCTAGTTGTAAATCATTTGTGGTATTGCCTTTAATATCAAAGAAGCCTACCTTAACAGCTTGTGTTGTGCTCTGTCCTTGACATCTTCCCTAAAACAAAAAATTGAGAGGGGAAAAATTTTTTTATAAAATAATATACATGCAAACAATGAAAACTAAAATGAAAGTATAAAATTATTCTGGATATAAAATCAATTTTAAAATGACTTTAAAAGATCAACAACTGGAAATATAATTAGAATATGTATGTGTACTATACACACACACATGCATATGGGTCATGTCCAACAGTAACAAATATAAGATGTTCCAAAAAATATAAACAATATTCAATATATAAGGAGAAATGCACAACATTTCATAGAAATACATAGGTAAGACTCAGCAAAATTTGTTTTAAGTCTCATTATTATATCATTTTTCACAAATTCATCTAAGAAGATATTACAAATTGATTTAAAAGAATAAATCTTTAGGTACGTGAACTTGAAGACATGCCAAAAGAAATGTGAATTGAAGCAAAATGAAAACAATACATCATTATTTGCATATAATAACACAACCTCTAATTACAGTTCCTAATGGGGTGAAGAGGGTGAATGGGGCAGAAAAAAATGTCAAGAAAATTTTCTCCATTTTTTCTGATTTCTTCAAAAATAGCAACTCAGATATCCAATCAATTAAGTGAGTCTCAAGTGAGATAAATTAAAAAAAAATTTATACTAAGGCATATCATAGAAAAAAGATTGAAATCAAACATCAAGAGAGCTGGAGTTTCTATAGACAAAATGTCTTTAAATAGTAAAAAATGTTATTAGAGATTAAAATGAACATTTTGTTATGATAAAGGGTCAATCCATTAGGAAGCTATAACAATTATATATGTGCCTGACAATGGAGCTTCAAAATACATGAAATAAAAGACTGAAGAGACAATTAAAGAATTCAGGCCTTGCACAGTAGCTCATGCCTGTAATCCTAGCACTTCAGGAAGCTGAGGTGAGTGGATCACTTGAGCCCAGGCTCTTTGAAAGATCAATATAATTGAAAAAAACTTTACCTGGACTGATCAAAAATAAAAAAAGAGAAAAGACTCAAATGCCCTTATATGGTTTGCCTGTGTCCCCACACAAAATCTCATCTTGAATTATAATCCTCATAATCCCCACGTGGTAAGGGCAGGACCAGGCGGAGATAATTGAATCATGGGAGCAGTTTCCTCCATGCTGTTCTTGTGGTAGTGAGTGAGTTCTTATGAGATCTGATGGTTTTAAAAGGGGCTCTTCCTCAGTTTTGCTGGGCACTTCTCCTTCCTACCATCTTGTGAAGAAGGTGCCTTACCTTCTCTTTGCCTTCTGCCCTGATTGTGTTTTCTGGTGCCTCCCCAGCCATGCTAAAAAATAACAAGAGTCAGCTTTAGTCCAGTTCCCAACAAGTTCCTTATCTCCATCTGAGATCACCTCATACCGGATTTCATTGTCCATATTATTATCAGCATTTTGGTCAAAGCCATTCAACAAGTCTCCAGGGAGTTTCAAAGTTTCTCACGTTTTCCTGTCTACTTCCGAGCCCTCCAAACTGTTCCCACCTCTGCCTGTCACCCAGTTCCGAAGTCGCTTCCACATTTTCGGGTAGCTTTTCAGCAGCACCCCACCCTACTGGTACCAATTTACTGTATTGTATGGGAATTATAGGAGCTACAAAATGAGACTTGGGTGGGGACACAGAGCCAAATCATATCATTGTATGATTTACTTCACGTAAAATGTCCAAAACAGGCCAATCTGTATAAGCAGAAAGTAGGTTACTCTTTAACTCTAACTGGTGGGCTTAGGGTGAAATGGGAGTGACTGCTAATGGGTATGAGGTTCTTTTGGGGAGTGATAAAAACATCCTAAAATTAGATAGTAGTACTGGTTGCCTCACTGTGAATATAGTAAAAACAACAGAATTGCACACTTTAATGTATTTAGCTTTATAATATATGAATCATATCTCATTGAAATTTAGAAAATCACAGAGAAAAAACACTGAAATGGTCAGGAAAAAGATACGTTATACAGAGAAACCCAATGATAAGAATGAGAGCTGATGTTTCTTTTAAACTTTATTTTTTGTAAAGCAGTGTCTGGTTCACACCAAAACTGAGAGGGAGGTACAGAGATATTCCACATAATCCTTGACCCCATGCACACATACCCTCTCTCATTATCAACATCCCTTACCAAAGTAGTACATTTACTACAGTTGATTAACCCACATCGACATATCAATACCACTCACAGTCCACATTTTACATAGGGGCTAACACCTGGTGTACATCCTATGGAGTTGGACAAATGCATAATGACATGTATTCACCAATATAGTATCATTTATTTTTCAGTGACCTAAAAGCCCTCTGTACTCTACCTATTTATTCTTTCTGCTCTCATAACCCCTGGGAAGCACTCATCTTTTCACTGTCTCCATAGTTTCGCCTTTTCCAGAATGTTATATAGTTGGAATCATACAATATGTAGCCATTTCAGATTGAGTTTTTTTCGCTTAGTAATATGCATTTAATTTCTCTCTGTCTTATTGATGAAGCTGCTATAGACACCTGTGTTGTGCAGGTTTTTATATGGACACAGTTTACAGCTCCTTTGGGTAAAGGAATGAGATTGTTGGATCACATGGTAAAAGTATATTTACTTTTGTAACGAAGTGCAATAGTGTCTTCTGAAGCAAGTGTGCTACTTTGCAATCCTACCAGCAGTAAATGAGTGTTCCTGCATACTGGCTGGCATTTTTTGTTTCCAGTGTTCTGGATTTTGGCCATTTTAATACTGATATTTAATTTGTATTTATCTGAAGACATATGTTGTGGACCATCTTTTATTATGTTTATTTGTCATCTCTATATATTCCTTGATAAAGTATCTGTTCAGGTCTTTTGCCTATTTTTAAAATAGGTTGTTCATTTTCTTACTATTGAGATTTCAGTGTTCTCTGTTCATTTTGGATAGCAGTCTTTATAAGATATGTCTGCAAATATTTTCTCCCAGTCTGTGTCTTGTCTTTTTATTCTCTTAACAGTGTCTTTTGCAGAGCACAGATTTTTAATTTTAACAACGTCAGCTTGTCAAGTTGTTCTTTCGTGCATTGTGCTTTTGCATCGTGTCTAAAAGTCATCGCCATGCCCAGGGTCATCTAGGTTTTCTCCTGTTACATTCCAGAAATTTTACAGTTTTGATTTTTCCATTTATGTCTGTGATCCATTCAGAATTAACTTTTGTGAATGGTGTAAGGTATCTTTTCAGACTGATTTTTTTTAAATAAGGATATTCAGTTTTTTCAGCACCATTTGTTGAAGGCTATCTTCTCTATATTGTATTGACTTTACTCCTTTGTCAAAGACCTGTTGACTATATTTGTGTGGGCCTATTTCTGGGATTTCTATTCTGTTCCATTTATCTACTTGTCTATTCCTTTATCACTAGCACACTGTCTTGATTATTAAGCTTTATTGTAATCTTGGAGTCAGGTAGAATCAGTCTTCTTACTTGGTTCTTTTCCTTCAATAATGTGTTGGCTATTCTGGGTCTTTTGTCTCTATATTTAAGATTCATATCAATTTATACCTCCAGATATTTTGGGGGGGGCATTTTGATTGGGATCGTATTGAATCTGTATATCATGTTGAGGAGAACTGCATCTTGACAATATTGAGTCTTCCAATCCATGAACATGGGATATCTCTTCATACGTTTAGTTCTTTGATTTTTTGTACTCAAGTTTTGTAACTTTCCTTGTATAAATCTTGTGCATATTTTGTTAGATTTATACCTGAGTATTTCCTTTCGAGGGCTGTTAATGTAAATAATATCATCTCTTTAATTTCAAATTCCACATTTTCATTGCTAATATATAGAAAATTGATTGACTTTTGTATATTAATCTTGTATCCTGCAGCCTTGCTATAAACACTAGTTCCAAGATTTTTTTGATTGTTTATTCTTACAGATTTTCTACCAAACAGTCACGTCCACTGTGGGAAAAAAATACAGTTTTATTTTTTTCTACCCAATCTGCATACCCTTTATTTTTTTTTCTTTGCATTAGTTAGTACGTCCAGTAGAATGCTGAAAAGGAATGTTGAGAGGAGATATCCTTGTCTTGTTTCTAATCTTAGTAGGAAAGGTAATAGTTTCTTACTTTTAGGTATGATGGTAGCTCTAGAATCTTTGTAGATATTCTCTATAAAGTTGAGGAAGTTGCCCTCCATGACAGATGATATTTTATCAGAAAAATTCATTCAAGGAAATGTATTTTCAACCTCCTAGAGAGTGATTTCAGTAAATGTAACTCAGCACATACTCTGGATTCTAACCAGTAAATTTCTTTTTCCTTTGGGGAAAGTAGTGAAGATATGAAGAAAAATGGAATAGATATTTTCAATGCTTCCTTTTCTTCATTATTTACAAATACAATTAACTAAGAAAGCACATGAGTGGATGCTTTAAGTTTTAGGGTACATGTGCACAAAGTGCAGGTTAGTTACATATGTATACATGTGCTATGTTGGTGTGCTGCACCCATTAACTCATCATTTAACATTAGGTATATCTCCTAATGCTATCCCTCCCCCCTCCCCCCTATCCCATAACAGGCCCCAGTGTGTGATGTTCCCCTTCCTGTGTCCATGTGTTTTCATTGTTCAATTCTCACCTATGAGTGAGAACAGGCGGTGTTTGGTTTTTAATCTTTTTACATTTTAAAGAACTTGTTCTGTTGCTGAACTCATCACTTTAGGTCTAATATGTAAGTCTTTAATCCATCTTGAATTAATTTTTGTATAAGGTGTAAGGAAGGGATCCAGTTTCAGCTTTCTACATATGGCTAGCCAGTTTTCCCAGCACCATTTATTAAATAGGGAATCATTTCCCCATTTCTTGTTTTTGTCAGGTTTTTCAAAGATTAGATGGTTGTAGATATGTGGCAGTATTTCTGGGGTCTCTGTTCTGTTCCATTGGTCTATATCTCTGTTTTGGTACCACTACCATGCTGTTTTGGTTACTGTAGCCTTGTAGTATAGTTTGAAGTCAGGTAGTGTGATGCCTCCAGCTTTGTTCTTTTGGCTTAGGATTGACTTGGCGATGTGGGCTCTTTTTTTTGTTCCATATGAACCTTAAAATAATTTTTTCCAATTCTGTGAAGAAAGTCGTTGGTAGCTTGATGCAGATGGCATTGAATCTATAAATTACCTTGGGCAGTATGGCCATTTTCACAATATTGATTCTTCCTACCCAGGATCATGGAATGTTCTTCCATTTCTTTGTATCCTCTTTTATTTCATTGAGCAGTGGTTTGTAGTTCTCCTTGAAGAGGTCCTTCACATCCCTTGTAAGTTGGATTCCTAGGTATTTTATTCTCTTTGAAGCAATTGTGAATGGGAGTTCACTCATGATTTGGCTCTCTGTTTGTCTGTTATTGGTGTATAATAATGCTTGTGATTTTTGTACATTGATTTTGCATCCTGAGACTTTGCTGAAGTTGCCTATCAGCTTAAGGAGATTTTGGGTTGAGATGATGGGGTTTTCTAGATATACGATCATGCCATCTGCAAACAGGGACAATTTGACTTCCTCTTTTCCTAATTGAATACCCTTTATTTCCTTCTCCTGCCTGATTGCCCTGGCCAGAACTTCCAACACTATGTTGAATAGGAGTGGTGAGAGAGGGCATCCCTGTCTTGTGCCAGTTTTCAAAGGGAATGCTTCCAGTTTTTGCCCATTCAGTATGATATTGGCTGTGGGTTTGTCATAGATAGCTCTTATTATTTTGAGATACATCCCATCAATAACTAATTTATTGAGAGTTGTTAACATGAAGGGTTGTTGAATTTTGTCAAAGGCCTTTTCTGCATCTATTGAGATAATGATATGGTTTTTGTCATTGGTTTTGTTTATATGCTGGATTACATTTATTGATTTTCATATGTTGAACCAGTCTTGCATCCCAGAGATGAAGCCCACTTGATCATGGTGGATAAGCTTTTTGATGTGCTGCTGGATTCGGTTTGACAGTATTTTACTGAGGATTTTTGCATCGATGTTCATCAGGGATATTGGTCTAAAATTCTCTTTTTTGTTGTTGTGCATCTGCCAGGCTTTGGTATCAGGATGATGCTGGCCTCATAAAATGAGTTAGGGAGGATTCCCTCTTTTTCTATTGACTGGAATAATTTCAGAAGGAATGGTACCAGCTCCTCCTTGTACCTCTGGTAGAATTCGGCTGTGAATCCGTCCGGTCCTGGACTTTTTTTGGTTGGTAAGCTATTAATTTTTGTCTCAATTTCAGCTCCTGTTATTGGTCTATTCAGAGATTCAACTTCTTCCTGGTTTAGTCTTGGGAGGGTGTATGTGTTGAGGAATTTGTCTATTTCTTCTGGATTTTCTAGGTTATTTGCATAGAGGTGTTTATAGTATTCTCTGATGGTAGTTTGTATTTCTGTGGGATCGGGGGTGATATCCCCTTTATCATTTTTTATTGCGTCTATTTGATTCTTCTCTCTTTTCTTCTTTATAAGCCTTGCTAGCGGTCTATCGATTTTGTTGATCTCTTCCAAAAACCAGCTCCTGGATTCATTGATTGTTTGAAGGATTTTTTGTGTTTCTTTTGCCTTCAGTTCTGCTCTGATCTTAGTTATTTCTTGCCTTCTGCTAGCTTTTGAATGTGTTCACTCTTGCTTCTCTAGTTCTTTTAATTGTGATGTTAGGGTGTCCATTTTAGATCTTTCCTGCTTTCTCTTGTGGGCATTTAGTGCTATAAATTTCCCTCTACACACTGCTTTCAATGTGTCCCAGAGATTCTGGTATGTTGTGTCTTTGTTCTCGTTGGTTTCAAAGAACTTCTTTATTTCTGCCTTCATTTCGTTATGTACCCAGTAGTCATTCAGGAGCAGGTTGTTCAGTTTCCATGTATTTGAGCAGTTTTGAGTGAGTTTCTTAATCCTGAGTTCTTGTTTGATTGCACTGTGGTCTGAGAGACAGCTTGTTATAATTTCTGTTCTTTTAAATTTGCTGAGGAGTGCTTTACTTCCAACTATGTGGTCAGTTTTGGAATAAGTGAGGTGTGGTGCTGAGAAGAATGTATATTCTGTTGATTTGGGGTGGAGAGTTCTGTAGATGTCTATTAGATCCTCTTGGTGCAGAGCTGAGTTCAATTCCTGGATATCCTTGTTAACTTTCTGTCTTATTGATCTGTCTAATGTTGACAGTGGGGTGTTAAAGTCTCCCATTATTATTGTGTGGGAGTCTAAGTCTCTTTGTAGGTCTCTAAGGACTTGCTTTATGAATCTGGGTGCTCCTGCATTGGGTGCATATATATTTAGGACAGTTAGCTCTTCTTGTTGAATTGATCCCTTTGCCATTATGTAATGGCCTTCTTTGTCTCTTTTGATCTTTGTTGGTTTAAAGTCTGTTTTATCAGAGACTAGGATTGCAACCTCTCCCTTTTTTTGTTTTCCATTTGCTTGGTAGATCTTCCTCCATCCCTTTATTTTGAGCCTATGTGTGTCTCTGCATGTGAGATGGGTTTCCTGAATACAGCACACTGATGGGTCTTGACTCTTTATCCAATTTGCCAGTCTGTGCCTTTTAATTGGAGCATTTAGCCCATTTATGTTTAAGGTTGATATTGTTATGTGTGAATATGATCCTGTCATTATGATGTTAGCTGGTTATTTTGCTTGTTAGTTGGTGCAGTTTCTTCCTAGCCTCGATGATCTTTACAATTTGGCATGTTTTTGCAGTGGCTGGTACCATTTGTTCCTTTCCATGTTTAGTGCTTCCTTCAGGAGCTCTTGTAAGGCAGGCTTGGTGGTGACACAATCTCTCTGCATTTGCTTGTCTGTGAAGTATTTTATTTCTCCTTCACTTATGAAGCTTAGTTTGGCTGGATATAAAATTCTGGGTTGAAAATTCTTTTCTTTAAGAGTGTTGAATATTGGCCCCCACTCTCTTCTGGCTTGTAGAGTTTCTGTGGAGAGATCAGCTGTTAGTCTGATGGGCTTCCCTTTGTGGGTAACCTGACCTTTCTCTCTGGCTGCCCTTAACATTTTTTCCTTCTTTTCAACTTTGGTGAATCTGACAATTATGTGTCTTGGAGTTGCTCTTCTTGAGGAGTATCTTTGTGGCATTCTCTGTATTTCCTGAATTTGAATGTTGGCCTGCCTTGCTAGATTGGAGAAGTTCTCCTGGATGATATCCTGCAGAGTGTTTTCCAACTTGGTTCCATTCTCCCTGTCACTTTCAGGTGCACCAATCAGATGTAGATTTGATCTTTTCACATAATCCCATATTTCTTGGAGGCTTTGTTCATTTCTTTTTATTCTTTTTTCTCTAAACTTTTCTTCTAGCTTCATTTCATTCATTTGATCTTCCATCACTGATACCCATTCTTCCAGTTGATCGAATCAGCTACTGAGGCTTGTGCATTTGTCACGTAGTTCTTGTGCCTTGGTTTTCAGCTCCATCAGGTCCTTTAAGGACTTCTCTGCATTGGTTATTCTAGTTAGCCATTCATCTAATTTTTTTTTCAAGGTTTTTTACTTCTTTGCCATGGGTTCGAACTTCCTTTAGCTCGGAGTAGTTTGATTGTCTGAAGGGCTTCTTCTCTCGACTTGTCAAAGTCACTCTCCATCCGTTCCATTGCTGGTAAGGAGCTGTGTTCCTTTGGAGGAGAAGAGGTGCTCTGATTTTTAGAGTTTCCAGTTTTTCTGCTCTGTTTTTTCCCCATTTTTGTGGTTTTATCTACCTTTGGTCTTTGATGATTGTGACTTACAGTTGGGTTTTTGGTTTGGATGTCCTTTCTGTTTGTTAGTTTTCCTTCTAACAGTCAGGACCCTCAGCTGCAGGTCTGTTGGAGTTTGCTGGAGGTCCACTCTATAACCTGTTTGCCTGGGTGTCAGCAGTGGAGGCTGCAGAACAGCAGATATTGGTGAACAACAAACGTTGCTGCCTGATCATTCCTCTGGAAGTTTTGTCTCAGAGGAGTACCCGGCCGTGTGAGGTGTCAGTCTGCCCATACTGGGGGTTGCTTCCCAGTTAGGCTACTCAGGGGTCAGGGACCCACTTGAGGAGGCAGTCTGTCCATTCTCATATCTCAAGCTGCATGCTGGGAGAACCACTACTCTCTTCAAAACAGTCAGACAGGAACATTTAAGTCTGCAAAGGATTCTGCTGCCTTTTGTTTGGCTATGTCCTGCCCCCAGAGGTGGAGTCTTCAGAGGCAGGCAGGCCTCCTTGAGCTGTGGTGGGCTCCACCCAGTTTGAGCTTCCTCACTGCTTTGTTTACCTACTCAAGCCTTGGCAATGGCGGGCACCCCTCCCCCAGCCTCGCTGCTGCCTTGCAGCTTGATCTCAGACTGCTGTGCTAGCAATGAGCAGGGCTCCGTGGGTGTAGGACCCTCCGAGCCACGCATGGGATATAATCTCCTGGTGTGCCATTTGCTAAGACCATTGGGAAAGTGCAGTATTAGGGTGGGAGTGACCTGATTTTCCAGGTGCCATCTGTCACCCCTTTCTTTGACTAGGAAAGGGAATTCCCTGACCCCTTGCACTTCCCAGGTGAGGTGATGCCTTGCCCTGCTTCAGCTCACACTCGGTGCACTGCACCCACTCTCCTGCACCCACTTTTCGACACTCCCCAGTGAGATGAACCCGGTACCTCAGTTGGAAATGCAGAAATCACCTGTCTTCTGTGTCACTCATGCTGGGAACTGTAGACTAGAGCTGTGTCTATTTGGGCATCTTGGCTCCACCTGATAAAGATTTCTATCTTAAGATTAACTTAAGAGGGACATACATTTCAAATGTTGAAATTCAGAGTGGAGATTTAATTTTATGAAAATATAAACAATTGTTAATCATTAAAGTTGAAATTGTTATAAAAAAGAAAAACCTCATGAAATTCTGCTGTTTGTCACTAAAATGGAAAATGCTTTTCTTTTGAAGACATATTCAAAATTTCCAGGTCAATTTCTATAAAAATTGGTAATGGTAATCAAGAAAGTCATTTTAGTGAATTCTTAGAGTGATTTGTTTCATAGTGTTGCTTTTCAATAATAAGGATGTATTGCTTCCCTCTAATTAAATATTGAGTGCTTTTTAGTCAGACTATGAAATCTCATAACTGTGCTTTCTGTCGTGTATCAACAGAACGAAACATCAATAACTTAATTTTTACCTTCTATTTCTTCATGTCTACTTTCTAACATTATGCTCAGCTGAGAGTTTCAGAAACTATGAGTACATCGTGAGTGGCTTCCTAATGTCAGAAGTATAGGTTTAATCTAAAAGTATGCTCAAATCATCTATATAAAGATTTTATTTTATTTTATTTTATTTTATTTTATTTTATTTTATTTTATTTATTTTGAGACAGAATGTCGCTCTGTTGCCCAGGCTGTAGTGCAGTGGTGCTATGTCAGCTTACTATAACCTCTGCCTCCTGGGTTCAAGTGGTTCTGCTACCTCAGCCTCCCGAGTAGCTGGGATTACAGGCACCACCATACCTAGCTAATTTTTGTATTTTTACCAGACATGGGGTTTCACCATGTTGGCCAAGGTGGTCTCGAACTCCTGACTACAGGTGATCTGCCTGCTATGGCCTCCCAAAGTGCTGGGATTAACAGGTGTGAGCCACTGAGTCCAGCCTTATGTGAAGACCGTAATATTTAAAAATGATATTTAATGTTTAATTTTGTTTCATTTCTCCTTTTGTCCATCTCAACCATTATTCACTCTGCAACTGTGACTATAATTCTTTTTCTAGCAGGCAAATCTGATGATAGCACTTTGGGGCTGATTTGCTTGCACATATCCCCCATAGACCCATAGATCCCTTACCAGGAGTCTTCAAGATCTTCCTTTTATTTCTCTCCTTCTTTACCTAACCTTCAGTAGTGATGAATTGCTTACATTTTCCTGAAACTACATATGACTATTCGATTCTAAGATTTTCTAGAAGTGATAACTACATTCCGGAATACATTTTTTTTCTTCTCTTGAGTTAATCCCTACTTGTTGCCATCTTCAATAAGACTCCCCTTGTTTCCTCTCATTCTTTAAGTGTCAAGTATTTATTTGAGACCCTGTTACATGCAAGGGGCTTCCAAAAGCATTGGGGTTTCAGCAGAGAACAAGACAAAGTTTCTGCACTTAATGATTCTTGCATCCTGAAATAAAGGGGTTAGTATACCCTTAACATAATACTGAACTCTATCGTATTTTAATTATGTTTCTTTTTCCTCTCCCCTAGTAGATAGTAACCTTATTGAAAATGTAGGCTGTGCCTTACTTGTCATTTTGTTTTACTGCATTTGTCTCAGTAACTAGCACAAATAGAAACTCATTAAAGGTTTATGAGTGAATAAACAGATATCTCAATGCTCTCTCTCCAGCCACGCAGTGAAATAACAGTCTTATGGGAAATTAGCAGTACCTGTGTCTAGTGATAAGCAGCACAGTATATTCTGAGGCAGCAAATTGTATCAGTGTAGAACTCTACTTGTCAGAAAATTTTGAAATTAAACCTACTGTACCTCAAATCTGTCTTGTTATAGGTTAATAGTTGTAGTTGTAAAAAAAAAAAGAAAACAAAATGACTAAAAATTATTAGATATTTACAGTGGTAAGCTATTTAACATATGTGATTCACTTGATTCCTTCAGGAACCCTAAGAAAGTAGGACTATTATTATTATTTCTATATATAGATAGATTGTAAAACAAAGGCAAAAAGAGGTCAAGTTACTTGTGCAATACATTTAGTTAAGTGTTAGAGCTGGTTGGCAAACCTGACATGCATCATATCCTGGGTAATTGACTTCTTTTATTATGTATTTGAAATAGGACTACACTGTGAATGATACAATACTTTGCCACTTACTAGCTGAGTGAATGAGTTAACTCCATTCCATAGTTTCTTCATCTACACATGGATGTGGCACGGGAATTAAATTATACAGCCTATTGGAAACACTTGGCACAGTACTTCCCAAATAGTAAATATTCTCCATGTATTTCTATGTTGTTGTGCAAAAGTAGCCATATGGGTAATACTTTCCACTCCAAAGTAACAGCTATTTTTCTCCTAACATGAGTCACTTCAATGTTATTACTTTAAAGATATATAAAACTCTTAATAGTGAACTTCTTGCAAGAAAACAACTTATTTGTTCATTGACCACTGTTTTCATCATCTTCTTTCACCAACTTTACACAGTGGCTAGGGCAAAGTAGTTGTTCAATTAAATGCTTTTGGTTGGATAAATAGAACAAACACGGATGCTTATTCAAACTAAGATTTCATGTAAGTCTACTATCAATTTACCTTAATTATTTACAAAAATCTTAAAAATGAGGGAAGTGGTAAAACTTACAGAAAAAACTACCGTTACTAAATAAAAATTGAGCTTATGTGCCCATGCCAGCAAACTGGCAATGTATTCTTAAAACAAACTTATATAAACTCCTGCTATAAAATATATACATTAAGCATAACATAACTAAAAGCCACATATCCTGAGGTATTGCCCTTGCAAGTAAGCTCTTGACTGTACTATCCGTGGCATTTCTGGGGGCAATCATGTTCTAACCAAAGATTATTTTTATATTTATCAAAACCAGATGATCTTTCCAATAAAATAAGTATAGTAATATTGTAATTTTCACACTTTGTCAGAAAAAAAAACATATAATTTTTCAGTCATTATTGGAGGCAAATAATGCCCTTTGAAACAACAGCTATACATGTGGAATTCTATTTAGTGATTTAATAGAGATTTCGTGTGAAGTCTTCAATTTCATGATGCAGCAAATTCAAATGCAAAGTGGCATGAAAGAAGGTCAACTTTGTAGAAATAAGTCAAAGAACCTCTTCAGATCTAGTTCAGAACATTCTCCTAATTATAAGACCACCATATATAAAAATATAGGTAGATTTCAAAACAACAAACACATAGAAGGCCCCAAAATAAAAAAAGACAGACTTGAAAATTACAGCAGAAAGATCCACAGAAGCATAGAAAATTACTGAATTGAAAAATGGTTTTCAGTACTATCAGCGTATGAATAGCATGAATTCTAGATTAGAATAGAAAGAACAGAGCAGAATCAATGTTATGAGTGATAATAGATGAGAATTTTGAAGGAGCATACTATGCCTGGAATGGAAATATAAAACACATTCTGATTTAGACTTAGCACACTGAAACTACAAAAATCTAAAGACAAAATGAGAAATTTGTAAAGACCTACTAGAAAATAAACCCATGTACAATGAAGCAATAATTATACTGACAGCCGATCTCTTGTTAGTAATAATAGCAGAAACAAACAATTGCCTAAACAATATTTTAATATTGTTAAAATAGAGCAGAGAAATATTTAAACTAGGATAATATACCTGGAAATAGTATCTTTCAATATTGAGAGTAAATAAATACATTTTCTGACATGCAAAGAGTTTGCTACTTATTCATTCCTGCTTAATGAATTACCAAACGATGCACTTTGGCCAAAATGAAATTGAACTCTGAATGAATAAGTGGGAAAAGAGTAATGGAGAGTGAAGAGAGTGGTAAATATGTTGATAAATCCAAAGATGTATTTATTGAAATATGTCTCTAACTTGAAATGACGTGGGAGTTAAAAGCAAGGTTGAAATAACACAGTATAAAAATGAGAAGAAGGGTGAGATGTTCAGTGTTAAGACATTCTAAAACACCAACAGGTTTAAATTTAAAAATAAAAAATTGGAGAGTAAAAGGAGAAACCAATCATGGGGAAAGTACAAAAGTATAGATTTTATTGGAATGTGTCAGAATATCAGAGGAACAACGGGAAACGGAATCAAGTAGCAACAATTTTCTAGGAGGTTATTGGGTACTATATTAGCCCATTCTCGCTTTGCTATAAAGAAATACCTGCAACTGAGTAATTTATAAGACAAAAGAAGTTTAATCGGCTCATGGTTCTGCAGGCTGTACAGAAAGCATGGCAGCATCTGCTTCTAGGGAGCCCTCGGGAAGCTTCCAATCATGACAAAAGGCAGAGGGGGAGTGAAGCATCTTAGATGACATAAGCAAGAGTGAGAGAGAGAGAGAGAGAGAGAGAGAGAAGAAGAAGAAGGTGCTACACGTTCTTAAACAACCAGATCTCGTGAAAACTCTGTCATGACAACAGCACCATGGGGATGGTGCTAAACTATTCATGAAAGTTCCACCCATGAGCCAGTCACCTTCCACCAGGCCCTACCGCCAACACTGGGGATTATGATTCAACTTGAGATTTGGTGGCTACACAGATCCAAACCATATCAGGTGCAGTACCCTAGTATGAGAGGGTTTATGGAATTGAAGCCCAGAAGTCATTACTGGAGCAATATCTCCAACTGACCTAACCATTTACAGTGTTTTTCTTTTCATAAGAGAGGGTTCATGAGCTTTATTCCAGTATGCCACTTGTGATAGAAATAAGAAGAATGAGTAAGAATAGACGTCAGAGAGGGGAAAGAGTTGGCTATTTTGTAAATATGTTAATTAATTTTTTTCTTGTACACCAACAGACACACCCTTACTTCACCTAACAAAAAATGCACTTTAAAAAATTGATGACTTAGAACTTGCATGAAACAGACTTATGGTAATGCCTGTGACTAAATGCAAACTTATTATGGTAATGCCTGTAACTAAATGTCATCTGCTGTCTAAAATGGAATTGAACAGAGAAGCCCATATATTTTCCCAAGGCAAACTTTCCCATATTCACAATGAACTTAAACTTGAAAAAAAAATAGCTCTTTTGTCTGAAATTGCTTTTTCCTTTGTGGTAAATCCCTTCATTAGGCCCGATGGTGAGTAATGATACATGAAATGCCGAGTACTATAACACTTTGAAAATAAGCATACTTTATTGGGGTTTAAAAGATGGAAAGGTAACAGCTTACTTTCCCGGTGTTGACAGGTACAATCAACATGAACAATAGATATTTAAGAGACCAGAGGATGGTTTTTCATATATACAACTTCTCAAAACAGTGGGAGAGTCTTTCAAGGCATACATTAATAGAATGCCTTCAGGGAAGTGTAATGACTTTGGCCAAACAGTGCCTGACTGATGCAATAAACTTTTCTTTTCAATTCTCTTTCTTTCTTTCTTTCTTTCTTTCTTTCTTTTTCTTTCTTTCTTCCTTCCTTCCTTCCTTCTTCCTTCCTTCCTCTCTCCTTCCTTCCTTCCTTCCTTCCTTCCTTCCTTCCTTCCTTCCTTCCATACATCACCAGTCAAATCAGGCAATTATCCTTGATCCCACCCACTTACCCTTTTCTTCTTCCCTCCCCTTCAACTCATTGCTAGTTCTCAGGTTCTATGAACATTTCATAATCCAGGTCAGTCAAATCTATCTCATGGAGTGATATAAATCCTACCTGTTTTTCCTGGTTTGAATTTTGCATACCATTCGTTAATTCAAGTAATAGTTATTGGGCACATATGTTATGTGCCTGTCATTGTTCTACATATAGGGAATATAGCATTAAACAGAACAGACAAAAATTCCTGCCTTTATGGAGTTTACATCCTAATGAGGGAAACACACAGTAAATGAGAAATGTAAGTAAAATAAGTATAATTTTGATGGTTAAAGTGGTAAGAAGGAAAAGGAAGCATAGAAGGATAAAGGAGAATAAGAAATTATGGGGTCTTTTTTAAAATAGAGTAGAAAGAGAAGACTACTGGGAATGTGCTACTTGAGTAAAATATTTGCAGAGGTTCAGGCATGAGCTATGAAAACACTTGGCGGAAGAAAGCTCTAGAGAGAGAGAAAAGTAGATGCAAATATCTAACAATGTGTAATCAGAGCTATCACATTATATAGACATCAAGTAACTTCTATGCTTAAATAAATTCTGAAACTTTTGCAATTCTTCCAGAATAACATACAAATACTTTCTGTGTAATATCCTAAAGTTCATTCAGGATTCGGTTCTGAGACCCCATTTCCTCTTAGACAGCATATTTCCTGCCAGCCACAAGCAGCACCCTGCTTTTCTGCAGCCCACAGTTATTTGATCATGCCAGATACATTATCACTTTGGATGCTTGCACCTAAAGTTATTTTATTTTTTTCTTTTCTACCCTACCCATTCCTGTATCTGGCTACTTTTCCTTCTTCAGGTTCAAGTTAAATACTATCTTTTCAAGGAAGACGTTTCTGAGCATCCTGGTTTTTAGGACATGCAATTGTTCACCATTGCCTTATCTCCCTGGAGAAGCCTCCTGATTCTTTCCTAGTATAATATGTCTCTCTTTCATTTTTTTTCTACTTCTTTATTCATCATTTTACTGTATATCTCCTTGCTTAACATGTAAGAAACAAAAAGAGGCCTCCTGTGTGTTGTTTTGTTTTGCTTTGCTTTGATGGTGGAATGGCCTTTCTCCCAGATCAGCCCATAGCTCATGCATTCTTATCCTTCACTTCTCAGATGTCGTTTCTTCAAAGGTGAGCCTTCCTTACAACAGCTTTCTTCAAGTACTGTTTCAGAACTTCACATGCATTAAGGAACAAGCATGTAACCTGAATGTTCATTGACCCAGTGTGGACAATAAAGAGAAATGGGACTGTCCTTATGGGAGAGAAAAAAATATATAATTATGTTTATATGTGTATATATGTATAATTGTATATCTGTATAATGTGTTTATATGTATTACATATATGTGTGTATCACAAAAAGAGTTAATACCAAGAGTATATATAGATGTCCTAAAATCATTAATGATCAAATATTCCAGTACAAGCAGGATGGCCACATTCACCTTTCCCTTTCCCTCCTGCCCTGAAGCAGGTCATAAACCTTTATTTCAGAGCAGCCTTCCCTTATCCTTATTCTTACCCACAAAGACACAGAGATGCCAAGAAGAATCTGAAAAAACAGAACTTGCTAAGTTACCCCCAATTTATTCCCATCAGATCATACAGTCTTTGTCCAATCATACTTCTGAGTGACTGCTCATTCTTCATTAAACCTAATCATAAAAAAACGCAGGTTTCCCTGTTTCTTCGGGTTTTTATTTCTGAAGTCTTCTGTGTCACATAAAATTTATATTAAATACACTTGTCATATTTTTCTCTTATTAATCTATATTTTATAGGTGCCTCAGCATGAACCTAGGGATGGGAAGGAAATATGCTTCTTTTCAACTCTACTATTTACAGGTTCCAAGGATTAGGACAGCATGTTTGAGGGCCATTATTCCGACAACCACACCAACAAAGGATCCTTCAAAGGACATAAGTAAAGCATTCAAGTCTTTCCAATATTAATATATGTCCACGTCATAACATATTTTTGATCATTGGTATAATTGTATATTACAGATGAATTCTTTTTGGTTCTTATGTATATTTAGAGAATAATGGATTTCAGCTCAAATTTTTTTAAATTTTTTATTTTTAAATTTTGTGGGTACATAGTAGGTATATATATTTCTAGGGTACATGAGATTTTTTGATGCCTGCATGCAATGCATAATAATTACACCATGGAAAATGGGGTATCCATCCCCTCAAGCATATATCCTTTGTGTTGCAAACCAATTATACTTCTTTCAAAATGTACAATTAAATTATTATTGACTATAGTCACCCTATTGTGCTGTCAAAAACTAGGCCTTATTCATTCAGTTAATGATTTTTTTGTATCCAATAACAATCCTCATCTCCCCCCATCCCCCAACCCACAGGGCTATTATAGATCTGTAGTATAATTTAAAGTCACGTAATGTGAGTCCTTCATTTTTGTTCTTTTTGCTTAAGATAGCTTTGGCTATTCTGGGTCTTTTGTGATTTCATATAAATTTTAGGATCAGATTTTCTATTTCAGTGAAGAATGTCATTGGTATTTTGATAGGGATTGCATTGGATCTTTGGTTTGCTTTGGGTAGTATAGACATTTTAATAATATTGATTCTTCCCATCCATGAACATGGTATATCTTTCTATTTTATGGTATCCTCTTCAATGTCTTTCATTGGTGTTTACAGTTTTCATTATAAAAATCTTTCACTTCTTTGGTTAAATTAATTCCTAGGTATTAATTTTGTTTGTGGCTATTTTTAATGAGAAAACTTTTTAAATTTCTTTTTCAGAATGTTGACTGTTGACTTATAGAAATGCTACTGATTTTTATACATTGATTTTTTATCCTGCAACTTTTCTGAATTTGTTTATCAGTTTTCTGGTGAAGTTTTTAGGTTTGTTTAACTATAAGATCATGTCATCTGCAAACAAGGATAACTTGATTACTTCCTTTTCAATTTGGATGCCATTAATATCTTTCACTTGTCTAATTGCTCTAGCTAAAACTTCCAGTACTATGTTGAACAACAATGGTGAAAGTGTGTATCCTTGTTGTGTTCTAGATCTTACAGGAAAAGCTTTTGTTTTTTCCCCATTCTGTATACTAGCCATAGTTCTGTCTTACACAGCTTTTATTTTGTTGAGGTATGTTCCTTCTAAACCTAGTATTTAATATTTTTATGGGTTTTATTATGGAACGATGTTGAATTTTATTAAATGCTTTTTTAGCATCAATTGAAATGATCATATGATTTCTGTCCTCCATTCTTTTGATATGATGTATTACATTGACTGGTTTGCCTATGTTGAACTATCCTTGCATCCCAGGGATAAATCCAACTTGGTCATGATGAATCATCTTTTTAATGTATTGTTGAATTGGTTTGCTAATATTTTGTTAAGGATTTTTGCATCAATATTCATTGAGGATATTGGCCTGCAGTTTCTTTCTTTTCTGTTTTTTTAATGTGTCTATCTGATTTTGGTATTATGGTAATACTGGCCTTGTAAAATGAGTTTAGAAGCATTCTCAACTCCTCTATTTTTCAGAATAGTGTGAGTAGGATTGGTGTTAACTCTTTTCAACATGTTTGGTAAAATTCAACCGTGAAACTGTCGGGTCCAGGGTTTTTCTATACGGAGAGACTTTTTATTATGGCTTTGCTCTTGTTACTTGTTATTGGTCTGTTCAGGTTTTGGGTTTCTTCCTGGTTCAATCTTGTTAGGTTGCATGTGTCTAGGAATTTGTCTATTTCTTCCAGATCTTCCAACTTATTGACATGTAGTTGCTCATAGTAGCCACTAATGATCTTTTGGATTTCTGCAGTATCAGTTGTAAGGGTTCCTTCTTCATCTAGGAGTTCATTTATTTGGATCTTCTCTCTACTTTTCTCAGTTGGTCTAGCTAAATATTTGTCAATTTTGTTTAACTTTCCAAAAAAACAACTTTTTGTTTCATTGATTTTTGTATAGTTTTCTTCATTTCAATTTTGTTTATTTCTACTCTGATCTTTATTATTTCATCTACTAATTTTGAGTTTGGTTTGCTCTTGCTTTGCTAGTTCTTTAAGATACATTATTAGGTTGTTTATTTGAAGTTTTTCTTCTTTTTTGATGTAGACACTTACAGCTGTAAACTTCCCTGCTAGTACTGCTTTTGCTGTATCCCATAGGTTTTGGTATGTTGGTTTCCTTTATAATTTGTTTCCAGAAATTTGGTGGTGTGTTTCCATTATAATTTGTTTCCAGAAAATTTTCAATTTTCTTCTTAATTTCTTAATTTCATTAGGAGCATATAGTTTAATTTCCATTTATTTCTGTAGTTTCCAAAATTCCTCTTATTATTGATTTCTAGTTTTATTCCATGTATCAGAAAAGATGCTTGACATTATTTCAGGCTTTTTAAAAAAAATGTTTTAAGGCTTGTTTTGTGACCTAACATATGGTCTGTCCTTGAGAATGATCTATGTGCTGAAGAAAAGAATGTGTATTCTGCAGCTTTTGGATGAAATATTCTGTAAATATCTATTAGACCCATTTGGTCTAGAGTGCTGACTAAGCCCAATGTTTCTTTGTTGATTTTCTGTCTGGAAGATCTGTCTACTGCTGAAAGTGGGGTGTTAAAGTATCGAGCTATTATTGTATTAAAACTATCTCTATTTAGCTCTAATAATATTTGCTTTTTATATCTGGGTACTCTAGTGTTGGGTGCATCTATATTTAAAGGTGTTATATTCTTTTGCTGAACTGACTCCTTTATTATTATATAGAGATCCTCTTTGCTACATAGTTTTTGTCTTGAAGTCTATTTTGTTTAATATAAGTATTGCTATTCCTGCTCCTTTTTGGTTGTGATTAGCTTGGAATATCTTTTTCTATCCATTATTTTTAGTCTATGTGTGTCTTTATAGATGTATAGACATGAGCCATTTCTGAAAGTAGTAGTCCCACCCATATGTGAGGTATATGTTCCAAGACCCCCGAAACTGCAGATTGTATAGAACCCAAATGCTAATCATCCAAACACATTTCTGTTCATTTCACCCACAAATTTGTTGTCTTTTTCATCTTAACTAAGTATTTATCATGCTGTGTGGCCATCACTATTGCAGCTTGAGATGCAGTAGCAAAATCGGCATAAGTTGTCTTTCTTGTTCACGATTTTGCAAATAGAAGATTCATTCTTACCATAGCTCTTCAAAACTGCAGCCTATACTTTTTTTTTCTTTACTTATTAAGTTAAAAACTTTCACCTTCTTACTTAAAGGAAGCAGTTTATGGTTTCTCTTTGGCATTGCCCAATTGCTAGAATCACTACTCTTGCACTTTGGGGCCATTAATAAGTATAATAAGGGTGCCTTGAACACAAACTGTGGAAACTGTGACAGTTGATCTGATAACCCAGATTGCTGCTAGCTAAAGTAGTGTATACAGCGTGAAAACACTGGACAAAGAGATGATTCACATCTTGGGTGGGATAAAGAGGAACATCTCAAGATTTCAAAATGCAACTCAAAATGATAGGCAATTTCAAATTTATAAATTGTTTATTTCCAGAATTTTTCATTTAATATGCCCAGGCTGCGGTTGACCACTGGGAACTAAAGCCTTGGAAATCAAAACCATAAATAAGAAGGTACTACTGTAGTCCCAAAGCCCAAGTTTCCTGTCACTTTTTGTTTAGAGATAGACTGAGAGGTCATAATTAGATTTTACGATAGTGACCTTGTAAGGTGTTGCCAGATAATGCTGACATCACCTTACTTACAAAATTACATCCTAGAGAGTACCTACCTACATAAGGGAACTGAGAAACTTAATAACAAAGTTCTTTAAATTATGTCATCAAAAATTTTCATTTTTGAACATTTAAGGACTTAAAGAATATCTGTTGCATGAAATCTTTACAATTGCTTATTTGAATGACTTAGGTATTTTCTTAATCTTCTACAGAGTTTATACAAAGAATACTTTATCAGAATTTTACTAGTACAGTTTTTGGCTACTGAGTCTCCTTCACTTCTCCTGTTCTTCTGTCCCTGAGCCCCATCCCCAAAATAAGCAAGTTGAAAGATTTATAAAATTTTACCACTGCTGTTTTATAAGG
This sequence comes from Homo sapiens, assembly GCF_000001405.40. Taxonomy (NCBI): domain Eukaryota; kingdom Metazoa; phylum Chordata; class Mammalia; order Primates; family Hominidae; genus Homo; species Homo sapiens. The sequence goes on from NC_000005.10 coordinate 52,114,646, forward strand.
CAAATATATTCATAAAAATCTTTATAATATGATACCATTCTAGTTGTGGGTTCTGTTATTCTACAAGACAAACCTTTGTGCAGCATATTCACCCTTCTTTTACTGGGAGTTTAAGGCAGTTATGTTTTTCTCTTCTATTTTACCTGCACCAACTTGATGTCATCTGCACATCTTCTGGGAATTCCTATGTGTTTTTTATGTTGCTCAAAGCCAAAGCTGTCAAAATTGTTCCTTTCTGAGCATCTGGGGTGAAAGTTTTTATTCAATCTTATTTTCTTGTTAATCTTTTGATCTGTAGATTTTAGTCATACTTTTAAAAAGAAGCTGTACTCTCTTTGATTTTTTTCCGTTATATTTAATGGAGATTAATTATTAAAATGTCTGGTAAGAAGTATGGTCCTTCATTCATATTCAACAAATATTTATGAAATTTCTACTGTATGGAAAGTATTGGGCCAAGCAGTGGTTCAGTCTTTCTTGATGAAATATTATTATCTTGTATTTTATGTACTCAAAATTATAAATAAATATGAGCACTTTTTGGAGTTGGTAAAATGTTTATACTTTAGTGCAACTAGGGCTATAAAACAGATTTAGTCACTTTTAGTATACTAAGGATTTGAGAGAAAAAATACATTTGGTGGATTTCTAGTTGCCTGACTCACAAAATATTATCAAATTATTTGCAGTGATTGCAGCATCTAGTACACCCTTCTGTTCTAGAAAGAAAAAAGAGTTCATTTTTCTATTTCCATTAATGATTCTCAAACAGAGTGACTTCGCCTTTCAGAAGACATATGGCACAGTCTGAAGACATTTTTGATTGTCATGAATGAGGGATGGGGTGAGTATTATTTGCTTCAACTTAATAGAGGCCAGGAACACTGCTATCTCAAAATACACACAATAAAACCCCATATTTGGTTTAAAATATCAATAGTATAAGATTAGGTAACCCTGACTTACATGAACTAAATATAAATGCTCTATTATGTGTGTGCAACATATAATCAAATAACCTAATGAAGAAAAGGTTGATGTGCTGGGTTAAATTTTTCATATTGAATTAGTCCAAAGTAGGTAGATTCTTTATTTTGTATATTTAATATAAAATATGTAGTATTTATTTTTTTTTACATTTTCCTTTAATTTGTAACAGTTTCATTAAATTACAATTGCCATCAGTTAAAACCATTAAATGCAAACCTGACTAGCTTCTCGAGTATCTAAGGAGACACAGCTGGAATGAAAACAGATGGAAGGTGTAAATGAGAAGATTCGATTAACATTTTTTTTCTTCTAGTACATGTTTTACAAAGAAAATCCCCTGGGATTAAAAAGGATACCTAAATTCAAGAAATATGGTGCCTCCTGACTGTGTTTAGAGCAAAATCTTTTAACATCTTTTTACATCATTTGGAGTTCAGTCCAAATCTATATCCTTAGGGTCAAGTCACAAATATGGTAACAAAGAAATTCTAAGCTAAGAGCAACAAAATTACTGTACATTAGAACACTAACCAATTTAGTGGCAGCCTGATTATTTCAGAAGTCGTTCTCTACTCCTAACAGCATTATAATTGTCATTATAAGATTAGATTTGACACTATGATTCCCAAAGAATGAATATAATAAAAACACACCATTTGTTACAGTGCTAGCAATTATCCTGCTGTGCCTTCTTTAACATCTAAAAGGATCAATGCAATGTAGTTAATCAGATCCATTAGAAACATCCTTATTTTGAAAATTTAAGGCCTCTTTAAATACTAATTTAAAATATGCCAAAATTGAGTTTGGCCATTCATAAGGCTGAGTTTATTTTCCAAGTGTCCCTTAAGGATGAACAAAGAGCTGTAAAAAATTAGCTGACGGACAGACACCAGGTTATGTATTTATTTCTTAAATTATTTCAGTAACTTAAAATATTGTAGACGATTTCAGAGTAAAAGATGGTAGTTATATTTCCAGTGTTCATTAGGACTATTGCAGATTTCAAGAAAAAGATAGATGCCCAACTTACTGTGGGATAGATTTGGAACACATGGGACATAAAGAAATCCAGACATTTCAGCAGTAGTTGTGTTCCCCCAGCCAACCCCATATGGTCCACCACTGTCATGAGCCAGCTTTTTTTTTTGTCTCTGCTTCCATTTCTACTACAATTTGTTAGTACTATTTCCACTAATATTTCTTCCAGAAGGCTTATGTTTGTGGGCTTCTATGCATGCTATACCTTCTGTTCCAATTTAATGTGGATTTTCTACATTACTTCTAGATTATCCCTTCTCTGTGTGATTTATATTAAGAATATCCAAAAAGGTTTTGTCCACATTGGTGATTTACCAACCATACGAGAGAATCCCTGGTAGTCAGAATTTGCAAGACAGAACTCTTTGCAGACAGCTGGCACCTTTCATGTCCAGTTGTACAGTTTCTAGTTGGCTGCCTATTGTTATAAATTCCTGGTTGAGTCCTGGCCACTTTGTCTAGGGCTGCAGGTTAATAAACATGGAGCATATTAGTGACACCTGAAGAGCAACTGTAGACCTCTTCAGACATGACTTGTAATTGTAATATGTACTCAAACTTCCTGGGCTTCTTTTGAGTTTATCAAATAATCAGTAATTAGGATAATTCACACTTCTAATCAGATATTTTATCTTGAACCAATCAAATGACCCCCAAGTAAAATATAAATAGATGAGAGTAAAAGGGATATTATAAATACTTGTGACAAGTCCACAACAGGACTATAACACAATATTTCACTAAATGTCAAGAAAAAAAGATGACATGTAGCAGGAATTTTTCAGGTATAGAAAATGCAAGTGTGCAAATAGTGGTGGGGTAGATCTTGACACAAGCAAGCAAGTAAACAAAAATCCCTTTCTAATGGAAAAATAATAGCACAAGTGTTATTAGGAAAAAATATGTCATTAACATGGAAAAATGGATAATGGTAAATGAGATGTCTTAAATATGTAGAGTGTGGGCAGAATTTACCAAATATCACCATAACAGGGTTATTCTTTGATGACATAACATACATCAAGCCAATGAGAAGATAAAGTAACATTGAAACTATGCTTTTTGGACTAATAAGTTGATACAGGATGAAAATACAAATGGCTGACAAAAACATTGATAAACTTATGAAAAACAGCTATATAATAGGTTATTTATGAACTTTTAAATTTTTATAGGGCATAACCTTTTCAGGGTGGTAATAGGGTGGATAATTTCTAGCCCAATAATACTTTATTGGTTGCTGCCTTCAAATAGAATACTGTGCTGATTACTGATTAAAACAGTCTATTTAACATTATTCGTCATGGCATTTCCTCTATTTTTTAAAAAAATATATTTTATTGTGGTAAGAATGTTTAACACAAGATCTACCCTCTTAGCAATATTTTTATTTTTATTTTTATTTTTTAATTTTTGGAGATGAAGGTCACCCAGTCTGGAGTGCAGTGGCATGATCTCAGCTCACTGCAACCTCTGCCTCCTAGGCTCAAGCAATTCTCCTGCATCAGCCTCTCGATTAGCTGGGATTACAAGCAAATGCCACCACACCTGGCTAATTTTTGTATTTTAGTAGAGATGGGGTTTCACCATGTTGGCCAGGCTGGTCTTGAACTCCTGACCTCAGGTGATCTGCCCACCTCACTCTCCCAAAATGTTGAGATTACAGGCGTGAGCCACTGCAACGGGCCAGCAAATTTTTTAGTTCACAATAGTGTTGCAAATTATAGGCACAATGTTGTACAATAGTCTACAATTTATTCATCTTGTATAAATAAACTTTGTCCCTATCACTTAGCAATTTCCTATTGCTTCCTTCTCTCAGCTTCTGGTAAGCACCGTTTAACTCTCTGATTCTATGGATTTGGCTATTTTAGATTTCATATATAGGTGGAATCATGCAGTATTTGTCCTTCTGTTACTGGCTTATTTCACTTAGCATAATGTTTTCAAGGTTCATCTATGTATTGCATATTGCAATATTTCCTTCTTTTTAAAAGCTGAAAAATATTCTAATATATATATATCATATTTGCCTTATCCATTTATCCATTGACAGATAATTAAGTTGTTACTACATCTTGGCTATTATGAATAGTGCTGCAATGAACACAGGAGTGCTAATATCTCTTTGAGATCTAGATTTCTATGTTTTTTTTTTGATAAATACCAGAATTGGGATAGCTGGATTACATGGTAGTTCTATATTTAATTTTTTGAGAAGCCTCCATACTGTTTTTCATAGTAGGTGCACCATTTTGCATTCCCACTAGCAGTGTGCAAGGGTTCTAATTATACCACACTCTTGTCAGCACTTGTCTTTCTGTATTATTATTATTACTATGATGATTTCTATCCTAACACGTATACAGTGATATCTCAGTGTGGTTGTGATTTGCTTTTCCCTGATGACTAATGATGTTGAGCACTTATTCATACAACTGGTGGCCATTTGTATGTCTTTTTTTGGAGAAATTGCTATTCAAGTACTCTGCCAATTTTTCAATTTTTAAAAATTGAGTTGTAGAAGTTTCTTATATATTTTGGGTATTAACCCTTTGCTATAATCTGAATGTTTATGTTGCCCCCAAAAGTCATATGCTAGAATTCTTACCCTCAGTGTGATGGTATTAGGAAGTGGGGACTTGGGATTAGGTCATAAGGGTAGAGCCCTCATGAATGTCATTAATGCCCTAATAAAAGAGACCCAAGAGAGATTCCTCACCCCTCTTACTCCATGACGTTACAATAAAAAGACCCACCTGTAAATGCGCCCTCAACAAACGCTAAATTTGCTGGTGCCATGATCTTAGACTTCACAGCCTGAGAACTGTGAGAAGTAAGTTTCTGTTATTTATTAGTCTCCCAGTTAATGGCATTTTGTTATAGTAGCTTAGACCGACCAAGACAAACTCTAACTTTAAAAACACAAATTACCGTGCTTATTAATCTGCGATTGCCAAACTCTCCTTACCAGCCAGAAGAACACCCCCCTTTGATTTTGAAAGTAATTTGCAGTGGCTAAAAATCAAAATCTTACCATGTCTTCACATCTTTACATTTTCAATGGTGTCAACTTTGAATTGCATAATTTTCAGAAAATTGATTTATTAATCTACTGAATCCAAAAGTAGAAAATGATTTAGTTACAATTACAATATGAGTCATAATATTTTTAAAACAAATTATTTATTAGCTTTCTGTAGTTGCTGTAATACATTACCACAAACGTTCTGGAGGTCAGAAGTCTGAAATGGTGTCAGCTCATACCAAAATGCTGGCAGGGATATACTCCCTCCAGAGGCTCTAGGAAGAACTTGTTTCCTTGCCTATTCCAATTTCTACAGCTATATATGTTTTTTTATTTCTTGGCTCATGGCCCTTTCCTTTATATTCAAAGCTAGCAGCATGACATCTTCAAAATCTCTTACTGCTTCCATCCTCACATAGCCTTCTTCATCTTCTGTCTGTGTGTGAATCTCCCTCTATGTCTTTCTTAAAAAGACACTGGAGATTCCATTTAAATTCCACCAGGATAATCCAGGGTAATCTCTCTGTCTCAAGATCTTTAAGTTAAGCACATTTTATATGCTAGCAACAATGGACAACATTCCTTCCTCAGAGTTCTAAGATACAGTTCCACAGGGCTCCATTTCTGACATCCTTGAGATATGAACACCAATTTGGCCATGTGCTTTCTGGAACTCAGCTCGGCAGATCTTTTCTTCAACTAACTTCCTTCCTTTAGTTCCCTCTCTCCCTCTCTTCCTTCCTTCTCTCCTTCCTTTTTCTTTCTTCTTTCTTTTTTTTCAGACCTAGTCTGGTTATGTTGCCCAGGCTGGAGTACAGTGGTGCGATCGGCTCACTGCAGCCTCCGCCTCCCAGGGTTCAGACGATTCTCCTGCCTCAGCCTTCCAAATAGCTGGGATTACAGATGCAAACCACCACGCCCGGCTAGTGTGTGTGTGTGTGTGTGTGTGTGTGTGTATGTGTTGTAGAGACGGGGTTTCACCATATTGCCCAGGCTGATGTTGAACTCCTGGGCTCACGCAATCCACTGCCTCAGCCTCCAAAAATGCTAGGATAACAGGCATGAGCCACTGCGCACGGCCTTTTCTTCAAGTTTGTAAGTTGTGAAAACCCTAACTTCATTCCTTTGCATCTACCTCCCCAATCCTACAGGTAGTAGCCGCTTGCTTTAATTATTATCTCTGCCACCTGGAAGTTCTGGTTTTGCCTTTTTAGTATGCCGACACGTGTTTAAACCATTCCCTGTGTTATCTTCCCTAAGATAAAAAAGAAAATGTGGTATAGGTTGAGATATGAGTGACTTAAAATTCTAAGGATCTGCTTACTCACCAGACAAATGTGATTATAATATAAAGCTCTAAATTATTCATGAAACACACACACACTCATACAGAATTGTAATTACAACAAAGGGTTTTGGAATTCAACCAGATTTTTACTGAACGTTATAGTCCAAAAAAGTTATTAAACGTTTTTATGACATTTCTCTAATCACTGTGTGTGTGTGTGTGTGTTTGTGTGTGTGTGTGTGTGCTTTGTAGAGACAGGGTTTTACTATATTGCCCAGGCTGGTGTTGAACTGATCAGTAAATTGCAGTTGATAAGAATTTAATACCAAAAATTTTAAATCATCATTAATGGTGATTAAATGAAAATTTACAGATATATGTGCTATATAAGGAAAAATATACATGACCATCTCAAAATATTTTTAAAAATCAATAAAATTTATCATATGTTTACAAGGAAACTAGCAAGTAGTCTCTTCAAACTATAATTAAAATAAATATTTTTCATCTGATAAAAAGATATCTGCAAAACACCTACAACTTATCCCATTTTTAATGAAGAACTATTGGAATTTTCCCCCATAAGATTGAAAAATAAATACCATAATATTTACCATAAATATCTCTTTTGAATATACTTCTAGAGACCGCAGACCTTCTAAAAAAGCAGGAAAAGAAGGTATACATATTATAAAGGGGGGTGTAAAGTTTTTATTATTTGTAGAAGATACGACTGCGTGTTGCAGAAAATCCAAAAAAGTCTGTAATCTATTTTAATTGAGAGGTAATGTTAGCAAGGTTGCTGGGTATTATTATAGAAAGGCATACTGTCTTTCTATAATAAAAAATGTAAGCCGGCTGGCTGCAGTGGCTCACACCCGTAATCCCAGCACTTTGGGAGGCCAAGGCAGGTGGATCATGAGATCAGGAGTTCAAGACCAGCCTGGCCAACATGGTGAAACCCTGTCTCTACTAAAAATACAACAAAATTAGCTAGGCGTGATGGCGGGCGCCTGTAATCCCAGCTACTTGGGAGGCTGAGGAAGAGAATCGCTTGAACCTGGGAGGCAGAGGTTGCAGTAAGCCGAGACCATGCCACTTCACTCCAGCCTGGGTGACAGCATGAGACTCCATCTCAAAAAAATAAAAAGTAAAAAAAAAGTAAGCAAAACATTGTAAAAACTGTATAGGTTACAAGAGTTCGTAAATGTATATTAATTGTATATTACTTTTGTGGAATTTTGTGCAATATATTAACACTAAAAGCTAGGCAATATAGGTAAGAGCAATAAAAGAAAGTCTAATCAGTGGAAACATATGTCAGAGGATTGGATATTTTTAACATATTGATTCACTGCAAATTAAAGTAGGTATATGAATTAAATCCAATACCAATAAAACTGTGTGTGCATGTGAACACTGACAAACAGTTTCTGAGGTTTCTATAGAAATGCAAATGGCTAAGACTAGGCATACATTAAGAAACCTTGAAGGAGAACAAAGATGGAAGACTTACAGTACAGTAATCAAGTGTGTAATACAAGTATTCTAATTTCAAAATAGATAGTACAGAAAGAGCACCACACCTTGATGGTCATCTGAATTTTGGCAAAGAAGACAACGTATAATGAGTAAATCACTTAGATAAAAATTAATGTAAAAATGTAACTTTCAAATAAAAGAAGAGCATGTTTCATTTTTACATTAACTTTTATCTAAGTGTTGAGCTTCTGGCTTCCAGTCTGGCATGAGAAGAGCTTAGAAGTCTTCACTCTATCTTATCAAGAGGTAAAAATGTGAACAAACTAAAAGAATTATCAACTCTTCTTAGTTCATCAGGGAAGTGAGGTCATAAAGAAAATGCTGCTCTAAAAATTGGAGAAACAGAGAGAATCACAACTTTTCAGAGCAGAAACCCACAAGCAGAACCTCCATGGGAACCAATACCAGGATAGAACCCCTGAACTGTGATTGATGAATTGCTAGAGAATCGATGTGGACAAACCTGAGAGAGAAAAACTGCAAGTGTCTGGTGTAGGATTTTGATAGTGGGGAGGCTCTGTACATGTGGGAAGAGGTGGTATATGGGAAATCTCTGTGTCTTTGCTCAATTTTGTTGTGGCCCTAAAAGTACTCTAGAAAATGAAGTCTATTAAAAAATTACAAAACAAAACTCTAGCAGGACCAATCACAGGGGGCTCCCACAATTTTGTGAATTTTACTTTCAGGAATTCTCCAAGATGTTCACAGTAAATGTTGGAGTAAAAGCCTCTCTTATTTATGGCAGAAGAAGAGAAAAAGGAACCATTTTAAAATACACTCTTCTTCTTAACAAGGTCTGCCCTCAGGAGAAACTATTTTACAACAGCTTAACCTACCTGGACGGAGGAAAATATCCAACTGTAGCCAGCTCTAGCCTTCCATGTAGGGGAAGGAAAATACAAAATTTTCACCCTTCTCCAGCCATTCTGTCCCAACTAGGGTAGGGAACTGAGAACCACTGGTAAAGTTCACAGTCCAGAGACATTAGGTTCACTAAAATCCTGAGACCTAATAATATGACTACAGAATGATTCCTCTGCCTCAACACCTTATAATTACATCACTAATGGCCTATTTACCAGTTTGTTTTAATCAGTATATAGTGCCCACCTTTCAAGAAAAGAATACTAAAAGGAAAAAGTAAAGTTCAAAGATGCTAAACAAGCATCAGAACTAGCAGCAGAAATGGCAGAAATGTTGGAATTATTAGACCAGGAATATATAAAATTAAGATTATTAGGCTAAAGGCCCTAGTGGAAAAAGTAGACACCATGCAAAAACAGACGGGTAATGGAAGCAGAGAGATGAACATTCTAGGAATGAGTCAAAAATAAACACTACAGATCAAAAAGAAAGTAACAGAAATGAAGAATGCCTGTAATGAGCTTATTAGTAGACTGGACAAAGCTGAGGAAAGAAGCTCTATCCCTGAGGATGTGACAGTGTAAACCCAAAACTGAAAAGCAAAGGGAAAAAGAGACTGGGGGAAAAAAACAGAGCAGAATAATCAAGAATTGTGGAACAACTGCAAAATGTGTAACCTATGTGTAATGAGAATACCAGAAAAAAAAAAAGAAAGAGAAAAAACAGAAGCAATACCTGAAGAAATAATGATTGAAAATTTCCTCCAGATTAATGTCAGACACAAAACCACATATCCATAAAGTTCAGAGACCACTGAGAAGAATAAATGTCAAAAAATTATACCTAATGCTAGATGACGAGTTAGTGGGTACAGCACACCAGCATGGCACATGTATACATATGTAACTAACCTGCACAATGTGCACATGTACCCTAAAACTTAAAGTATAATAATAAAAAAAATTTAAAAAAAAAACAAACTAAACTTGGAATATCATGTTTAAAGTTCAGAAAATCAAATATAAAAAAATTAAAAGAAATCAGATTAAAAATGTTACTTATAAAGGATTAAAAATAAAAATTGCATCCCACATCTTCTCAGAAACAATGCAAGAAAGAAGGGTGAAATATTTAGATTGCTGAGACAAAAACACCACCAACCTATAATCGTGTACACTGTGAAATTATCCTTCGAAGTGAAGAAGAAAAATATACCTTCTCAGACAAATGAAAATAGAATCTGTCTTTAAGAAGTGTTGAATGTTCTTCAGAGATAAAGAAAATTATATGGGTCAGAAACCTAAATCTACATAAAGAAAGAGCACCAGAGAATGAATAAATGAACATAAAATAAAGAGCTTTGCTTTTCTTATTCTTAAATAATCTAACGTAAGTTTGTTAAAAATAACAATAGCAACAACGTATTCAGTGATTTATGCTTATATATATGTGTGTGTGTTTATATTTAAGTGAGATTAATGACAACTATGACACAAAGAACAAGAGGAAGGCCTTTGTAATACTTTGTTACAATAAAGTACACACTCTGCCCATGAAGTGATATATTGGCATTTAAAACTGGACATGGATTAGTTTTGTATGTATTGTAAGCTCTAGAGCAACCACTAAAAAACAAAAAAAAAAGAAGCATAATGGCTATGCTAGAAAAGGAGAGGAAATTGAGTTTTACAAAATGCTCAGTTAAAACAATAGAAGGCAAAAATTATAGAGGATAAAAATAAAAACAAAAAATAAGTACAACAAATAAAAGCAGTCACAAAGAACATGGCTATCAACACAAGTATATCAATAATCACTTAAACATAAATAATCCAAACACACCAATTAATAGATAGAGATTTTCAGAGTGGATCAAAAAACAAGACTCAACTATATGTGGTCTACAAGAAACCCACTTTTAATATAAGGGCACAGAAAAGATTAAAAGCAAATCAATAGAGAAAAATATACAATGCTAACACTTAATCAAAATAAAGTGAGTGTAGCTGAATTAATTTCAGTTGGAATAGATTTCAGAGCAAGGAAAGTTATCAGGGATAAGGAACGGCATTACATAATAATAAAAAGTCAATACTCCAAGAGGACATATTTTAATGTGTATGAACCCCAAAACAGAGTGTCAAAAATGCTAAGCAAAAACTGACAAACCTGTCAGGAGAAATACATGAATCTATTTTCATAGTGGGAGATTTCAATACCTCTTTATTAGAAATGAGCGGATCCAGCAGGCAGAAAATCAGTAAGGGCATAGTTGGATTCCATAGCACCATCAATCAATTGTATATAATCAAGATCTACACACTACTTCATCCAACAATAGCAGAATACTAATTTTTTCTCAAGATCACGTGGAACATTCACATAGACCACATTCTGGGTCTTAAACACACCTTAACAAATTTAAAAGAGTGTTGTATAATGTCTGCTTTCAGACCACAGTGAAATTAAACTAGAATTCAATAGCTGAAAAATACCAAAATACTTGGACTCTAAACAACACACTTCTAAATACCTGATAAGTCAAATAAGACATTTCAATAAAAATTTAAAAATATTTTGAATTAAATGACAATAAAACCCAGCTCATTAAAATTTGTTGGATGAAAGCACGTTAGTTTTATATCTAAGCATTTGTTAGGATACTAATGTAAGTGCTATTTGTTTTTAATTTTAAATTCTACGTTTTTAATGCTGTGTACAGGAAAGTGATTAACTTTTGTATATTATTCTTGTAATCACTTAGTTCCAGGAGTTTATTCATCAATTCTTTCAGATTTTCTACATAGACAATCATGTCATTGTGAAAGCAATGCTTAGAGAGTGATTTGCAGCATTGAATGCATGTAATAAAAAAGAAGAAAGAGCTAAAAATCAATCATCTAAACTTCTACCTTAGGACACTAAACTTCTGCCTTAGGAAAAAGAAGAATAATTTAAATCCAAAGTAAGCAGAATAAAAGAAGTGATAAAAATTAGAGCAGAAATCAATAAAATTGAATATAGAAAATGGATAGAGAAAATCAATAAAATAAAATGTTGGTTTTTTGAAAAGATCAATAAAAGCAATAAGCTTCTAATTAGACTGAGAAAAAAAGAGAGAGGATATCAATTACTAGTATCAGAAATAAAATAAGAGATATCAGTTTAGATCCCATGGACATTAAAATAATAATAAAGGGGCTGGGTGTCGTGGCTTATGCCTGTAATCCCAGCACTTTTAGAGGCTGAGGTAGTAGGATCACTTGGGTTCAGGAGCTTGAGACCAGCCTGGGCAACATAGTGACGCCCTGTCTCTATAAAAAATAAAAAGTTAACCAGACATGGTTGCAGACCCCTGTAGTCCCAGCAACTTGGGAGGTTGAGTTGGGAGGATCACCCAGAAGGTCAAGGTTGCAGTGATCATGTCCCTGCACTAAAAAAGGGCAACAAAGCAAGACCCCATCTAATAAAATAATAATAATAAAGGAATATTATGATCAACTCTATGCCACAAAATTTGTTAACATAGATGGAATAAATTAATTTATTGAAAGACACAATATGCCAAAACTCACAAAAGAAGAAATAGATTATCTAAATAGGCCTATATCTACTTAAAAACTAAATCAATAATTAATAATATTTCAAAGCACAAAGTACCAGAACCAGAATTCTCATAAATTGCACCAAACATTTAAGAAAAAAAATGTTGCCAATTCTCTACAATCTCTTCTATAATATAGATTCAGAGGGAAGACTTTCTGCTTCATTCTATGAGACTAACATTACACTAAAACCAAATGAGACAAAGACATTACAAGCAAAAAAAAAAAAAAAAGATACAGATCAATATTGGTACAGACAGGAAAAAATCTTCAACTAAATATTAGCAAGTAAATTCAATAATGTGTAAAAAGAATTATACACCTTGGCCAAATGAGATTCATCTCAGACATGCAAGAATATTTCAACATTCAAAAGTGACTTAATGCAATGGGTTACATCAACAGGCTGAAGGAGAAACAGCATGTTATTATATCAATAAATACAGAAAATCATTTGATAAAATCCAACACCACATTATGACAGAAACTAGCAGTAAACTAAAAATAAAGGAGTAACTCCATTAACTTAATAAAGAATGTCTACAAAAAATCTACAGCTATCATCATAATTAACAGTAAGAAACCTGAAGCTTTTCCACTGAGATAAAAAATAAAGAAAGGATGTTCCCCTTTACCACTGCTTTTCAATATCCTACTGGAAATTCTAGCTAATGAAATAACATAAGAAAAGGAAATAGAAAGTCTACATACCTAGAAGAAAGAAACAAAACTCCCTTCTTTGCAGATGACATGACTGTCTATGTAGAAAATCTAAAAGAATTGATGAAAAAACTCCTGAAACTAATAAATGATTACAGCAAGTTTGAAGGATACAAGAATAATATACAAAAGTTAATCATTTTCCTATATACAACATTGAAAACTTAGAATTTAAAATGAAAAACCAATACCGTTTACATTAGTATCCCAACAAATGCTTAGATGTAAATCTAACAAAATATGTGGAAGATCTATTTAAGGAGAATTATAAAAGTCTCATGAAAAAAATCAAGAACTAAGTAAATGAAAAGGATTCCATATTCATGGATAGGAAGATATGATATTGCCAAGATACCAGTTCTACCCAACTTGATCTATAGATTCAATCCAATCACAATCAGAATCCCAGCAAGTTATTTTGTGGAGATATTGTACAACTGACTCGAAAATTTATATGGAGGGGCAAATCTCCAAAATAGCTAACATGACATTGAAAGAGAAGAACAAAGTTGGAGGACTGATACCACCTGACTTCAAAAGTTATGATAAAGCTAGAATAATAAAGATAGTGTAGTACTAGTGAAAGAATAGATCAATTTTTCAATGGAATAGAATACACAGTCAAGAAAAAGACAAACATAAATATACTCATCTGACCTTTGAGAAAGAAGGAAATAAAATACAAGGAAGAAAATATTGTTTTTGAAACAATGGTACAGAGACAGCTGGATATTCATGCTAAAAATGAATTTAGACATTTTCCAAAATGGCAAAAATCCAAAATACTGACAGCAACAAATGCTGTCAAGGATGTGGAGCAACAGGAATTCACGTTCATTGCTGGTGGGAATGAAAAATGGTAGAGCCACTTTGGAAGACAGTTTAGGAGTTTCTTACAAAATTCGACATACTCTTACCATATGACCCAGCAATCATGCTCTCTGATATTTATCCAAATGACTTGAAAACTTATATTCACTATACAAACTTGCATAGAGATCTTTATAGCAGTTTTATTCATAACTGTCAGATCTTGGAATCAACCAAGATGTCCTTCAGTATGGGAGTGGATAAATAAACCGGCACAACCAGAAAATAAAATAGTATTCAGTGTTAAAATAATATATGAGCTATCAAGCCATGTAAAGATATGAGAAAATCTAAATACATATATACTAGGTTAAAAAAAGCCTGTTTGAAAGGCTACATGCTCTATTATTTACACTATTTGATATTCTGGAAAAGACAGAAATATGGATACAGTAAAAAGTATTAATTGTTTCCAAGGGTTTGCAGGGAAGAAGGTATGAATAGGCAGAACAGGATTTTTAGGCAATACAGCTATTCCATACAAGCAGAAACATGTCATTACATCTTTGTCAAAACCCATAGAATGTACAACACCATAAATGAACCCTAATGTAAACTGGATTCTGGGTGATAATGATTTATCAATGTACATTTATCCACTGTAACAAATGTACATCTTTGGTGTGAGATCTTGATAGTGGGGGAGGTTGTTTGTGTGTGAGGATAGTGGGTATGTGGGACTCCATGTTTTCCATTCTATTTTGCTGTGAACCTAAAACTTATCTGAAACAAAGTTTATTACGTTAAAACTATAAACTTTGACGCCATCTCACCACTCACATTATTGAAGAAAGATCATAAATTTAATTCAGAAAGGTAAAAGAAAAAAATGTCTAGAAGAAAACAAAGGGAAATATTTTCACAACCTTGGAATAGAAAAATATTTCTTACAGGAGACAAAACAACCAACTATATAACTAAAAAAAAATACATTTGACTTTGTTAATATTTAGGATAGTTTTTCTCCATTAAAAAAGATTTTTTAAAAAGGCTGTAAAGGTAAGCCACTGATTGAGAGGACATATGTGCAATACATATATGCAAAATGCATTCATATCCAGTGTAAAGAACGCTTAAAAACAAAAAGAACAGAACAGAACGTTCAAAACTCAAATGGGCACAAGCTTGATCAGACACTTCACTAACAAGGATATCCAGATGGACAATAAACATATTTGACTCTAAACATCACAAGTCTTCAGTCTTCATTTCTAATCGAAATGTAAAATCAACTCTCTTTTGATATTACCACATTCACACTAGAATGACTGAAATTAAAGAGAATATCAACATCAAGTTTTGACGATACTGCGAAACAACTAAAACTCCCATAAATTGCTTCTGGGAGTGTAAATTGGAGAAATATTTTTATATGGATCTCAGTATTTAGATAGGTGTATACATCTGTAAAAACTCATTGACTTCTACGCTTGAGATTTGTTCTCTCACTCTATGATGGTTATATTTTATTGCAATAAATAGTAAAAACTAAGAAATAAAAATGGCAAACATTTCCAGCTCACTTTGCTGTGTTGGTATTACTCTAAACACTGGGCATTTATTAACTCATTCAGTATTCACAACACTTATTTGCTACAGTTCATTTGCTTATGTTCTTCCCTGTTTTTTGTTTTGTTTTGTTTTGGTTTTGGTTTTTTTTGCCTTTTTGAGGCACAGAGAAGATACATAACTTGCCCAAGGCCACAAGTTTAAGTAGTGAACCTGGAGCTCAACTCTAGGCAAGATTGTCCGATTCTGGAATCTTAAGCACTATCCTATGACCTATTTTAGAGTAAGTCTTTGGGATATTTGTATATACATGCACACACACACACACACACACACACATATATACATGTATGCATATATATACACGCATGCATATATAAATACACACACACATATATATATATACACACACACAGTTAGGTTTTATGAATGTGACTCATGAGTGAAACATTTATATAAGTCCTTGGGATATATATATATATATATATATATGTATATATATATGCACACACAAATATATATACACATACACACATACATATATATATATAAACTGTTAGGTTTTGTGAATGTGACTGATGGTTTGTACTCACAAAGCACCTTTATTTATGTCTCCCATTAATTTTATACAGTGGGGTCTCATTACTTACCTAGTCACTCTTAAGTAACAAGAAATATTAACTTACTTTAAGTTGCATCATAGACACGCCTAGATAAAAGCAAAAGTCAGATTTGATTTAAAATGACACTTCCTCCTTCTATGTATCCAGGCCTGGCTATCTTGCAGGCTGGCTATCTCTTGTTGTGGGAGGGAACCATTCCTTCTATCACCCCCTTCTATTCTCACTTCAGTTAGATTGATTTGAAGGCCCGTACAGACAGAGCATGGAAGGAGGACAGTTCATACTTGATTGATAATGCCACGACAATTTAGAAATCTTGCTTTCTGGGCTTGACCAAAGTTTACAACTGGATCTTCCAGAGTGCGTTTCTTGCACAATGGTGTACTCTCTGGTATGACTGAGGCATGAAATATAGCCTAGAGGCCAGGTGGAAACTTTGGTGGAGCCTAGGTAAGAGTACAAATGAGGTTACATAGCATATTTCTAAATATTTAAAAGTTATGAATCAAACTAACAAATTGTTAAATAAAATGCAGTCCATCATCCCAACTTGTTAAACTGAGGAAACAACCAAAAAAATGTAGAATTTTTATATGATTCAGCAAAATATTAAAGAGGTTTTGAGTTAATTATTCTTGTCCATGTGTGTGAAAGGCTTTTGGTTTTATTGGCAATGTTTAGAAATGAAATTGAAATACAGACACATAGTTAATAAATTATTAACTTTATTTTATTTCATAAAACATATATTTTATTTCATAAAACATTTACTTAATTTTGGCGATTTTTCAGTGTTAATTTTGCTATGATGTTTTATGGAGATTTTGACATATTTTACATCTGATTCAAGTAATGGTCTAAAGCAGGGGTCCGCAAATATTTTCTGTAAAGAGGTCGGATAATATGTATTTTATGCTTTGAGAAACATGCAGTGTATTACAACTACTCAGCCTTGCTGTTGTTGCACAAAAGCAGCCGTCAACAACAAGTAAACAAAGAGAGAAGTTGTGTTTCAATAAAACTTTATTTACAAAAACAGGCAGTGGACCATAGCTTGCTAATCCTTTAGCTAAAGGATTAGAAATTTGAAACATAATTATATTTAAAATAAATTCTGCATTGTTATTAAGAGTGTAATTTAGTAAATGTAAATAACTTTTTAAACATCTTCTTTTACATTACAGAGGTCTTTAATTTTTTTACGCCTATTATAAACATTTTTCATATATGTTCTAGTATTTGATATCTATCTAGTAACCATTGTAAAGGATCAGAATTACATTTCCTGTTAGTCCTAAGCACATACAAATTTAAGAATCATATAACTTGTTTTACATTGCAAAATTCCTCAGACATTATATCTGATCTTTGCCAAAACCATACTAATTTGTAGGTACCTCTTGAACAATGAATCAGAATACAAAAAAAACCAAGAAAATGGAAATGTTATTTCATTATGCAATTTCCTTTGAATTTATGTTCTCTGAACAGAATGATTTGACAGGTTAATTAACTTGTCTTTTCTCCTATCCAGGCTCTTCGCCATTCAAATCCTCCCTACACAGTGAAGCATTATCCATCTCTGGTACTGGCAAGGGCAAAACTCAGACTTTTGTTGATGGCATCTGGATGCAATCGTCTTTGAGTACATCAGGTAAGAGTTGTGGTGAAGCATTGCCCTGGAGTCTGCACCTCATTGGTCAGGAGAGTAGACGTCTCTGGTTAATGTTGTCCTGTGCCAGTGCTGAATGTTGGATCCTGAGTCATAGAGAAGAAAACAGTAACTTAGCGGCAAATGGAGAATTTACTGCTGTCTCCAAATGCCAATTATTTTTTTCCCTGAACCAGTATTTGCCAAATCCTAAACCTGCATTTTTGAAAAGGGAGTTTAACGTACGTGAAATCTAGCTTATATATGTATATTCCTAGAATTGCTTCATTGACCACTGCTGTGTAACAGGTCTCTGGGTGATGGTTGGAATTGTGTGTGCAAGTATCTGTCTTTTTACAAAAATCTCCCCAGACAATTCTACTATGAAGCCAAGTTTGGGAACCACTGATCTGGAACATTTAAGAAAAAGAGTCAATAAAGCTTTTTAAAACTTTGATATTACTCTGCCTTACACCAGATTATGTCTCTGGGGACATTTTTATTATGTTAGTTGCATTAGTATATTTGACACTCAAGGCTTCTCAGCCAGACTCTTTCTCTGCAGAGGCAATAATACTGAGAAAGTGATTCTGAGAGTGGCTTAATAAGTTACACTGACCGGTAGCCAAAGCTTCCAAAGCTTTTAAAAAGAGCTAAAATATACTGTTGTGAGACCAGGCAACTTGAACAGCTACTGTTAACTCCTGGAAACTATTGTTTCTGTCCTTGGGTTCTTGTGCATAGTATGGATTCTTAAAGCTACTGGGATCTACTTATCATGGAAACTGTTCTTGATGTCTCATCAACGAATAAGCATTAGTTTTATGTGTTACCCTTTTATTTACCCTTACCATTTCTCTTATTTGGCTTTGTAGCTGTCTTCTGAATTCTATGCCCTCACTTGTGTATACACTTCTGAAGAATACTTTGCCTAACTGGTCACTGCATCCGTATTACACAGCACAGGGCTTACTCCATAATAGATACCCAATAAAAAGTTAAACCAGTACATATTTAATAAATACTTACGCTCTCAATGGAACCAGGTTTACTCAGTGCCATTGACTTCTACTGTTGAGAATGCCACCCCATAGAAGAGCAGAAACAAAAAAGTATTTGCTCTCCACCTCTGGCAGTTAATACTCAAAGAGGGCTGTCATTTGGGAAAACAGATTGAGTGTTGTATTGGGGAAAATCTCTGCTGTTCTAAGAAGGGCCGTCTCTACTGTCTGAACAAAGAGTAGCGATCAAGGGCATTTTTACATGAAGTTTCTTCCTCCCTTACCTCTTAAACCCCATAAGGAAAATTGGTAGGTTGCCATGGGAAATTCAACCCAAGTCTGGAAAACATGGGTTTATAAATTCATTTTTATTTTCCTGTAATACATGTAAATCTCATGCTTACAGAGTTAAACAACCTTGAAAAATATACCAGCCTCTTTCAAAATGTGGGCTATAAGTCATGTGATTTTTTGTGTGTATATGTCATAGGTTTTGGTGGTGATGGAGGGAGGCTAGGGCAGGAAAAAGAAGCTTCTTGTGAAGGATTATGCTGTTGGACCTCTCAGCTGCAAATATACTTAAAATTCTGAACTTGAATTACATTAGATTGTTATTGAAAATTGTTTCAGAACATTGGCTTTTTTGTACTTGTTTTATTCTGTCATTAAATTCAGATTTAAAAGCCTCCCTAGTTTCTTTCTCAAGGCCCCCTCTTCACCCTCTTCACCTCTACCCACTCCACCACTTTCCCTTTCTCCTGTGTTTTACCTGCCATCTGGAACCACTTCCCTGCCTCTCTGGACTTAATTGGCTCTTTTCAAATCATATCTCTAACCCCCATCTCTCCATCAGCCTTATGACTCCTA
This sequence comes from Homo sapiens, assembly GCF_000001405.40. NCBI lineage: Eukaryota > Metazoa > Chordata > Mammalia > Primates > Hominidae > Homo > Homo sapiens. Next base: position 52,134,245 of record NC_000005.10, read on the forward strand.
ACCTTAAAGAAACAATCAACCTCTTTTTCCTGAGCCTTGCTGTTTCCCTCTGCTAAAGTTCTTCTTGTCCTATCTAGCCTCTTCTACGCTTCTCCATTGAAGTGGCTATTGGTAATCTGTATGCCGTTACTTGTTCCTTTTTTAAGGTTATTTGAGGAAGCAACTGCATGTGTGCAAAGCCACACAGAAGCGTATTTAATTGTGTTGCATCTTATATAATCAGTATGAGTCACTCAAGTAAAACCCATTATGGAAAAATTACTCTCTAAGGAGTTATAATATTGTGCTTGGGTGGCTTCCTTTTGGTCAGGAAGCAGAGCTGCACTTCCAAGATTCATAATTGGCTTAGAAAGCTCAGACAGTGCATTTCAGTAGGGTTGTAATTGTAATATGTACAAAGGCTTACAGAAATACCCAGAATCAGCACACCCCAACAACAACAGCAAAAAGATACCTCTTTTGAACTTTGGTTTAAAATATTAAATTGAGTAATTTTAAAAAAGATGTTTATGAGTTAAAATAATTCTTAAAATCTATAATGTATAAAAATATCAGCTCAATATAAGCAGTTCTTTATGGTGCACTTATCAAAATACATACAATAATATTTAATTAAAATATAATCTTATCCTTTATTTGTCTTGGAGAAAATTTTCTTTGAGTTTATCATGGGAATGGTATGTGGGTTTCTCATTTATTGTGTAGTTGGGTTTGCTTATTGGCAGCCCAGAAGGGTTTAAAATAATTCAACAGTAGTGTTGAAATAATAAATGTACAATCTCTTTATGAAGCTTTAATATGAAAAAAAAAACTATATTTGGTCAGTGTAGAAATTCAGATGCTGCTATTCTACCCCAATTTGATATCCTTAAATATTCTGTTTTGAGGATTAAAATGTTCTTTTAGGCTGGGTGCGGTGGCTCACGCCTGTAATCCCAGCACTTTGGGAGGCGGAGGCAGGCAGATCACGAGGTCAGGAGATCGAGACCATCCTGGCTAACACTGTGAAACCCTGTCTCTACTAAAAATACAAAAAATTAGCCGGGCGTGGTGACGGGTGCCTGTAGTCCCAGCTACTGGGGAGGCTGAGGCAGGAGAATGGCATGAACCTGGGAGGTGGAGCTTACAATGAGCCAAGATCACACCACTGCACTCCAGCCTGGGTGACAGAGCGAGGCTGGGTCTCAAAAAAAAAAAAAAAATTTGTTTTAGTCCAGTTGGATTGCTACAACAAAGTACCATGGACTACGTAGTTTATAAACAACATAAATTGGTTTCTCTCCATTCCAGAGGGTGGAATGTCCAAGGTCAAAGTGCCAGTGGACTTGGTGTCTGGTGAAGGCCCATTTCCTAGTTCATATAAGGGGACTTTTCTCTGCATCCTCACATAGTGAAAAACAAAAGGCAGCTCCCTGGGGACTCTTTTTAAAGGTTGGATACCATTCACGTGGGCTCTGCTCTCATGACCTAATCACCTCCCAAAGGCCCCACATCCCAATGCCATCACACTGGTGATTAGGTTTCAACATATAAATTTGGAGGAGGTACAAACATTCAGACCATAAAAAATATAGAGACTGAAAATACATAGTGAATTTTTAAATGTTTTCAGCAATCTAGAAGAAATCATCTTTGTTTTAGCTTCTATATCATTATGTAAGATCATTGAAATGGGACTTGCTGATGTTCATTGGAATTTCATACGTGTCTTGAAAACCCATGGAACATACTCCTGCAAGATCATTTTTTATTTTTTTGAGATGGAGTCTCTCTCTGTCGCCCAGGCTGGAGTGCAGTGGCATGGTCTCGGCTCACTGCAAGCTCTGCCTCCCAGGTTCACGCCATTCTCCTGCCTCAGCCTCCCGAGTAGCTGGGACTACAGGTGCCCGCCACCACACCGGGCTAATTTTTTGTATTTTTTTTTAGTAGAGATGGGGTTTCACCTTGTTAGCCAGGATGGTCTCGATCTCCTGACCTCATGATCTGCCTGCCTCAGCCTCCCAAAGTGCTTGGATTACAGGCGTGAGCCACCGCGCCCAGCCCTGCAAGATCATTTTTGAGAACACTTCTCATATTTTTGGAAGCTACAAAATAGATTATTAGTGCATTCTAAGTTGGAATACCATGCTCCTTGTCTCCTCACAGAAGCCAAAATTAGTTTTAACAAGAACACTACAAAATAAACATGTTTAAATAAAATTAAATATTTAATTGATTTTTGCACTGTGTTTTCCAGTAAAGCAAAATAAAACAAAATATTTTAAGATTTATATTTTAGATGATCTGTATTGACTTTCTGATGAGCAAGTAAAATCAAATTAGAAGAATGAGCACATTCTTTTAAGATTATTAGGTTCATTTAACAAACACTTATTGCCAGGCATAATTGCTAATGACCAGAGATGTCAAAAATACCCTCCCATCCTTGAAGGTGCCCATAGACTCTCTAGAAAGGAACATCTCCACGGATCACAGTAGAAGAATCCAGGCAAAATGTGAGAGTAATATGCCAAGATGTGAAAATGTTCAGAAAAACAACATATTATTTTAAATATCTGAGCCAAGTCTCAACCATCAATCTATTTGTTAGGTACAACATTTGCAACAAACCAGCAGCTCTTTACAGCAGCTCTTTCGCGATAGCTCAGTCAGGGCTTGGCTGAAATGAGGTATTTAATACATATTCTGAGAAGTGATAAGAGTAGTGCTACTTAGGATGTATCAGATTTGTTTTATTTCTATCTTTTTTGTTCTCTGATCCAAGATGATACTCTCTGCCCTTCATCTTTGTGGATTACATTGAAAAGAAAATATGATTTTATTTGTTAAGGGAGCTCTTCATGCGCAAATGGGCTACAGTCTCACCTGCTGGCACTAGCTCTGTTTGTGATAGAAATTTCTACAACCTTTTCTTTTCTTTCTGTTTTTTTTTTTTTTTCCTAACCTTCAAGCTTGTTGCAGGATAACACAGAGCACTATCATTGACTCTCATCGTGGCAAAGCAGATGTTCCTTGGCCTTGTGCAAGCCCCACCTGCACCACTCTGGATGTCCCTGACTGCAAGACACACAGTCAAGAGGTCCTAATGTCAGTCACTTGTGCTCTCTAAAAGTGTAGTGCCTCTTTTTCTTTGTCTGCTTTAGACTGTCACGTTAAGGGGAAACAGTGTATGAATGCCAAATAAAAGAAAAGCAACTAAAATTGGTAGACATGCCTTTTTTAGCTTCAGAGAAGTCAGCATTTAATCCAGACATTTAGTGCCTTGGTTTTTATTCAAAATTTAAGACAGACTTTTACACAGATAAATGATTGCACTGACAAGACCCTCTGGGACACTAAACCATTATTTATAATTACTGTTCAAGTGTGTTTTTGAAATTGAAGGTCTGCATGTACCTGCCAAAAAACTATTTTCAAAGAACTTTACTTTATTAATTACACTCATGTTTGTGTATTAAAGAAATCATACAGAATACTTAAATTATAAATAAAAATGGGATTGGAAATACCAGGTAAAAAATGGTTGATTTTCCTAAATTTGAATAAAGTAAAATGAGAAATTTAATCAGGAAAGAGATTATTGTGTAGGTCATTTTTATAACCCTTTTTATTTGTGGAAAAGAAAAGCAGTTTATCTTTTTAGTTATATAATTGCTGTTTAAATCATTTCTTTCTACGAAATTCCATGTTTATGTTAAATCAAAAGATAAAAATGTTAGTGCCCTCTGTAAGGGGGAACTGAAAAGAAAGAAAAATGAGTTAGAAATTCAAGAAATGAAAAGTTCTTCAATTTAAAATTTAGCCTTAGAATATTAATACATTTATTGGATTATCTCAAATGTTAAAAATTGAAACATTTTCCTATTGGATAAATGTTTTGATAAAGTTATAACATGGTGAGCTTGAGTGGGACGGGTCTAATTTTATTTTGACATATAAATAACCTATTATATTATCCATCATCAGAAAAATATCTATTTGATAGAACTCAAGGCTTTGGAATAAAATTTTAGTTTGTAAACAGGTATGTAAATAAAAATAAGAAATGTATATCAGCTTCTGTATGTAAAGCTATTGAATGTAATTAAAATAAACATATTATGTAAATGAACAATAAATCAGACATGATATATTATTGATACTATGGACAGAATCTGAATTTGATAAATTATGATCTAAAATACCAAATTTGTATAAATTATCATGCACTTCAATTACCTTATTGAATTAGAAATGTAATTTTTCCATTTAAAAATATTAGTTATTTTCTCATCTTTTTTGGAATAAGATCTTAAATTGTTTTATTCTTTAATTTAAAATATTATAGATGAATCTAAATTTTAAAATGAGCACATAAATTTAAAAATATTTTAAATCTCATAAAAATACAGTCATTGACTCTTTTAGAAAAACATTCTTAAAATTAATTTATTATTAATTGAAAAATAATAATTGTGTATATTTATGGGGTATGATGTATAGTTTTGATTAATGTGTACCTTGTAGAAAGATCCAATCAAGCTAATTAACTTAATCATTGACTCTTAACAGTATAATAGAAGTGATCACAGAAATTGGAGAAATCTACCTCTAAGTCTTATTTTAATGAAATGATTCAGATTAACATATTTTACTGATACAAAATATAAAGATAAATTTTGTAAACCTAACTTTCAAGTGTATTTTGAAGTTTTTGTTTTTGTTGGTCATTTAATTGTGTTTATAAAATTTTAGGAGATTTTACTTTCTACCTAGGAAATGTCTCAAAATGGACAATATAATTTTACTTATGTCTCCTCTTTGGAAAATTAATAAGTTAATTTTTATTTTGCAACACAGTGAATACATACAAGTGAAAAATTTAAAAAATGTAGTTTTCAAGTTACAAAATGACTGTAAAGTAGTACATCCATTCTGTGCACAGTGGCTCACACCTGTAATCCCAGCATTTTGGGAGGCCGAGGCAGTCAGATCATGAGGTCAGGAGCTCGAGACCAGCCTGGCCAATATGATGAAACCCCATCTCTACTAAAAATAAAAAAATTAGTTGGGCATGGTGGTGCATGCCTGTAGTCCCAGCTACTTGGGAGGCTGAGGCAGAAGAATCACTTGAATTCAGAGGCAGAGGTTGCAGTGAGTTGAGATCATGCCACTGCACTGCAGCCTGGGCAAGAGAGCAAAGCCTCTGTATCAAAAAAATAAAAATAAAAAATAAAAAAAAAAGTAGTACATCCAGCCAGAATATGTCAAAAATAAAGCTTAAGAAACAGCTGCTAAATCAATCTATTACCACTGTGCAACAAAACAATTTTACTTTGTTCCTTATTAGTACAGATGATTTGTTGCAACCATTTCTTTTTTTCTTAGAGTTGAAGAAAATAACCATTTAAGTATGCATTTTGATTATTTTGGTGTATAAAAATGTAGTGTGTCTGTGTGTGTAGGCACATGTGCATGAAGGCATTGATATCAAGAATTTAAAAATGTCACCTTTTTGTACAACTAAGGATATTCTGGAAGTTGCAAACGATTATAAACTGACTTTTTTTTTTCTTCTGTTGAGGCAGAAAGTAGGAGACTTTCAACGTACTTCTCTTAAATCATCTCAGGATATTGCCCAAATATCATTGATTTCCAGTCAATCAGTAATGTAACATCTATTGTCACAGGATGGAATTTAAAGAGTAAAGTCGAAATAATTTGCTTTCAATAAAATAAAGTTAATTGTACTTGACTCTCTGGCTTCAAGAAATGTGGAAAATCTCAACAGTGGCAAGCATAGAAATTAAAATGATTAATGAATAATCAAGAGTCCTATGAGCCAGTGGGTGGTGTGAGAGTCACTCACAATAAAATGGCATAAAGTCCATTCCTATGAAGAAATGACTAAAGTGTACCACAGTCCCAGAGACAAAGAGAAAATTATTAGCTTTTTGTTAGAAAAGAGAACAGGAAACACTGGAAATGACAGGCTGCATAGCTATATCAGCTGTACCAGATTCTTCTGATAACCATGCTACCCAAGCTTGCTGAGACAAGGTGCTATGGTTTGCATATGGTTTATCTGGTCTGCCAAGTCTCATGTTAAATTTAATCCCCACTATTGGAGGTGGGGTCTGGTGGGAGGTGTTTGTATCTTGGCAGTGGATCCTTCATGATTGGCTTGATGCCATCCTAGTGGTAATGAGTAAGTTCTCGCTTTATTAGTTCCCTTCACAGCTGATTGTTTAAAAGAGCCTGGCACCTCCCTCCTCTCTTGTTCTATTCTTTTGCCATGTGATCTCTGCACACGCTCCTTCCTCTTTGCCATCTGTTATGAGTGGAGTATCCTGAAGCCCTCACCAGAAACAGATGCTGGTGTCATGATTCTTGTATGGCCTGCAGAACCGTGAGCCAATAAACCTCTTTTCTTTATAAATTACTGATCCTTAGGTATTCCTTTATAGCGACACAAATGGACTAAGACACAGGATTAAGGCATGAAACTGTTCCAAGTTTTCATTAGGTAAATTAATCAGTCATACCAAGGAAATACAGTCATTCAAGGAAATGTTGAAAAAAGCTTGAAACATAACTCTCAATGAGAATGAAAAGATATTATGAATGAACTATGAAAAGAATTTGGTGGTGGTTTAAAGGTGGGAATAAGAGAGTATATGGAGAAATTTGTGTTTTCGAGTGTCTTGATTAGGCGAACTAAGTTCTCAATAAACAATATAGAAAATGCTTATGAGATCAAGTTGATACAAAGATTAAATGTGATTGGTCTGCAAGACAGACATCTTTGTATTTCATTGGTTTGAACCAAGAAATTTTGCCTTCCTGGAGCTACATTTTGCAATTCTTTATTGCCATGGCAAGGGAAGGGAGTGTCACTGGCATGTAGTAGGTAGAGGCCAAGGATGCTGCTAAACATAGGACAATGCACAGGACAGTGCCTCACAACAACAATTCAACGCAAAATGTCAATAGTGCCGAGACTATATTGGGTAGGTCAGATTAAAAATTAGGTTGTGGGCATCTCCATTAAACTAATTGATCTGAGTATTGTGGTTTACAGACATGTGAGATGGGAGAATTACTCATGCCACAAATAATTGTGAGCACTTTCTCTATGCCAGACATTGTTCTAGGTGCTAGGGATATGAAGTTGAACAAGACGAGAAGACGTTGCCCTTGAGGAAAAGACACTTTCTACTGGAGGAGATAGACAATACCTAGGAAAACAAATACATAAACAAATATGACACTGGTAAAAGTTATGAATAAAATACAAATAGAATGATGTCATGGAGAGTGACCATTTGAGAGAGATTAATTTACAATGAGGGATTAAGTAAGACACTTGATCTAATGATAATGATCCCTTAGCTGAGACCTAATGCCAAAAAGTCTTGGCAAGGGTCATGCTCCCTTAAAATGGCAAGTTCATTTTGTCTATCCAATTTGGAATGTACTACATATGTTTCAGTGCTACAGATATAAATTTGTATGCACTTACAAAATTAGCTGAACTGGCAAATGAAAACAAATCCATGACTGTTTTTGCTTGTGCCTAGGGAGAGTACCTAGCAAAGACATTAAAATCCAAAGCAACCTCCTCAATTTGTGGAGTAATTCTACGTGTATTCAAATAATATGATAAGTAATCTGCAACCCTTATTCAAATAACATAATTTCTGTTTGGTGGAATTCAGCCTAGGAAATAGCAGAGATATAGAAAGATACTTGATTGGCAGTTATTACCGAAAAAGAGTTTCCTTTGTGGAAGTCAATAATTACCAGCATTTAATTGACAGTTTGAATCTATATATAAATTAAATTAAATATTATCAACATAATTATACTAGAAAGGCAGGTTTATAAAATCATTTCAAGTTAACGCAGTACTACAAATATATCAGTGTAATTAAAAACCTACACAGAAATATAAAGAAATGTTTAGACAGAATTCTGAATCCATTGAAGACTTTTGGCTTCTAATATATTTTTAGATGTGTGTTTTACCACATCTATCTATTGCCAGGAGTCATTGCTGACTGAACTAAATTTTTCTGAAAATCCATGGGTGAATCAAAGATTTTTTTTCTATAAACTGTTAAGTATGTCTCCTTCCTACCCATCAAACTTCTTGTCCTTAAACTTCATCATCAATGGCTATTTTCTGCTATTATTTTCAGGACTATTTTGATTTATGTGGAACATTGTAACTGATTTTCAATATGCTTTTTATAATATTTTTCTTAAAGAACTTTGTCTGCCTATTTAGTTCAAAACTTTCTACATAAAACTACTTGCAGGAAAATTGTTTTTCTAATCAAACAATAATGCATCAGTAGATTAAATTATTCTTGAGACAAATAAATCTGTATTATAAGTGACATATAGGATATGCAACTTTACATATATTACATTATAAAGTTCTTATAGTCATCATTCTTTATGTTATCTATACAAATGTGTTGAATGAGATCACCTAATGTGTACTATTTCATCATGGTCTCAATGGTAACACTGTTGTATACTTCTACTTGTTGTTTTACTTTTTTCTAATGCTAAAATTATAGATAAATATAAATAAGATGAATAGTAAACTCTGGATCACAAGAAATAGGCTTGTGATTACCAAAATAATTTATAAATTCTAGACAGCGATGTAAATTTTAAAGGTTAATCTGCTATTTATTGATTTAGAATGATCCATTTTTATAAGGTGTAACTGTTGAGGCCACATCACACCAAGGGAGCTAGTAACAGTGGTCATAAGATTTCTCAGTGCTACATTTTCTAAAGTAAGCCAGAAAGCTCAGCCTATACCACCACCAGATGAAAATCTGTTAAAACTGTTAAAGATGTCAAACTAGCACAATGTTCAAGTCATTCAAGGCAGGGCAAAGAACTAAAGTAGTTTTTGACTAGTTTGTTCTCAACAAAACCTGTTTTTGTGCATTTTCGGCATTCTTATGAATCTCTGAAAAGGTTTTAGTGTAGATTTCACATCAATTTGATAACTTTTGCAATTTATAATTTTAATTAAATGTAAAAGGACTTTATTTTTCTTAAACATGTAACATGTTAAATGTTATATTTAGTTTGTGGAAAATGTAATCCTTGCATAATAAACACATGGAACAAATTATTTTATTATAATTGGTTCAGTGAATAAATGAGTCTTTAATCTGTTAAAATAATTATATATCTACCACAATAAAATCATGTTGGTATTTCAGAATAATAGCACTCATACTACCTAAGCAAGTTACCTAGTGAGTTTGTAAGATTTCCTAACAGGTTTTCTATAAATAGAGGAAACTTAGAATTGTTCATCTTGAAATATGTATGTATCACCTTATAACATTTAAATTTATTAATTATAAAACAATCAATACTTTACAAAAACATTTAAACGTTTCTTTTGAATAGTTTCACTTTCTCACAACATTTTTATTTTTTAAAATTCTAATTCTTTTTGTAATAATTAGCTTTATTTTCACTCAGCCATTGATACTTATACATTTTGAAGGTCAGTAGAAGAGGTCTTTGGTTTTTCTTTAAGTTATATTGCACAAGGCTTAATTATATTCTTGAATTTTATCTGCTGCATCCTTAAATACATACTGAAAAATTGAGAAGACTGGTTTTTTTTTTTATCCTATCAAAGTTGTCTTTGGCCCTGCTGAAACTATTTGCCATTTTTAAGATTGATTACCAACTGCTAGAAGAAAATCTTTAGTTACATAGTCAACATTCAGCAGATATCTTGCATGAGATATCATAAAATGTTTTCTAAGCCAATAATAAATGATGTCAATAGAATATTATTGGGCAATAGAAAGGATGAAGTGCTGATACATGTTTCAACATGGACAGATATCGAAAGCATTGTGATAAGTGAGTGTTCTAAAATTAGATGGTGATGATTGCACAACTCCGTGATTATACTCAAAAAACACTAAATTATACACCTTTAAATTATGAATGTGGCTGGGCGCAGTGGCTCACACCTGTAATCCCAGCACTTTGGGAGGCCAAGGCAGGCAGATCACTTCAGGTCAGGAGTTCGAGACCAGCCTGGCCAACATGGTGAAACCCCGTCTCTACTAAAAATACAAAAATCAGCTGGGCATGGTGGTGTGCATCTACTCAGGACACTGAGGCATGAAAATCACTTGAATCCTGGAAGTGAAGGTTGCAGTGAGTGGAGATTACACCACTGCACTCCAGCCTGGGCAACAGAGCGAGACTCCAACTCAAAAAAAAAAATCATGAATTTTATGGTAGGCAAGTGATATCTCAATAAATCTGTTATTTAAAAATAATAATAAAGCAGCATTATTCTTTTGGTCTTTATTTTATTTATCTATACTGATTAATATAATATATACTAAAGCATTTTTCTCATTTTTGTTAATGATGTGTTAGAGTTGCTTTTCCCAGTTAATGGCCTTTGAGTGCTCCATTTAATTCCCTTTTAGTGTGAAAACAGTCTTTTAAAAATTAAAGACTGATAAACATCAAAATTATACAAACTAAGTAGTTCTTTAGTTTTTATAGAGTTCTATAGTTAAATTTATGAGTACAGAATGCTTATTGCTGTTTAAAAAATTGGTTACTCAGATGTTTTGCCCACATTTTAATTGGATTTTTCAGTTTCCTTATTATGAGTTTTAAGACTTTTTTGTACATTTTGGATACAAGTTCTTTATTGGATATGTGTTTGCATTTTTTAAATCCAAGTCTAGGGCTCGTCTTTTCATTCTCTTAATAGTTTTTCACTGAGCACAAGTTTTAATTTTAATGAAATCCAACTTATCAAATTTTTCTTTGGGTATAATTTTCTTGATGTGCCTGAGCAGGTATTCCATCAAAGAAGATATACAGATAGCAAATAAATATGAAAAGTTGCTTAACATTATATATCATTAGGGAACTGCAAAATGAAATCAAAGGCATCAATACATATCTTTTAGAAGGAATAAAATCCAAACCACTGACAACAAATGCTTTGGAGGCTGTGGAACCACAGAAACCCTCATTCACTGCTAATGAGAATCTAAACTGATACAGACACTTTGGAAAGCAGTTTGACAGTTTCTTAATAATGCTAGCATGGTCTTTCCACTCCATCTGGCAATTGTGTTTCTATGTATTTATCCAAAGGAGGTAAAAACTTATGTGCACAGAAAAACCTGCACATGAATGTGTATAGCAGCTTTATTCATAACAAAATTGGAAATAATGAGGATGTCCTTAATGGTTGAATGGTAGGCAAACTGTTGTATGCCCATAAAATGAAAAATTATTCAGCAACCTAAAAATGAGCTATCAAGCTACAAAAAGATATGGAGGAACTTTATATGCATATTGTTAGTTGTTAGAAGCCAGTCTGAAAAGGCAACATACTGTATGATTCCAACTATATGACGTCCTAGAAAAGACAAAACAATAGAGAGAGTAAAAAAGATCAGTAGTTGCCAGAGGTTGGTTCGGGGTATTGTGGAAGATAAGGCATTGAAACTCTTGTATGATACTATAATGGTAGATATACGGCGTTGTGCATTTGGAAACATCCACACAACTGCACAACACAAAAAGTAAACTCTAATGTGAACAATGAACTTTTGTTAACAATAATGTATCAATATTGGTTCATTAATTATAAAAAATGTACTATATCAATTCAAGACATCTGTAAGAGGCAGCTGTGTACAGGGGTGGAACGGAGTGGAAAGTATGTCTTTGCGCTTCTTACTCAGTTTTCTGTAAACCTAAAATTGCTCTGCGAAATAAAGTTCACTAATCAGAAAAAAATTGATTGCTCAATCTTACTGTTATAAGTTTATAAATTTTTTATCGTAAAAGATGATTGGTATTAAAAACTCATCTAAATTATCAATAAAAACTTACACCTATGAAATATTCAATAGGAGTTTAGATAAATTCTGACATCAAAATTATCCTATCTTTGGGAGGAGAGCCCCAAGACACTTTTTTCTCAGCTGGCAGAATTTGATATGCAGGAAAACAAGAAGGATAAGTGAAAAGGCAGGTAGCAAAGGGAAAGGTTGTTAGTTGAAATCAAATTTTCATCTCAAGCCTTCATAAGAAATATGATTTAAATATCTAATAAAGCTCTGGATAGAGGTTCGACACCGTGGAAAAAAATTAATCTAGATGTGGTAACTGTTGTCCTATTTCAAGGTATTTGACTTTGTTACTGCATCATCCTTAAAATTCACCAACTTTTCTAGACTAATTTCCCTTCTCTGTTATCTGGAAAAGTTACTCAAGAGGTGGACTAAGATATTTCCCAGGTTTCAAATTATATCCTTTTAAGGAAAAAAAATTTACCTCTCCTAAGCAAATATCTAAGAGAATATGTTAAATTCTTAAAGATGAAAGTTGGAGGTTGGAAAACCTAACGTTAGCTCATCATCTACAATAATCCTCAAAATTCTAAGATACAATTAGAAATGGATCACAAGTATCAAACTATTAAAAATAAGCCAACATACAAACTCATATGTTCATATTTGAGAGCTTTGCTGTGCTATCAATACTTTCTATCTTAGTAAAGAATAAGCAAGATTAAGCAAGGCTCTATGCATTGCTCGCAATGCTTTTACTATGACCATGCAATTGACCATATATTATTAGTGTTTTGGAGAGAGGATTTATAAAATAAATTCCTAACTAAAAATATTTATTTCTTTGGGTTTTCTAGATATATCTCATACAACATAAATATAGAGAAGTTCACGGATGGCATTTTTTATTGTACTATATTTTTAAGTCCCAAAATTATCCAGTACTAATTAAATTTTATCATTACAAAACTCTGATTTAAAGTATGGAAAGTGTTACAATAGTTTTCACTAAAAATGTCCTCCCACGCAAACTGAATGCAGTTGATTGTCTCTGCGCTTCCAATAAAGATTTTTTTGTATGTTCACAAATTCGTAATGCAGTATATAGAATATGTTTTATTACACCTATATATTAAAGGTATTCCAGTGTATAAATTTACTATGTTTACTAGTTTATTTATTCTTTATTGAAAATTCATTTAAGCATAAGAAAGACTTTGAAATACTTTCAGTAATTGTATTCAACAAATATTTAATGAGTTAATACCATGTGGAAAATACAGAGAGAATTTTCAAAAATTTAGGGTCTAATAATTTTTGATTTGCATTTTGGGATGAAATTAAGTCTTGAATACTTCATGTATTATTATGAATATTTCATAGGAGAAAGGGATATCAAGAGAGTGAGAGAAATATTCTTTGCACACATGGAAGTTTTAAAATTGTTTTTCTTACAAGAACGTAAAATGTATATTCATCTTCATAAGTAGAGTGTAATAATGCATGATTCCTTAGAAAAAAAAGTTTAACTATTGTTTAAAGTAAACCATATTTTAAATATGTAGGTGTTAACAACAATTCTTAAAAGTTAATCAAATTTAAGGAAGCTAAAAATAATATATCATTTCTTCAATTATATAATTAAGAATTAATGTAAAATTTTTTTTAAGAATTAAGACAAAACCAATCCATTTTAAAATATTCCTTTTGAAGGAATAAAAAAAGCATTTGTCTTCTCTGAGAACATGTGAAAAGAAATAAAAAGAGAAAGGAAAGTAAATTATTAGTTGAATTTTTTTTCCATCAGGCAAATTGCCAAGAAATTCAACAAAATATCAGCAGGGGTTTGTTGGTAGAAATCATGCTAGGAAAGGATATTCAAAAATTGTTCTAAAAATAGCATTTTGCCATTATTTTTTAGTGAGCTAATTGTTGGAATGATTCTGATCCATTATCAGAATATGAATTGAAAAACTGTAAGTGTTAATTATAAAATCCTATGTTTTAACCACTTTCAACTTACTTATGCCTGAGAAATCTTTGTAGTACTATTTTTTCCTAGCTAAAGTATCATATCTATTGCCTTTTGGATGAAGTAAGGAAAGGTAAAAAAAATCATTATCTTTTTGGAGTGTCCAAATACTCAAAAATCAAAAAGTTATTTTGTAGATAGGTAACACAATCTCTGAATTTCAACCACTTTTTAGAAGAGAAGCTTATGATAGGATTTGAAGCCACTGAAAACTAATCCACAAGATATATGGATCCGTCTGTAACTAAAACTTTAGCAGGGGAACTCCCTCGATACTTTTCAGAAATGTGATAAATTTTTGAGGTTCTCAGGAAGTAGAATAAACAAATAAATATGCATTGGTCACTTGGCTGAGTCTTAAAGTATAGCATGCTGTAACTAATAAAATCAGTCACAAGCTCTTAGAAATTTAATGCATGCCATCTCTTTCTCTTTTTATTTTGTCTGTTTCAGTATTACTTTGAGGTAATCAGCTACTAATTCAACAAAAAACAAGCAAGCATAATAAATATTTACTGACCATTTACCATACAGCAAGTCCTAAGGGATACAGTAAGTGCTATAAATTCAAACACAATGTAGGAGAAAACCCTTTTTCTTAAAACATTCAAAGTCCAATTGTAATTTTTTATCATCTCAATGACTAAATTCTGCTATGAGTTTCAGGATGTTAGCTTTGTTGTATATCTAATTTAGCCTTTTCAATAAACCAAACCACTTGACAGGACATGATGAAAGCTGGGGCTTTCCATCTCCCCAGTGGAGGTGATTGATCAAGGATGTATTTCAGAATTCTCTTTGTTCATCCATGTACCTGAAAACCTTACTTTAACCTAATGTTATGAGCACTGAGAATATAGCCCTAAAACAAGTTCAATGCTAACACATTTTCTTAGTTTGCTTTATACTTAATTATGGGAATACTACACTTAATTTATGTTTGAAAAACACACTTCCACATAGTCTCAAATATAATACAATATTTTATTAAAAACCACTTCATCTCTAAGATGCTAAAAAGTAGACTTAATACTTTTTTAATCAAGTATTTTTTCTTCTACTTATATATATACTCCAGACATGATAATGACTATTACTAATAATACACAGCTAGTTTTAACACAATTCTTGATGTTAGAAGTGCAGGGCATTTTTCCATAATAAAGAATTTTGTGAAAGAGTTGCTTATCACATACTTTGATTTAAAATAAATAATAAGGGCCACGCATTACAGGATGACTAATGCAGGGGAAAAATTTAAAAATAAAGAAATAATAAAAGGATATTTCTTTGGATACAACATTCTGGATAGTCTTTTATACTCAATGAAAGAGAATAATAGAAAATTACATGACGATATTCATATCCAGCTTTTAGCTATTGGTCCTTTGATCTTTGGAGTGCATATTAAATTTTCTAATTTAAAACATGCTAAATAACTTCTTATAGAAAATGGCAATGCCTGTATCTGATGAATATTACTTCTGAAAACTGATTGTAATTCAAAAGATGCTGTCTTATTCAAAGCGAGTATGTCCACTTAAAAATATGTATTTAATTGAATTTTAATTTAATCAACTTGAAGCTATGAATTTAGTGTCCCTGAAAGAAAGAGATTAAGGCTGAATAGAAAGAGGAGGTTTCCATCCTGCTTTGCTGGTACATTTAAGATTTCACCTGAAGGGGCCACCCTCTAGTTCACTGAACAATGCTTTCCGCATGGTTATTAAATCCCAAGGACGACAAAATAATAGGCTAGTGGATTTCACTTAGGACTTTCTTTAGCTCATTAAGTCTTGGGGTTTTCTTATGGAAAGTCAAACATGCTGTATTTTTCTTACAATAGGGCAATAGGTATACTGAGTTTGATAAAAGAACTACCACATATATCAAGTTGTAATTTTGGCTTAAAAAACATTTTTCTTAAAGAGCCAAAAATATTGTCTAAATGCTAAAAAGTCACCATGGAAAAGTCCAGGCACAAAAAAATAAACACGCATGCTCATGCACACACACACACGGAAAAGAATATTCAGAGGTAAGTATTAGATACATAGAAACAAACTTTATAGTTTACCTGTTAAAAACATTCATTAAACTAAAACTCATCAAATTAATCATAAGACTATATTTAGCTTGCATGCTATAAGATTGTCTCTCATTTTATAAAACCATTGTCTGCCATCTAAAATGAATTACATAAATTTTTATCATTTCTTTTAATAATCAACTTTTGTGAGCCCAAACTTGGCAGGAAGTGATGTGGGAAATAACTTTATTTTGATAAGAAATAAATACCACATCATAACTGATTTAAAATAACTTTTTACTATTTCAATAAGCTGTAATTTAAGTACTGAACCAATTATTCTGATATCACTAGAAAAAAGAAGAAATAGGTAGAAAATAGTTTATAAGGGACACATACTAGCAGTGAGTTCTTCAGCTGCAAAATCAATTAGATTCTAATGAAACCACTCCATATAAGCCAGGTAAAAAGTCCAGCTGCCAGGGAGACAAAGTGTCACAAACTATCAGTGAAGAGCAAACAATCAGTGAAATGCCAGTGGGAAAACAAACTTTCCTCTCTACCTCTAACTATGCAAACAGCAGAAATTTCAAAAGCTACAAAAGTGCACCCCCACTGATAATGACAAAACAACAGAGTTGATTATTCAGAATGCCAGTGTAGAAAGCTTCAAAGTTTCCCGATAATATATAATCACTTCCCTTCATAATGAAATGTTGACTTCTTTTGAGTTGTGTTTAATCCTTATCTTGGAAAATGTATAATATTTAAATAATATAATCACACACACTTCAAACACTCATTAAATTCTTTTTGTTACAATTGGATGAAATAACTACACTATCAACAGCTATTTCAAAGTTAGCACAACAAACTTTGGTGATTGATAAAGAGTAATCATTGTAAGAATGTGTTAGGCACTGAAGATTAAACTCAGTTCATCAGTTCAGATATGTAGTGCTCAAATATGGAAAAAAAAAGTCAGGAACAGGATGTATTAACGTTTTATACATGATATTTAATTAGTATTTTTTAAATTCAGAGAATCAATAAAATGCAGGAAGCAGATCAGAAAACCAAGTGTGGCGAGATTGAGAACTTAGAATTAACGCATTTTGAAAGCAAAAGAAAGCTTCAAATTTATTTTTATACAACTCTCATTTTGAAGATGAAGTAACGAAGGTCTTGAAGTGATGAATTTGGCTTTATGCTGCAGTGGTAGTCGGAGTTAGGAACACATGCTTTGATTCTAGTTTAGTGTAATTTCCTTCTCTCCTGTCCTGTCCCTTTGGAGCTTAATTTATCATCCCAAACTCTATAATTGCTATTGATCAACAGAGCAACAAATCGTGACGCACTCTCACATCTCTTCCACTTAATTCATTGCAGTTCAATTCTATATTTTGCTGGTGTCCTAGAAGTGCTAGTCACTCATAAAATAGTATGCTGTGCTTTCAGCCATGTATTGTTTTAGCAGTGATCAAATTTGGTCACAGTCAAGTGAAGTACATGCAAGCTATATTTTTTATTATCTGTTTTTCAAAGTATGTTACTATGTTTTACTACATTTGAATGTCTTTTCTATATTTCTCTAAATCAGAGCTCAATAATATTTTCAATGTCTTTGCACTTTAGTGTAATGGGTAAATGTTTTTAAAATGTCTCATTTACTAGTGGAAGTTTGCAGACTAGACTTGCATGTATTTACTGGGGTATGGGGACAGAAATAAAGGGGTTCACTATTTTCAGACAGAGTCGAAAGGTTTATTTTTTTACAGTGAAACACTTTTGTTAAAAAAAGGAGAGTTTGTCAACATATTTCAGCTTCTTTTACAAGTGGTAGAATAAATATTTTTAATAAATTCAAGAACTAGTTTTTCCAAGCCCAGAAAAATCAAACTCTAGAATTTTGTAAGAATTTGCGGATGTCATTCTGAAGCCATTATCAATAATTTTTGAGAATGGTAATGTTTTGGAATTTTAGCAGAGAACTGAGATAAACAATATACCTTCATGATCTCTCCCCATCCTCCACCTGTTTCTCTCAATATCAAAGAAACAAATTCTGTAAATTGCTAAGGTAATATAACACCAATATATGAAATAATTAGTAAAGTAAATCTCTAACAGAGGAATTTATTAGCATCAAGTCAAGCCAAATCTTATTCTCCTTTTATTTACAATAGCCTTACCAATCTTGCTTGTCTAATAGATGGTCAAAAGTGTGTGGATTTTCCTTTCAACAAAGCAAATGATCAAGCGCTTTTCATAATATTACTTATAATTGTATAAATTTGAGGACAATATTAGATGACTAATAATATATATGTGTGGATTCAAAGCATGTTGAAAAGCAGTGTCCATTTTGTACTGATTAATGAATTACTCTAATTTGGAAGTTGTCTTACCATAAGATACTGGCCCTTCCTTGTCAATAACCTAATCTATGATATTCATAGCATTTATAAAAGTGCTGCTTATCAGATTTTGTTCAAAATTAGATTACATACATATTTGATGGTGAATTTTATATTTATAAAGTTCATGAGTGTCTTGAAAATCTCAGAAACAGCAAAATACTAATAATGAGAAAATTGGCATGAGTGGATATCGTAAAACACAGCTAAGGGTTAAATAAAAAAATAACCTTGATATACAAGAACTATGTAAATATCTGCTATAAATAAATGCAACTAATAACAAAATATAGCCCTCTTACCTAGATTATAAGTAGTTTAAGTAAAAGATGGCTAAGTGTTTAGCTGGATACAAGTTTAATGGAAGTTAACAGTGTAAAACATCTACTAAAATAAAAAAAAAATAGAACTGCTATAGATATAGGACCAAGGCTGTATAGTACAAAGGTTGCAGTATAAAAGAAGTTATTTCTTCTTGTTTGTGTATGTTCTAGGAATCACATTTCAAGATAGGCATTAATTTAGTAAAGTACACTAAAAAAGCATTAAGAAGATAAACTCTGTAAAGTATATTACATGACCATTACTTAAGGGATCTGTGTCGAAATTTCATTACTTCTTATGGAAAATATAACATACAAAAATAAAGAATAATTTTAAAGCAATTAGTTCAATCCGAAAGTCAAATAAGTGATATAAAAATAATGGTATTACCGTCTCAAAGTTTTTAAGCAGAATAAATGGTTGTCATTAATGAATGCCATAGAATGAATTACTAAACTGGTAGTTGAATTAAATCATATCAAGTTGCCATCTATTGTTGTCACCTATTTAACCCATGGCAACCTTCTCAAATTTAATATGTCAAGCAATTGATGTCACACCATTTCTTCCTGTATTAGTTCCTTCTCCTATGCAATTTCTCCCATGGAATTTTTACAGTTGTAGAGTGACAGCGTTGACCAAGGCCAGCTAGTCACTGTGATAACTCCATATGTGATGCTATTATAATGCTTGGTATTATGTCAATCAGAATATTCTCATTCTCTTTTGCCATTGTTTAGCCTATGGATGCATGTGTGACCAGTTCTACCATTAATATACATAGAGAAGGCATGTGGGAGTTATTTTCTTCCCTAGTAAGGAAAAAGTCTAGTCCGAAAGGTATCCCTTTTTTCTTATCATATGAGTACCTTACACGTGGCCACACTGTTTATAATTATATTGCCATATTGGAAACTGTTAGGATTGGTCAAGGGAATTGCAGAAATGCTGATACAGAGCCTCGATATCACTGTGTTATCTAATCACATTTAGGACCAATAACTTCTAGACTATTGTTAAAGAAACCCTAAAAGTTATGTTTTGATTCACTTCTAGAAGATATTCTATTTTGAATAGGAAAAAAATTAAATGGTACATTATACAACAATTATATAACCAGAAGGTATGGTCAGTTTCATCAACAAAGAATAAATGGAGAAATAAGAAATTACCTGTAACAGGAGTGTCTTATATATACTAAAGAACAGAAAAATTCTTCTCTAAAAAGGTATATAGTCACATACCACATAATGTTTTTGTCAGTGACAGACTGCATATACAATGGTAGCATAATTCAATGAAATTATAATGGATATGAAAAATGCCTATTGATAAGTGACATTGTAGCCACCTTAGTGTCCTAGCATAACATTTTCTGTTTAAATATTTTAGATACACAAACACTTACTATTTTGTTACAATTGCCTACAGTATTCAGTATAGTAATATGCTATACAGGTTTGTAGCCTAGCAGTAATAGTCTATACCATAAAGCATAGGTCTGTAATAGACTATACCATCTAGGTTGGTGTAAGTACACTCTATGATGTTTGCACAACAAAATTGCCTAAGGACACATTCCCCAAAACCCATCCCAGTTGTTAATGAACACATGACTGTATTAAAGATCAGACCAGAATAGGAGCTATGCAGGTGCTGTGTATGTGTGGATATTTTATAGGGAAGGGGCAAGAGATTTCATGTGAGGGAGCTCTCAAGTAGTAAAGAGCATGGCTGTTAGGAGGTACTATAAGAAGGCCCTGGTGCCAGCTTCAAAAGGAAAAAGAGGAAGAGGAGAAGGAAGATTCAGTTTAAGGGTCCAATGAAGAGCTTTGCCATTTATATTTGGTGTTTATATTTTGTCCTAGAGCAACTGTAGCTTCTGAAAAGATGGTAGTGAGAGGATGGGGTCTACACAATCAGAATGTGTTATCACTATGTCATGTTGTGTGGAGAATGTTTGGAGTAGAAGGATTCAGAGTAGCTGTGAGTACATCTATTATAAGGCTACTGCAGGTATCCAGAGAAGGGATAATGGTAATTGTAACCTAGATTAGCACTGTGGTGATGGCAATGGAAGTAATATGTTTGAAATGTGTTAACAATTAGGCAAAGCTTTGTGATGCGGGGTCTAAAACAGAAACAGAAGAGTTCAGAGGACTACTGGATTTCTGACAGGATCGTTGTGTTAGTAATGACTTTAATTACTAAGACTGGCATAAATGAAGGAGAGACTGATTTGAGGTATTTGGGTATTGTGTTGTCAGGTATTTACAGTATTAATCATTAGCAAATGAATGATAAAAATTAACATGATGAGTATGCATAAATGTTATTTTTAACCAAGACACATATTTGCAGGAGAGCTACTTTTGTAAGTTTATTTCATTAATAAATAATTTCCTATTGTTCATTCTAATAGTAAGGGCTTGGATAAGGAATGTTGGCTAAATAAGGAATGCCTATATTTAAAGCCACTGGGACCAACTAGTGAACAAGTATATGCTTAGACACATGCCTTGGGGCTCAAAGAAAGGAAAAATTATTCACCCTTAAGTCACTCTTTGAGGGTACTTTGTTTTCTCATGTACCACCTGCAAGGACCACCATCCTCCTTGACAACTGTCTTGACCCTGTCATATTCCTATATTTAATCAATAAGATTGTTATTGCCAATTGTTCCTTCTCTTAGTGCCTTTTTACATGTTTTTTTTTCTTTTAATTCAGATTGGATACAGTTTGGTCAGATACTTCACAATTTCAATACACCACCTCTAGAAAATCATTCAGTGGATTTATCATAATATTAAAGCTAATTGAATCTGATACATAAACAATCTTAATTTGGTTCACAGTTATCATTTCCAATAAACTCTCCTTAATATGCTTTGCCAGATGTAAAAACTCACTAAATGCTTTCTTATGGAAACATGAACACATATATGTGTGTGTATTTGTGTCTTCACATACCTATGCTCATTGAATTAAGATTTTCTTAAATCCCTGCTTGCAATTTTATTGTACATTAAAATGTAGGGTTATTTTTGCAAAAATAATCTAAGGCCAAGTACATTTTTATACATTTCAAATGGTAAAAAGTATCATGAAACATTCATATTAATGATGTATAGATTAAGTGAAAATAAGAAAAGTCTTGATTGAAACACATTTATTGAATTATTGAAGAACTAGATGTAAAATCCTGATTAATCACCAAACAACTTCAATACTTTAAGTAAACAAGGTTGATAGTTGCTTTCTATACATGTATATGTGCAAATAAATGGCTACTAAGTAAGAAAGTATTTTCTTTTGTTCTTAGGTTACATTTATTTCCTCTTAAATATTTTCAATGTTTCTATGACTGCTTATGTTTCATTACTTTCTACACAGTGTTTTCTCATACAGTTAAAATATTAAACCTGGGGGATCTGGCAAGATGGCCAAATAAGAACAGCTCTGGTCTGCAGCTCCCAGTGAGACCAATGCAGAAGGTGGGTGACTTCTGCATTTCCAACTGAGGTACCCAGTTCATCTCATCAAGACTGGTTATATAATGGGTGCAGCCCACGGAGGGTGAGCAGAAACAGGGTGGGGCTCTGTCTCACCTGGGAAACACCAGAGGCCAGGTAACTCTTTCCCCTTCCCAAGGGAAGCCTTGAAGGACTGTGCTGTGAGGGACTGTGCTATGTGGCCCAGATACTATGCTTTTCCCACAGTCTTTGCAACCCACAGACTAGGAGATTCCCTCGGATGCCTGCATCACCAGGGCCCTGGGTTTCAAGCACAAAACTGGGCAGCCGTTTGGGCAGACATCGAGCTAGCTGCAGGAGTTTGTTTTTTATACCCCAGTGGTGACTGGAAACCCAGTGAGACAGAACTATTTACTCCCCTGGAAAGGGGGCTGAAGCCAGAGAGCCAAGTAGTCTTGCTCAGCAGGTCCCACACCCACAGAGCCCAGCAAGCTAAGATCCACTGGCTTGAAATTCTCACTGCCAGCACAGTAGTCTGAAGTCAACCTAGGACAATTGAGCTCGGTGGGGGAAGGGGTGTCTGACATTACTGAGGCTTGAGTAGGTGGTTTTCCCCTCACAGTGTAAGCAAAACCTCCAGGAAGTTCAAACTGGGCGGAACCCACCACATTGTGGCAAAGCCACTGTAGCCAAACTGCCTTTCTAGATTCCTCCTCTCTGGGCAAGCCTTCTCTGAAAGAAAGCCAGCAGCCCCAGTCAGGGGCTTATAGATAAAACTCCCATCTCCCTGGGACAGAGCACCTGAGGGAAGGGGTGGTTGTGGGCGCAGCTTCAGCAGACTTAAACATTCCTGCCTGCCAGCTCTGAAGAGAGCAATGGATCTCCCAGCACAGTGCTCAAGCTCTGCTAAGGGACAGAGTGCCTCCTTAAGTGGGTCCCTGACCCCTGTGCCTCCTGATTGGGAGATATCAGGGGTCAGCAGACACCTCATACAGGAGAGCTCTGGCTGGCAACTGGCAGGTGCCCCTCTGGGACGAAGCTTTCAGAGGAAGGAGCAGGCAGCAATCTTTACTGTTCTGCAGCCTGCACTGGTGATACCCAGGCAAACAGGGTCTGGAGCGGGCCTCCAGCAAACTCCAGCAGACGTGTAGCAGAGGGCCTGTCTGTTAGAAGGAAAACTAACAAACAGAAAGCAATAACATCAACATCAACAAAAAGGATACCCACGAGAAACTCCATTCAAAGGTCATCAGCATCAAAGATCAAAGGTCATCAGCATCAAAGATCAAAGATCAAACATCAAAGGTCATCAGCATCAAAAACCAAAGGATAAATCCACGAAGATGAGGAAAAACCAGTGCAAAAAGGCTGAAAATGCCAAAAAGCAGAATACCACTTCTCCTCCAAAGGATCACAACTCCTTGCCAGCAAGGGAACAAAACTGGATGGAGAATCAGTTTGATGAATTGAGAGAAGTAGGCTTCAGGAAATGGGTAATAACAAACTCCTCCAAGCTAAAGGAGCATGTTCTAACCCAATGCAAGGAAGCTAAGAACCTTGATAAAAGGTTGCAGGAACTGTTAACTAGAATAACCAGTTTAGAGAAGAACATAAATGACCTAATAGAGCTGAAGAATGCAGCATGAGAACTTTGCGAAGCATACACAAGTATTAATAGCTGAATTGATCAAGCAGAAGAAAGGATATCAGAGATTGAAGAACAACTTAATAAAGTGTAAAGACAAGATTAGAGAAAAAAGAATGGAAAGGAAAGAAACAAAGCCTCCAAGAAATATGGGACTATGTGAAAAGACCAAACCTGTGATTGATTGATGTACCTGAAAGTGATGGGGAGATGGAACCAAGTTGGAAAACACACTTCAGGAAATTATCTAGGAGAAATTCCCCAACCTAGCAAGACAGGTTAACATTCAAATTCAGGAAATTCAAGGAACACCACTAAGATACTCCTCGAGAAGAGCAACCCCAAGACACATAATTGTCAGATTCACCAAGGTTGAAATGAAGGAAAAAATGTTAAGGGCAGCCAGAGAGAAAGGTCGGGTTACCCACAAAGGGAAGACCATCAGACTAACAGCGGATCTCTTGGCAGAAACCCTACAAGCCAGAAGAGAGTGAGGCAATATTCAACATTCTTAGAAGAATTTTCAAAACATAATTTCATGTCTAGCCAAACTAAGCTTCCTAAGTGAAGGATAAATAAAATCCTTTACAGATAAGCAAATGCTGAGGGATTTTGTCACCCTTAGGCCTACCTTACAAGAGCTCCTGAAAGAAGCACTAAAATATGGAAAGGAAAAACCAGTACCAGCCACTGCAAAAACATAACCAAAATGTAAAGACTAATGACACTATGAAGAAACTGCATCAACTAATGTGGAAAATAACCAGCTAGTCTCATGATGACAGAATCAAATTCACATATAACAATATTAACCTTAAATGTAAATGGGCTATATGCCCCAATTAAAAAACACAGACTGGTAAATTGGATAATCAGTCAAGGCCCATCAGTGTGCTGTATTCAGGAGACCCATCTCACGTACAAAGACACACATAGGCTTAAAATAAAGAGATGGAGGAACATTTACCAGGCAAATGAAAAGCAAAAAATCAGCAGTTGCAATCCTAGTCTCTGATAAAACAGACTTTAAACAAAGATAAAACAAACAAACAAACAAACAAAGAAGGGCATTACATAATTGTAAAGGGATCAATGCAACAAGAAGAGCTAACTATCCTAAATATATTTGCACCCAATACAGGAGCACCCAGATTCATAAAGCAAGTTTTTAGAGACCCACAAAGAAACCTAGACTCCCACACAATAGTAGTGGGAGACTTTAACGCCCCACTGTCAATGTTAGACAGATCAATGAGACAGAAAATTAACAAGGATATTCAGGACTTGAACTCAGCTCTGGACCAAGCGGACCTAACAGACATCTACAGAACTCTCCTCCTCAAATCAACAGAATATACATTCTTCTCAGCACCACATAGCACTTATTCTAAAATTGACCACATAAATGGAAGTAAAGCACTCCTCAGCAAATGCAGTAGAATGGAAATCATAACAAACAGTCTCTCAGACCACAGTGCAATCAAATTAGAACTCAGGATTAAGAAACACGTTCAAAACTGCACAACTACATGGAAACTGAACAACCTGCTCCTGAATGACTACTGGGTAAATAACAAAATTAAGGCAGAAATAAAGAAGCTCTTTGAAATCAGTGAAAGCAAAGATACAATGTACCAGAATCTCTGGGACACCGCTAAAGCAGTGTTTAGAGGGAAATTTATAGTACTAAATGCTCACATCAGAAAGAGGGAAAGATATAAAATCCACACCCTAACATCGCAATTAAAAGAACTAGAGAAGCCAGAGCAAACAAATTCAAAAGCTAGCAGAAGACAAGAAATAACTAAGATCAGAGCAGAACTGAAGGAGTTAGAAACACAAAAAATCCTTCGAAAAAATCTGAATCCAGGAGCTGGTGTTTTGAAAAGATTAACAAAAAGGATAGACTACTAGCCAGAATAATAAGAAGAAAAGAGAGAAGAATCAAATAGATAAAATAAAAAATGATAAAAGGAATATCACCACTGATCCAACAGAAATACAAACTACCATCAGAGAACACTATAAACATTTATAGGTAAATAAACTAGAAAATCTACAAGAAATTGATAAATTCCTGGACACATACACCCTCCCAAGACTAAACAAGGAATAAGTCGATTCCCTAAATAGACCAATAACAAGTTATGAAAATGAGGCAGTAATTAATAGCTTAACAACCAAAAAAAGCCCAGGACCAGATGGAATCACAGCCGAATTCTACCAGAGATACAAAGAAGAGCTGGTACCATTCCTTCTAAAACTATTTCAAGCAATAAAAAAAGAGGGGCTCCTCCCTAATTCATTTTATGAGGCCAGCATCATCCTGATGCCAAAACCTGGCAGAGACACAAGAAAAACAAAAGATTTCAGGCCCATATCTTTGATAAACATTGATGTGAAAATCCTCAATAAAATACTGGCAAGCTGAATCTAGCAGCACATCAAAAAAGCTTATCAACCACAATCAAGTCGGCTTCATCCCTGGGATGCAAGTCTCGTTCAACATACGCACATCAATAACGTTATCCATCACATAAACAGAACCAATGACAAAAAACACAGTATTATCTCAATAGATGCAGAAAATTCCTTTGATAAAATTTAACACAACTTCATGCTAAAAACACTCAATAAATTAGGTATTGATGGAACGTATCTCAAAATAATAAGAGCTATTTATGACAAACCGACAGTCAATATCATACTGCATGGGCAAGAGCTGGAAGCATTCCCTTTGAAAACTGGTCAAAAACAAGGATGTGCTCTCTCACCACTCCTATTCAACGTAGTACTGGAAGTTCTGGCCAGGACAATCAGGAAAGAGAAAGAAATAAAGGGTATTCAAATAGGAAGAGAGGAAGTCAAATTGTCTCTATTTGCAGATGACATGATTGCATATTTAGAAAACCCCATCATCTTAGACCAAAATCTCCTTAAGCTGATAAGCAACTTCAGCAAAGTCTCAGGATACAAAATCAATATGCGAAAATTACAAGCATTCCTATACACCAATCATAGACAAACAGAGAGTCAAACCATGGGTGAACTCCCATTCACAATTGCTACAAAGAGAATAAAATACCTAAGAATACAACTTACAAGGGATGTGAAGGACCTCTTCAAGGAGAACAAACCACTGCTCCAGGAAATAAGTGAAGACACAAACAAATGGTAAAACATTCCATGTTCATGGATAGGAAGAATCAATATCATGAAAATAGCCATACTGCCCAAAGTAATTTATAGATTCAATGCTATTCCCATCAAGCTACCATTGACTTTCTTCACAGAATTAGAAAAAACTACTTCAAATTTCATATGGAACCAAAAAAGAGCCTGTATAGCCAAGACAATCCTAAACAAAAAGAACAAAGCTGGAGGCATCACGCTACCTGACTTCAAACTATACTACAAGGCTACAGTAACCAAAACAGCATGCGACTGGTATCAAAACAGATATATAGACCAATGTAACAGAACAGAGGCCTCAGAAATAACACTATGCATCTACAACAATCTGATCTTTGACAAACCTGACACAAACAAGCAATGGGGAAAGGAGTCCCTATTTAATAAATGGTGAAAACTGGCTAGCCATATGCAGAAAACTAAGACTGGACCCCTTCCTTACACCTTCTACAAAAATTAATTTAAGATGGATTAAAGACTTAAATGTAAGACTTAAAACCATAAAAACCCTAGAAGAAAACCTAGGCAATACAATTCAGGACATAGGCATGGGCAAAGACTTCATGACTAAAACACCCAAAAGCAATTACAACAAAAGCCAAAATTGACAAATGGGATCTAATTAAATAAACAGTTTCTTCAACAGCAAAAGAAACTATCATCAGAGTGAACAGGCACCCTACAGAATGGGAGAAAATGTTTGCAATCTAGCCACCTGACAAAGGGCTAATATCCAGAATCTACAAGGAACTTAAACAAATTTATAAGAAAAAAACAAAGAACCCCATCAAAAAGTGGATAAAGAGTATGAACAGACACTTCTCAAAAGAAGACATCTATGTGGCTAACAAACGTGAAAAAAAGCTCATCCTCACTGGTCATTAGAGAAATGCAAATCAAAACCACAATGAGATACCATCTCACGCCAGTTAGAATGGTTTAATTGTCATTAAAAAGTCAGGAAACAACAGATGCTGGAGAGGATATGGAGAAATAGGAACGCTTTTACACTGTTGGTGGGAGTGCAAATTAGTTCAACCATGTGGAAGACAGTGTGGTGATTCCTCAAGTATCTAGAACCAGAAATACCATTTGACCCAGTAATTCCATTACTGGGTATATACCCAAAGGATTATAAATTATTATACTATGAAGGCATATGCACACATATATTTATTGCAGCACTATTTACAATACCAAAGACTTGGAACAAGCCCAAATGCCCATCAATGATAGACTGATAAAGAAAATGTGGCACATATACACCATGGAATACTATGCACATATTAAAATTAATGAGTTCATGTCCTTTGCAGGGACATGGGTGAAGCTGGAAACCATCATTCTCAGCAAACTAACATGAAAAGAAAACCAAACACTGCATTTTCCCACTCATAAGTGGAGTTGAACAATGAGAACATATGGACACTGGGAGGGAACATCACACACTGGAGCCTGTTGTGGGGTGGGGGGAAAGGGGAGGGAGAGCCTTAGGAGAAATACCTAATGCATGTGGGTCTTAAAACCTAAATGACGGGTTGATGGGTGCAGCAAATCACCATGGCACATGTATACCTATGTAACAAACCTTCACTTTCTGCACATGTATCCCAGAATTTAAGGTATAATAAAATTTTAAAAAAAGGTACTTAAGTAAGAAAACTAGTAATTCTAAAAAAAAAAAAAAAGAAAGAAAGAAAGGACATGGGAATCTTGATTCTTTTCTGTCTTGTAATGAATTATTTTTTAAGAAATATTACGTTTATATTCATGAACAAGGGATAATAAATAAACACCTACCTACTGGCCATGTGGTTTGGCAACTTTGTAAGCCTCTGTTTCCAAGCGAGTAATATCCCTCTAAATAAAAGTTCTCACAATTTGGAAATAAATAAATAAATAAATATTGGCTGTGTGTGGTGGCTCACACCTGTAATCCCAGCACTTTGGGAGGCCAAGGCACGTGGATCACCTGAGGTCAGGAGTTCGAGACCTTCCTGGCCAACATGGCAAAACCTTGTCTCAATTAAAAATACAAAAATTAGCCGGGTGTGGTGGTGCATGCCTGTAATCCCAGCTACTGGTGGGGGCTGAGGCAGGAGGATTACTTGAACCAAGGAGGTGGAAGTTGCAGTGAGCTGAGATTGGGCTACTGCCCTCCAGCCTGGGCAACAGAGCAAGGCACCATCTGAAAAAAAAAAATAATAAACCAAACCCATGTCTTCTAAGAGCAATATTTTAAATAAATAGAGTTTATAGGAGTTCTTTTCTACTCAGACATAGTCTGGCTTCAAAACCATTAACTAATCAATGACAAAACCTTGGCTGCCCCCCACCACAGTTGTTGTAATTGTGATCCTGGAAAGCAAACTGTACAATCAGAGCTTCATGCTCATTCTTTCACCATTAGTGTAGAAATTTGAATTTAACACTGATCTATAAATGGCCACATGATTAATAACATATTTCTTCAAATGATCTGAAGAAAAAATAGAAAAATATTTTTTTCAAGAAAAATATCCTTTTTTATTGATATTCAATTCCTCTTTGCATTCAATTACATAAGTGACTACAACTAGACTTTTATACTTAATTTTCAGTATTACAAATTCCTCCCAAACTGTTTTCATTACTTAATTACTCTGGAATATAATTACATGTAATAATTTATTTTCCTCATAATATCTATTAAATAATGTTTGTTATTTATTCACAGGTTTTATAGATTAGAAACTTAATTGAAAGAACAGATGTAGACTTGTTTTATCTTTCTTTCCCCAGAAATATTAGGTAAATGTAAAATACATGAGGGTGTATTTTTATATATATAAGCTTACATATATGCATGTACTATTTGTTTATATTATGTGTGTGTGTGTGTGTGTGTGTGTGTGTGTGTGTGATATGTACAATTTGGTGGCTTCCATGTCCTTTCTGATTTTTTTATGTTTCTATGTACCTCTATACCAATGCCATCCTTTAAAAATTAAAGTTACTGACGTTGCACAGTGATGTCTTCCCTCCTTGACACACCTCCACATTCTCTAAACTTGGATTAAAATTTATTTCCTTCAGATTTGTGTAGGTATTCGTTCATTGTTTATTGTTGTTAACTATTGCAGTTTTGTACACTTATAGTTTATAACACTTTCTAAATAGCTTAATGGTTAGTATTTCTTAATTTTATGCTTTATAAAAAAGGAGCACTATACATAGGTATAAAGATTAATGTATATGTCCACTTGACTGGGCCATGGAGTGCCCTGATATTTGGTCAAAAATTTTTCTGGGAGTTTCTGTGAAGGTATTTTTGGTTGAAATTAACATTTAAATTGTTAGACTGAGTAAGGCAGTTGTCCCCTCTCCCCCTACCCAGTGTGTGGGCCTTATGCATTTAACTGAAGGCCTGACTAGAAAAAGGCCACCCCTCCTCCAAGTAGGCAAGAATTTTCCTGCTTGAGAGCCTTTGGACTGAAACTTTGACACCTCCTGTGTCTACAGTAGCTTATTCCTTTGAACTTGAACTGGAACATCAGCTCTACAGATTTTGGATTTGCCAGCCTCGTAAATGCATGCGCTGAATCATTGTTCTCTCTCTCTCTCTCTCTCTTTCTATATATATATATATGAAATCTGGTTCTGTTTCTCTGGAGATCCCTCATACAGCAGCCTTCTGCAATTTGTGTTCTCGCTCAATATTTGTATATTATCAATTCATGTTGTTGTGTAGAGCTACAATTCAACAATTACAAATGTAGTCTAGTATTCCATTCTGTAAATATAACAAAACTAATGTGTCTATTCTTTTGTCAATGGACATTTAGACTTTTTTCCTTTAGTGTTTTACTATTTTAAACAATGTTATGACTATGTGAGTACTTTGGCTTATTGTACTTCTGTAAGAGATTGCCCATGGTATAATACATGCCTTGAAAAAGGAATTGCTCATTTGTAAAGTATATGGCTTTTCAGTTTTTCGGTAAAATTCCCAGAGTTGCACTTATTTATATTGCAGTGAGTAGCTTATAAGATTTCCATTGGCACACACCCTCACCAATATCTGTAATAATAATCTGTAATATAGGGAATGCAAAATATTATACTATTGTCATCCTGATTCATATTTATCTTATTATTAATAGGTTTAAGCATTTTCCATATGTTGATTTATATGTACCTTTCATCTCCTATAAAATGCTGTTCTTTTATTTTGGTCACTTCCCTGTTGAGATGTTTGTCTCTTTATTTTATTGATTCATTAATGTACTCTTTCAACAAATATTTATTGATTGTGTCCTGCTTGCCAGACACTCTTCTAGTTACTGGAACACAACATAAAACAAAATAGACAAATATGCCTCCTTCAAAGATTTAAATTTTATGAAGGAATATAGACAATACACAAAATAAGTGCATGAACTATACAGTAATCAGAAAATGATCATTGCTTTGAAGAAACAAAGCAGGGAAAGTGAATAGAGAATGAAGGAGAGGTTTGCAATATGTTGTTTATAAAAAATTTGTTTATTGTTTGTATTAGGGTTCTCTAGAAGGACAGAACTACTAGGACAGATGTATACATGAAGGGGAGTTTATTAAGGAGTATTGACTCACAAGATCACAAGGTGAAGTCCCGTAACAGACTGCCTGCAAGCTGAGAGCAAGGAAGCCAGTCCGAGTCCCAAAACCTCAAAAGTAGGGAAGCTGACAGTTCAGCCTTCAGTCTGTGGCCAAAGGCTAGAGAACCCAGGCAAACTACTGGTGTAGATCCAAGAGTCCAAAAGCTGAAGAACTTGGAGTCCGATTGTCCAGGGCAGGGAGCATCCAGCCTGTGAGAAACATGGAGGCCAGCAAATTTAGCCAGTCTAGCCCTTTGCCTGCTTTTATCTTAACCTTGCTGGCAGCTGATTAGATGGTGCCCACCCAGATTGAGGGTGGGTCTGCCTCTCCCAGTCCACTAACTCAAATGTTAATCTCCTTTGGCAACACCTTCACAGACACACCCAGGAACAACACTTTGCATCCTTCAATCCAATCAAGTTAACAATCAATATTAACCATCACACTGTTTTTAAGATAAATAAAATTAACTATTTTAACATGGTGAAACTTGTCACTGTTTTTCTTTCAAGGGTTATAAATTTTGTGTCTTATTTAATAAATATTTAAAATATTTTTCCAATTTTCTGCTGATTTTGTTTTTATCTTTTTGTCTTTTATACTTAAGTCATGAATGTATTTGGAGTTCACTTATTGTTCTGCGGTATGATATACATAACCTCAAATTTTTTTCCCACATAGATAACTAGCTACAAAGTTATTGAAAATTTTTTTCCTTTCTAAACTGTGTTTTTGTGTTTTCTGTTTATCTCTACTCGTTTCTTTGTGAACCAATACATTTCTATCTTAACAAATATTGGTTTATAAGAAGTCGATATCTAGTAGTGCATTTCCTCACCTTATCCTTTTGCTTTCCAGGCAGTTTTCACTATTGGTGGACCTTTGCGTTTTCTTTTTTTTTTTTTTTTTTTTTTTTTGCTTGGTAGGGATTTTAATTTTATTCTGACTCTCGTGGGAAGATGAGGAAAGATCTTTATTATTATTATTATTATTATTATACTTTAAGTTTTAGGGTACATGTGCACAACGTGCAGGTTTGTTACATATGTATACATGTGCCATGTTGGTGTGCTGCACCCATTAACTCCTCATTTAGCATTAGGTATATCTCCTAATACTATCCCTCCCCCTCCCCCCACCCCATAACAGTCCCCGGTGTGTGATGTTCCCCTTCCTGTGTCCATGTGTTCTCATTGTTCAATTCCCACCTATGAGTGAGAACATGCAGTGTTTGGTTTTTTGTCCTTGCGATAGTTTGCTGAGAATGATGGTTTCCAGCTTCATCCATGTCCCTACAAAGGACATGAACTCATCCTTTTTTATGGCTGCATGGTATTCCATGGTGTATATGTGCCACATTTTCTTAATCCAGTCTATCATTGGTGGACATTTGGGTTGGTTCCAAGTCTTTGCTATTGTGAATAGTGCCACAATAAACATACGTGTGCATGTGTCTTTATAGCAGCATGATTTACAATCCTTTGGGTATATACCCAGTAATGGGATGGCTGGGTCAAATGGTATTTCTAGTTCTAGATCCCTGAGGAATCACCACACTGACTTCCACAATGGTTGAAGTAGTTTACAGTCCCACCAACAGTGTAAAAGTGTTCCTATTTCTCCACATCCTCTTCAGCACCTGTTGTTTCCTGACTTTTTAATGATAGCCATTCTAACTGGTGTGAGATGGTATCTCATTGTGGTTTTGATCTGCATTTCTCTGATGGCCAGTGATGGTGAGCATTTTTTTCATGTGTTTTTTGGCTGCATAAATATCTTCTTTTGAGAAGTGTCTGTTCATATCCTTTGCCCACTTTTTGATGGGGTTGTTTGTTTTTTTTTCTTTTAAATTTGTTTGAGTTCATTGTAGATTCTGGATATTAGCCCTTTGTCAGAGGAGTAGATTGCAAAAATTTTCTCCCATTCTGTAGGTTGCCTGTTCACTCTGATGGTGGTTTCTTTTGCTGTGCAGAAGCTCTTTAGTTTAATTAGATCCCATTTGAGAATTTTGGCTTTTGTTGCCATTGCTTTTGGTGTTTTAGACATGAAGTCCTTGCCCATGCCTATGTCCTGAATGGTATTGTCTAGGTTTTCTTCTAGGGTTTTTATGGTTTTAGGTGTAACATGTAAGTCTTTAATCCATTTTGAATTAATTTTTGTATAAGGTGCAAAGAGGGGATCCAGTTTCAGCTTTCTACATATGGCTAGCCAGTTTTCCCAGCACCATTTATTAAATAGGGCATCCTTTCCCCATTGCTTGTTTTTGTCAGGTTTGTCAAAGATCAGATAGTTGTAGATATGTGGCATTATTTCTGAGGGCTCTATTCTGTTCCATTTGTCTATATCTCTGTTTTGGTACCAGTACCATGCTGTTTTGGTTACTGTAGCCTTGTAGTATAGTTTGAAGTTTCTAAATCAGGTAGCAAAAGTTTCTAAATCAGTTTATTGAGGTCCACCACAAAACCCTATTGGAATTTTTATTGCAATTACTGTGAACCCTTAGATCCTTTGTTTGTTTGTTTGTTTGTAACAGAATTAATACATTTACAACATGTACAACATGAAGTCTTTCTCTTTATATTCAAGGTAAGTTTTTCTGTTTGTGTTTCCTTTAATGTGTATCAGTAAAGTTTTGTTTTTTGTTTTTTGTGTTTTTACAGAGTCCTTTTAGTGTTTGTATGTTTTATGGGTAGGTAATTGATATTTTAGTTACTGTTGCTGTAAATGTTTCTTAATTATTTATAGCTGATGAACAAAAGGGCAATTGATTTTTATCAATTATCTTAAATCCTCTAACCCTACTAAATTTTCTTTTTTGTAAAAAGATGTTCATAAATTGTTTTGGTATTCTCTATGCAGTTAATCATATCATTTTCATAAGCAGTTTCATTTACTGTTTTGCAAACTTTTTTTTGTCTTTGTATACCTACTAGGACATCCGGTACCTTGTTTTTATTATTGTTTACACTAATAAGTACTTACAACATTTATTAGAAGATCTCTTTTGATTCATCTGACACCTGTTAGACTGGCTATTATAGAAAAGATGAAGGATGACAAGCATTGGAAGAATGGGGAGAAAAGAGAACCCTTGTACCCTTTTGGTGAGAAAGAAAGTATATTAGTACAGTCATTATGAAAAACAGTATAAATGTTTCTAAAAAATGCTTTTATTTGTAGAATTAATTGTAACTGGATTCATTCTAATTTATAGAACTGTTTCAGTGCTTTTTTTTAGTTTGGCTTGTTACATGTTTATTTAAATGTAGCCATTTTGTCTAAGTTTCTAAATGTCCTGGCATATTTTTTGTCATAACATCATTTTATAACATGATAATCTGTGTTATATATAAGGTTAATTTTTTCCCCAATGGCATTAACTCATGTTCTCTATTTTTTGAATAAATAACCTTTTTAGAAGTTTCTGTATTTCATTAGCATTTTCACAGAAGAAACTCATCTTGTGCATTGTGTTTATTTGCTTTTTAATAAATTTATTTTTATCCTTATTAACTCTTCATATTAACACTTTTGGAAATATCTTGTGATTTCATTAATTTCTTAAATGATTATACTAATTTCATTCTTGTTTATTTCCTAATGTAAAAATGTAAGGATAATATTGCCCTTTAATAATACTCATCTCATCTTGTAATTGTCGTATGTAGGGTTTCAATTATGTATATTATTTGCAGTTTTTGCCATTACAAGTAATTACTGCTACCACATAGTGTTGGAATCTTCTCTTTACCTTCCTGATCCATTGTTCATCCTTCTCTGCCCTGACCTATTAATTAGCTGTAACTTAACTTCTTTTTTGTATCATCCATTTCCTTCTATATTCATGCTGCATTCTGTCCACTTCTATTTTTTCCTTAGTGCTTCTAATATATTTTTATTCCATAAATTATTATGTTTGGTTCTATATTTGTTTCCTGTATTTTTCATCTTTGTATTGCATTTAAAAAAATAAAACTGTATATTCTTATTTATTTGTTCGATAGCTGGAAGAACTGTGAGATATTTCTTTTTGTTCTAGGATGTTATATTCTGGATTGAGCTGTTTTGATATTCCAAGTAATTATTTGCCTTTTCATTTTTAATTTTTGAAGGTTAATAATTCATTTGCATAATAACCTTAAAGTTACTTTTCTCTTTGTTCGTATATTGTGTGGGTGACTTTCTGCACCTGTCTCTTCTTTGTCCAAGTCTGCTTTCCAGCCTGGAAAGTCACCATTTCAGCACTGGTGAGATATTGGGGGCAGGTAGGAGAGCACAGATGAATGGATGTACAGTTTTTATGGAACAAAGTTGATAGTTCTTTTTTGATTCTGCCTTCATGTAGGAGGATTTTTTAAATATCCTATACCTAAGTTAATTACTTATCTTTGGAAAGTGCGTCCTACTCCTGTATGGCTTTAAATTAATTCTCCAATGTACCATGTATTATAATATTAGAGTATTTATATCATGGATCCAGGCCTCTATTCATTTCTTTTGTTTCATTCCTTGCAATATTTTTTAATCTCGTTGTCATTAGAAAGTAAACATTTTAACTTTTTTTCTAGAAATTGCAACATTAGTGAAAAATAAGGGCTTGCCTGTTTTCATCTTTTTGTGTACCAAATAAAAATATTTTTTATCCAAATAATAAAGAAAATTTACTTTTAAAATAAATTAAGACTATAAGTAAGCTTACAATTCCCCTACATAATTTTAAAATGTCAAATTCTGTTATTTTACTATTTAAGGAGAAATAAGTACAATACTTAGAAAATTTATAAAACGCATAACATTGATAACTGGTTTGGGAGACAATGAGTCTCATAACAAAAGTGTTAACAAGCACTGATAATCGAAGTAAATAAAAAGTGAAATACATTTCTGAAATGATGACATAAAACAATAAGAAATGATATTGTACTTAGAAGTTTGGGGTCATGTACATAGTTATAAAGTAAGTTATGTTTAAATTAGAATCAGAGTATGATGCGTTTATGATATTACAAATATACGGTGCTTCTGCTTTTTTCCCCTTTTCTTCCTCCTCCTTTTCCTCCTTCCTCTAGAATAGCTCAGTATTTTATTTTAAATTCTAAAATGAGTTTGAACAGGTATGTGGCCGACTTGCCTTAAATCTGAGTTGCCCTGAATTGTGTCTGCCAAAAAGGTGATGAAGTGACTCTGCATGTTGTGTTGAATAATTTTGCAACATCCATTTAGGAGTTTACTTTTAACATCACTTAACAGAGATATATGAACTAATAGCTCTTTATCATTTCAATAGATATTCGACCTAAACCCATCATATTTAAACGTTCATATTATAAATTGTTGCTGATAAACGTTTTATAGATGATGTAAGGTAAAATTGTACATCAACAAAGCTGAGATCATTGAGTTATTGATTCAATGCTCCTTGCTAAAATTATCAAGCTAAATATGATGTCAGTGCAGAGATCAAACAGGAATGAAATCTATTAGTCTCTGTCATTATGCTTTTAATTTATGGAATGTTTTAAATTTAGTGTGTATTTTCTATCTTGGTCACTACCAATACTTCAGAATCGTCAGTAAATCAAAATGTAAAGCATGAAAGGTGTAACTTACGTCTTTTACATGTCTCTTTCCTTAATCTATGTATATTTATCATTTGCCTTCTTAAATGGAGTATATTGACAAGGCTGTATAGTGATGATGGATGTTCCATATCATGCATGTACATTCATATTTTGCTTAAAAACATTACCAAGACTCTTGGTTGTAAAAAGTCACAAATTATAATTGCAGATGAGCAACTGATAAATGTTTCTAATCTGCCGCCATAGTGAATTTGTGGGACATCTAAACCTGTGTTATTTTGGTATTCACTAGTTTGGTAGACATACTATAAGTGCTTTTCTGAATCATTAAAATTTCATATTTAATGTAAGATTATGTCTTTGGATTAAATAAATAGTGAAGTACATAAAGGAGTAAGGGGGTATTTTTGTACTTATTGGTGATTTTTACCTATTTCAAGGTTCTTGTTTGTAATTATGTATATAAAAATATTTTGTGTGTGTGTGTGAATCTGATGGGTGAAATGATTTTTACAATTGTTTTGTAAAATTCATTTGTCTAAATAATACTGAAATTGAAAATTGCCACAGAATATACTTTACTTCTATATTTAGCTGTAATTTCTATATTTAAAATTTGAAGTCATCTGTCTATTGTTGTGTCACAAAACTATTACTCTGTTATTTATCTCTTTGCTTAGAGTGCTGATCTTTTCATATGTTGGTAGGTTTTCATTTTTATATAAAGAAATATACATATTTCCCTTATCACTTCTGGGGTGTGTGTGTTTTGGAAGGTATTTCCGCTCTCAGGATTTTTATTTGCATTACTTGTATATTCTTCTAGTGCTTTTATTCTTTTTATTTTAACTTTTTATAGTTATTTAATTCATGTTGATATTTTTGTCTATAATAAGGAATTGGAATTTTTAATCTAGCTTTAGACTGTGTAGCCAATTATTTTAGCACCATTAATTGAATAAATCATTGTTTTTTCTACTGAGTTGAAATGGCTTTATATTCATATATAAGATTATTTCAGTCTTTATATTTCATTCTATTCATTTATTTTATTTATATATATATATATATATATATATATATATATATATATATATATGCTTTCTTTTTGAGATAGGGTCTCATTCTGTTGCTCAGGTTGGAGTGCAGTGGCGCAATCACGGCTTACTGCAGCCTTGCCCTCCTAGGTTTAAGTGATCCTTCTGCCTCAGCCTCCAGGTAGCTGGGACCACAGGTGCACATCACCATGCCCAGCTAATTTTCGTATTTTTCTTAGAGCTGGGCTTTTACCATGTTGCCCAGGCTGGTCTTGAACCCCTGAGATCAAGCAATCTGTCTCGCCTCAGCCTCCCAGAGTGCTGGAATTACAGGCATGAGCTACCATGCCTGGCCTAATTTTCATATTATAAACATTTTAATAATTTCAATAGCTTTAAAGTAAGCCAATAAAGTTATTATCATACATCTTTATTTGTTTTTCTATGTCAAAAAAATTTTTTTGGTAATAGCTATTCTAACAGGTGTGAGATGATACAGGCTGATGGTGGGGCTGAGTAAAGGGAAATACTGATCAAATGGTACAAAGTTTCAGGAAGACTGGAAGAATAAGTTTTAGTGATCCATTGGACTGCATGGTTAATAATAATATATTGTATATTTCACAATTGCTAAAAGAATCAATTTTATGTTCTTACCACAAGAAGAAGGATAAATTTGTGAGATGATGGATATGTTAATTAGCTTGATTGACTCTTTCTGCAGTGTGTTCATAGATTAAAACATCACCGTGTACCCCATAAATATATATAATCATTATTCATCAATTAAAAAATAAGTGCATTGACAAAAATACTTTTGATGATGATTTTGTATTGCTCTTTTAGAAGATTTTCATATGTGTCTTGTCAGCAAAATTGGAATTACATTGTTTTATAATTATATTAGCCTGGGGGTCATTATTTGGTTTACATTTGAAATTTAACTGGGAAAGTTCTTCACATATAAAAACTTACAGAAAAACACACTTGTGTGGTCAACTTGTTTTGACCAAAATTTGAGTGTAGGTTTGTCATACTTTGATCAATGTACATTTTGTAGCAAACAAGATTGAGTGTATTAGAGTTACACTCTTATCATGTTCATATGAATGTCATGTTTAATATTGTCATGGGTTCAAGAAGTGTTTACAGATTCAACCGATAATAAGATAACCTCCTTAACTTAGACTTGTGTGAGCATTAATTCAATGATATATGTCAATTTAATGCCTAGGTTGTAAATGCTGCTTACATATCGGAGGGCCAGCTGCGCACATGCATTGCCACAACTAACGTTGTGATATATTGAAATATATATCAATACTGTGATATATTGATAAATATATATTGTGATATATAAGAAATAATCTGATATATTATTTCTTACTAAAGTTCACACTTGATTCAGATATGTTCCATTTTTTCCTAGTGTTCTTTTTCTGTTCCACGATTCCATCCAGGATACCAAATTTCATTGAATGGTCATGTCTCCTGTGGCTGTGACAGACTTTGTTTTCATGATCATGACAGTTCTGAGAACTGACTAGGTATTTTGTGGAATGTCTTTTCAGCTGGGGTTTGCCTGGTGTTTTCCTA
This sequence comes from Homo sapiens, assembly GCF_000001405.40. Lineage (NCBI taxonomy): Eukaryota > Metazoa > Chordata > Mammalia > Primates > Hominidae > Homo > Homo sapiens. The sequence continues at coordinate 52,174,059 of NC_000005.10, forward strand.
TGATTAGACTGGATTATAGATTTTTGGGGAGGAAGACCTCAAAGATGAAGTGTTATTCTCATTAGGTCGTATGAAGAACACCTATTATAAATAGGTTATTATTTATAAATAGGTATTTATTTATTTATAAATAGGCATTTATTTATAAATAGGTTATTATTTATTATTTATTAACATTATTGATGTTACTTTGAACACCTGGCTTGAGATATTGTTGGTCAGATTTATCCAGTCTGTTTTTCTCCCTCTCTTGCCATATTGTACTATATGGCAGAAATTTACTTTATTTAGCCCACACATAAGGAATGAGAAATTATGCTTCACCTCCCAAGGGTAGAGTATCTTTATAAATTATTTAACATTCTTCAACTGGGAGATTAGTCCATTAATTCATTAATTGAATCATTTTTATATTTGCATCAAATAATGAATATTTATTTTGTACCTTGGATCATAACTCAATACTCTTTATTTTGCTGCTCTACTTTTTCTAGCTTTGGTCTTTTGCAGTTATTTCAGTTGGCTCCTTCTTTCCTTGGTTCCTTTGAAGTCTTGAGTATGTCTATGTGCATGCCTATGTTTAGCCATTTTCTTATTTTCTGTTCCTGCAAAGCATTCCAGGTTCATCTTTTGGATTTCCCATCTCAGTTCTAGAATCAAGCGTTTCTCCAAAGAACTTTGCTTCTTTTACTTGGAGAATATTATTTTACATCAAGATCTGGATGCAATATTTACTATATATTTGAGTATATTTTAGAAGAAAACTGTTGTAACTAATTATTTTAAAGAAACATCTATCAGTATTTTGTTGGACTCTACTTGGGAGTAAACTAGATCATATTAGTGCCTTAATTTGAGTTAGCATACCTATTTAATAAAACTGAGTTAAATAATCAGTATTGCTCCTATTTTATTGACTGACATATTTCCTAATAAATGCCATTTATTATTTTACATTTTAAAAATATATAAAATGTAAAGGATGAGTAACAAAGCAGTTAATGTTAAAGTTAAATGTCAAATGTTAAAGTTAAATGTTTAAAAGTTAAAATATTCTCTTTTTAAAAATAATTACGAAGTCATTTTAACTTCATAGTCTTGATAGAGAAATAATAAATGATAAAAACTAGAGACTGTATGGGATAATGTAAAAACTTTGCTTCACCTTAAACAGTAATATATTCAATGTGTATACAAGTGGTTCATGGACTAATATGACCAAAATACAAAAATATAAGGCATTGCTATCATAACTAAAGCATTCAGCATGTCGTATCAACATTGTTGATATGTTCTGTGTATTATCTACGTAGTTCTTGAAATTGTATTAGCATAATCATGCCCCTGTGCATAACAACTATGTTTACTCATTTGATTTCTCTCTTCGTATATTATGTAGGCCTTAGTTAGATCTAAATTCGCATTCCTCTGCTGTTTATTCTGTCAGCGATTTGTCAAATCTCTTGATGCAAATACGTTGCATCAGCTTATTCAAAAGATGACTTCTTCATCTCCTCTCTGGAACGTTTTTCTATCTGGGCATGCACATATAAGATACTTCATAGTTAATGCATAAATAAAATATGCAATCTTGACAATATGAAGACTGAGCAATTGTATAATGAATTTGCCAACATTATTATCAACCTAAATAATAAAAATACTCATGTCAGTTTTCTTTAACCATTGTGATTTATTTTATATTTACAACAATTTTTTGGAACTGTACACTCTATTTGATTTTGTGGCTATGGAAAAGTTGTTATAATATATGTAAATACATGGTGATTTTATTTTCTAGTGTATGTAAAAACACAAAATTGAATACTTCCATCGAAGTTATTGTTCTCTGTCTCTTTTATCTCTGAGGGATCTTCTGAAAGTGTGTTATTTTATTCCTTATATTCATTAACGTATTTAACATAACACGTATACCTGTGTATTTGACTACCTTTTTAGAAAGCACAGAAGTGCTTTGGAAATAACTTTGACAGGCTAACCCATGAACAAAAACTAGATTCCTTTTTTCAATCACCACATTTTGAAAGGGAGTTTTAGAACACTGAGGAGATTGCCATGAAGGCAACTTGGAAGGTCCTCTAATGTTTCTTTTCTGGAGACACCCTTACTTCTCGTCATGTTCACCAGTCTTGCAATAATTCTGTTTCGGAAGCTAATAATAATTATCTATTATGAATCTCGACTTAAACAGAATCATCCATGGAAAGAGGGATTGCAATAAACCACAGTGGTAAAATCAAGAAATCCTTTGCAAATATTGAGGATATCACCCATTAATGGTGGTACATACAAGCACTGTTTTAAAATTTAAATTTAGCAAGTTATTAATTGATATTAGTGAATTTGTCATGTAACTGGTGCATCTTTATGTAGGTAAAAAGATTGGATATTAAATGTAAAGAGCATTAGAAGCACCTATTAAAATTATTAACTTCCTCGTGGTTTATTTCTTGGTCTAAAAGGGATTATAGGATTTATCAATTACTAAAGGCTACAACCCAGTGAGAAATTCCGAAAATTCTATATGTTTTTCTTCTACTAAACACATTGTGCCTTTAATTCCATAATTTAAATAATTGTGTTTAAAGGTAACTTGTCTTTTAGGATTAATCTGAAATTGAGGAATGTTATATTGTGGTTGGAGGCACAACAATTTGGGTGATAAATATCCCCTATCATCCATGATATAAATAAGCATTTAAAGTAATCCACACAATGTGAAAAAACACTCAGCAGATCAAGGCCAATGCCCTGCAAAGTTTCAATACATAGTAATAGTTATGGTGTCAAGTCAGGAAAATCCTTTTTATTTTAAAAATTTGGCTACTATAGGAGGAAGACTTATGTCTGTGTTTGTTTAAACATAAAAGAGACTAGCATAGAGCTGAACATAGGTAAATAGAGTCTCTTTAGCCATGTATAATATAGCCAGAGAATTTAATTTGGAGTCTGCAGTCTTCAGCTTGGTAATTCCCACAATAGGCTCTACAGGGAGAGTCAAACTTGGCAGTGATTGATAGTGTCTTTCAGAGCTTTCATGGTATAAAATGGTCATTATATAGATGACTGTTCTTTTAACAATATTTAAGTGGTAGCTGTGTTTAGCATTTCAGGTTGTAAACACAGTAAGAAGTCCAAAAAAATTATTCTCAAGCCAGAGACGTTAACAAGTCCACAAAATGGAGTAATGCCAAAGGGAAGAATCACAAACACTGGTACTGGAAACAAATACAGAGTCCTGAGCCAAGAAATCTTACTTATGATGCTTGCAAGGGTACAGAAAGGCCTGGGACAGTCTTTTCTGGAGTTATCTGTGCTGAATCAGCTTGTCCTTAATTAGATTACTTAATTCCCTGGCAGTGGCAAAGCCAAAGTCATTTCTGATGGACTCAAAGTTAAACTTACTCAAAGAGAATTTTGATGTTGAATAGAGACCCCATATACTTTTTACTTATTATACAACTTTTCTACAAAAGTGACAATGTCATGTTTTTAGAGAGTGAACATATACATTTTTTTTTCTATTTCAAAGGCCTTCTTAAAACATACCATGTGAATTAAGAATAAAACTCTCTAGCATCATGCTAATTTCTCAAAACAGTATTTTACATTCAAGGTCTATGTCAGAAACAGAACACAAGTTTTGATCTAAAAGCATATGTTGGATAGTCGTAAGATAGAATAAAACCAATAAATTCATCAATAAAAGGGAGTAAACAACTAACATGTGTAACAAAATGGATGCATCTCGTATATATTGAGCTAAAAGAAAGAATCCAGGGCCAAACAGTTACATATTTGCATTATTCCACGTACAGGATATTCTGGAAAAGGCAAATTTATAATGGCAGAAAATAGATTAGCTGTGCCCAGGGTGTCAGGGTGAGCTAATTGTTTAGGGTGATAGAAATGTGGGTAAATGACTATACATTTGCAAAAGCTCATACAATTATATACCTAAATAGAGTAAAATTTACTACATATAAATTATAATAAAGTAGATCTGACTTTTAAAATTAAATAATTTGGAAACTGTTAACGATTAAGTACTCTTTAGTACAGCCAATTAAAGAATTACAAAACTTCACAATGTATGTTAAATATTATAATTAGGAAACTTGGGCTTTTCTGTATAAAATAGACCAAAGAGGGAAGGTTTAAAGCTTAGAATGTCTAATTTCTTGGGTCTTTTCTTCTGTTTGTGCTGCTATAGCAAAATACCTGAGACTGGATTGCTTTCAATAAGAAAAATTTCTTTCTCCCAGTTCTGGAGGGTGGGAAGTCCAAGATCAAGATGCCAGCAAGTCTGGTGTGCGGTAAAGGCTACTGTCTGCTTTTAATATTGTGCCTTCTTCCTGTCCTCACAAAGCAGAAGAGTAGAAGAGAAAGAACCCATTCATCAAGCCCTTTTTTTTTTTTTTGAGACGGAGTCTCGCTCTGTCACCCAGGCTGGAGTGCAGTGAGTGGCACAGTCTAGGCTCACTGCAACATCTGCCTCCTGGGTTCAAGAGATTCTCCTGCCTCAGCCTCCCAAGTAGCTGGGACTACAGACACATGCCACCACGGCCCAAATCTTATCCATGTGGGCTCTGTCCTCATGTCCTAATTACCTCTTAAACACCCCACCTCTTAGTACTGTCACACTGGAAATTAAATTTCAACACGTGAATTTTGGTGGACATTCTGATCATAGCACTGGACTTGTTTTTAATCTGCTACAAAATGTTTCATCCTTAGTAGATTGAAAGTGTAAAATGATTAAATGAGAATTAGCATTAAAAATTAGTTATCCTTGAGACACCACCACAAACTCTCTGTTAAGTTTTTTGGAATCTATAATATCTAAATAATATAGTATTAACTTTGCTTTTGTCAGGGATCCAGGTATTGACCAGATGAAAAATACAAAGAGGAAGAATTACCGTCGGTAATTAGCTTATATTGTATACTCAGTGTTTTAGTGTTTTTTCAAAAATACACATAATTTTAGATGTATCTTAAGTTACTAATCTCATATAATTTTACCATGCATATTTTTATCCAAATCATAAGGAGATCCTTCAATATGAATTTAAACTTTACAAATTCTAATCATGAGGCAGACATTAAGTTATTAACCTCTTTTAGATTAGAATTTCCACTTGGATATTGACTTCTATTCACCTTTTAGATAATTAAATTTAAGAGATTTACCTAGTTGATGAAACTGACCAATGGCATAATCAAAAATAAAATTCATGAAGCTTGGTTCAGTGTTCCTAGCCATTGTCCATTTTGTTTCAATCTTTTGCAGAAGAAATAACATATGTCAGTGTTCAAGGAAAATTGTTTTCTCTTACTTTCTTACAGTGAATTCTACTTTGCAATAAATAGGTAAAAGTCTATAACCAATGGTTTGGGAAATCATATCAAAATTTAAACCTTTTTCTTCTTTTGTCTTAATTATTTTATATTTATTTACAGGTTATTTAGCATGTTGCTTTTATGTATTATTGGTCTCTATATGTATTCAGTTTTTTACCTATATTCTATAATTCTACAGTAATTTTAGAATTTTGCTTTGTTTTCTACATCCTTATAAGACAGTGTAAATAATTAAAAACATACTAGTTTTAATTATGCAATTAGGGTCAAGTGTCTAGTCACTGTATGAGCTGTCAAGATGTTACCAAAATGTTTAAAATTAAGTCCCTGGTTTGTGATATGAATATGCCAATTCAAAATAGTGCAGACTGGACACACACATAAAACAACTTCATGAAAGATAACAAAGCTCTCCAGGAAACATGTATTGGCACCTTTATTAGAGAATATAGAATATAATTCTGTTAGGTACACACTAGAATGTTTCTTATGTTCTTGAGAAATATATATGTTGGAGAAAAATTATCTTCCCTAAGGATGAATCAGAGCTCAAAAGATTTCCAGATATGCTCCAGCCATGGTTATATAACTATGGTTAATAAAACTAGATGAACCACATATTTATATCAACAATTAAAAGTACCTTGTATCCTGCTTCAGTGAAAAATAAAATAATAGACTTTTTTTTTCTCCAAGTAAGAAAACAAAATTGCCCCTTAGGAAATCATTGTTAACTCTTTTACTGCCAAATAGAGCAGTTTATTCCACATTTGCGAAATAAACAATATTCTTTTCTGCTATCCATTGATATTTTTAAAACCCTTAAAGTGACTATAACCAATACCTACCCAATCATGAATTATAAATTTCAATTAATATAAACGCTCCATAAGCATTTTTATTTTATTTAAAAAAAAAACACAGTTTGAAAAGTCAGAGAATTTTCTTAGCACATCAGTTTTCAAAACTGGCAATCAGGTAGTGATAATGTAATCATAATTAAAAACAAAGAACGAAACCCAGTTAAGAAACAGTATTTCCAGTAGCTTGTCTATTGGTATCTAGGCTCATAAGGCCCATTATAGTTCTCTAAAAATTTTACTCCCCAACAAATATTCAAATAACACTTAAGACGATCACTCAGATAAGAACTAATAACCTAAGTTATTATAATATAATCCTATTTGGAGGATTCTAGTATGTAGCTCATTGCGATATTTATTTTCTCTTTAGTATTTGCAACTCAGCATGTTTCTAACATGGTGCTGTGTTGCAAGTTATTTTCTATTGCTAGATAATTTAATTCCTTTCAACATATAATGCAAATATACTTCAGATGCTTCAGGCATGGTATCTTCATTAAAGAGGAAGAAATTGCTCATTGCAGTATTATTCATAATACCAAGATATGGAAACAAGCTAAGGGTTCACTGATGAATTAATGAGTAAAGAAAATGTTATATACACACAGAAGAATATTATTCACACCTAAAAAGGAAATCCTGCTATTTGCACAACATAAATGAACCTGGAGGACATCATGCTATGTGAAATAAACTGGACACAGAAAGACAAATACTACTTGATCCCATTTACATGTGGAATCTAAAGGAGTCAGACTCATGGAAACAGAGTGTAGAAAGGTGGTTTCCATGGTCTTGGGGTTAGAGGATATGTAGAAAGTTTAGTCCAAGGGTACAAAATTTTAGTTATAAGTAAGTTCTGGATATCTAATGTACCACATGGTAATTACAGTTAATTATAATGTATCGTACACTTGAAATTTGCTAAGATAGTCGATCTGGTGTTCTCAACACACACATACACACACACACACAAGTAGTAACTATATGAGGGGATGAATGTGATAATTGTGGTAATTACTTAATAATGCATGTGTATATCAAAACATAACACTGTACAACTTAAATATATATAACTTTATGAGTCGATAATACCTCAACAAAACTGGAGAAAAATGAGGAAGACATTGTAAATATTAAACCTTTTTAGCATTAAAATACAACAAATATAAATTACAAAGTCCAACTATAATTCAGAAAATTTGCCTGTGGTTAGGTGATAAATAGTTGTGAATTAGAGCTAAAAGTCATGTGATCTCTTTGAAACACATCTCTAAAGCCAAAGTATCAATTGAACTAAATATGTCATAGAGCAATAAGAAAGTGAAACACCACACTGCTTCAGAGGGATCGTTTTAAACATACATTGGCTAGTTTAGGAGCTCATTGTTTATCAAGGTAGAAATTCGAGCCAGGAAAAGATAGAGACTAATCAGTATTTTTTTTAAATCCATGTTTATTTATATTCATGATCTTCTCTATGGATTTCTTAGTCTTCATGGTGATTTTAAGAGTTGGCTAAAGAAATTTTAAGTCTCATAAGTTGCTTGTTAATTCAAGAGAAAAGTATTTACTTCTGTTTTGCTAAAAGATAGCCAAAGCAATTTTGATTAACAAAGGTTGTGATATGACTCTGAGTTAATGGCATGTTGAAAGTAAGGGCAAGTCAGTAAGATTTAACCCATATGTTGAAAGTAGCTCATAAATAAATTCACAGTCTCTTCTGACAAAACGTTTTCTGAGAATTGGTACATTATAGGTGTGTATCTGGTAGTAAAATTTATTAGAGAGGCAGTAAAAAATTCATTAACATAAACAAATCAAAAATCCAATGCATTTTAACAGAAATGGGCTCTGCCACAACTTAAGTATAGACAAGAGAATCATCTCATGTATAATTTAAACCTTTAAGGAACTTCTACTCAAATGTGCCACAATTGCTCTTAAAAAATTGAAATATTTATGGAAGCAAAATATCTCCTAGATATTTCAATAAAAGGAAAAAAAAGATCTAATCCTGGATTTAGAGACCTGGGAGGTGAGGGGAAATTAAACTTCTTACTAGGAAACGGTGAATTCTATACAAATTATATACAAACTCTTACAGTTCTTAAAATTTGAACATCAATTTATAACAACCATATAGCATCTGAGAACAATTCACTTTCCAATACTAAAATAAAAACAAAATTTGAGAGTGAACAGGCAATCTATAGAATGGGAGAAAATTTTTATAATCTATCCATCTGACAAAGGGCTAGTATCCAGAATCTACAAAGAACTTAAATTTACAAGAAAAAAAAAAAAAACAACTGCATCAAAAAGTGGGCAAAGTATAGGAACAGACACTTCTCAAAAGAAGACATTTATGCAGCCAGCAAACATATGAAAAAAAGCTCATCATCACTGGTCTTTAGAGAAATGCAAATCAAAACCACAATGAGATACCATCTCACGCCAGTTAGAATGGTGATCATTAAAAAGTCAGGAAACAACAGATGCTGGAGAGGATGTGGGGAAATAGGAACACTTTACACTTTTGGTGGGAGTGTAAATTAGTTCAACCATTGTGGAAGACAGTGTGGCGATTCCTCAAGGATCTAGAACCAGAAATACCATTTGACCCAGCCATCCCATTACTGGGTATATACCCAAAGGATTATAAATCATTCCACTATAAAGACACATCCACACGTATGTTTATTGTGGCACTATTCACAATAGCAAAGACTTGGAACCAACCCAAATGCTCATTGATTATAGACTGGATAAAGAAAATGTGGCAAATATACACCAGGAATACTATGCAGCCATAAAAAAGGATGAGTTCATGTCCTTTTCAGGGACATGGATGAAGCTGGAAGCCATCATTCTCAGCAAACTAACACAGGAAGAGAAAACCAAACACTGCATGTTGTCACTCATAAGTGGGAGTTGAACAGTGAGAATACACGGACACATGGAGGAAAACAGCAGACACCAGGGCCTGTCGAGGGATGAGGGGCTAGAGGAGGGATAGCAGCATTAGGAGAAATACCTAATGTAGATGATGGATTGATGGGTGCAGCAAATCACCATGGCATGTGTATACCTATGTAACAACCCTGCACGTTCTGCACATGTATCCCAGAACTTAAAGTATAATTAAAAATTTAAACAAAGAATAGATAAATAAAATAAAAAGAAAATTCCATCTCTACACATCTTTGCCACCAAGAGATACACCTTGCATTTTATGCCTGGCAAAATCTGTGAGTATATATTTTTTCTACATCCCCATTCCAAGGTGACATCAAAGAGCTATGCAAGTAGAGAATCAATATCTTAGTGCCAGCAGCAGCGACAAAACTGTGACCGAGGTCTAATTTACTGTTGATCAGGTTACAGCCTCTCTATCCAAACCCTCTAAAAGTACCAGAATGCAACACCCAGAACCCACTTGGCAGAGTCTTTCTTTCAGCTGTAGCTATTGAATATATTTCACTTTTATCTTACAATGGAAGTGCGATGATTAAGAAAGAAACAGAGATAAAAACAAGCAATAGGAAAGGGTTTCTAAGTAGTTCATTAAATGGCACTGTTTCAAAACAGTAGTGCTTATTGAATTGTGCCTCTAAGGGGGCCGAAGCTATGCAAAAGCAAGAGACAGAGAAAGTGTACGGGGGCATCATTAGGCTAGCTTAGGCTGCACAATTGGTTTCTGCCAGCTCTCCAGTTATGCACAATATCAAAGGGGAAAATGGAAAGGAGTTAAAGATAGTAGCAGAATATTTCAAATGACTGCTGCCCAATTTAGATCCTATCTGTAATGAATGGAATGGCAGAATTTAATGTAACTTGTTCTGTACTCTAAATAATCTTATTGTTATTAACAAAGGTATTTCCTCAATTCATTTAAAAAGCAAAGTTATAGTTACCTAATTCTACCATAATATATTGCTTCAGCAAAACAGAAGTTATAATAGACTAAATGTTTAATAGTTTTAAACAGACCGTCTGATGTGACAATGCAAATGAGAACTCTTTGATTTCAACTTGCAATTGGACCATATGCTTTAAAAAGTAATAGAAAAAAATGTATTCCACATGAAGACTAAATGTTTATGTAATGAGATTTAATGCTCAAGTGAATTAACTGGCCATATAATTTGAGCCACATAAACATGATATCCCTGGAATGAGTGGCAAGCAGAATTTGACTTCTTTTTGCAGTGAGGCATGATCTCTGCTCACTGCAACCTCCACCTCCCAGGTTCAACCAATTCTCATGCCTCAGCCTCCAGAGAAGCTGGGATTACAGGCATCTGCCATCACACCTGGCTGATTTTTGTATTTTTAGTAGAGACGGGCTTTCACCATGTTGGCCAGGCTGGTCTCGAACTCCTGACCTCAAGCGATCTGCCCGCCTTGGCCTCCCAAAGTGCTAGGATTACAGGCATGGGCCACCATGCGTGGCCTGATTTCTTAAATGTTATAGTATAACGAAAAATTACTGTTTAGAAAGACATATGTATATATCTTTCTAAAGATAGCATCACTATCATCATTATTTGTTTTCATCTGTTTCTATATGAATTTAAGGACAATTAAATCTTAAATCTTGCAACAGAAGGATAAAGGCTGCCAACCATCTTCTCCTTGCAGCTTATCTTGAAGTCAGCACAGGGTTTTCCCATCCTCGTCTGCCTGAGGACTGTGGTTTCACTGTGATTTCACTGACTTCTGCATCTCTTGTATCTCATCCCATGCCAGCCACTTTGCCCCTTTTCTATTCCCTTTTGTTCAAAATTTTCATTAATATATTTGGAACACTAAGCAAATATAGTGGAAGGTAGTTTATTTTCTGCTGCTTGTCTATGAATTGGTAAAGACAGACGAAATGAATTGGAGAGAGGATGTGGGACTCAATAACTGAGTTTATTCCTGAAGTTTAACTCCTCGTTCAATCAAACTTGAATGTTCGCCACAATGCCGCTACATAGAGATTCAAAAGGTTTTCATTAATGAACCAAGGTGAAAAATGCCCAGATATTTCTTTTCACTTAGTTTTCTGTAGCTGATCTTTTTTATTTAAAAAAAGGAGGGAAAAAACCTACATCTAGTCTATCACTTGTAAGAGATATAATGAAAACACACAATTTTAAAAAACTTTTTTTCCTAGGATACTTAAGAGTAATGTTTCAAATGCTAATGAATATTTGTTCGTCAACATTTATGAGCAATGGTAGGATTCTAATACTATTCGAATCAAATGCTCACATTTGATGCTTTTCCAGAAGCAGATTACGTTAATTCATTTTGCTTTAATTTCAAAAGGAAGGTTTAAGATTGAGTTTTGACTTCATGGCTAACTGGCATAGGAATGTAGAGAAAACCAGAATTACCTCAGCTGAACTACAGGGCGTGTGTGTGTTTTCCTTTGATTTTAGTAGTATTACAAATTCCACAAGAGATTTTTACTAAAATGGAGGTTTGATACCCAGGATTTGAATTAGATGTGCCACTTCTGTGAGACTATGAGATAATGAGAGACATAATCTGTAAATGTCATCAATAACATGGCTAACAGAAGTTATATAGATGCTATTTTAAAGATAAGAATTTCCATTAGATGCACACAGATAAATGATTAGTGAAATAGTTTCCTAACTTAAAAAATATACTGAAGTGAAATAATTTATATTCTTAATTTTAAGAATTCATGGGAAGAAAGAAAATCTCAGTTTGTGTTTATAAAATCTTAATTCTAATAAATGTATGTTTACAGTTTATGTTGCTCTGAAAATATCTCAATGAAAAATGTTTTCAAGTATAAACTAAATGTTTAATGAAATAAGTTTTATTTATAAAGAAATGCATACTGTTTTAAGGTGCCATTTTCTCCATTTTTTTTTGGCTTAATTAGCCTAGGGTTGATTCTTTACATAAAATAAGTTTTGCGATAGATAGGTGTCAAAATATAATGTGCAAAGGATCTTACAGGTACTTTAGTCTGAACCCCCTCCCAATCAAAGAATCCCCCTGACCCAGCCAATAATTAGCTACTAAATCAATCAGCTAGTAACAGTGGACACTGTATTTTGCAATCTGTTCCATGTTTGAGCATTTCCAAATTGCTATAACGATCTTACTTTTATTAACTGTATATCTGAATCTCGTGAATCATCACCCATTGGTTCTAATAGGAATTTTCCTTCAGTCTAAAATTTTAAACCAGTTCCATGTCTCCTTGGAGTATTTTTTCCCTTCAGGATTAATGCCTACATTTTCTTGAACTCTTCCTTGTTCAGTTTATCCTCTGCTGGAACGTCTCTGCTTTATCAATATCTTTTTGAAATACAGCATACAGGATGGAGCACAATACTCTTATGGAACCTCACCAGTTTTCTCTTCCACTTCTTTTCCACAAATTATTATACTCACCAGAATTCTAAAATTGCATGCCTAGACTTCACTTTACTTTTCCCATTTATGCTTAGACTTCATCATTTTTCTACATTTAAGATTTTTCCATAAATCCAATTACTTCAAGTAATAACAATATGTAGATGACTTCTAAAAATATAGACGTCCAAATTACTCTCATGTACTTCGGTCTTACATATGTTTACATATATTTACATTACATATGTAAATATGTATCCAAGTACCATAATCTAAGCTCATCTTGGAGTCTTCTTAGGCAACTCGAAAATCTTCTCCTCATTCAACATACGTGTATTAATTCTTCTATGAATTTCAGATACACCAGTGATGAAAGATCTCTGCCCTATTGGGCTTATATTATAAGGCTGGAAGATGGTAAAACAAAATGAATACAATAAATAACTAAATTTTCTAGTATGCCGAACAATAAGTGTTACAAATATAATGGACACTAGAGCAGGGTCCTAGGAATCAGAAGGACTGATGAAGATAGTAATGGTAAGTCTTACCAAAGAAATAACATTTGAACAAGAATTGAAGGACAGAGGGAGTTGGAAGAGATACACTTTGTATCCTAGTTGAGAGAAATTCTGGAAGAGTAATCCAAATGTAAACAATCTAAAACGGGGGAAAAACAGGCAAGGCAATTATACATGCACCCTGCTGCATAAGTAAATAAATTACAAGCAAAGCAAAATATTAAAACTAGCTAAATGTCATCAACCGATTTAGCCAATGACTTAGCTAATTCACCAAGAATCTAGAAGCAATGAAAAGAGACATTCCTCGTCTTCTCTTCTCCTTGCCTCTGTGTTCATATAGTCTATCTTTCCTCATTTCCAGTTTCATCTCATTCTCCTTTGCTTGTTCCCAACTGTCAACACTGGAGTAATCCTCTTTTCAGTCCTTAGGTCTCTTTTCTATTGAGCGATCGCTTTTTTGGTGACCTCATCCAGTATCGTGAATTTTTATAGTCATGCCATTTATAGGCTGATGACCCTCTCCTCAATTATTTTAGGTTTGCTCCAGACATTCTCTATGAATACCATACACGACATGTCTGACTACTTACTGAAAATATTCACTTGAATGTTGTGATAGGTAGAATCCTTCCCCAACGATGTCTACCCCTTCATTTTCCAAATGTGTGAATACACACTATGACTTGGCAAAAGAGGCTCCAAAGACGTAACTAATATTATGAATGTAGCCCATTAATATGTACAATTATTTGTCAATTAAATGCAAATAAATTTAATTGTTTCAAAAAGATTACAAATCATATGATAGGGCTCAAATTATCTAGGTTAGTCCAATCCAATGACTTGAGCCTTTAAAAGTATTGACCTTTTACTGACTGTAGATAGAGTTACGTAGCAGCAGAAGGCTGAGAGATTTTAAGTTTGAGAGGGACATGACATTCCATTGCTATTCTAATATAGTGGGCCATAGGCAAAGACCAGAGCGAGGCCTCTAAGGGCTAAGGGTGGCTTCCAGCTGAAACCTAGTAAGAAAATGGAGACCTCAATTCTAAATCTATAAGAAACTGAATTCTCTCAATATCTTGAATGAGCTTGGAAGTGGATTACTACTTGGAGACTCTAGAACAAAAGGAAGCCCTGTCTGACAGCACCTTGATTTTGATCTTATGAGACCCAGAAGAGAAGATCCATCTGAGAGCCACAATGTGCCTAGATGTCTACACTGTGAAAATGGAAGATAATTAATGCATGTGGTTTTAAGTCAAGAAGTCTCTGGTGATTTGTTATGGTAGCAATAGGATATCAATATAAATATTTAATTGGCATCTTAGCAATAGAAAATTAAGATAAATATGTAATGGTCATCTAAAATTTCACATGTTCCAAACCAAATTTTATATATTACAAACTCCTAGTTTACTTCCAAACTATTATTTTCCAGTCCTTCCAATGGCAGTAAACAGCAACTCTGTCTTTTAGTAGGTCAGACCAAAGGCCTTGGAATCATCCCTGAGTTCTTTCTAGTAGATGACCAGTTTTCAACACCACCCTGCTGACACTTTGTCTATCATATCTTAATTGCCTTATTGCAATAGTCTCCTAAGTAATCTAGCTGCCTCTGTCTTTGACCCTTCAATCTATTCTCATACTTCTAAATTGTTAGTCAAATCTTGTTTCTCAGTAGCTCAAATTTTCCAGTGGGTTCAATACAGACAATAATTTTTGTTAATGACCTGAAAAATGCTGAGACACTAGGCAGAGACACTGAAGACCAAAGAAAGGGGATATCATGAAATCATAAATTCTGCTGTTTCCTATTAACCAGGTTTTAAATCTGTTCTTAACAAAACTACAAAAATAAGTATTTTGGGAATTCTTATTTAGAGGTTAGAAACAGAGATGGTTTGGTTTATTCTTCGGTATGATTTGAATAAATTTAAAGAAAAACAAAAATAATTACTCACCTTGGAAGAATAAGATTAAGGGGTACAGGGAAAAGGAGGCTTGCTTTTTGGTTGATGTTCTTCATTGCTATATATTTTTACAGCTATCATGTATTTTATTTATATTAAAAATACTTTAAGAAGTTGAGTTTTATTCTGGGCATCTTGGTCTTCAAACATAAGTAGAAGTAGAAAAATAAGAGATTAAATTATATAAATTTGTCCAACTAGTTAGTTAAATGGAATAATTTATATCAAAGACTTATGTTTTCCAGTACAATGAAAGGAACTTCACTCTTTGAATGTTAAAAAAAAAATCAACTTTTAAAATTAAACCACTTGTTTGAACTCCTTTTGCATATGTGGCAAGTGATACTGAAATAAATCCAACCAAACAAATATTCATTAAGAACAATAAATTTCCAAAGAGATGTAAAAGGTAAAAAAAGTAATCTATTGTGCTTAGGGGGAAAAAACAATATAATGTATATATATAAAAATATATCAACATCATAAATATATTGGTTGTGATTTCAAATGAAAAAATAATAAAGTAATTAAGCACTATTTAGATGTATAATTAGACATATAATTAGTACCTAGTATTGACTGTAAAATATCTAATTTTAATAATTTGAAATGGGACTAATTTTATACTGCTATGAAATAATTTACCGAGGGCCAATATAAAATCTTCTTAAAATTGTAAAGAATATGTTAAATGACAGATTTGAAACAGCTTTGATAAAATAATAGCAAAAATTGAAATAGTAGTCTGTAACTATGTGAAGTTGTAATAAAAGAATTTTAAAAACAATTTTGCAAAAGCTTTTAAATATTCAAGCAAATTTAAATGTTAACACGTTCTTTGTTTTTTAGTATACTTTACTGGAAAGTATGCTGAAAATGCAGTTAAAGGATGTTTCCTATTTTTTTACTGTAAGGAAGTTACAAAAATCATGGTTTTAAAATGTGGATAAGTATCTGGAAGTTGTGAATAGTTAAATGTCTCAATTCCAGGGGTAAAGAACATTCTATTTAGGGGCAGATTGAAAGATAGACATTTAAAGGGTTTATTTCAATTTCTTTTTAAGTTAAGGATCACGACGTCAACCACAATTTGAATTTAAATGTAAAAATACATTTATATTCAGAAATTGAAGTAATTTGACCAACTGCAACAGTACATTTATATCACAGAATAGAATAAAAAAGCTAATTTATATGCACGGTAAATTAAGCATTGGAACACATATATTTATATATATGTGTATGAAATATATATACACTTTTTAAATATTCAAGAAATTAAATGTTAACGTATTCTTTTGTCTTTTTTCTTTTAATAAGCTGTCTCTCAAACTCTCTCCCTCTCAATACACACATACACACACTTATGTTCATATACATATATGGAAAAAAAAGCTTTCACTCAAATGGCTTTTGAACCCAGGTAAGATGTGAACATATGTGTGTGTGTGTACTGAGAGACAGAAAGTTTGAGAGAGAGCTTGTTAAAAGGAAAAAGAGAATACAAAAAAATATCTAAAATACCATTTTCAAACAGTTTTTATTTTAAGCTTACCTGGGTTCTATTCAAAAAGCCATTTAAAGCAAAAGGAAACAGTGATGAATAACTTCTCATAGCAATCTCAGATTTTCCATCTCTTGCTTTTCTTTGCTTTTTTGTTGTTGTTATTAACTCTTTCCTTTCCACACACTAACTACACAGATACTAAGCCAGACAAGATATTAGGCCATTCAGATAAAATTATGATGCAATACAGAATGCAACCTAAAGAAGCTAATAGATTCATGGAGAAAGACAAACAAATGGATACTTTCAGTAAAATATCAGAAATGCTATGATGTGCAGAGGCACAGGAAACCAATAGGAGCATATAGAAAACAGTAAGGTTAGAAAGTAAACAGATGTGTTCAAATGAACTACCTCACCCAGAAACAGGTATGTAATGTCCAGTTTACACCGTACAATTGGTTTCCAAAAATTGATTTTGAACATAACACTTTATACTAAGACTTTTAATGTGAAATCATTACATGTATATCATTATAATATTATATTTTCAGTTTATCTAGTTTTCAAATTTTAATGGTTTGTGACATAACATAGTCACATAGCCCATATTTACTATTTACTGGCATCTCTCTCTCTTTTACAAAATCATTGAGAGGCAGTTCCATTAATAAAAGAATAAATGAATACATAATTTATATAAAATATAACAAAATATTTAATATGTATGTAAATAATTTCATATATGCACCTATACTTAGATACATTTAGCAATTTATATGATTAATTATATTACTTATTAGATTCCTTCTAATATACAATTATATGTACTATATAATTGTATGTGATATGATAATATGTAATAATACATATTCCCTTATTTAATTTTCTGGTTTCATTTTTTTATATGTATGTGGCATCACATTATTACTAAATTCTGTAGTAGTTTATGTTTTTCTATTTTTAAATCATTATTTGAAATCTACCTTATCTTTCATATTTAGGTATATATAATGTATGCACATTCTTTGATATTAAAACAATATAATTGCTTCTTGCTAATTATATGTATATTTTCTAGTAATAAATATATAATTGCTTAAGAAATGAAGCCTTTCTAGTCATGATCCAAAAAAGAGAGAACATAAGACTATATTATACAATATAATAAGAAAGAAAATATACATAGTGGAAAATCAAACAAGAAAAGCATATATAGTATGTACATAATATGCATATAATTTATAATATTTATATTTATAATGCATATATATGTATAAATACCTATGTGTACATTCACATATTTGTGTGTGTGTGTGTGTGTGTGTATATATATATATATATATATATATATATATATATATATATAAAATAGAGCATGTAGGTGAGTAGCTATCTATTTAATCAGGGGCATTAATTAATATTCAAGTCATCTTTATATTTTTCACATGTCAAAATCTAAGAGGGGTTATGAAATCTGCTGCAACTATTGTGTTTCAATCAAGTTCTCTTTCTTTTTCTAACAATTTCCATTGAAATGCAATGTTATATAGCATATGGGTTTTTAGAAAGTTACATTTTATTGTGCATTGTTGTCTATTGATATAGAATGACTGTTTCCTTTTAATTTGATATAAATGTTGTATTTCCTCCTTTTTTGTCTCATACACCTCAGATATTATTCTTTAAAATTGTGTTCAATTATTTTAGATTTATTTATAAATTCATAAACTGATTTCATATTTTCAGTCAATCTACAATGCATATTTTCTTTTTTTTTTTTTTTTATTATACTCTAAGTTTTAGGGTACATGTGCACATTGTGCAGGTTAGTTACATATGTATACATGTGCCATGCTGGTGCGCTACACCCACTAATGTGTCATCTAGCATTAGGTATATCTCCCAATGCTATCCCTCCCCCCTCCCCCGACCCCACCACAGTCCCCAGAGTGTGATATTCCCCTTCCTGTGTCCATGTGATCTCATTGTTCAATTCCCACCTATGAGTGAGAATATGCGGTGTTTGGTTTTTTGTTCTTGCGATAGTTTACTGAGAATGATGGTTTCCAATTTCATCCATGTCCCTACAAAGGATATGAACTCATCATTTTTTATGGCTGCATAGTATTCCATGGTGTATATGTGCCACATTTTCTTAATCCAGTCTATCATTGTTGGACATTTGGGTTGGTTCCAAATCTTTGCTATTGTGAATAGTGCCGCAATAAACATACGTGTGCATGTGTCTTTATAGCAGCATGATTTATACTCATTTGGGTATATACCCAGTAATGGGATGGCTGGGTCAAATGGTATTTCTAGTTCTAGATCCCTGAGGAATCGCCACACTGACTTCCACAATGGTTGAAGTAGTTTACAGTCCCACCAACAGTGTAAAAGTGTTCCTATTTCTCCGCATCCTCTCCAGCACCTGTTGTTTCCTGACTTTTTAATGATTGCCATTCTAACTGGTGTGAGATGATATCTCATAGTGGTTTTGATTTGCATTTCTCTGATGGCCAGTGATGATGAGCATTTCTTCATGTGTTTTTTGGCTGCATGAATGTCTTCTTTTGAGAAGTGTCTGTTCATGTCCTTCGCCCACTTTTTGATGGGGTTGTTTGTTTTTTCTTAACAAGATAATTTAACTTACTCTTACAGAGGTTTCTTGGTGGTGTTCTTTTGTTTGCTTATCATGTTTTCATACTCTTTTTTCTCAATTTGCATTTTAGTCTCTTTTCCTTAATTTCTATGTTCTCCAGCATTTTGATAAATACTGTTTTAAAACAAATGAGTAATAACCTTCCTTTAAAGGCTTCAAAATGATTTTTTAAAAACACCAATCTAATTAACAAAGTCAGAACACAGTCACTTTGATCAATTTAATTTACTCTTCTCCCTTTGAAAAAATCAGATTTAGAGACTATGCTAAATGTACATTCCTGGGGGCATGCCGTGATCAAATAAAGACTTTTGGAATGAAGTCCAGGCTGGAGCAAAATCCAGGAGAAGGGAGCAAAACCTGGGAGAAGGGAGAGTAAAGAAGGGAATTAGAAAACCAAAGAGTCAGTGACTGAATGTGTTAAGTTCTGTGGCATCCCTCTGTCCTCCAAGATTTCACAAAGCCTCCAGAAATATCATGTGGTGGCCTTGCCGATGCTGTTCTTTAGCACTTTCTCTGTGTTTTTCCTGCAGATCATCTTCATGTACTCTGTACATAACTGCTATTTATCTTCACCTTCAGATCCAACACCCATGCCAGAGAGGCTTCAAACCCCTCAGTTGCATATTCTCAAAGCCCTCTGTACTTTTTCTCTATGAAACCTAAGAGAACAGTACTTAGGGTTTGTGTAATTATGTCTGCCTCTCCTTAACTGTATAAACTCCATGAGGGCAGAAATTGAAGTCATTTGAACACATTCAATAGTATGTTTCTTCTAGAGAATAAGGTTACTAATTTATATGCATGACAAATTTAGATGAAGGCAGGTACTCTGTTTAATTTCTGCAGTGTTTGCTCACTGTTGCATAGTATAGAGGTCACAATCATTGAATAGCCATTGAATGAATATGCAACTATTAAAAAATGATGTATATTTATTGATATGAATATATTTCTCATTGTGTAATGAGAAAAAGCAAATTATAAAGCAGCATGCATTTATATCAGATTTTGTTTAAAAATAGTTATATTGAACATATCATTATATTAAATATGTACAGCAGCGTATGCCTGTCTGAACAAACTATACAAAATTAGAAATTATATTTATGTCTGGATGATGTAATTAGAGCTGATAATTTTATTCTTATTCTTTCTTAAGTTGTTTTTGTTTCTTCACACCTTCCAAATATTTTATGAATCTGCATTAATCTTCCAATTAGAAAATCAAAATTGATTTTGGAAATGAAAATATGTTGGTAATAGGGTTTAAATTTGAAGAAAAATAGAATTACCCATCCATCACAACACCCAAAAAGAAAGAAACACACTTTTGAAATCCCTAAAGGATGAATTGAAATTTTGATAATCTAGAGTCAGAATTTTCAAGAAATAGGGAGTTGTTGCAGACCAGGGTATTGATAGTAGGAACCTAAAATAGAGAAGTAATGTATGAATGAATAACTGAACAAGACACCAGATATTGCAGAACTGGAACTGACTACACATTCAACATGATTGTGTGGCTGGAAAGACAGTGGCTTGAACAGTCTTTAGACAGTGATCCTAAGAGTATTTTGTACAATCAGAAAGAATGTGAATTTTCAGGCATATAGAAAAAGACTATAACACCAGTTTCTTGGTCCCTTTCATATTTTAAAATTTAGATACATTCAATATATTTCAAAATAAACCTAACATCTAACAAGTCTTCATACTACTCTTCAGACAGGGCTTCCTCAGCATCCTTGCCTATCACCCAAAATATAAGCAGGCTGTGTCCAGCTAGCTGCAGCACACAAACTTTGCCACAAGCATTTTCCTCAATGATTCCATCATGCAGAGTGGCCTACTCCTCTTAAAATAGCACTCATAATGCCTACTAAATATTGTATGATGTCTTTTGTCTCTGCCTCAACTGATGGAAGAAAAACTCAATTTGCTAGACCCAAGTGTCAAAAGAAGCAAGTTCATTACTATTGTTCTTCAGGTCTCATGAGGGAACTCTAAATATTGTCTAACTCATCTAATGTTGTTTGTCTCATTTTTGTTACCTAAACTTAGTGTAATACATAAATATTTCACTCACCTTTCAAATTTATCTGTGTTTTTAAGTGTCCTTGTAGATGCATGACTTGATGTTTCTTTGTATTCTTTTTTCCAAGGGAAAAGAGAGATGTTGAATTCCTTTCTGTATCTACTCTATTCCTGCTCTTCCGTATCTTTTTAAAAATTTATTTATTTATTTATTTATTTATTTATTTGAGACAGGGTCTTGCTCTGTCACCCAGGAGTGCAGTGGAATAATCTCAGCTCACAGCAGCCTCCACCTCCCAGGTTCAAGCGATTTTCTTGCCACAGCCTCCTGAGTAGCTGGGATTATAGGCGTGCACCACCACGCCCGGCTAATTTTTGTATTTTTAGCAGAACCGAGGTTTCACCATGTAGGTGGGCCAGGCTGGTCTCGAACACCTGACCTCAAGTAATCTGCCTGCCTCGGCCTCTCAAAGTGCTGGGATTACAGACATGAGTCACTGTGTCCTGCCCAGTATCTTAAGCCAATGTCAAGGATAATGATAGCAGTAATAATAAAAAAAAATATGATTGTGTGATGGTTATGCTGTTTTGTGCACTCTAACAAATCATATTCATTACTGCAGTTTTATAGATAAGATTAATTGAGAGACTTCCAGTTTGCACAGGCTAGAGAACAAGCATTCGATCTCGAGGGTTTTAAGCCTCAATGCCCATGCCCTAAACTTCTTCTGTCTTCACCCACCCTGTTTTTCTTCTCTGGATAACTAGCTGTTTTACACTGTACTTAGCATCTCAGGAAATTGTGAACAATAGAGCTGATGGTGTGGAAAATATTCTTCTGAAGAATGGCAGGAATATGAACTGTGGCAAATAAGATCTCTGGAAGAACTAGATCTACAACAAACACCAATAGTAGCCGAGATAAACTAGAGATAATAGCGTCTCTTCTTTTTAGATACGTACACATTCTACCACAGAAACTATAATGGAAGGAGAATAGGAGTTGGAATAAAAAACTTCAGTATAAAACTCAGTTCCACAATTAATTGGCATAATCATGTTGGATATCACATTATGTTACATTGCTCCATACATGGCAGGCACACAAACACTTGTTTAATGATGCTTTTTAGTGAAATAGGAGTTACACGTGTAATTTATGAGTGTAAAATTCTTGCTTGCCTTCTTTAGTAGTTTAATATTTAGTACTTGTTGGTACATTGCATGTATCCAATTAATATTTATTGAGTAAACTGAATAGATGAAGACTTAAAATTTTTTAAAGACATCTTTATCTTGACAATGGAAATACTTTTATTTTTGATTTTCAATGAGTGATATCAAACTAAATATATTTAATTACATGAAGTTTATTCATGAAACAGCTGTATGTTTTTTAATGGCCTGCATGACTAAGTGGCTTAAAATATTTTAAGTTCCCAGTGCACTATATAGAATAAACTTGGTGATATATTTTAATAAATATCAAAAAAAATGCTACCTTGTCCCATAGTCCAAATTAACAAACGGACCCATCAGGTGTATTAGCGTTTATTTCTAGGCTAATTTAAACCCTATGATAAATGCATTCTTAAGCTTGGGCCTTTAGAGGGACTTGAAATACAAGAAACAGCTCAGCTAAAAGTGTCTCAATTGCATTGCGTGAAACATATGAAAATTCTAATTAGTGAAAGTTATGCAGTGGATAACTACTGTGCATTCTAAATTATATTTATCCATTACAACTTTGTCATCAAATATTGGATATGGCCTATAGTTAGCGTCACTATAAATTTGCATTTCAACTGGAGAAAAAGACACCTTCTTGTCTTCCCTGATTAACATTTTCAAGCTCTGTAATTTTCTTGCTGCTCACAGAAACAAAGCAAGCCAAGCTCATACAGAAAGCCTATTCTCCAAGATATAAATATTTGCTATTCAGAAAACCTCAATGAGGGTTTAGTTATTTTAAACTAAAGAAAGAAAATTACTAGTAATGATTGGTTTCAGCTAACGAAATGCTTTTATGCAAATATGTGAACCCTAAATATGACCTGGAAACAAAAGACTGCTTAACAGTTACTATTAAGCAATACATTAGTAGATCAATTAAACAGAACTTCTTTCTAATGAGTATGTGGTACAGAGGTTGCCATAGAAACCTGGAGAGGAAAAGCCCTTGAATGCTAATTTATCATTATAAGACTGTAAAATACTATAGTTCTGTTGGTGGCTGATAGTCACTGAAATCACTTCTGAGAAACCAACTTCTTGTATTATAAAGTGGCTTTTCAAAGATAATTCTATCTCTTTACCCTTCTAGGACTATTTAGATATGCCATTTAGATACACCATCTGCCAAGGTAGCTTCTCCAGTCTGGATCTATGTCTATAGAAAAACCCATTTTAACTAATTTTTGTATGCCTAAACTTGAGATTTCTCCAAGAGGAGAAAAATATAGAAAATTTAATCTGAA
Source organism: Homo sapiens (assembly GCF_000001405.40). Classification (NCBI taxonomy): domain Eukaryota; kingdom Metazoa; phylum Chordata; class Mammalia; order Primates; family Hominidae; genus Homo; species Homo sapiens. The sequence continues at coordinate 52,197,874 of NC_000005.10, forward strand.
TATTATCTGGACTCCTTTTTGTACAATTCTGGTGAAGTAAATCTCTAGTCTACTCCTACTCCCACAGTTTGTGTACCACAATCATAAAACTGGGCTCTACCACATGTTGCAGCTATGCAAGGAAAGGGGCAGACAGGATTGAGCAGAGAAGTCAAACTGCAATATAGATGGCAGCCTTGGACAGCTCCACAAGGAGGTCTGGAAATAAAATGGTTCTTTGGAGTTATTCTGTGTTGAACAAAGAAAACTGGAACTTTCCTTCATCCATTTATGAGTTATTGAATACCAATTATCCCAAGAAGGAATGCCACCTAAGGAAAAGCAGCTCTCTGCTATGGATAGAAGTTTCTGACTACACTCATGGATCGTTGAAGGGGAATTGAGCAGCAAATCTGAGTGTATCACAACCTGCTTAAATCCAAGATTTAAAAGCAATGATCAGTCTAAATACATACATTTTTCCTTGTGTATGCAATGAGGATGATCTCAACTACGTGGTTAATACATATTTGGGCAATTTGATCTTTGGCTGTTGTTATTAAGAAGTATTAAAATGCAAATTTGGGTGGCAATGATAGTATATGATGACATGAAATGCAAATTTTACATTGACAAAAAGAGGTAGATAAAATATGTTACATGTCCATCGTATTAGAATGCGGGAAATCTAACACAAGTAGGAAAATAGTAGAAGGAATAATTCTAGATATGTTCCACTCAAAAAATCACATCTGTTTAACTGGTGGTAAAATAAATCACTATAGTTAAAAAGTACTTACAGTAATTTCATTAAAAAAACACATAGGTGAAAGCATGTACTATTTTATAATAAATAAATTTCTGTGTATGAGGCTATAAAATTTTTTAAAATTTCACCCTCAAATGTATCAATAACTTCTATACCTGAGAAGTCATAAAATTACATATAGAGAGAGATTGCCACCAAAATCACTTAATCTCTAATGTTCAAGTCTGAATAAAGGTTAAAGAGACTAAGGAGAGTGGCAAAACATTTATCAGAAGAATTATAAAGAAAGATAAAGGCAATTAATTACTTAGGGGTCAATGGAACTCTACCTTCACCAGATTGACTCTTATATTGAAAATGGTCAAAAGAGTTTTGCAAAAAGCAGGCTGGCATTTGACAAATCAGGGCTTAAAGATAATGTAGACTAGGAATGGGAAATTTGTAAGATCACACATACATATCCGATTCTTTCAAAACAATTCATGTTGGTATCAATTACCTTATTATTAACTTTAACTTGAAAAGACTAGTCAAATTTTTCACTATCAAACCTTGCATGCCCCAGAGAGTGATGAGGAAGTTACAGGGTGCCTTGCAGTGATTCTTTACACAGTATGTAAATACTTACTCATTTATAACCTGAAGAAATTGAACAACTGTAGAATTAAAAGTACGTTTTCTTTGAAAGTGCTCCACTCTCAAGTGTTATGATAAGAACAGTAGCCTCCTGAATGTATCGTATTAAAATATAAACACTAATTATAACTGCATGTTGAATTTGGTACAATCTAGACGATGTTTTTACAGACTAAATGTTAGAGTCTGATGAAGCAAAGACATAACTTGAATTATTTAGTCACAGGCCCAAATAGGTGATAATGAAAATCAAGAAAGAAATAAATTGCTTATGCTTATCGAAATCTTCTACAGAAGCTTAAAGGCATTAGTCTGAACTTGGATATGTAAGAAAATATATCAACTATTTGAAAAAAAACTAAATTAATTATAAAACATATCACATACATTGAAATGGTTCCATGTGTCAGTTTTACAGAAAAGTGAAACTCAAAATCTGGCTTTTTCCTCTGCTTCAGCTGACTCACCCCTAGCAGGTTATCTTCAACAGATGTTACTGAGTAGTTAGCTCCTCACAGGTTGAGTAAAGGCAAATGGTCTGCCTTACTTACAGCCTCCCCTTTTTGTAAGCATAAGGACAACTCTACTATCATTTTCAGTATCAATGCTATGTTGGTGAAATCATCTTATCAGTAGGCTATTTGGCATTTCAGCAACGACAATGGCATAAGGCTAAACGTGGTTTAGAAAACATGCTAGTACTAGAGGGGTGTGTGTGCGCGCGCACCCGCGTGTGTGTGTGTTTCAATTACTTTTACTTTACTGTGGAGATTTCGCTTGTGATCACGTGATAAGTGATATCAACCTAAATGTATTTTATTACATGAAATTAATTTATGAAACAGTTGTATGTTTTTTAATGGTGTGCATTAGAGTGATACAATTTATTTAAAGAGCCTCAGTGAAAGCCAATAGAACCATCTCCAACTTACTTTACAATCAGTTAATTCTTAATATTTTCTGCATATAAAATTAACAGAAATCTATCTAGATTTGGTACAGTTTTGAGTTCTAATAACAAAGTTAAAAGTTATAAGAGTTGGAGGGAAACAACCTTAAGAGAGATTACTAAAGAAAGGAAAAACATTCGTTCTAAATGATCTGGTGAAAGGAAACAAAAGGAGAAATAATTTTCTGGCAAGAACTGAGTAACTTCTAAGTTAAAAGGGTTAAAACCACATGATTCTGTGGACAGAGCATCATTAAAGTGAACTGTGCTAGAATAATAGCTATAAGACAGAAGGATAACTCCTATGACATTTGATTCAGCTGGAAAAGCTCAAAGCCTTCAAATCATTATAGCTAAGAATTGATTTATTTTTGCCCCCCAGCACTAAAAGGAATTTTAAATGGAAGAATATCTTCATTTTGAGAAAAATGTTAGAGTCTTACCAAAGCCCCAAATTACTTGGGGTTAATAAGACCTTTAAGAGCATATATAAAAAAAAAGTTCCTGATTTTTCTCTTTTTTCCCCTGTCTGATGTTATTTTTTCTTAAAACTTTACTCAATCATCCACAAAATAATAATACTTTGGGAAAAAATAACGTGAAATGGTTGTTTTCAAAATGTTTTTAAATGCATCTCAATGACTTTGTAGAATTGTTCTCTTTATGCTCATGGAACTTGTGTCTACCTAATTCTTATGATAGTGCAGTTAATTTCTATCATGGTAATATTTTTAAATGCCATCCTAAATATTTCCACCTTTTCATTTCCCCTCTTTTTAGTCCTTTACAATGAAAGTCCATGGTTAGTGGATTTCTGCATTTAACAGTGCATCTGAATGGTAGAGAAGTGGAGGAAGGAGCTTCCTGTACAGATCAGCCTGAACTAGTGCTGCAGCGCCTCATTGCTTTGAGTGTCCTGTGTAGAATTCTGAGGTGCTCCCAGGCCCTAGAGTGATGTGGAAGTTATGGGGTGTTTGCTACCATTTCAGCAGGATAATCACCAAAAAGAGGGGTGAGGCTTACCTACTTAGTCGATAATCAAATGGGAGTTGCATCAGGCCTAACAGTATCAGGAGTGCCAGCAAAAGCCAAAGCAAGAAACAAGGAAGCAAGCAGAACATGTGGATCTCTACCACGCTGTGATCAAGCACCAGAAGGTAAATGAGCCAAGGACACTGAACTAGTGGCTACAGTGTAGACCAAAGAACAGCACAAAAGGAGCTGTTCACTTTCTTTCCCATGAGTATGTAAGATACATGCAGCCTTATATGACCTTGATGCAAAAGGAAGAAAAGGGGGTAAAAGAAGAAACCTTGAAGAAATTGAATTCACGTTCAGCTAAGTAGGAAGAAAATATTTTGAATTGGGAAATACATTTCTTTTCAATGTCAGATTTAAGTTTCACGTTGTGTGTGCCTATGTGTGTCAGGTGTGTTTTTGCTATCAATGTCAATGAGAGGGTGGTTAGAGAGTGAACTGAGATCATGTGTAGAAAATGAAGAAAATTAAAAGCAATATAATTTTTTCTTTTTTTTTTTTTTTTTTGAGACGGAGTTTCCCTCTTATTGCCCAGGCTGGAGTGCAATGGTGTGATCTCAGCTCACCACAACCTCCGTCTCCCGGGTTCAAACGATTCTCCTGCTTCAGCCTCCTGAGTAGCTGGGATTACAGGCATGCACCACCACGCCCAGCTAATTTTGTATTTTTAATAGAGACGGGGTTTCACCATGTTGGTCAGGGTGGTCTCGAACTCCTGACCTCAGGTGATCCAACCGCCTCGGCCTCCCAAAGTGCTGGGATTACAGGCATGAGCCACCGTGCCCAGCCAAAAGTAATACAATTTTTATTATTTTGTTAAAAAGAGGATTAAAATAGCCTCATAATGCCCATCTATGTGTGTTGTGATACTGGGTAAAAAACACACATATATCCTAGTGCTTCATTCAGTCTAAGTTCTATTGACTGTTTGCTTGTTTTTTTTTTTTTTTTTTTTTTAGAAGGAGTCTGGCTCTGTCGCCCAGGCTGGAGGGCAGTGTTGCGATCTCTGCTCACTGCAAGCTCCGCGTCCCGGATTCACGCCATTCTTCTGGCTCAGCCTCCTGAGTAGCTGGGACTACAAGCACCTGCCACCACGCCTGGCTAATTTTTTGTTTTTTTTGTATTTTTAGTAGAGACGGGGTTTCACATGTTAGGCAGGATGGTCTCGATCTCCTGACCTTTTGATCCGCCCGCCTTGGCCTCCCAAAGTGCCTGGATTACAGGCGCGAGCCACTGCACCCGGCCGACTCTTTGCTTGTTTTTGAAAGCAAGCGCTACCCAAAGTAGCTTATGATGGAAAAAGTCTAACATTAGAATATCTTAAAATCAGAGATGAGACTCTAGAGCTATGCTTTCCAACATGGTAGCTATGCCATGTGGCTATGGAGCACCTTAAATGTAGCTAGTCCAAGTTGAGCTGTGCTGTAAGTGTGAAAAAATGACATTGGGCCGGATGTGGTGGCTCACACCTGTGATCCCAGTACTTTGAAAGGCCAAGGCAGGCGGATCACGAGGTCAGGAGATGGAGACCAGCCTGGCCAATATGGTGAAACCCTATCTCTACTAAAAATATAAAAAGTTAGCTGGGTGTGGTGGAGGAAGGCCTGTAGTCCTAGCTACTTGGGAGGCTGGGGCAGGAAAATTGCTTGAACCCGGGAGGCAGGGTTGCAGTGAGCTGAGATCGGGCCACTGCACTCAAGCCTGGGCAACAGAACTAGACTATGCTAAAAAAAAAAAAAAAGTCACGTTGGAGTCCAAAACCTTATTATAAAATAAAAGAATGCAAAATACCTCCTTAATAATATTTTAAGGATGATTGCATGCTTAAATGACAATATTTTAAATTTATTTCATTTAAATAAAAAATATTTTAATATCAATTTTACTTTCATATTAATATTTTTAATATTTAATTATTGAGTACTTATTTATGTCAGGCATACATATAATAACATTCACGAAAAGTCTAATAAGTGGTTCAACCCAGTGCATATGATACAACATACAAGTTGGAAAATAGATCATTGTTTACATTTATATAAACAATATCAGCTAGATTTATTTTCAGCAATTTTGTTCACAATTTATCATTTTTTTGCCACTTGGAACTGGCCATTAATTGTGAGCTACTTGGTGTAGGGAATATTCCTTCTAATCTTTTTCTCTTTTATAATAAGAAAGTAATGTAGTATTATGTAACATGAGTAAATATACTTTCAGTAACTATGGTTACAAACTTTAGATTCTATAAGAATCACTGAGGTTTGTTATAAATGCATTTTGCTATGGCCCAATCCTAGAGTCTTAGCTGTAGAGCTAAAATAGGGCCATGAAATCTGTATTTTTAATCCACATGCCAGAACTTTGATGTGAATGGTTTGAAGGCTACACTTTGAGAAATGTTGGAAAAGACAGATAAGGAACTAGGCCTTAACAATTTTATGTATTCAATCAAAATTTATTAAGCAACTCCTACGTGTTTTTATACTTCTAGATTCTTAGATAGATCAGTGAACTGGATAGAAAAAACATCCACATCTACTAGTAACTTGCATTTGACACAGATGAGAGAAGAAAAAGAATAAACCAGAACATTTGTAAATGCTATAAAAGAAATAGAAGCAAAGTATGGTAACAGGAATTGAGGAGACAGGACTAGCTACTTTAGATAAGAGTCATAGAAAAAGATGATGTTTTAGTTGAGACTTGAAATTCAGCAAGGTGGAAATTAAAAATGCTTGGAGCTCTCAATAAACCTAAAAAGAGCAGTGTTGCTAGAGTATAGTGTGAGGGGCTAGAGTTATATGAGACAAATGTTGTCAAGGAAGGCATATCTAGTTTATTGGAGCCTTGTAGGCTACGTTAAGGTGTATAGATTGAATTTATACCAAAATAAGCTATAATGTACATCTTAAGTTTTTGTTTATCCAGCTTCCCTGCACTCTTCTTTCATGAGTAGAGCCTTGATCTTTCTTTTGGGAGAATCTCATTAAATACAGTTGGAGGAAACCAAAGTACCCTAATCTGTCCTGTCAATCATACAATTTCTCCCCACTTTCAAAATTGAGCCGAACAGTCTAAAGATAGCAACTGGTTTGATCTAATGCACTCTTTAAGGGACTCTTTGAAGATACACTTTATTATTTTCTGCTGTTTACAGGTGAGGAGATGACACAGTTCTTGTCTTCTTAAAAGCTTTGATTTTTACTTTGCTTTGTTTTTCCATCGTTTTGCCACAGACGACCACTTCCTCTACCAACATGTGACCAGACCTGTTCTAAATTCATACTCTCTCCCTGGTGATGTCATCTAATTTCTTGGCCAGTGATGCCCTAATTTTTATCTCTAGCCTTCTCTATTCAATTTCCTACATTTTAATTCAGATGTCTACTAAGTATCTTTAACTAAACATGGCAAACCAAACCCCTGATTCTTGTTCCTGCAAGCCTATTCCCTTAGTACTTTTTTCTGATTCTGTAAAGGGAAACATAAGACTTCGAGATGCTCTGGGTAAATATTTTTGAGACATAACTTGATTTCTCTCTTTATTTCATTTCCAATAACATAACTAACAACAGATCCTGTGGCGCTAGCCTCAGAATATGCCTGGATTCCAATCACTTCTTAATACTGCTGTCATCTGTTTCCTGGATTTTGCCCTAGGATCCTAAGCAATCCTGATATTTTTTCTCACGCTAGTATATTCTCAATGTGACAGGCCGACTTAACCTTCCTAAAGGCAAATTCAGTTATCTCACTTTCCTTTTTAAAACTCTATAATGGTTCCAACCACTCCCAAATCCTTGCAAAGTTTAATAAGCCAATTTTAGATATTTTATCCCAACCACTCTAACTCATCTCCAAAATTCTTCTTCTATAATATTGATTTATCTGTAATCTATACACACAAAGAATATTCCTTCATTGGAATGTATTGGACCCTTCACTCTTTTTGCCTTTATGTAGAATGCCTTTCCACTTAATCTCCACAAGCTTGCTACATTCATGCCTATCATCTAACTTACAATATTTTTATTATTTATTTGTGCACTTGTTCTCCCTAACAGAATATAGACTTCATAAGGAGAAATAATTTTTCTGATTACCTTTCACTGCTATATCATCATCAGTACTAGGAAATGGTATGACACAGCTAATACATGTATAAATGAATAAACTAATGAATAAATAAAAATGAATGAATAAATATTGAAATAAGTAGATAACAAAATTAAAAATAAAACTAAAACCCTACTCTAATATTTAAACAAAAATTTATTATAAATAGTTTCAAGATTCATAAATTTTGAAGCATGTTTTACTCTAGATTAAGAAAGCACAGGCCAAATTATTACTAATCTCAAAGTGAAAATAGCCTTTCTAACCAATTCAAAATATAAAAATCTAGACACTTCTTAAAGGCTCCATCTCCAAATACAGTCCTATTCTGAGCTAGTTGGGGTTAGGATTATATTTAATACACAAGAATAGATCATTCATTAAAAATAGTACACAAACAATAAATATCCAATGTAAAAAAGGGTAAATTTCCTTAATTAAGAAAATACTCAAAATATATTTATTATTAAAAAGACAATGAAAAAAAGATGTGCAAATCAAAACAGCAATGGAATTCCATTCAGTTTGGCAATAAACAAAGTAAACTAAACTAAACTGAATTAATGATATTCTTACTGAAGAAATGGCTTTTACATTTACTGAGCATGTAAATAGGTACAACACTTCAGTGGAAAAATGTGATAATATCCATTAAAATTCAAAATGTACATATCTAGCAATCTTTCTGCTATGAATTTAACTAACATACATACTCACAGAAATTCACTTACTTATATTCACATGGATACTGCATCATAGCTTGTAATATTAACACTACAAGTAATTGGGATTTGGTTAAATTAAAAGCATGATACATCCATAAAACAGTGATGCCGTTGTATTTAACAGAAAGTGATAGCTCTACATGTGTGGACAACCAAACAAGCAAAAAGCAAAAAAACAAGTATTTGGCAAAGTGCAGAAAAGAAGTACCCTAACTTTCTCTTTGTGTAATTATTTTAAGAGGATGATATAGTTGAGTACATATATGCAATTATATGCAAATTGCATGAAATTCATATTTTGGTTGTTTGGTGGGATAGAAAACTTTTTCCTACATCTATTTAATATATTTGATTATTCAGATCTTAGCTATGTGCTACATGTACTTAATACTTTAAATTTATTTATTGTGAAAAATTCAAATATTCTCAAAATGGAAAAATAAACTAAACTCCTTCAACCCATTACTCAGGTTACAATTATCAAAATTTTGCCAATCTTTTTGCATCTGTGCCTCCCTCTCCATGCCTGCCACTTCTTTTCCCACCAAATTGTAACAGGACAATAATGAAGCAGAGGACCAGTAGGGAAAAACCTGTGGTAGCCAATATAAAGGATGATGAACATCAGAGGCCATTTGTTGGGCTACATTTATTTCTAATTCTTCTAGTAATTATTTTAATTCCTCCATCCTTTCAACAAATTCCATTATTATTTGATTAAGCTCTTAAGAAAAAATCAAAAACCCTAAACTAACTATAAATGTTTTTCAACTTGTTTTTTAAAATATATTTCTACAGAAAGCTTATTGATTAATAAAGGCACAGAACTACGAATATCCAAAGGAAAAATAACATGCTTTGATTTATCAAGTTTCCTATTCTACTTAAAAAAGTCATGCTTATGTGAGGATTATTTTTCTCATGTCTAAATCACAGCTTATTATTTTATAAGAAATTAAATTATAATGGCAGTGCAGGAAAATGCAGAATATTCTGTAGGATGCTCTTACTGTGACTATCCCTGGAAATGTGAAATACTATGTATTAAACTATTTATTCTCTAGGCTTTTCCTGCCCTCATGAAGTAAAGGTTTTAGATAGTTACATAGAAAGAGAGAGAGACAGACAGAGAGAGAGACACTACTGCAGGCTTTCCCTTATTGATCCTCTGCTTTCATTATTGTCCTCTTACAATTTGGTGGGAAAAGAAGTGGCAGGCATGGAGAAGGAGCCCAAGATGCAACAAGATTGGCAAATTTTTGATAATTGTAACCTCAGTGATTGATTGAAAGAGTTCAGGAGTTTATATATCTATTTACACACACATATATTTATATATCTATGCACATATTATATACATATGATACATATACATGATACATCCATGTATACAACCATAAAAAAGTGATGCAGTTGTATTTAACAGAAAGTGATAGTTCTACAGAAAGTGATAGTTTAACAGAAAGTGATAGTTTTGCTTGTTTGTGGATAACCAAACAAGCAAAAAGCAAAAAACAAGTATTATAGTATTATATATGCAGAGAGAGAGAGAGAGGAGAGAGAGATTAGATAATTCTATTAGTCTCCTAGGGCTAGGACGGGCTTAAGAAAATACCGCAGAGGGGGTGGTTGAAGGCTAGACATCCACAATCAAGGTGTGAGCAAGTTTAGCAACTTCTGAGGCCTCCCTACTTGGCTTGCAGATGGCCACCTTCTTGTGTCTTCCCACGGTCATCTCTCTATGTGTTATGTATGTCTTAATCTCCTTTTCTTTTATGGACACCAGTCAAATTAGATTAGGGCTCACACATCTGACCTAATTCTACCTTAGTCACTTCTTAAAGGCTCCATCTCCAAATGCAGTCTTATTCTGAGATATTTGGGGTTAGGACTTCAACATATGAATTTCGGGGCCACATTTCAGCCCGTAACAGATATATAAATAGGTATATAATAGAAAAGACGTATCTTCTTAATATTTCAAATTTCAAGGGAAACAAATTCTAAGATCTATATAGAGATATACTATGGATAACTAAGCTATTGCCAATGCTTAGCCTTGTGCTGAATGAAAGACAGTAGACCTTTAATTAGTATTAGATGAATAAATGAATATAAAATTGAGCTACTAAAGAGAAAAACTTAGTGAAGTCATGTTCCTGTAATGTCAAGATTATATCTGGCTTATTTGCTAACTTAATTTAGATATATAAGAGAAATATTTAGCAGCAACTTTTTTTATTTAAACTAAACAATATCTTGTAAGCTTGTGATGTTCTGGCCCTTCTAGTTATTAATGCCCATATATTTCACAGATAAATCACGTTTATCTTCTCATTTAGAAAATAGATACATGACCACAGATATAAAGATTATTCTTTAAATAGTTGCTTTTTAATAGTTTCTGGTTGCAAAAATATTAAAGCATTATATGAATAATATTGATTGTACAATTGCATATACAGGTAGAGCTAAATAAAAAACTATAGCAAGTGTAACATTTTCTTTAATGAAGCAGTTATAACTGTATTTCAATTCTAACTCAATAATTTCACAGATTAAATATAGAATAATTGTTAAATCAATAGCAAAACATTTAGGTACATGAATCATCAGTTTGATAAAAGGCCATTACAATTATTAGTCAATGTTATGTATGAAATATTCATATGTATGCATATATAACTGATCCTGCATTTTCCTGAGTTCTACCACTCACATGTTCCAGAGGAGAGAATTTTCTCTCCTTCCATGAATACTTTCTGGCCAATGGGATGACATCGGCAGTTGAACTTGACAAAGTCCATGTGTTAGCCAATGAAAGAAGGATGAGGCAGTCCTGTCAAAGAAGAATAAACAGAATTCCACATCAGAGCTGAGTTTGCAATTGCAGTTTGGTAAAGTCTGAAAAATGGAGGTAAGCAGTCAGGCTGATTTCAAAATAAGCCATTCTTTCTTGTAAAAAGCAAACAATCTTTCAAATGGGATTTGAAAACAATTGTATATCAAGCCACAAGTCATACACACTACCGCCAACAGCTCACTCAAGAAATAGATAATGTTTCATCTTTACAGTTTTGATTAACTAAAGCAGTGACACCCACACTTCACACAGATAAAATTGTAAATGATGTTTAAGTACTTACTTATGAGCATTTCTCTAAAATGTTTTGTATACCATAAAGAAAATTTTAAAAACTTATACTTACTGTATTCTCTAAGGAAGTTTATTGCTTAAATTTCCATGCAGAATAATAAAACATGCATATTTTACCTTCTTCACTAAATAAGCCTGTACTACCTAGATCTGGAGCTTTTCCCTTGTAAATCTACTTAGTTAATGGAAATAGTAACTATGCGATTAATAGAACATATTTATGTGTGTCTCTTAGCCCAGACACAATTATATAATATAAAATAAACTTTATGCCGTAAGGAACTTATTTCTGTTATATTATATTCTGATACAGTAACCAACCAGGCCATATTGCATGTGACTTGGGAGTTTCCCTGGATGTGGGACTTTCAGTGTTAAAATCAGGACAGTCCTGGGCAAACTGAGATGGCTGGTCACCCAATGACAACATATAGGAGATTTTATTATAAGACAGAAAAATTAATAAACCAGAAATGAAGAACCGCATCAATGATAAAAATAATGTCCCCGAACCAGTACTCATCCAGTTTTAACTTCATTCTGCTAAGGAAAGCCTTTGCATGGAAGGAAAATATGACATTGTATGTGGATAAAATGCTGACCATTCTCACCAAAGATAAGAAAGGTCACTAATGACCTTAGTATTGTTCATTTTGTCCACCAAACCAACCAATTCAGCCTATTAAGAATTCCTTGAGTCTCATGAATCTGTCTTATTCTCCACATTTTCTACTACTAATGCCTTCACTTATGTCTTGATTATTGTTCACCTAGGCCTTACCTGTTTTACTCTTTTTTTAACCATCCAATTCATCTACATTGTAGCAGGAATGACTGTTAAATTAATTTTAAACAAATCTGATAATGTTATTATCACACCTAACATCAAGTTATCCTCTTTTCATCTGAGGCTACAACTTGGAAAACAAAGGATAATCTTATTTTATGTGGCTATTTTAAAAAATATGTACGCTTTAATCTAAATTTTGAGGAATTGGACCATTTCATCTAAGTTGTTAAATTTATGTGTATAGATTTATTCTTAGTATTCCCATGTCAGCTCATTTTTTCTCTTTGGGACTATAGTGATGACTTTTATTTTATGCTTGATAATTGTTCATTTGAGTCTTTTCCTTTTTTATGTCAGTTTTTTTTTATTTTATTGATCTTTCAGAGAACCACCTTTTGCTTTGTCTTCTCTATTGTTTTTCTAATTTCAATTTCATTGATTTATGCCATATCTTTATTATTTCCTTCTTCCTTACTGCTTTGGTTTTATTTTTCTCTTCTTTTTCTGATTTCTTGAGGTAGTAGCTTATATTATTTACCTGAGACCTATCCTCTTTATAATGTAAACTTTTAGTACTTTAAGTTTCCCTCTCAACACTGTTCTAGTTGTGTCTCCACACATTTTGATATGTTAACATGTTATATTTTTTATGTTCTTTCAGTTCTCTGTAGTTTGTATTTCTCTGAGGACTTCCTCTTTGAACACTGTTGATTAGATTTCAAGTGTTTGAAGATTTGCATGTTATCTTTCTCTGTTCAATCTAGTGTGATTCTATTGTCATCAGAGAACACACTCAGCCAGCCCCGGTGGCTCATGCTTGTAATCCCAGCACTTTGGGAGGCTGAGGTGCATGGATCCCTTGAGATCAGGAGTTCGAGACCAGCCTGGCCAACACGGTGAAACCCTGTCTCTACTAAAAATACAAAAATTAGCCTAGTGTGGTAGCGGACATCTGTAATCCTAGCTTCTCAGGAGGTTGAGCCAGGAGAATCGGTTGAATCCAGGAGGCAGAGACTGCAGTCAGCTGAGATCACACCACTGCACTCCAGCCTGGGTGACAGAACAAGACTCCATCTCAAAACAAACAAATAAACAAAACAAAACAACAACAACAAAATAGGAACAGACCCTGTACTGATTCAACTAATACATTTGTTAAGGTTTGTTTCATTCCCCAAATATGATTTATCTTCATATATGTCGTGTGGCAATTTCAAAACAGTGTATTCTGCTCTTTTGGTGTGTTCTATAAATGCTTACTAGATCCTCATGGTTGATAATTTTTTCTTTTGATTTTTAGATTTTCTCTAACCTTGTTGTGTCTAGTTGTTCTATCAGTGTTTTAGAGATTGGTTTTGAAGCAATCAACTATAATTATGAATATGTCCATTTCTCCTTTAGTTCTATCAGTTTTGCTTCACATATTTTGTAGCTCTGCTTTGTGATTCATTCACATCTAGGATGGCTTTATCTTTTAGTGGATTGACTAGATAATCATTATGCAATGTCCCCTTTCTGTTTCTGGTAAATTTATTTGTTCTAAAGTTTACTTTATTTGATATTAATATAGTCTCATTTTTTCCAATAAATGTCTTTTAGAAGATATACATAGAGGTATTAAAGAGTACAGGCCTGGCGCTGTGGCTCACGCCTGTAATCCCCACACTTTGGGAAGCTGAGGAGAGCGGATCAAGAGGTTAGGAAATCGAGACCATCCTAGCCAACACGGTGAAACCCCATCTCTACTAAAAATTCAAAAAAATACAAAAAAAAAAAAAAAATTAGCTGGGCGTGGTGGCGGGCGCCTGTAGTCGCAGCTACTCCGGAGGCTGAGGCAGGAGAATGGCGTGAACCCTGGAGGCGGAGTTTGCAGTGAGCCGAGATCGCACCACTGCACTCCAGCCTGGGCGAAAGAGTGAGATTCTGTCTCAAAAAAAAAAAAAAAAAAAAAAAAAAAAAAGTACAGATATGCCTAAAATACCTCTTTATATATTTGCATTTGCTGCTTCTAGTAGAAAGCCTTACAGTGTGAATAGTATATAATAGAGAATATATATTATGCATAAAAGACATTTGGCTCAAAAATTACAGCTAGAACAATTCATAAAATAAAAAAGTTTCATTTTCATGAATTTAATTTTAGTTAAATTATTTTTCTTAATTGGACTGTTAGTAAAGGAATTAAATGTGTTAACCTAGGGAAAAACAAATGAAAGCACAATGCATTCTTTTGAATAGTTCAAAATTCCCTGTGAATAAGCTTTAAGATAAGGGGTCTAAACTTCGTAAGTAACTTCCATAAAGTACATTTAGTTTTTTAAAAATTGATATTTTGAAGCAGACATAAAATTCTAATTTTTGATGAATATTAGCTAGTTAGATGTAATTAACTGAATCAAAGATACCTTCAATTTATCCATTTCCCTGACTTGATATAATTTCTATATCAAGGCATATTTTTCCTTTTTATCTATAGTTCTACAAATGGAATGATTAGTTGCATTCATATAAGGCCAATGCTATTTGCTTATAACTTTTAAAAATTGCCATAAATGTTTAATTTAACCAAAGTAGCATGCTTAACTTTCTTGTAATTAAGTACAGAAGAAAACCGTGTGTGTACATCTGGTTTATGTTGTCTACTTTAACGTTATATACATTTATACATCAAGAATCTTCCATTTGGGGGTCAAACACCATAATACGTTCATTCCTAGTCTAATAGCAAATTATATTTTAAATAATATCTACCTGGATTTTTTCATTTTATGTTGTCTTTATTTTTATGCTGAAATTTTATTTTTTTTAACTGGTGGTAATGGCTTTATGGCTTTATTGGCAGCAGAATAGTACAGATACAACAAATTAATCTTGACGTCATGAGTAAGGAAAAATAAGCAGAAACCCATGTTGCACGATTTGACCACTTGCTAACCTTACTCCCATGCTCAAGTGAGTTTCTTCACGACATATGCAGATACTTAACCAAATACAAACAGGTACTTGTTAGAAATTTTTTTGTTTTCTCTTAACTTTCTTATCTTGCAGAATTTCAGATGTAGACGCAACTAGACTGGCTGGTATAACAAACCTCTGTGTACCTATCACATAGCCCCACTGATTTTCTCTTACCTACAATTACCGCATAAAGATGTTTCAGTCAGTCAGTGACAGCTGTCCCATAGCAGTATCATGGAGCTAAAAAACTCCAGCTCCATTCATCACCTAGTGATGCTGTAGCCATCATGATGTTGTAGCACAAGGCAGTGCTCACATTTTTGTGATGATGCTGGTATAAACAAATCTGTGCTGCCAGTCATATAAAGGCCTGGCACATATGATTATGTACAGTATATAATACTTAATAATAAATGACTATTATTAGCTTATTATGTATTTATTATGCTATACTTTTTTTTTGATTGTTTGGGATGGAGTCTTGCTCTGTTGCCCAGGCTGGAGTGCAATGGCGCAGTCTAGGCTCACTGCAACCTCCGCCTCCTGGGTTGAAGTGATTCTCCTGCCTCAGCCTCCCGAGTAGCTGGGACTATAGGTGCGTGCCACCACACCCGGCTGATTTTTGTATTTTTGTATTTCACCATGCTGGCCAGGCTGGTCTCAAACCCCTGGCCTTCTGATCCGCCCGGCTCGGCCTCCCAAAGTGCTGGGATTACGGGTGTGAGCCACCGCACCCAGCCTTTTATTATGCTATACTTTTATTGTTGTTTTAGAGTCTACTCTTACTTATATATTTATAAAAAGTTAACTGTAAAACAGCCTCAGGCAGGAACTTCAGGAGGTATTCCAGAAGAAGGTATTGTCATCATAGGAGACACAGCTCCCTGCAGGTTATTGTCCCCTTCTAGTCACCTCCACAATGTGGAGGTGGAAGATGGTGTTGATGATCCTGACCTTGTGAAGGCCTAGACTGATGAGTGTTTATGTTTCAGTTTTTAACAAAAAAGTTTAAAAGGTAAAAAAAATTAAATATTTAAAAAATAGAAATAATAGAATCAAGATATAAAGAAAGAAAATATTTTTCTACAGCTGTACAATTTTTTTTAATTTTTAAATTTTTGTGGGTACATAGTAAGTGTATATATTTATGGGCTACATGAGATGTTTTGATACAGGCACACAATGTGAAATAAGCACATCACGAAGAATGGAGTATCCATTTCCTCAAGCATTTATCTATTAAGTTGCAAACAATTGAACTGCATGCTTTAAGTTATTTTAAAATTGTACAATGTGTTTTTGTTTTAAGCCAGGTGTTATTACAGAGGAGTCAAGAAGGTTAAAATAAATTTTAAAGTTTATAAAGTAAAAAAGTTACAGTAAACCTAAGGTTAATTTATTATTGACGAAAGGAAATTTTTTTTTGTAAATGTAGTGAAGCCTGAGTGTACAGTATTTACAAAGCCTACAGTAGTGTACGGTAATGTCCTAGGCCTTCACATTCACTCACCACTCACTCTCTGAGTTACCCAGAGGAACTTCCAGTCCTGCAAGCTCCATTTATGTTAAGGGTCCTGTAGAGGTGAAACATTTTTCATCTTTTATACCATATTTTTACTCTACCTTTTTTTTTTCTTTTCTTTTCTTTTCTTTTTTTTCTTTTTTTCTTTTTTTTTCTTCTGAGACAGGGTCTCACCCTGTTGCCTAGGCTGGAGTGCAATGGCAGGATCTCGTCTCACTGCAGCCTTGACCTCTTAGGGTGAAGCAATCCTCTCACCTCAGCCTCCCCAGTAGCTGGGACTGCAGGCACGTATCACTATGCCTGGCTAATTTTTTTTTATTTTTTTGTAGAGAGGAGGTCTCACTGTATTGCCCAGGCTGTTTTCTATATTTAATTGTGTTTAGATACACAAATAGTTACTATTGTGTTCCAACTGCCTATAGTATTCCGTGCAGGAACATGCTGTATAGGTTTGTAGCTTAGGAGCAATAGGTTCTACCATTTAGCCTAGGTGTGTAGTAGGCTGTACCATCTAGGTTTGTATAAGTACAGTCTGTGATGTTCACACAATGAGGAAATCGCCTAAAGATGCATTTCTCAGAACGTGTCCCTTTTCCTAAAATGGAGTCTCATAATATGTGGTCTTTTGTGTCTCATCTCTTTCAATTAGCATAATGTTTTAGTTTTTTTAATTAAAACATTTTTGTGGGTACATAGTAGGTGTATATATTCATGGGACATGTGACATGTTTTGATACAGGCATGCAATGCATAATAAGCACATCATGGTGAATGGGGCATCCATCCCCTAAAGCATTTATCCTTTGAGTTACAAACAATCCAATTACATTCTTTAAGTTATTTAAAACATAAAATAAAGTTATTATTGACTATAGTCACCCTATTGTGCTATCAAATAGTAGGTATTTTTTGTATATATATACTTTAAGTTCTGGGGCACATGTGCAGAATGTGCAGTTTTGTTACATAGGTATACATGTGTCATGGTGGTTTGCTGCACCCATCAACCCGTCATCTACATTAGGTATTTCTCCTAATGCTATCCCTCCTCTAGCCCCCCATCCCCCAACAGGCCCCGGTATGTGATGTTCCTCTCCCTGTGTCCATGTGTTCTCATTGTTCAACTCTCACTTATGAGTGAGAACATGTGGTGTTTGGTTTTCTGTTCTTGTGTTAGTTTGCTGAGAATCATGGTTTCCAGCTTCATCCATGTCCCCACAAAGAACATGAACTCATCCTTTCTTATGGCTGCATAGAATTCCATGGTGCATATGTGCCACATTTTCTTTATCCAGTTATTACTGATGGGCATTTGGTTTGGTTCCAAGTCTTTGCTATTGTGAATAGTGCCACAATAAACATACATGTGCATGTGTCTTTATAGTAGAAAGACTTATAATCCTTTGGGTATATACCCAGTAATGGAACTGCTGGGTCAAATGGTATTTCTGGTTCTAGATCCTTGAGGAATCACCACACTGTCTTCCACAATGGTTGGAAAATTAGTTCCACAGTGGTTGAACTAATTTACATTCCCACCAACAGTGCAAAAGCATTCCTATTTCTCCACATCCTCTCCAGCATCTGTTGTTTCCTGACTTTTTAGTGATCGCCATTTTAACTGGCATGAAATGGTATCTCATTGTGGTTTTGATTTGCATTTCTCTAATGACCAGTGATGATGAGCTTTTTTCATGTTTGTTGGCTGCATAAATGTCTTCTTTTGAGAACTGTCTATTCATACCCTTCACCCACTTTTTGATGGGGTTGTTTGTTTTTTTCTTGTAAATTTGTTTAAGTTCTTTGTACATTCTGGATATTAGCCCTTTGTCAGAATGGATATATTGCAAAAATTTTCTCCCATTCTGTAGGTTGCCTGTTCACTCTGATGATAGTTTCTTTTGCTGTGCAGAAGCTCTTTAGTTTAATTAGATCCCATTTGTCAATTTTGACTTTTGTTGCAGTTGCTTTTGGTGTTTCAGTCATGAAGGCTTTGCCCATGCCTATGTCCTGAATGTTTTTGCCTAGGTTTTCTTCTAGTGTTTTTATGGTTTTAGGTCCTACATTTAAGTCTTTAATCAATCTTGAGTTAATTTTTGTATAAAGTGTAAGGAAGGGGTCCAGTTTCAGCTTTCTGCATATGGCTAGCCAGTTTTCCCAACAACATTTATTAAATAGGAATCCTTTTCCAATTGCTTGTTTTTGTCAGGTTTGTCAAAGATCAGATGGTTGTAGATGTGTGGTGTTATTTCTGAGGCCTCTGTTCTGTTCCATTGTTCTATATCTCTGTTTTGGTACCAGTACCATGCTGTTTTGGTTACTGTAGCCTTGTAGTATAGTTTGAAGTCAGGTAGCATGATGCCTCCAGCTTTGTTCTTTTTGGTTAGGATTGTCTTGGCTATGCAGGGTCTTTTTTTGGTTCCATATGAAATTTAAATTAGTTTTTTCCAACTTTGTGAAGAAAGTCAATGGTAGCTTGATGGACATGTCATTGAATCTATACATTACTTTGGGCAGTATGGCCATTTTCATATTGATTCTTCCTGTCCATTTGTTGGTGTCCTCTCTTATTTCCTTGAGCAGTGGTTTGTAGTTCTCCTTGAAGATGTCCTTCACATCCCTTGTAAGTTGGTTTCCTAGGTATTTTATTCCTTTGTAGCAATTGTGAATGGGAGTTCACTCATGATTTGGTTTTCTGTTTGTCTGTTATTGGTGTATAGGAATGCTTTTGATTTTTGCACATTGATTTTGTATCCTGAGATTTGCTGAAGTTGCTTATCAGCTTAAGGAGATTTTGGGCTGAGAGGATGGGGTTTTCTAAATATACAATTATGTCATCTGCAGACAGAGACAATTTGACTTCCTATTTTCCTATTTGAATACTCTTTCTTTCTTTCTCTTTCCTGATTGCCCTGGCCACAACTTCCAATACTATGTTGAATAGGAGTGGTGAGAGAGGGCATCTTTGTCTTGTGCTGGCTTTCAAAGGGAATGCTTCCAGCTTTTGCCCATTCATTATGATATTGGCTGTGGGTTTGTCATAAATAGCTATTATTTGGAGGTACTTTCCATCAAGACCTAGTTTATTGAGAATTTTTAGCATGAAGGGGTGTTGAATTTTGTCAAAGGACTTTTCTGCATCTATTGAGATAATTGTGTGGTTTTTGACTTTGGTTCTGTTTATGTGATGGATTACATCTATTGATTTGTGTATGTTGAACCAGCCTTGCATCCCAGGGATGAAGCCCACTTGATCATGGTGGATAAGCTTTTTGATGTGCTGCTGGATTCAGTTTGCCAGTATTTTATTGAGGATTTTCACATAGATGTTCATCGGGCATATTGGCCTAAAATTTTCTTTTTTTGTTGTGCCTTTGGCAGGTTTTGGTATGAGGATGATGTTGGCCTCATAAAATGAGTTAGGGAAGATTCTCTCTTTTTCTATTGTTTGGAATAGTACCAGCTCCTCTTTGTACCTCTGATAGAATACAGCTCTGAATCCGTCTGATCCTGGAAATTTTGTTTGATAGGCTATTAATTACTGCCTCAATTTCAGAACTTTTTATTGGTCTATACAGGGATTTGACTTCTTCCTGGTTTAGACTTGGGAGGGTGTGTGTGTCCAGGAGTTTATCCATTTCTTCTAGATTTTCTAGTTTATTTGCGTAGAGGTGTTTAGTATTCTCTGATGGTAGTTTGTAATTCTGTGGCATCAGTGATGATATCCCCTTTATCATTTTTTATTGCATCGATTTGATTCTTCTCTCTTTTCTTCTTTATTAGTGTGGCTAGCGGTCTATCTGTTTAGTTGATCTTTTCAAAACACCAGCTCTTGGATTGATTGAATTGTTGGAATGGTTTTTTGTGTCTCTTATCTCCTTTAGTTCTGTTCTCATCTTAGTTATTTCTTGTCTTCTGCTAGCTTTTGAATTTGTTTGCTCTGGCTTCTCTAGTTCTTTTAATTGTGATGTTAGGGTGTCTATTTTAGATCTTTCCTGCTTTCTCTTGTGGTCATTTAGTGCTATAAATTTCCCTCTACACACTGCTTTAAATGTGTCCCAGAGATTCTTGTACATTGTGTCTTTTATCATATTAAAGAAAGTGTCTTGATGATAAGGTGTCAGAAATCTATGATTCCATAGCTACCTGTTTTAATAATAATAGAGATTAAGAAATGTTTTATTTCAAATTTGTAGATCTTGGGTACTATGACAACTGTAAAACTTTTATCAGAATAAATTATAATGAAAATATGACTTTCTCTAGATTAGCTATGCCATCCATTTTATTACGTGAAGCAAAAATAAAGATACTACCAATTCATGCATATTAGTTTCCATTCTAAAATTATTTTAAATATCATATATAAAGTTACCGTACTGTGTCTCATAAAGTACATTTTTAAAGGACTGTTTAGATTTTACTAATGTAAACCTGTTTTGTTTGTCATCTTATTCTTTGCTTGCTTTCTTCTTTTAATTTAGCATGGATTTATTGTGTCACACAGTGTACATAACATGATAATATTTGCTTTGTACAATCAAAAAGGAGCTGAGATATCTAATGTTAAATTGTTGAAATTTAAAGGACAATGTGTCTAAATTTATATAAAGCCTTCAAAAACTGTAATCATCCCTAACTTCAGACCTACGGCTGCATTGAAAAGGACCATCTGTAGGGCAATACTTTTTATTTGTGAGTTAATTTACCTTCCAGACTAAATAGTTGCACACATTTTAAAAGCTGATTTAACAATTAGTATATAATATAAAATCTTCACTGTCGCCATTGTTTTAAAAACAATTCTAGACCATGAAATATATAAAAATTATTTTATTTACATGAACACCTCATAGAACTATTGTTAGCCAAATGTGTACCTGTGTGTATGTTTCTCAGCAGTAACCTAAAATATCTTTGATGTTTGAGAGAATAACTTACTCTGTAATTATTTAAGCACTTATAATTTTATCCTACCTTGTAACACTCAACATGACATAACTATTAATGCAAGAATAATGTGGCATGTATTGCTATTTCATGATCTTGTAAATTTGTTTACTGATTATGTTTTCTCAATATATTTTTTCTTTCTTTACTATTCTTTCCTTTCTATTCCGTTGTTGTTGACTCATTCCAAGAATATGTATCAAGAGAAAGAGACCTGGATTCTAATTGCCCTTCTACACTAGAAGTAGTTTTTTGTTACTAGCAGTTTCTGGGTGATGTTAATGTTGCTAGCAGTTTTTTCACTCCATAATTTTGCCTTTTAAAATTTATTTTATTGTAGTTACAAATTATTTAATCAACACGTGTACCTCATTTCAGCAGAAATTTTTATCTATATTGGATAAATTTCTCTCACAAAGGCAATTTGGCTAAGTCATAAGGAGATATACACAGATACTATAATAAGGTATTTGTTTTTTAATTTGGATTGAAATCAAAGAGATAATTTTATTCAATCCTTCCTGGTGCATCTATAGAGCCACTAATATCTCAGAGATAAAATGTTACCAGACAACAATTTAGCTAAGCCAAAGTGTCTTAAAAAAAACCATAATTCTATACATTGTAAAATGTATTTTATTTGTATAAATTTAAGGTCTCCAGTTCCATCCACATTGCTGCAGAAGATGTGATTTCATTCTACTATGGCTGTGTGTGTGTGTGTGTGTGTGTGTGTGTGTTTGTATCACCTTTCTTTATCCAATCATCCATTGATGAACATTAGGTTGATTCTATTTCTTTGCTATTGTGAATAGCCCTGAAATAAATTTACAGGTGCAAGTGTCTTTTTGATATCATGATTTATTTTCCTTTGGGTAGATACCCAGGAGTGGAATTGCTGGATGGGATGGTAGTTCTATTTTTAGTTTTTTTTTTTTGAAAAATCTCCATACTGTGTTCCATAGAGCTTGTAGTAATTTACATTCCTACCAACAGCATACAAGGATTCTGTTTTCCCTGCATCCTCATCAACATCTGTTTGTTTTATTTATTTTTTTATTTTTATTTTTTACTTTTTATTAAATAGCCATTCTCACTGGTGCAAGATAATATCTCGTGGTTTAAAATTGCATTTCTCTGATGATTAATGATGTTGAGCATCTTTTCATATGCTTGTTGGCCATTTCTTCTTCTTGTATGCCTTATTTTGAAAAAATGTCTGTTCATATTCTTTTCCTATTCTTTAATGGGAATGTTTGTGGATGAAGAGAGCAAAATCACCTGATGACCATTCAACAGGCCCTGGATACCAAAACTCCCTATCTGAGGAATTTAGAAGGAAACAAAGACCACCTGTTGATCATTAAACAGGCCATCCAGAGACAAAAGTCCTTATCTGGGGAAATTAGAAGTAATTAGACTTCTCTCTTATCTAAAGCAGGCATCTGGTTCCAGATTCCTTTCCCCACCTAAAAATCTATAAGTAACTAGATTTTCTCTGCATCTCTGGAATGCCATGCCAAAACTCACTGTGCAACCCTTGCTGACATTAAGGCACCAAAATTACTACAAATGTAATCATTTATTATGACCTACATGGCTAAATTACCCTTAAGAGCCCTCTTCAAGGTCCATAAATACCCTGAAGGAAAAATCTACCACGATGCACTCAGTCCTCTCGCTGAGGTGCCCGGCTGCACTCTTCTGCAGCTTTCTTTCTTTCTAATAAAACTCTCCTTTTTCAAACCTATACTGTTGTCAGTAAATTATTTTTACCAACTCTCAAGTTGACCACTTCTCGAAGCTGGGGCTCTGACACCTCACCCAGCCGTGGGATTTTGTTCTTGGTGTTGAGTTGTTTGAGTTCCTTGTAGACACTGGAAATTAGTCCTTTGTTGGATGCATAGTTTGCTAAATATTTTCTCCCAGTCTGCCGAATATCTATTCATTATGTTGAGTATTTCTTTTGTTGTACGGAAATGTTTTAATTTAATTTAATCCCATTTGTCTATTTTTCCTTTTGCTGTTTGTGCTTTTGAGGTCATAGTCATGAATTCTTAACCTAGACCAATGTCCAGAAGAATTTTCTCTAGGTTTTCTTGCAGTAATTCTATGTTTTTAGGTCTTACATTTAAGTCTTATGCCCTCTTGAGTTGATTTTTATAGATGGTAGATCTACAAAAGAGAACCTGTCTCTACCAGAGACAGGGGTTTTGTTTCATTTTTCTGCATATGGCAATCCATTTTTTTCTTTTTAGAATACACCAGGATTCTGTCAAGATTTTCTGTTAATACCTGGTCTAGTAACAAAATAGCCCAATGTTATGACCTTAAGTATAGACTACGTTACAAAGCAAACATCTGCCATCATCCCGTGAGCAGTTTTATTCAGTCCTGAACAACTCAGCATACTATGTTGAAAATTTCTTCTCTTTTTAAACTGAAGGTTTCACAATTCTGATTCATTTCATTCCTGATTAGTTTCAATATTCCTTTTCACAGTTTAACCTATAGAAAGACCTATTTTATATTATTAGCTTTCTTATCACTGCTATCCCTGACCTTCTCAGCACCCACCATGCCATTAGAACAGTAAAATGTAAAGATACTGTGACAATGGAAGATAGAAAAGCAGAAACTAAAATGCCAAAATTAGGGGGTGATTACAACTCCAAGAGATAAATTTGTCAGCATGCATGCACTTGCTTTTTTATTTCAATATTATAATTCTTGCTTCATCCCATAATCTTTGAAAAGTACTTTTCAAAATAAAGAAAAAATTATTTGGGTTAATTTGTCAATTTTTTTTCTAGAATGACTTCAAAGCAGTGCTTTGAAGAAGTTGTGGTCCTAGGTGTTTGTATCTTATTTCTGAACCAAAAAATATCTACTTTATATTTTTGGTGTAGAAATAGATTTAAATTTCTTAATTAGTCTGGTCTCAATTTTCACTAACTCCATAATATTTAAATATGAATATATCTTAACTTCATAAAAAAGGCAGGCAGAGATAATGTGTTTACAATAATAAGAATAACATAGAGACTAATTAATTCTATTTTCCAAATCTTGAATTATCTCGATACTATTTCAGGCTTTCATTATTTTAATTTTATGTGGAACCTTGGATTATAATATAAATGAGGCATGAATCATGACATCTGCTAAAGTGAATATTTCTGCAGAACAAGAAAAATATGAAATAATACATTATAAGTATTTTGATTAAACTATGAAAAATGTTTCTGATAGAAGGGTATTTAAAAAAATGTTAATTTTAAAAAATGTTAAATAACTACTACCTTATCTTTGCTATATTTATATATATGGTTGACAAGACTGTAGGTTAAGAAAAAATCCCAATTTATTTTTCATAAAACCTTAATTTTAAAATGTGAAGTTTAGCAGAAATAATTATTCTTAAATAAGAAAATAGATTTGCGATTATATTAGAGTCAGTATTTTGTGTGTGTTTTTTCTTTGTTTGCTTGTTCTTTTTTACTTTAAATTCTACTTTTAAAATGTGACATCTTGCTTAACATTTCCTCCGATGTTATTAAAGAAATGCCTACCCTGGAAATTTCTGGGGAAAAACTTGATCATCCAACATGTATGGAAAGCGGTATGTCCTCTTTCCCCTCTGAGAAAGTTACAGTATGTGTCAGGATAATAAAAATTCAAGGAATTTCTACAAAGAGAAAGACAGCTTTTTAATATGGATTTGCCCAGAATTTACTATAATAAATTTGATTACAAACCACTTTTCCTCTGCCACATAATAGCTAATTAACATCACACAGAATTTATCATACAAAATACATTATGAAATATGGATGTAGATTACACTTTTGTATATATAAAATCACTTTTGATAGTATGTTATAGTATCAACTACTTGAAAATAAATGTCTCCCACAGCATAAAAATGTGTTTTCTACATTTTTGGTGACTAACTAAGACCATTTTAATTATGATTAATTATACCAAACACCTAATATAGCACTTTTTCTCCCTTTTAAAGATGTTGTTCTCCCCAAAAACTTTGTGAATTATGTAGCTTAAATATTAGCAATCCTGTCATATAAATGCAAAAATTCAATGGACCAAAATAGTATAACTTTGTAGTGTAGAAGGGCAATTGGAATCCAGGTCTCTTTCTCTTGATACATATTCTTGGAACGAGTCAACTGTTTCATGTTTTAGGCCTATTTTAAATGAAAGCGAAATAAAAACTGTTAATAAAACTATAATATAAAATATTCGTTTTCATGTGTTTGTTTGTCCTAGAAGCAAAGCAGGGCACTAATTTGTTAATGATAGCTCTATGTGTTTCTTAAAAATATGTTAATTTATAAATGTCCTAGAATTCAGAAACTCGCACTGCTAGGAGACTACCCAAAGAATTCATAACCAAAGGAATCCCAGTGCTGAATTTCACAAATGATCGGAAAGTATAATAGTCACAAATCAGACATTTCAAGATGCTTAATTCCAGAAAACCAAGTTTAATGTTACCTTTAAAAAAGAGCCAAGCAGATTCATAAAGAAAATAAAGAGGGAGTGGGTAATTCCAAAATACTGAAAGCATTAGAAACAGTATATTTCAGATCTAATCTAGATATTTGAGTTATTCCTCAAATTGCATCAATTAACCTGGGAATATTGATTTTCTTTTAAAAAATTCTTATCTAGACATCTGCAGAAAATTTTACAAAACTAGATCAGTATGATCATATTATACAATTTTGTCACATTTCTGCCTTCTTTTTAATTATATTCCTCCAGAACAAAACAAATAATCATCCTTTATCTCACTACCATTTGTAATCTCATGTTAATACTCTTCATAATTTTTCTGTATGCTTATTTAATGAGAAACACACACACAATGTTTTTGTCAATTTACAAAAAAAGGGATCATATATATATACATATTATATATATAATCTGAGTTTTTTCTCTTTCAACAATATCTAGTGAAAATCATTGCAAATTAGCTAGCATCTCTTCAATTTATTATTTTTAATGACAGCATTCTATTCTATAGTGTAAATGTTCTGTGTACTTTGTAAATCTTTTTAATTGTGTTTTCGATGTGTGTGTATTCCACTTTTACCTCTACAAATAACAAGCAACACTATCATACGTATCGTTGCCAATTGTCCTTGAGTTCCAAAACTTTTTATTTTTCAGGGATAGAGTCCCAGGAGAAAGATTGACAGGTCAAGTATTATTTATGTGTTTAATTGCAATAGATGTTAACAAATTGGCTTTCACCTCTAACAATTCACACATCTTACAGCAATTTATGAGAATACCCAGTTTCATCACATCTGTGCCAGTAAAACTCTTTGATTTCTCCTAAACCTTTTATAAATCAATCCTTAATGTTTCTTTAATTTGTGTTTCTCTGATTGCTGTTGTATTTGAATAGCTTTTAATATGTTTGTAGACTATTTGGATTTACCCTTTAGTAAAATCCCTCCTTATTCATTTGTTCACAGTTTATTGGATGCTTTTGTCTTTTCTTTCCAATTTATAAGAGCTATTTGTTTATTACAGAAATTCTCCATATGTTACACTTTTCTCCCTTACATCTATTACCTAAGTACTGGATATGTTAATCTTATTCTTTACCCTACATAAGTTCTATATACAACTTGTGTGTGTGTTTGTATATATATGTGTATGTATATATGTATATACACATACATGTTTGTATATGTTGTATATGTATACATACATACACATACATGCACACATACACTTACATATACATACATGTATACACATATATACATATATACACATGTATGCATACATGTATACATGTAGGCATACATATACACATATATACATGCATGTATACATGCATATACACATATATACATGCATGCATGTATACATATATACATGTATACATGCATATACACATATATACATGCATGCATGTATACATATATACATGTATGCATGCATGTATACATATATACATGTATGCATGCATGTATACATATATACCTGTGTGCATGCATGCATACATATATACATATGTATGCATGCATACATATGTACATATGTATGCATGCATACATATACATGCATGTATACATATGCATGCATGTATACATACATATATGCACGTATACACACATATATACATGCATGTGTATGTATACATACATATATACATATATATGTATTTTTATATATATAATATATATATCCACCTTTTAGTTGTATGTGCATTTTATAGCATCAGTGCTTACAGACTTGGTTATAAACATCTAAACATCTCCTTTACCCTTACATTTTAAAGGAAAATATTAAATTTTCTTGCATTAGTTTACTACCAGTTACATTCTCACATGTAATGGGATCTATTCCTATATGCTTTCTCTATTTCTAGAAGCTAAGGCAGTATCAAATTAAATAATTATAGTAGCTTTATAGTACTATCTGAAAAGGCAAAGACATCATAGTTGTGCTTTCTCTTTATTGCACTGGAAATTATTAGAAAACTTTTCTTAACATGATCTGGAAAAACACATATCTAATTAAAAATATTGCCATACAAATATGAATTCAATTGAACTTACAGAAAAATATTTGGAGTTTAGTCATTTGTATGTCTTTCCTTCTAAAAGCATGACCTCTCTTTCCATTTGTTATATATATTTTATTCTTTTTAAAAAGCTTTTTATTATACATTCTTAATTTCTATTAAATTTATTTCTATACACCTTATAATTTTAGAAATTACTGTGAATAACATTATTTCCATTTACATTTGTGGTTTTTTTCTAGAATGTAGAAAAGATGTTTAGTTTTTTTATTTGCATCAAATTAATTTGCATTATTATCTCATTAATTTAGTAAACTTTCAACTAGCAACTTTTGGATTTTTTATATATATAATCATTTATCAGATAAATAAATTTATAATTCTTCCTTTATATTTTGCTAGGTATTTCATTTTTCTTATTATATTTGCTAAAACTGAAGGACAATATCAAATGCTAACGCTAAGAAAGGGTAACCCTATTTCATTTCCTATTTTTAATTAAGGTAATTTAGAGTTTTACTCTTTGAGTAATTATTTGCTGTGGTTTTCTTTATTTGGCTTTGATAAAGAGAGTTCTACTACCTTGAAGTATTTATCTATAGTTACTATCACCCTCTCATTCAAATTTAATCAAATCAAATTTTTGCCAGAAACATTCTACCCAAATTGGTTTTGTGAATCAGTAATTTCCCATTGCTAAATCTAATAGTCACTCATCATTCTTCTTCTGTACCTACCAAAAATATTAGATGGTTTCACATTAACGTCCTCTTTGCTATACTTTCTTCACTTGGTTTCTAGAAGAACATCCTTTCTTTCTTTCTTTTCTACTTTCTTCTCCTCAGTCTTCTGTCCTCATTCCTCTTATTCTCCCCAGACTTTTGACGTTGCTATGACTAAGGGCTCAATCTTCAATTCTATTCTTACTCCCTTGGTGATCATATTCAAATTCATAATTCTAAACACTATCTCTATGCAAAGGACTCCCAATTTTTTATTTATAGTCCAGGCCTTCCTCCTAAGCCCTAAGCTCTAGAAGTATGCATCTAATTGTCTACTTGTATTATTATTTAAATAATAGATACCTTAAGCTCAACACATTCTATAGCTAGTAAACCATGCTTTTCTTCAAAGTTTATGCACCTATCCACTCTAATACTCTACTCTTCTGTACTACACATACACAGCCTTATATGTAAAATTAACTACATGGTTATAAAATTGGTCAGATGCTTTAATAAGAAGTACATATATTGATGGAATATCTACTGTACTAAAATCATTTCTAAACTAGGAATAATAGCATTTCTTTATAAATTTAGGTTACAGTCCTCTAAAGCAAAGAAATTTATTTCTTGGTAGGCAATAAAATGTACTCAAATAAAAATATTTGTCAATGCATCCTTGTAAACAGTTATCATCACAAAATAATTTTTAAATCAGCATTTTAGTATGCAATCGGAATTCAAAAAACCACAGTGAATACATTTGTGTGTGTTCAGTAAGAGTCATGAAAGTTTTACATTATTTTAAAATATATAATGTTTACAAGAAAGAGTGTAATTGTATTAAACAGTCTTACTAAAAGAACAGAATAGATGTACTCTGAGCATTTAAAGCCTAAGGCCTTCAAAAGCAGAGCCAGCATGTCTGACTGGAATAATAGCAAACAGCTTCTTTTCTCTCCAGCTTGCTCAATGTCCCCCATTATGCCAAAGTCATGGTTTCATTCATGTTGACTGCCCTCTCCCAGATCCTACATATTATTCTGTAGCCTACTTTGTTACTGAAGAAACCTTCTTTGGCTCTATTACCTGAAATCCCTAAATCTAATTTTGTACTTTATTAGATTTATGAGCCATAATTTGTTTTCTATTAAATCAATTTTATAACATATTAGTCTCATCCCCTGAAACAAATTGTAACCTTCATGATGAGAAATACATATTCTGTTGTTGAACGTTTCCTATAGTACCTCATGTTTTGTAGGATTCATAACTGGCTAACACAGATCGCACATAATGGACTAATTTTAAAAGCAGAATAGTTATAAAAATAAGAAGAAAAACAATGTACACATATTTAAATCCCATTTCGACATGAAAACATAAATTTAATAATCCAATTGACAGTCTAGGGGACCTGTGAGAGACCCTCCAGCTAGTGGCATCTTTTTCCAAGTATAAGTATAGGATGTATTTAAGACAAATTTTGACAGGTTTCCTCAATGATGTTAAAGTGGATGCAAATATTAAATAAATTCTCTACTTCCATGTGTGTCATGAAGTTCATTTAAAGTTATGTTTTTAGAAAAGCTATTCTACCTTCCATGGAAAAGGTGACATAATTCATTTGAGAGAGGCAAAAATGTACATCATACATTTCTTTTGTTTATGGAAATGAGTGGTATTTAAAAAAGTTTGTAATTAGAAGTCTTCTATCAATCTTGCTCAAACTCATATTATTTATTGATTATAGGATTATTTATATGTACAAAAGTCAGTCTTTGAGGAATAAGACAGAGAGTAGAGAAATTATATGATTTTTTACAGAGGTTAAGCAGGTTTAAACTAGAAGTGGTGAAACTTTGGTCTCAAAAGTTGGAGTCTATAATAGAGGAAACTGACCAAAACAATTCCTGTAGGATTTAAGCTGAAAAAAATTAAGCAACACATTTCTGAGTTATAAATTGTGGAATAAACAATTGCTCCTCCAAATCTTCAAAAAGTCAAGAACTAAAGCCTTATATGTACAGTGGAGGAAAAGAAATGCCAGGTTATGTAGAAATAAAGAGAAATGACTAAATTCCCCATCTGGGTGCACACAGAAAAAAAGAGGAAAAGAGAAGGAGAAAAGTGAGAGAGATCAAAATTTCAGGAAGCACATTAACTGTAGACAGAAATGACTCAGAGAATCTAAGTCCCTTGAATTCATAGATACCTTGGGAAGGGCTTCTTTCCATGAAAGAATCAACAGATAGATGCCTGTAAGCAATTTCCTATAAATCTTAAAGGAATAGTTGACCTCAGCTGATAGTATCTAGGTTACAAAAAATACTCATGAGAATTTATGGAGGCAAGAAATTGGGTAGCTGATACTTAAAAGTGTGAGTCCACTATAAACTTCTGATCTAGAAAGAAATGTAACATGTACACAGAAACCGTCATGGCGGCAATAAAAATAGGCATCACAAAATCCATGAGAGGAAGAACTTTTACTTACCTTCTAATAATATTTTCACTCAGGTTATGCTGGATTAAAAATTAGTAAATACATAGCATGTGATATAGTTTGGTTGTGCCCCCACCCAAATCTCATCTTGAATTCCCATATGTTGTGGGAGGGACCTGGTATGTCTTTATCAGCATCATGAAAACGGACTAACACAGCATGTTAAAGTACAAAAATACTCAAAATTGGAGTTGGTTGGGGTGGAAAAAGGACTTATGGGTTATAGCTACATACTTTCCTAAATTGATATGATTTATTTTTTTTTGTTTTCCATACAAAAACTTAGGAAATACCTGAAGTTGCATATGTGAATAATAAAGTTTGTTTCAATAAATGATGCTGTTATCATAAACCTATTTTTGGTCAGTTATTTTCATGTTGACCACATTTTTCTAATGAAATGTTAACAACATTCCATTGCATGTAATAATTATGTAATAATAATAATGTTTACTAAATAGTCCTTGGGATGTTTCATGTATTTCACCTCAATTCTTACAATAATCTTATAAGTTATTATTAATAAGACTAATATTATATTGTACTTAATATTATAATTCCCACTTTATATTTGAGGAAATTGAGATACTCAAATATTACGTGATTCGGCTACATTTTCACTGTAGGTTGGCTGATTCTAAGGCCTATACTCTTTTATATTGTTTACCATTATGTTTGTTTTCGTTCAATGTCTAATATAATAACATGTTCAGGCATTAAATTAAATTACTGTTTTCTTCTGTAACTAATATTGCTGCTGATTATGATGATTACACTGATGATCTTGGAAAGATTTTGCCAAATATCTTGAGCGTAAGTCCAAAGCAAATTACATTTTGGCCATTTATTCAGACAATAATAATTGCAGTAGTCCCATCACTGTGTACACCAAACTGGATTGATAGTGCAAATAATGAAAATAATTTATAGTCTTGTTTCTAGTCTTAAAGTTGTCATAGTTTTATGTATTTATGACAATAGTATTCATAAGGTGTCATCAGATAACTGATATGTAAATTTATTTTCAAATAAAGAAGTCATAATATTTGTTTAAATTATTATTAATGGAGAAAACTTTTACTGGGATGATTAAATTTTATCTGTTGCCTCATATAACACAAAACCTGGATTAATGATTCAAAACTAAGCTGTTTATTATATCTGGTAAAATCAAATTGAATAACTTAGACTGATGAGTCAAAAGGCCATGCTAATGAGACTACATGTACTTCAGTCTTAAATGCAACATTAGACAAATGCTAAATACTTGCCAACTTATAGATAAATGCACAGAAGTTCTCTAAGTTTTGATTTCCAGGGACTCAAGGCAAGAAAAAGGGGACATAAACAATCTTGAACTTAGGTGGAACCACCAATTTGGATAAATTAAGAGGTGATATAAAATCAATCAAGAATTATTCAGTGATTGAATCTGTGCTAACGAAGCTGCTTTGTTCACGGAGGTGTCATCTGGAAGGTGAGCCTGCCCTTGTTCTGGGAGGGTATTGAATGGGTGTTGTTTTCCTCTTGTTTTTGTGGGACAAGATTCTCTTTCACAACCTCAGGGAATCTACAAACATTCTAGTAACTTCTTTTTCCCCCCACTTACTTTGATGATTTGAAAAGTAATTCATATACTCAACTATAAAAAATTATTAACTCTAAAAATTGCTTGTGATATCATTGAACACATAAAATAATTTATATCGTTAGTAAATATTATTTTCAACCATTCTATATAATGGTGATCCACCTAAAATTATATTTGAAAAAAATGAGTTCCACTGATGAAATAATTGTCAAGGCAAGATAGAAGAATTTTCCACATATAGGAATGGAAATAATGTTTTTATTTGAGCAATAAAAAGGAAAGAAAATTAAAAGAAAAACTGAAATGCCTCCTAGACACTTTAATAAAGAATAATATAACAATTTCAATTACTTTGATCACTGGAGTATATGTCTCTTGTTAAATTGACTTTTTAAGGATTCCTACATTTTTAATGAGTTGTGAACACTGATATTAAATTTTTTTCATGATAGATAGCCCTAAAAATACATCCTAGTTGTTGTTATGAAGATATCTGTATTTTGTCATCCATTATAAATTTACATGCTAAAACACAGAACCATTTTTATTCACCATGCTTATGATTACCATTAAAATTGTATTATTGGATAGAATCTAATTTGACTAAAAGATCTTTCTTCTACAAATTGTTTATTTATTTTTATGCACGCAAAATTATTTGGTAACACTTTTAAATGTGACTTTTTTCAAAAGTTTGTATAGAAATATATACATTTAGTTTGATATTCACTAATGGTTTTTAATGTACACATTATGGCTTTACCTCTAAGGGAGGATATTCAAGGACTTTATAGCTATCTGCATGTAATTCAATCTTGATTACACACATTAATTGTGTTGTTTTTTCAGATGATATACGGTGCATAGACGAGTTTTATGTGTTGAGTTGGGAGACTCCCTCTGCTTGTTTTGTGTTCTTGTGCACAGTCAGGGACTGACTTAATGTGCTGTGTACGATCATGCTGACCACCAAACGCAAAAATGTTGAGTGCACTGACATGCTCCAACCTCTTCAGGTCTAAAACAATTTTCTGACCACTACATTGCAAAACCAGATAGCTGAAAGAGAGCAGCGTCATTTAAAGTTGCCTCTGAGATCAGCTAAAGTCCATTTTCCCTCTTCCATCTATGCCTTTCAAGAGCAGGAGATGGACTCTACATCTCAGAAGTTTGAGGAATAAAAGGAACAAAGGCAACTTTCCCTTAGGAAGTCTAAATTACTTACATGTAACCTCAGAGTCCTTCAGTTTCACAATAAAGCCTAGGCAGTGCCCGCAGAACACTGACATGGTGGTGCATGAAGAGAGGGCCTCTTCAGGGTTAATTCACCTCTGCATCTGTTGATGTCCCATGGCCTTGAAGTCTCTAGGGTCTTCATGTACCTTTATTTCTTTTTGGTGTGTTTGGATCTCTGCCTGTTTACTTACAGCGCTCATGCTGTATGAAAAGAAGCAGGCTAGGATGTTTTATCTCTTGTCTGAGCTGCTTCAATTAAATTAATGGGCCCATTCAGCTCACTCTTTCCCCTTTCAGATGTACCCCTGATGAATACATTAAAAAGATCTTAAGTCTCAAGATGGTACATCATGGTATTAGCCAGGCACACATTTCCCTCTGCCTTCTTTTTCTGTAAATCAAATAATTAATGAGATCTCCACCTCAATAAAGCACTTCATCAATATTTTGTGGTAAAGGGGAAAAAATGCCCTCTTTGCATGTAGTAGAGCTTTTATCTCCATCTATGCAGAATTTCGTGGGCAAATGTAGTAATATTGAAATGACAAAATATTGACTGATTCTTGTAGTTTGTTCCTCTGAGCCGAGAAGGATTAGTTAAAGGCTGTATATGCTGTTCAACAGAGAAGCAAATGGCAAGCTTGTCAATATACCGTGGATATTTCGTGCTCAATATTTAAGCTGTAAACATCAAGTGGGACACATTAGTTCTGCAGAGTTTTATGTCACTAAAGGAGGTCATAGCTTTTCTATGGAATGTGCATATGGCTTCACTTTTTTAAAATAAAAAGTGAGCAATTGTCTATGTTTAGCTATGTTTAATTATTTTTTTGTTTTAGGATATTTTGTCTTTTCACAATGTCTTTTACTTTAAACTTTAATTCAAAAATGACACCAGATATGTACATGACTATAGTAGATCTACTTTAACTTGCTGCATGAGAAGGTTCCTTTTTATAGATTATAGATACTACATATTACCTTAGAGAAAGAAAGCCAAATTCTATTTGTTTTGTACAATGCTTTCCACTTGAGCTGGCAACTATTTATCACTTCTGAGAAGAGGCAAAACCATAAAAGTTATGAAAATTTCTCCCCCTTTCTCGTTTTTACAGATGGAATCTTAATTGAAGAGACAGGTATGTCTTCCTGAAGTGTTTAGATTTTGTTTTGGATAAGTATTCATAAGCCATATTTGATATTTCTTTGAACACTTCGTATCAATCAGCATACAAGTCAGAGTCTAATGGGAATTGAGCCTGGACAGAGGTGAAGAAGAAAATATGAGAGATGAGAGAGGACAGAGACAGAGAGCAAGAGAGAGAATTTAAATTCGATTCACATTGCCAGATATTACGCTTACCTCAGTACATCCACGTCACAATAACTCAAAACAAAATTTAGTAAACTACTAAAGGGAAGGAAGGATGTAGTCCTTATCTTTGTAGATTGTGAATTCACGCAACAAAATTTAAAGCAGTAGGAGGCCTAAAGAACAAATACTAGCAAATGAAACGGGACAAAATTAAACAAAACTAAAAGATTTGCTGCTTTCATAACAATAATTGGATATGGTTAGAGTATGACTGGGAAAGACTCATGAAGAAAGGTAAATTTGAAGCAGTGCTTTGGTGAAGAACAGGTATGCTCATGTGGAGATATCAAAAAATCGAAGTGTTGGAAATTTATAAAAGCATCATTTATGTAAAATCTTACATTTCACTCAATTTCAACTGAATGTAAAAATTAAGTACAGGTGCAGATCATGTGAAATATAATTAAAAGTTTCATTTAAATCTGTGAACTGTATGTTGCATTGAAACATAAAAGCCTCCCGCAAGAGTACGTAAATAAATTACTACTTGTTAACCTAAGAGGAAAATATTAATAAATTTTGAAGAGAAGATATGTTTACATTTTTGTACCACAATACAATGGAATGTAAAGCCCAAAGTCACTATCAAAACATTAAAAATTACTTAGAAATTCATTAAAATTTTCCAAAAATTAGTTTTTCCTAAAAGAAAATAAAAGACCATAACAACAAAACTTTGTGTCAAAATAAAAAAATGTTTAAGGATTATCTCATTTCACTCAAAACCAGTTCATGCCTGCAGATCCTGTAGTTTTAATTAATTATGGATTTTATACAAATGTCTTATTAAATGTTGAGTAGATATAAATTATTTATAACAGATATATGAAGTATTAAGTCTAATAATACAGTAATAAAGCACATTAATTTAGGGACAAAATTAACTTTATATGTAAAGTCCCTTGTGTAATCTTTTCTAATTTACAGAAAAGTACAAAAATTAATTTCTTTTCTCTCTTAGTTAACCACTATGTTAAGTCTCGTTTATCATCCCTGACTCTTCTGATTATTTCTACCACACCCATTTTATTCCAAATGATACTTTGTTTAGTCGTGTATGTGTTGAATGTTATATAAACAAAATCATATGAAATCCCTGACTTGCCCTTTTACCTGTCACTGTGTTCTAAATTAAATCATGTTGTATTTAATCTAATTTAATTCATTATTGCTGCTGCATAGTAATCCATACCAGAGTTTGTGTACCCATTTTTCTGTTGATAGTTATTTGGGTAATGTCCAGATTGTTGCATTTGTAACAGTGCCACTAAGAACATGTACTGTCTCCTGGTACACTTAAAAAAAAGAATTCAACTTAAGTATTACATAAGAATTCCAGTCAAAGATAAGTAATTTTTAAACATTTTTGCTGAGGTTTTTTTTAAGTACCTTCTCATATTAGGTTTACTCTTTCCAAAAACAAATGATTATTACATCAATGCCATTAAGTAATAAGGTTCTCTTTTCCATTTGTAAGGGAGTGCCCAGCCATATCTGCTTTCATAATTTCAATATTTCATGTTTCCACACTGATATATTCCCATATGCCTGAAATGTCTTTCAATTTATTGGAAAAATAACTTTTTTATTCATGAAAACATTATATTCAAGGTAAAAAATATTGAAGGTTATAGAAAGGTACAAAAATTAAAGGCAAAAATATAAACGCACATATATAAATGCATACACATGTATATATAAATATATACATAAATAAAATGATTATATATTAATTCCTAGCATTGAATCACTGGGTTAAACCTTCTTTGATAACAAACACTCCTGGCTGTGGAGCACTGTTGGTTTTATACTGTTGTTGTAACAAATTATCACAAGCTTAGGGGCTGAAAACAATATAAATTTGTTATCTTACAATTCTGAAGGTCAAAAATCTGAAGTGGGTTAGCAGGGCTGCGTTTTTTCTGGAGACTCTAGGAGAAAGTCTGTTTTCTTGCCTTCTCCAGCTTCTAAAGACAGCCTGCATTAGTTGGCTCATAGCTCCATCTCTCATCTTCGATGCAAGCAGTGTAGCATCTTTCAATCTCCCTTTGTCTGTCTCTGACCTTCCTGTTTTCTTCTTAGAAGGATTCTCGTAATTACATTGTTCCTAACTGGATAACCCTGGATAATCTTCCCCATCTCAACCTCATTTTATTAATTACATCTCACAATGTCTTTTGCTTTGTAAAGTAAGAAATTCGTAGTTTCCAAGATTAAGCTATGGGCATCTTTGGTGGACCATTATTTAGACCACAACAAATACCTTCTCAGTAATCTTGTTTTTGAGTAGACTGTAAAGGGAAAAATCAATAGTGATCAAAAAGTTCAAAACTGAATCTTTTCTTTAAAAGATTCACTTATGGCTAACAAAGCAGACATTCTTACAAACCTATGGTCACTGAATGAAAGTGTGTTTCTGTGCGGTGCTTCCCAGCCTTTGGAAGGGGACTCTGATAATAATGCTGGTATTCTCTCTATAGTCAACAACTATAGCTAATTTACTCCATTACTGGCTTGCTGTGAAAAGGGAGTACCTTATTTACTAATCTTAAGATGATTGGTACACAGTTCTTCTTGCTCAGATGAACAAAACTTTTGACACACTACCCACCAATTTTTATGCGTTAACTGTGGTTTACCTACACCTGA
Organism: Homo sapiens; assembly: GCF_000001405.40. Lineage (NCBI taxonomy): Eukaryota > Metazoa > Chordata > Mammalia > Primates > Hominidae > Homo > Homo sapiens. The sequence continues at coordinate 52,236,113 of NC_000005.10, forward strand.
CACTTGTATCCTAAAATATTTTATGATTAGAAAACTCATTGTTTAAAAGTTGACTTTAAAGCTTTGGCAAAGCTTAGAAGCGAATCTCATTTGCCTCAATATTAGTGAGGCCATTTGTACTGTCAGTAAAACTTGCCCTCCTACTTGGTCAAATTTACAAAGCAAATAGTTTCACCTTTTGCTACCTAGGTCAGTTTGTGGTCAATGTAAACTTTTGTGCTGTAGGAGGTCAAGTGATTCATTTTTAAAACAAAAGAAAAATATTATCTCTATCAGGATGTCAAAAGGCAGCCTATCCGATATATTAATAAACAAAGCCAGATGGTCTTCTCCTATATATTTACCCATTGCAGAGGCATTCACTGAGCTGAATGAATGTATTATAACAGCTAGGGCTTGAATTAGAAGACATTTAATTATGAGGCACATAAATGAATAATAAAATATTCCTTCATAAATATTAGTGTACATATGGACAACTGTAGCAGAAAAGGATAAAATTATGCTAGCAAAATTTTATGTAATTAGATTGAAAGGTTTTCAAAATTTTAATGAGCAAAGATTCAACAGGAATAATTGTTAACAAATAAGTCACTGATAATATATGAGCTGTGGCCACATTGAAAGAGACTAGATTCCTTGGGGTTGCTTGACAGTATGTTGTCATCTGAATCTTACTTAAATTGCTGTTTTTTACAATATGGCATAGGATCCCTGTTCCTGGTCCCTCCCCTATAAATACAGCTAAGTGTTCCAGTAATTATTCAACAGACAATCGTAAATGGACTTGGAACTCTGAACAGTGTAAAGAAAAAGATGAATTCACAGCCCCGAATTCTCTTGGTTTTCTTTTTGTCTCCCAAATATCCCAATGTGGGTACCAAAGAGGCTTGTGATCTGGAAGCACCACCAGGTGTAGACCAAAACAAGCAAAAAACTCCTGCAGAGGGGCATCCTTTGCCCCATCTCTAAAGAGCCAGCAAGACTTATTGGGAGGGACCCACACCAGAAGTCTGGTCACCTCCAAGCCCTCCACCTTTGGCTTTATGGCACAAAGCTTCTTCTGACTCATTATTTAAAAAATAAAGGTAGGTATGGTTAGGCAACATTGAGCTCTGACAAGGAGAAAGTTCACAGTCTTTTTAGGCAAAAGAAAAAGAATAAAACTTTTGTATAGAAAAATATTTAAGTGCAAGACAGTAAAGTTAGATCTAATTAAATCATAGTATTTCCAATGCTATTTAGATTCAAAATATGTTGTGTTAGGTTAGACAGTGTTATCTTAGAGAAAACTGATGCAGAGATTTTCTGATATGAAAGTCTTACTACATCTTCACAGAGAAAGGGAGAAGCTTGGATCTCCTACTCTTAAGGTACTAACAACTATTCGAAGTCAATAAAGGGAAAGTAGTAAAGGGAAAGATATATTTGGAAGATGGACATGAATTTCATTTAGTCCTAAGGAAATTAATTAGCAGAAAGGACACAAGCACATATATGTTTTTAATCAGCAGTGTAGACATTACTTTGAACAAATAGAGATAACCAACTTAAGCTTAAATACTGAGATGGTAAAAGACATTTTGCTGAAAAATAAAGGCAGAGTTGACACGAATGTCTTTTGTGCACTGCCCAAAGGGCCTTGGGAAAGGTAAAGTGGGGCAAAATTTGGTCCATAATTCATGTGTCAAGTCATGCAGTGCAGTTCTGCGTCTACCAAAGAGAGGGAGTGACATTTCTACTTATTGCAATATCACTGATCACCAAACCATTCCCTTGTAGGTCGGCCATCCACCAGACAGACACTTTTTTCTCCTTTTCCCAAAAGTACTGTATAGACTAATTATATACCTGGGGTAAATATGCAAAACGAACACTCAAATAATGACAAAAAAATCAAAATAAAAGTGTCAACCCCAAATGGGTGTGTCAGCCATGGCATTTGGAAAAATGAAAGTCACACAGAAAAATATTGGTGGTGCCCATCCGAAACTTGTCAACAACCCTTGAGAAAGCTGTGGCTGCTAACTTGGAATCTGTTCAGTGCTATTGGCAAAACTTTTTTTATGAATACTCTGAGACAATTGCCATATTAACCATTAAATGCATTAGCTCTCTTTTATTCTCACAAAACATTTTGCAAGCACAATTTTGATTCTGTTCTATATGTGTTTGAATGGAGCATCCACGCCATTCTTCTGGCCCAGTGTTTCATGGAGAAATAATTATTGGCTGCTTGAATAAAAGTATAAAGTATAAGCATGGGCTTTTGTTGTGCTAAAGGACAGACAGAATTTCAAAATGGAGACTCAAAGAAGGCTAAGTTAATTATCGTGAGAAAAATTATGGAGCTGTTTAGAGCTGAAATAATTTTGACTTAGAAAATCTGGAAATATGGAAGATTTATATTATCTATTTCCTTCCTTCCTTCCTTCCTTCCTTCCTTCCTTCCTTCCTTTTTCTCTCTCCGTCTCTGCCTCTCTTTCTTTCTTTCTTTCTTCCCTTCACCAGCTGCTCTGAGGAGTTTAGGGACATTTTATTCTTTGCACCATGCAATAGCATTCTTTGGATCCCCTTGAGATGTGGATATAGAATCATGAAACTTAAAATCCTAATCATATTTTAATTGCAATATGATTCACAAAAATGCACAGATTTTAAAAGCACATTTTAATTAGTTTTGACAAATGTACACCCCCTTGTAACCACTACCCAAATCAAGATATTAAAAATTTTCATTATCTCAAATATTGTCATCAAGCCCAATTACCAACTCCTACAGTAATATCCAGAGTTCTAATTTCTATAACTAAGTTTTGCCTTTTCCAGAATTTTATATAAATGCAATCATGTGGTAGGTATTCTATTTCCTTTCTCATACATTCTGTTTTATATATCAGTTCGTTTCTTCTGATATCCAAGGCCATTGCATCATATATGAATATACCATTTCCAGTTTCTATTTAATTTGAATAAAACTGTTATGAATATTCTCATACATATATTTTTGGTAGACCTATGTTTCCGTTCTTGGGGAAAATGCCTGAGAGTGCAATTGCTGGGTCATGGAGTAATTGTAAGTTTATTTTTATAAAGATATGCTGAGTGATTTAATTACTGCTAAACATTTTACATCACTTCTCACCATGTATGAGAGGTCCAGGGTTCCTTATCCTTGCCAAAACTCATTTTTGTCAATCTTTTACATTTTAACTATTTTAGTGGGTATATAATAATATATCAATGTCGTTTTAATTTGTATTTAACTGATGACAAACATTATGAGAACACCCTTTTCTGTGTTTATTGGTTATTAATATATTTTATTTTGTGAAGTAGCTGTTGCTCATTTTAATATGAAGATCTTAACTTTTATTATAGACTTGTTGGACTTAAAAAATTAGTCTATTTTGGACACAAAACTTTGCAAGATATAAGTATTGGGGGTATTTTTTCAGTCTGTGGCTTGATATTTCATTTTCTTGATGGTCTTTTAATGAGCAGAAAATTTTAATTTTGTTTAAGTCTAATACATCAATTACTTTGTTTCATTTTTTGTTAGTTATTTTGTCTGGCATAATATATATTTTCTTACAATAGGTAGCACAGATATTTTTCTAAGTAAAACAAATTATATTTGTACCTTTTAAGTTTAGGTCCATGATCCATCTCAAACTACCTTTTGCATATGGCATGAGGTAGGGGTCTGGGTTTATCTTTTCTCAGACATTATACAGTTATTTCAGCGTCTTTTGATGAAAAAGTTTTCTTTCACACATTGAATTACCTTGGCACTTTTTCAAAAATCAATTGATTATATATGTTTAGGTTTATTTCTGGACCCTATCCTTTTTAACGGCCTATTTTTCTATCCTTACGCCAAATGCATACTGTTTTGATTACTTTAGCTTTATATTAAATCATAAAACCAGATTGTGTATGTTCTAATATATGCTTCTTTTATAGAGTATTTTAGCTGTTTCAGGAAGTTTGATCTTTTATACAGACTAGTACAAATAATAAATTTAGCTAATCAAGTTTTGAAAATATAAAAGCCTGCTAAAATTTTAATCCAGATTACTCTGAATGTGTATATCAATTTGGGGGAAAATTACATCTTGACCGTATTAAATCTTCCAATACATTAACACTATATCTATTTCAATTTATTTAGGACTTAGTCAATATTATTTACTTATTCTTTCTGTAATCTAATAGTAGATTCTCAATGTAGATGTACTGCGCATAATTTGCTAAATCAATTCTTAAGTACTGTATGTTTTTGATGCCATTATAAATAATATTTTAAATCCATTTTCTAATTGTATGTTGCTAATATGAAATGCAGTTAATATTTCTGTTAATCATGACCCTGTGACCTTCCTAAATCAATTTTATCAATTTCAGTAGTAGTTGTGTTTTGTAGATTTATTAGCATAGGAAAGAGTTTAACTCATTTCCAGTTTTTATGCTTTTTCTTTTCCTTGCTCTTTAGATTTGGCCCAGACTTCCAGTACTATGTCAAGTATAAGTGATAAGATCAAATATTCATGACTTCCTCATCTCAATATAATGTTCTCTATAAGGTTTTCACACACGCACTTTCGTAGAGGAGGAAAATTCCCTCCTGTTCCTAATTTGCTAAGAATTTTTATTATTTTTATAAATGTGTGTTGAATTCTTTCAAATGCTTTTTTGACATATATGGAGATGACTGTTTTTTAAGGTAATATGTTAATTGTTGATTTTTACTGATTAATTTTTCACGTGGTAAACCCAATTTATATTTCTGGGATAAAATCCAGTTGTCAGGAGTTACTATTCTTTATTTATGTTGTCAGATATGTTTGTGAATATTTCGTTAAGGATGTTTTTATATCTACGTTTATAAAGGATGTCATCTGTAATTTTCTCTTGTCAATTTCCTGTCTGGTTTAGATATCAGGGTTTTGCTGTTCTTATAACACAACTACATAATGTTTTCTCATCTATTATTTTCCAAAACTGTCTGTATAAGATTGGCATTATTGTTTTCCAGAAATATCTGATGAATATCAACAGTAAAACAATCTGGCATGGCAGATTTTTTATAAGACAGTTTTTAATTACAAATTTAATTTTATTTTTAGAGATAACACTATTCAGATTTTGTGTACCGTCTCATATGAGTTTTGGTAATTCCTGTCTTTTAAGATATTTGTCTGTATTACGTATTATCAAATTGTTAGCATTATGCTGTCTGTAAAACTCCCTTATAATCCACCCAATATCACTGAAAATAATTTGTGTCATCTCTTATTTCTGATATTTCTGGTATTGTGTGTTTTCTCTGTTTTTGTAGTCGTCTGACTAAAGATTTATTATTTCTGTTAATCTTTTAAGAATTGGTGTTTGGCTAATTATGTTTATTATTTTCTGTTTCATAGTTTATTAATTTGTATGTATATCTTTATTATTTTTTACTCAACTTTGCATTTAATTTACATTTCTCTTATTTATTTTTAATTTTCCAAAGTGAATGGTCACATAATTTATTTTAAAACTTTTCCAATAAAAGCATTTAAATAGATTTCTAAGGAAAAAATTATTTTCTTCTTTTCTTAAAAAAGGAAACCCTTTACTCCATTTCCAAATGTTAAAATGTTGAGTTTTCATTATCATGTATTTAAAAATATTAAACAATTGTTCAATTGTTTTTGAGACTGAACTTTTGTATGTGTTATCTCGAAATACAGTTGTTTGCTTTTCAGATATTTAAGGTTTTCTAGGTAATTTAAGTAAAATTTTCCAATTTAATTCCATGTGGTCAGAGAAAATTCTCTCTGCATATATGAGTATAGATAGATATCTCTATATATTTTTTCATATTCTATTTTTAGATAAGTTTTTGATATATTATATAAACATATGTACAATATATAGATTATTTATACTATAGTTTATATAACGTGTGTATCTATTTATATACAAACACATATACACATACATTTGATTATGGCATAGTATCCAGGAGAATGAATATTCTGATGTTTTGTGTGGAGTGTTCTATAAATATTAATTGTGCTAATTGTGACAAGTTGCTTGAGAGCACTGTTTCAATTTTCTATATTTTTAGTTATTTTTTCCCATCAATTACTGAAAGAGAAGTGCTAATATTTCCAACCATAATTGTAGATTTGTCTATTTATGCCATTAGTCCTCTCAGATTTTGCTCTACGTACTTTTGAAGCTCTGCTATTTAGTACGGACATATTTAGGATTATTTTATCTTTTCGATAAATTGATAATCTTTCTATCATTGAGAAATGACTCTCTTTTACCTCTGGTAAGATCTCTTATCTTAAAGTTTACTTTGATCTATTTTATTCACACTAGTGTTTATATGCTTAGTATTTCTTTTAGTTCACTTTTACAATCTCTGCTTTTTTATTGCAATGTTTCTTTCATTTACATTTAATGTGATTATTTGATGTGAATGAGTTAACACCTACCACCTTGCTCTTTGTTTTCTACTTGTCTCCTTTCTTGTGTGTTTGTATGTTTGTTTGTTTGGTCCTTCTGTGTGTTCTCCATTTGGATTGATTAGCTATTTTACTAGTTTTATTATATCACCTTTATTCGATTTTTCACTGATCATTTTACTCTTTTAATGATTGCTCTAACAGTCATTACAGTCCATCATGAATATTCATCCTTCATTCGTTACAGTCAGCCATGAATTATTTTTATGCCAACACATATGAGAAACTTCAAAGACCATAATTTTTATACTTTCTTCTAAACTTTATGCTGTACCATGTAGACATATTTTATGAACCACGTAACACATTCTAATTTTCTTTTTTAAAATAATTTTTATTTGTATTTCAATAGTTTTGGGGGCATGGTAGTTTTTGGTTACGTGGATAAGTTCTTTAGTGGTGATTTCTGAGATTTTAGTGTGCTCATCACCCAAGGAATGTACACTGTACCCAATATGTAGCCTTTTATCTCTCATCCCCCTTTTCAGCCTTCCCTCCTGAGTCCCCAAAGTTCATTATGTCATTCTTATGCCTTTGCATCTTCATAGCTTAGCTCTCACTTATAAGTGAGAACATACAATATTTGGTTTTCCATTCCTGAGTTACTTTACTTTGAATAATGGCCTCCAGCTGCATCTAAGTTGATGCAAAAAAAAAAAATTGCTCCTTATCATGGAGGAATAGTAGTCCATGATGTATATATACCACTCTTCCTTCACCCACTCATTGGTTGGTGGGCACTTAGGTTGGTTCTATATATTTGCAATTATAAACATGAATGTGCATGTGTCTTTATCATATAATGCTTATTTTCCTGTGGGTAGATACTGAGTAGTGGAATTGCTGGATTGAATGGTAATTCTACTTTCAGTTTTTTAAGGGATTTCCATATTGTTTTGCATAGAAGTTGTACTAGTTTGCATTCCCACCAGCAGTGTAAAAGTGTTCCCTTTTCACCACATTCACACCAACCTCTATTGCTTTTTGACTTTTTAATTATGACCATTCTTGCAGGAGTAAGGTGGTAACTCATAGTAGCTTTAATTTTTATTTTCCTGTTAATTAGTAAAGTTTAATATTTTTAAATTATATTTTAAATCTGTAAATGAACTTTTTAACATTTTCTGATATATTCAGATTTTTTCTTTTCTCTTTACTACTTACATCAATTGTTTTCTATAAATGTTTTAACATATCTACAATGGGTATTTAAATTATTTTTCTGCTAAATACAACATGTTTGCTCTAGATTTTTTTCTATTGACTAATCTTTTCTCTTGACTATGGGTCATATTTTTGACCATCCTCGCATGTTTTTCATATACAAAAGACAGACAGAGAGATTTGGTTATGTAATGTATTTGAGATTGAATTGTATTCTACTGGCAGATAAATTATTCTTGGACACTTTGATATTATGGGAAGCTTGGTTTTAGGTGTCCTTGGGACCTATGCCTTGTTATTTCCCCTTAACACTAAGGTATAACTATTATTCTTAAGCATTAAGTTTCTTAATTTTTAAATGTTATTCTTCTGGACTTTCAATGGATAGGCTGATCATTTAGCAAGACTGTTTACTTTGGCATAATCTGAACCCCAAACTCATATTCCCAAGTGCTTATCCATTGCTCAAATTTGTGTTCAGTTTGTCATCTTTCCCACTGTTACTTTCAAACTGTGAGTCTCACTCCACATTTATAAAATCCAGTAATCAAACAGGAATTTGCAGATGTTTGTTTGCAGGTTTGGGAGCTTCCTTTATTTGTGCCTCCCTCCCTTTCCAAGATTTCTTTCTTTCTTTCTTTTTTCTTCTTCTTTCCTTTTTTTTTTTTTTTTCAGGCAGCATATTGCTGTCACCCAGGCTGGAGTTCAGTGGTGCCATCTTATTTCACTGCAAGCTCCACCTGCCTCACTCAGGTGATCCTTCCACCTCAGCCTCCCCAGTAGCTAAGACTGCAGGCATGCACCACCATGCCCAACTAATTTTTGTATTTTTTGTAGAGACAGGGTTTCACCATGTTGCCCAGGCTGGCTTTTCAGGATTCCTATGCTTGTTTATATTGGCTTTGGAAGTCCCAAACTCCGACCTAAAAATATAAAATATTTATTTTGTATTTGAGTTTAATTCTCCATGCAAGAGATAAGTGATAATTGCCCTTATTAAAGAACTTAAATAAATGTGGAATTCACTCAGTAGCTTTATCCTCTTTTAATGGTTTTATCCCTTCCTGTTCCTGTCTTTTATATTGATTTTTCTCGACTACTTTAAAAGAGGGATTTTTGAAATCATATGGCATGAACCACTGCCCATTTCCCTCATTTTCTTAAAAAGAAAAGTTAAGACTAGTTCAAATCACTTTATTCATCTTTCCTGAATGATTCTAATACCACTAAAAAGTAAATTGTCACTGGAAAATCATTGATTATGTAGCCTTTACAATCATAGGTAAAGACACCTTGTTCCAAGACCAAAAAAAGAAAATTAATGAAGAACACTTCTGATATGGTTTGGCTCTTTGTCCTCACCCAAATCTCATCTTGAATTATCATCCCCACAATCCCCATGTGTCAAGGGAGGGACCAAGAGGAAGGTGATTGAATCATGGAGGCAGTTTCCCCCATGCTGCTCTTGTGATAGTGAGTTCTCATGAGATCCGATATTTTTATAAGTGCCTGACATTTCCCCTGCTTGCTTTCTCTGTTACCTGCCGTCATGTAAGACGTACCTTTGTTTCTCACTTGCTTTCTGCCATGATTGTAAGTTTCCTCAGGCCTCCCCAGCCATTTGGAACTGTGAATCAATTAAATCTCTTTCCTTTATAATTTACCCAGTTTTGAATATTTCTTTATAGTAGTGTGAAAATGAACTAATAAAACTTTCATGGATGAAAAGGGAGGATTTTGTATCTGCTTGGAAAATGCTACTGAAATGCTTAAAGGAGCAGGTGTCAGAGTTGGAAATACGTGGAAGAATAAGTGACACTGTACTTCTAGCATTAGAATATATATTATTTGCTCATCATCATCATCACTGGCCATCAGAGAAATGCAAATCAAAACCACAATGAGATACCATCTCACACCAGTTAGAATGGCTATCATTAAAAAGTCAGGAAACAACAGGTGCTGGAGAGGATGTGGAGAAATAGGAACACTTTTACACTGTTGGTGGGACTGTAAACTAGTTCAACCATTGTGGAAGTCAGTGTGGTGAAGATCCCTGAGGACAGGGATCTAGAACTAGAAATACCATTTGACCCAGCCATCCCATTACTGGGTATATACCCAAAGGATTATAAATCATGCTGCTATAAAGACACATGCACACATATGTTTATTGTGGCACTATTCACAATAGCAAAGACTTGGAATCAAGCCAAATGTCCAATAATGATAGACTGGATGAAGAAACTGTGGCACATATACACCATGGAATACTATGCAGCCATAAAAAAAGATTAGTTCATGTCCTTTGTAGGGACATGGATGAAGCTGGAAACCATCATTCTCAGCAAACTATCGCAAGGACAAAAAACCAAACACGGTATGTTCTCACTCATAGGTGGGAATTGAACAATGAGAACACATGGACACAGGAAGGGGAACATCACACACCAGGGCCTGTTGTGGGGTGGGGGGAGGGGGAAGGGATAGGATTAGGAGATATACCTAATGTTAAATGACGAGTTAATGGGTGCAACACACCAACATGGCACATGTATACATATGTAACTAACCTGCACGTTGTGCACATGTACCCTAAAACTTAAAGTATAAAATATATATATATATATATATATTATTTACTCAAGTTCCCAAGAAACCTCTGTTTCTTTATTGGATAGCTTGACCATCCAAAAAGATTGTGGTTCATGTGAAGAGTAGCTGGAATTTCTAGATGACATTCAGAATTGCATTTCAAGGTAAAAAATGGAGTTCTACATGATTCATACTTCATGGATTTTGTAGCAGATCAGCTGTTAGGATGAGGGTAGTGTTTTGAAAATGAAAATCAAAATAATAACAACAACAGAAAGTCTACATGATCCAGTCAATAAGAGAGTTAGGTAAACAGTCATTTTTTTTTTATTTTTTATTATACTTTAAGTTTTAGGGTACATGTGCACATTGTGCAGATTAGTTACATATGTATACATGTGCCATGCTGGTGCGCTGCACCCACCAACTCGTCATCTAGCATTAGGTATATCTCCCGATGCTATCCCTCCCCCCTCCCCCCACCCCACAACAGTCCCCAGAGTGTGATATTCCCCTTCCTGTGTCCATGTGATCTCATTGTTCAATTCCCACCTATGAGTGAGAATATGCGGTGTTTGGTTTTTTGTTCTTGCGATAGTTTACTGAGAATGATGATTTCCAATTTCATCCATGTCCCTACAAAGGACATGAACTCATCACTTTTTATGGCTGCATAGTATTCCATGGTGTATATGTGCCACATTTTCTTAATCCAGTCTATCATTGTTGGACATTTGGGTTGGTTCCAAGTCTTTGCTATAGTGAATAATGCCACAATAAACATACGTGTGCATGTGTCTTTATAGCAGGATGATTTATAGTCCTTTGGGTATATATCCAGTAATGGGATGGTTGGGTCAAATGGTATTTCCAGTTCTAGATCCCTGAGGAATCGCCACACTGACCTCCACAATGGTTGAACTAGTTTACAGTCCCACCAACAGTGTAAAAGTGTTCCTATTTCTCCACATCCTCTCCAGCACCTGTTGTTTCCTGACTTTTTAATGACTGCCATTCTAACTGGTGTGAGATGGTATCTCATTGTGGTTTTGATTTGCATTTCTCTGATGGCCAGTGATGATGAGCATTTTTTCATGTGTTTTTTGGCTGCATAAATGTCTTCTTTCGAGAAGTGTCTGTTCATGTCCCTCACCCACTTTTCGATGGGGTTGTTTGTTTTTTTCTTGTAAATTTGTTTGAGTTCATTGTAGATTCTGGATATTAGCCCTTTGTCAGATGAGTAGGTTGCGAAAATTTTCTCCCATTTTGTAGGTTGCCTGTTCACTCTGATGGTAGTTTCTTTCGCTGTGCAGAAGCTCTTTAGTTTAATTAGATCCCATTTGTCAATTTTGTCTTTTGTTGCCATTGCTTTTGGTGTTTTAGACATGAAGTCCTTGCCCATGCCTATGTCCTGAATGGTAATGCCTAGGTTTTCTTCTAGGGTTTTTATGGTTTTAGGTCTAACGTTTAAGTCTTTAATCCATCTTGAATTGATTTTTGTATAAGGTGTAAGGAAGGGACCCAGTTTCAGCTTTCTACATATGGCTAGCCAGTTTTCCCAGCACCATTGATTAAATAGGGAATCCTTTCCCCATTGCTTGTTTTTCTCAGTTTTGTCAAAGATCAGATTGTTGTAGATATGCGGCGTTATTTCTGAGGGCTCTGTTCTGTTCCATTGATCTATATCTCTGTTTTGGTACCAGTACCATGCTGTTTTGGTGACTGTAGCCTTGTAGTATAGTTTGAAGTCAGGTAGCGTGATGCCTCCAGCTTTGTTCTTTTGGCTTAGGATTGACTTGGCGATGAGGGCTCTTTTTTGGTTCCATAGGAACTTTAAAGTAGTTTTTTCCAATTCTGTGAAGAAAGTCATTGGTAGCTTGATGGGGATGGCATTGAATCTGTAAATTACCTTGGGCAGTACGGCCATTTTCATGATATTGATTCTTCCTACCCATGAGCATGGAATGTTCTTCCATTTGTTTGTATCCTCTTTTATTTCCTTGAGCAGTGGTTTGTAGTTCTCCTTGAAGAGGTCCTTCACATCCCTTGTAAGTTGGATTCCTAGGTATTTTATTCTATTTGAAGCAATTGTGAATGGGAGTTCACTCATGATTTGGCTCTCTGTTTGTCTGTTGTTGGTGTATAAGAATGCTTGTGATTTTTGTCCATTGATTTTGTATCCTGAGACTTTGCTGAAGTTGCTTATCAGCTTAAGGAGATTTTGGGCTGAGACAATGGGGTTTTCTAGATATACAGTCATGTCGTCTGCAAACAGGGACAATTTGACTTCCTCTTTTCCTAATTGAATACCCTTTATTTCCTTCTCCTGCCTAATTGCCCTGGCCAGAACTTCCAACACTATGTTGAATAGGAGTGGTGAGAGAGGGCATCCCTGTCTTGTGCCAGTTTTCAAAGGGAATGCTTCCAGTTTTTGCCCATTCAGTATGATATTGGCTGTGGGTTTGTCATAGATAGCTCTTATTATTTTGAAATACGTCCCATCAATAGCTAATTTATTGAGAGTTTTTAGCATGAAGGGTTGTTGAATTTTGTCAAAGGCTTTTTCTGCATCTATTGAGATAATCATGTGGTTTTTGTCTTTGGTTCTGTTTATATGCTGGATTACATTTATTGATTAGCGTATATTGAACCAGCCTTGCATCCCAGGGATGAAGCCCACTTGGTCATGGTGGATAAGCTTTTTGATGTGCTGCTGGATTCGTTTTGCCAGTATTTTATTGAGGATTTTTGCATCAATGTTCATCAAGGATATTGGTCTAAAATTCTCTTTTTTTGTTGTGTCTCTGCCTGGCTTTGGTATCAGAATGTTGCTGGCCTCATAAAATGAGTTAGGGAGGATTCCCTCTTTTTCTATTGATTGGAATAGTTTCAGAAGGAATGGTACCAGTTCCTCCTTATACCTCTGGTAGAATTCGGCTGTGAATCCATCTGGTCCTGGACTCTTTTTGGTTGGTAAGCTATTGATTATTGCCACAATTTCAGCTCCTGTTATTGGTCTATTCAGAGATTCAACTTCTTCCTGGTTTAGTCTTCGGAGAGTGTATGTGTCCAGGAATTTATCCATTTCTTCTAGATTTTCTAGTTTATTTGCGTAGAGATGTTTGTAGTATTCCCTGATGGTAGTTTGTATTTCTGTGGGATCGGCGGTGATATCCCCTTTATCATTTTTTATTGCGTCTATTTTATTCTTCTCTCTTTTTTTCTTTATTAGTCTTGCTAGCGGTCTATCAATTTTGTTGATCCTTTCAAAAAACCAGCTCCTGGATTCATTAATTTTTTGAAGGGTTTTTTGTGTCCCTATTTCCTTCAGTTTTGCTCTGATTTTAGTTATTTCTTGCCTTCTGCTAGCTTTTGAATGTGTTTGCTCTTGCTTTTCTAGTTCTTTTAATTGTGATGTTAGGGTGTCAATTTTGGATCTTTCCTGCTTTCTCTTGTGGGCATTTATTGCTATAAATTTCCCTCTACACACTGCTTTGAATGTGTCCCAGAGATTCTGGTATGTTGTGTCTTTGTTCTCGTTGGTTTCAAAGAACATCTTTATTTCTGCCTTCATTTCGTTATGTACCCAGTAGTCATTCAGGAGCAGGTTGTTCAGTTTCCATGTAGTTGAGCGGTTTTGAGTGAGATTCTTAATTCTGAGTTCTAGTTTGATTGCACTGTGGTCTGAGAGACAGTTTGTTATAATTTCTGTTCTTTTACATTTGCTGAGGAGAGCTTTACTTCCCAGTATGTGGTTAATTTTGGAATAGGTGTGGTGTGGTGCTGAAAAAAATGTATATTCTGTTGATTTGGGGTGGAGAGTTCTGTAGATGTCTATTAGGTCCGCTTGGTGCAGAGCTGAGTTCAATTCCTGGGTATCCTTGTTGACTTTCTGTCTCATTGATCTGTCATTTTTTAAATGAGGCTTATAATTTACCGTAGTAGAGGAGACATCCACATTTCAAGCGTTACTGAAACCAATTAAAAAGGGAAAAAAGAAAGATGTCCTTGTGGAGACTGCCAAAGAATAAGGTCAGACTGAAACATGGACTTGAAATGCCCAAATACTCATCGACTCGGAATGAATGCAGACCCGACTCTAATCTATCAGATATCAAAAGTAAAGATTTGAATGGAGAAGAATAAGTTCTATGACAAAATCAAACAGAAGATAAGCTCAGAACCAATATGAACTAGGAATTGCATCTTGTGATTTATTTGTTTTTATTGAAAGAAAACATTGTTCACAAAAGAATAATTTTACCTAATGAGATGCTAATATCATGATGTTTCAGAAGACTTTGAGATAATGTAAGAATAATTGAGTCACAAACCAGGACTTCCTGGGAATTTTGTGGGTTACAGTGTACAAGTCCCTGCTTTCTTCAGTTATAAAAAGAAGGATAATTAGTAGACAACTTCAGCCATAGCTATGGTTAAATGTTTGTCCCCTCCAAACTGCATGTTGAAATTTGATTTCTGTTGCTGGAGGAGAGGAAGTATTCAGGTAATAGGGGTGGGTCTCTCATAGAATAGATTAATATCCTCAGAAGTGATTGAGTTTTCACTCTATTCATTCCCACAAGAGCTAATAGAGCCTCGATCCACCTTCTCTCTGTCTCTCTCTCTCTTTCTCTGACTCATTTGCTGTCTTTCTTGCCATGTGATCTCTGTATCTTCTGGCCTCCCTTCACCTTCCTCTATGAGTAAAAGCAGTCAGAGGCCCTCACCAAATGTATTTGGCCAAAGTTGAGCTTCTTGATCATCAGAACTGTGAGCCAACGAAACCTTTATTCTTTGTAAATTACCCAGTATCAGGTATTCTTTTAGAGCAACCCAAAACTGACTAAGACAGCCATAACAAAAAGGAACTCATTTCATTCTCTTTTTTTCCATGCAGAAAAATCAGCTCTAGTCAGTTTTGGAGGTATTAAACTGAGCTTCAGATAGATTTACTGCTCTCAAAATTTAAATCCCCAAAAGCTGCTTTGGCTGGATTACACCAGGATAGAAACCACCAAGCTGAAATTTGTGCTTTTCCTTTTCACATCTGGGAGAACCAAACTTCACTCTGAAGGAAGAGAAGGAAAAAAGAGGAGGAGGAGTAACAGAGAAGTAGCCGCAGCTTGAATGTGAATAAAGGACTTTTTTGTAGAAAAAATATATTGCTCTTTGATTTGCAAAGACAGCAGTTATTTGTAAGAGGCAAGAAATAAACATTTTAGGATTATCCCCTATTCGAAGTATTAAAGAGAAGCTTTTAAAAGAAAATTATAGCTTAAAAAGTAGAAAATGGGACAAGAATTAGAAAGTGGGAGAATAATGGAAAAAAACAAGAAGATTAGAAGTTTGAGTAAGTATTTTCAATGCAAAAGGGAGAAAGAGAGCATTCTTTTAGCAACACCAAAAGAAATGATGAGGATATTTTTATAGTATACTATATTACATGAGATTTAAATTGTTTTTCTGGATAATAAACTGGTATTTCTTTTGAAGTTAATATTGATCTGACACATTGAATATGATAGTTTATCTTTATTTGAGTTACATTAAACCCATTCTATTCTTTCTTTCTTCCAGAAAATATGCATTGAAACTAGTCACTGAGCAACTTTTAGGGGATATGAGGACAATTAATTCCTGCCCAAATACAGCTTATCATTTAATGTTACATTAACAAATTTGCTTTCAATTTTCATTCACAGACCGTGGAAACATGTATATCAGTCTGTTCTCACATTGCTATAAAGAACTGCCTACGACTGGGTAATTTATGAAGAAAAGAGGTTTAATTCACTCACAGTTCCACAGGTTGTACAGGAAGCATGGCTGGGAGGCTTCAGGAAATTTACAATTATGGTAGAAAACAATGGGGAAGGAGGCGTGTCTTACCAAGGCAGAGCAGGAGAGAGAGAGAGAGAGAGAGAGAGAGAGAGAGAGAATGAAGGGGAAAGTGCTACACTGTTTGAAATAACCAGAGCTCTTGAGAACCCTATCATGAGAACAGCAAGGGGTAGTCCACCCTCATGATTCAATCACCTCCAGCCAAGCCCCTCCTTCAACACATGGGGATTACAATTTGACCTGAGATTTGGATTGGAGATACAGAGCCAA
This sequence comes from Homo sapiens, assembly GCF_000001405.40. Classification (NCBI taxonomy): domain Eukaryota; kingdom Metazoa; phylum Chordata; class Mammalia; order Primates; family Hominidae; genus Homo; species Homo sapiens. Next base: position 52,252,507 of record NC_000005.10, read on the forward strand.
ATCATAGCAACATAAATTGCCTGGTTAGTATGGCATAATGTTTCTCACTGTAAATTAATAAATTATAAACCAAATTCCCCTGCCATGAGACTTTATATAATTTTTCTCAGACCTTATCACCTGTGCAAGATTAATTACTAAGTTTGTCATGTAAAGGCCACATATGAAAGCATATAAAAACATAAAACTTCTTTATTATAGTAGTAATAGTATACTATCATGTGTCATATGTTTACTATGAATCAGTAACTGCACCAAATTACCTTAATCAAACTATCTCATTTAGTAAAAATATAAACACAATGAATCTATGAGGTAAATATTGTTATTGTACTCATTTCATACAAGAAGAAATTATTCTTGGGGATTATTTATTGTCTTTCTGCTACTCAGTAGCCTGTATAGCATTCTTATCACCACTATGGTTTACTATATTTTGATGCACTGAATGGGGAATTAAATAACATTGTTGATGGACCTTCAAAATGGCAACTTAAATCACATTGTTGATAAAGCTGCAAAATCCTAGTAATTTTCTTATATCCACAAACAAGCAAAACCTGCTGCCAAATTTCACTCACATGAATTATTATTTAGGCATTCCACTACCCATCACTGGCTAATAATCTTTAGGCCAGTCTTCTCATTTGTATCTGATATTTTTCCGTGAATATTTTTATTATATGTATTTGAATGTCTTATTATGCGATATTTCAAACAAACATGAAAGTAGAGATAAAAATAAAATGAAAATTTTTTAATGTTCATATTGTACATGTACATATTACATTTTTGTTTTAATGGTTATGTATTTATTCTATGTTTGAATGAAAATATAAAACTAGCACATTAAATTCATACTTTCATCAGTGTTATTATTTAGCTGGATAAAAAAATGTGACCCAATATGAAGTTGAGCATCACATGGCCAAAGATTCTTATTTTTTCCACAGGCCTTACCCTATCCTCTTATCACTTTTGATTACTTTGGAGCAAAGTCTAGACATCCCATCATTTCACTGGTAAATATTTTTATGCATATCTGTAAAAAAATGATACTCAAAAATAACCACCAGACCATCGTCTCACCTACAAATGTACATTAATTTGTTCATATAATTAAATATCTAGTTACAGTTCATATTCCCCCAATTACTTTATACACTTAAAAATAATTCATTGTACGAATCAGATTAAATGAGATCCAAATAAGGGTCTGGTTACAGCTGGTCAAAGGAAGAACCTAGAGCTGAACACAAGGATTTTGCCCCCATGGTACAGAGCTGTTTTCTACACCTTTTTGTGGGATTAATAAATAAAAATCCCAGACTTGGAGGTAGATGCAGATGTCACAAAATGTCTAATCTTTTTATTTTTTAAAATTGCAATATTTTAAAAGATGTCAAATGCTTAGAGAAATTTAAAGTGCTTTGTTCAGAAAGGTGACAACTGTCATAGTTACGTAAGATGAGGCTTCTGAAAGAAAGGTATTTAAGTTGAAAGGACTTAATAGATGATGGAGGTGGAGGGGTGAAAGAAAATTTTAGAAATTATTTTATTGTTTGAAACTATAGACGTTTCTCCATTTTGTGTTCCTAACAACAAACAATCATGGCTTTCATTGGGTGAATGCAAGACCATTGTTTTATGCCCCCATTTTACATTCAGACAACATCAACATGTGGAAAATTGCAGAGTTGTCATAAGGTTCACCTCTCAAATTTTTCAGCCCAGAATGAATATCAGTTCTGTTACATTACTTTGGACAAATTGCTTAAGTTTTTTAAGTCCTGGATTCCTTGTTATATGCCTATATCATAGCACTATTTGGGGTATAGGGCATGATATAGAGTAAATATTCACTTAAATGTTGACTATATTTACTAGTTGCTTTGGGTCTCCTATTTAAATGGAAATGTGCTTTAAATCATGAAGATGTGTTCTTTAGTTTCAATTTGTGCTGTTAAATAGAATAATCATACCTGACTATTCCATAAGATTGAGGTAAGGAATATATATATATATATAAAAAAAATTTAGGAATATAATATATACTTATGTGTAGATATACACACATGTACATAATAAATTTTAATTTATATATTGTCTTATTTAGTTCTCTAATTATGTGCTTTGTATGAATTTTGCCTTCTGAACTTCTTTGAGGAATAAATTAGTCTCATGTTCTTCTTGGAGGCCCCTGATAGATGTACCACAGTGGCAGCATATAGAAGATAGCCAATCAACCTTTCTTGATTTTAGCAGCTAGGAGTGGTTTATCCTTCTAAATTTGCATGTCATTTTTGTACATGTTTTTATGTACTTAATGAAAAATTACTTGTGTTGTAATTATGTGCGCTTGTTTTATTTTACCCTAAACACCATGTGTTTCCCAAACTAATTCATATATGTAAATATTCAGTAAAGTAGCAAGTATAAAGTTCACACTATGGAAGGGTTTTCTGCTGTAACAACTGCTGTAACTTTGTTATTATAATTAGTTATTCTTTACCAGGTGGAGACCATGTGTACTGCTCAGTACCTAGCCAAGTGCCTAACTGTAAATTAAAATTATTAAAAATTGGGAATTCTGGATTCAAAAAATAACAAAATCACTTGGACCAGTTTCTTAAGTGTGCTCTTTATTACTTAGAATTTTATGGAATTTAGTAGATTTCTGTGGGAACTTAAATACAGTGGACATAAGAGGAGCAAGGCAGTGACAAGGTTAAGAAATCACCTCAGTTGGAAAATCACATAACATTAACTTCATGCATAATCATATGTGAGCAATGAATAGTATTGCAACCAATTTCAATTTATAGAATCAAAATCATGACTGGAGGTCAGCTGTCTAATCCTTGAGAATAGCAGCTTTAAAATGAGAGATGTCTGGGTAATAAAATGCCCATTATCTGCTTCTATCCATAGGTAACCTGCTTTTACCCTTCGACCCACGAATCTGCCATGCTGAAATATCTGTGAGAGTGAACGCTTCTGAAAATGACAAATTAGTGCCAGTGAATCAGCACATCCAGCAGTGAGATGTCACTTCTGTATGTCCTGCATTCAAAGGCTATGTTCCCAGAAATGGTAATCAGCAGAGTGAAGGACGTAAAGTTTTCTCATTCAGTAACTATTAAGCAAGGGATAGAAATAGAATGAAAAGGGAGAACCATGCTTTAAATACTGTAAGTCTCAAGGAACTTTTATGAAAATCCAATTTTTAAAAACACATCAAATTTTATAATATACTGTAAGCTTTGTCTAGAAGGATGTGTAACTTCTGTCTCATTCCTCTAGAATGTGAGAATAACATTCTTTATTATCAACAAATTATCTTAATTCTTTCCCAAAACGATTACCATTTTTATAAGATGGCTCTTAGAACTATATTCATAGCTATCCTAAATGTCCTGATATTTATCTAATATTATTAATAAATATTGATAGAGCTCTGATTTTGTCCTGAACTCCTCACTGATTACTGACTGTATAGAATACAATGGTGAATTAGACCAGTTACGTTCTGTCTGAAAAGTAGTAAAGTATCAAATTAAAACTAAATTCATAATGAGACAGGGATGCAAGTGATTTGGTCTTCAGTGATTTAAGTATCGTAAGTATTCCAAACCTCTTCTCTCTCAGTCTAATGCAGGCTGCATGGCAGATTAAATTCCCCCAACTCAATGACATATCTGCACTTGGCTTCGTACTGTATTGTGTAGGACCAAATAAAAGTTAAACCCCTTAAAAAAAAAAAAATCCTATGGCAAACTTTTCAGGCAATGATATTCTAAAACTTGTGAACACCTGAAAACTAGAACTTTTTTTTTATTTTGTTTTGTAATCTGGTATCATATTAAGTTTGAAGTAATATCTAAAATTTATCAGGCATAAAATGAAATAAAATCAAATATGTTACAAATCCATTTAAGTTTTTCAACTTATGTACTTATTTAACTTGATTATTATTTTACATCTAGAAAAACCTTCACCTTATGATTTTTAGGATATTTTAGGCAAAAAATGTTTTTTCAACAAATAATTTATGGATCCTCTATCAAGTGTTGGACAGGATCTGCCCTCCTACAGTTATAATGGAATTATAAAAGATAAATCAATGGCAGTCTATATGATCACACATTGTGGTTTGCCCCATCCAGCCAGTTTATGCCAATAGTCCTGGAGTATTTATTAATATCATCCTATTTCATTGTCAAAAGTGTCCTAGTTTGGAAGGTCAATAATTTGGTGACTGTAGATATTAGAAGAGGTATGGGAATTAAGTCAGGTAGATTTAAGATTAAATTCTGGCTTTGACTCTTACCTGTTTCATGGCATCAGTCTCATTTTCTTCATCTGGTAAACAAGGATATTACCAAGATTCTACCAAGATTCTTATTATAAGGATAAAATGAGGGTTTATAAAACACATTGTTCCCCCTTCCCCTGGCTGCTTGGAACTACCTGTAGACACATTGTATGCACTCAAAGCATACTTTCTGTAACACAGAAATGCAGGGCCCATTTGTGGGACACAATGACACATTAAAATTTTGGGTCTTCTGTTCAAAAAACATGAGAAATACTATTAAAGTATGAAATATAAAGTTTTTATTTCTTCCACAGACTTTCTCTCAACTTGCCATGGTGTATTTTGCTGTTTTATGTTATTATAAGTAAAGAAAAATTAAAAACAAAATTATTAATGTGGACTTTACCATTCATCTTCATACTGTGCAACACCAGTTTAACTGCAAAGATAAGAACCTTTAACTTATGTGTAGAATTACCAAAATCACACAATTTGTATTTCTTAGTTTGTGCTTGCTTATGTACTTCATTCTAAACAAAACGGCAGAAATAGTTGCACAGAACTAAACTAGTTTTATTCTACTTGATACACACTCATTCTATCAATGAGTAAGAAATAACTGAAAGGAAAAGAAACTATGTGTTACGCTGTCTTTCCCATTCCTTCCATGTCATTTTCAACGTAAGTAATTGGCAAATATAAGGAAGTAAGACAAGAAAAGGAATATGATAGTGTCATTTGGTTTTCTTTCTGCATTCAAAGGAAGTTCTGGTTCAAAAGACAGAAAGGATGATCTCTTGTTAGTGCCCCCATGTACTCAGTGAAAATGCAACACGCTTACTTCATACTCTGAACTTCACTGAGCTCCCAGAAGTAGGTGTTCCCTACAAGGCTGTGCTTATATGCCTCGCAAATGCTCTGTACAAATGACATATCAAGAACTGCTCCAGACATGCACAATATTTGTATCTCTTCTGCTCATCTGCATATTTCTTTGTCCCATTGAATTTCACTTACAAAACACAAGTTTAAAAAGTATATTATCAAAAATTTCAAAACAGTATCAACATTAAACCAGCACAAAGCCATTCTAAATGACAGGCCCTGTCCGACATCACAGGTCACAAGCCCATGAAGCTGGCCTTGTGGAAGTATATTACATGTAAAGAAGCTCTTCTGAGGCTACCAAGAGAACCATGGCAATAAACATAAGGCCGTTAAGGAAAGGCAGAAACTTTGAACAGAAGTAGACAAGGTCACAAGAGGAATGTCAGAATGTGTATCATAAAATTGACTCTAACCTGAAGTCCCTAATTACACCCTCAATCATTTTCTCTTTGTAAGTAAACACTCTTCTACTCTTGTATGTATGTTATTACTCTTAACTTCATTCTCACCCACAAGTGAGTTTTACTGATTATCCTGTCTTTCCCTTAATTGGCTTAGGCAAGACAATTGCTATTTTCACATTGTTACTTAGAATTCTCATACTCACAGAGGTCAATGGAACAGCCAAGTTAATTTAGTCTTTTGAATAGGTAGAAGACAAAAAGTTTGCTTTCCTGAGATACAGTTCAATGTTCTGTCATATTAAGATTCCTGCATTGACACTGCACACATATTATGTTTGTGAACCTTATCACATATTTAGATGTATCTGTTCCTGAAATAAGAAAATAGTATTGACACTACTGAATCTCTGGTTCCCCACTTAGGCAACTGAGCATGAGAGAATTATTTCATGTGTTCTTTAAACCAATAAATAGAACATTTCTTGTAATGAGAAAATTAAATGAAACCTAAATATTGCAGTTATTTAGCTTTACTGGAGTTATCCATTTTTTGCATGCCTGTTATGACTGAGGTTGCATATATTTCTTAAGAAAATGAGACCAGAATCACTATTAGTCAATTGAAAGAGAAAAAAAATTTTCCAATTTATAAAAACTATTAGCATTTAATTTAGTTTACTACAAGGAATAAGAGAGCCTTATGATTTAATGGCATGAACAAAACGTATTCTAAGTAAATGTTTACAAACACCCCAAAATATTTTAAGGAAATCTAAAATTCAAAAACTTCTGAAGATCAAAATATGCTTTGAAATAAAGATTTTTAGTATAAATTAAATATTAAAACTGTCAAGCCATTAAAAACAAATAATAATGAACATGATTTGAGGCATACATTGTTTGTATGTATGTTGTATGTGGGTTTGTATTGTAAATGTGAAATAATAAATCTATATGTAGCTCTGTCTGCTTCAATGCCTCCATCTACAACTTTACCCCATTTGAAATAAATTGCACCTTAAATTTGAAGGCAATTTTCGGTAGTTTGGTGTGCAGTACAGATTTCATCTTTGATATTTAGTAAGCCTGAGATCTTTCTAACTTGTGAAGACTGCATGTCTGCAAACTAGGATGTCTGTGTTTGTGTTTATTACCTTTTTCATGCATGCCTTGAAATGACTAAATTACAGGTATTTTACATGTGTTTTGTGGTACAAAACAGATATAGTCCACTGGTATAATTTATCTTGAAACACCCTGTTTTACAAAATTACAGAAAAGCACTGCAATTTGCTCAATTTTTTATTTCTAAGACTATGGTAAAATCTTCAAAGCCCAGAAGATGCCTTCAGGATAAGAATTTAGCCATGCAATAAACAATTTTCATCAAAGCTTAGGTTTGGAGAAATACAGTACAATTGTGGATTTAAAATCTTGATAATGTTTCTTACTTATTAGCTATTTTGTCTTTTGTATTTTGGCCTAATTCAGCCACCAAAGGCATCAACCCTTATATAAGATTAGGTACACACACATGCACACACACACACACACAGAAAGAGAGAGAGAGTGTCAGAGAGAGAGGAGAGAAAGAGCAGTCCAAATTAGATTATCTACAATCAACGTAATTGTGAAGAACAAAATTGTTCATCTGTGCTGTGCAGCTGCCTTTTGGATTTTGTGCTTGATCCCAAGTGACCGAAGAATTTACAACTATACAAATGTTCTTTAATCCACTGGAACTTTTTTATTTTAAAACTCACTTTTAAAAAACTCATTTTGACTTCTTCATTCTTCCCAGTAGAATAATACATGAGCCAAAATCTCAATAGAAAACTTGTAAACCCTGTGGCACTTAAATGAAATGCAAGCTAATTTGACGCTGAGAATAATTTGTACTAGTTTTCAGTAAATATTTTAAATATCTTATGCCTCTAGTTCAGTTTTAAATGTTCTGTTTTCTTAACACTTAGTTAAGAATCTCTGTATATTATAAAAAATCTTATATTTATGTGTGGTTGAATTAGATTTCTTATGAATTTTTGATATATAATTTGATAGTTTGTTAGCAGAGTTGTTACTATCGATCATAAAATATGACTCTGAGTTCTGTATTTGTTAGTGTGATTGTGTCTGTAAAAATTAATAATCCTTTTTTTTTAATGTTAAGTCTGCCTAGTTAATATTCTGGATAATCTATCAGAGTCTATCTATATCTTATATTGGTGAGACTCAATTACTTAAGAGTAAATTCTGCTTCTTAATGCATTATTTCAAATAATTATTGATGCAAAATGCTGCCATTGCCAAAAAGATCTTTCAATCGTTATTCTTCAGAATAACAACTACTTGAGACATAGCTTAATCTGCAAGCATTTTAAAAGGGCAGTTTATAGATGTTTTCTACTTTACTTTGATATTTTTCTTCCAGTGGGGAAAAAAAATATCTTTTACATACACACACAAACACACAGACACACACACATACACTACAAAGTAAGCCTTGAGAAACACTATTTCAGAACAGATGACTTTAAGTAAGGTAAAACATTCAAACTTGCAATATGGACACAGTCTCAATATGAGGAGCAATTTAGTGTAAATGGAACATTGAAAAATTAATCTTAGGAAAGCAAAACTTTTGTCTCATACCTATTCAAGTCACTAAAGTAACTTGGCCTCTGTAGGTATGAAATTCTGTATATAAGTGAAATAATCATACTTGTCTCATCTAATGTCAATTAAGGGAGAGAAAAGATAATCAGTAAAACTCTCTTTCTCAATATAAACATTTCTTTTACTAAGTAATCTTTTTAAAACTATATGCAAATATAAAAACAGCAGGATTTTATTAGGATCAGTCAAATATTATTATCAGAAAACTATTACAAACAGTTTAATCAATAAAAATGTTAAAAAGTAAAGAATCACAAAAGAATAAAATATACTCAATAATTTCTTTTCTTAAGAATCTAGTAAAGTAGTAAAAGATGAAAACACAAAAAAATTAATAACAAATATTTGATGAGTGATTTGAATACAAGGAATGATATAGAAAATGGGAAAGAAATCCGTAAGTGAGAGGTTGACTGTTAAGTCCTCATGGCAATGGTGACGAAGGAGCTGGAGCTTTGAAACAGAGAAGGATTTGAATGAGTTAAATGAACTATAATTATTCTTTCTGGTTTCCTGTTATGTGAAATTGAGATCTTCATACATTAATATTCTCATTTACCTTCACTTACAGAATTGTAAACCTAGTAGACCAAGGATATGGCCTTTGGCCACAGAGTTTGAATCTTTTTTTTTTTCTCACTATTATTGGGTCCATGACACTGGGCTACTTACTCAACCTCTCTGTCTTTAAAATAATTATAATATTATCAAGTTGTGTAATTGGGTAATTAATGACACTTATACATAACCAATATTGAAGGCTAAATAAATTACAATCATTGTACTAAGTATACTTGTAATGCAATATCCCATTTTTCTCTCACAAAAGTATATTCAAACAGTATGTGCTATTATCCTTATTTTTCCATAGCAAACCCAAAATTCAAAGAAGTTAAATATTGCCCAGTATCATACAGATCTGGGTTTTGAACCTAAGCACTTTGATACCAGAGGCGACCTAATCAACCATTACATCATTCTCAAATACTGAGATACGTTTTAAACTGTGGTGCCTATGGAAAACAAGTATTGGCAAAGATATGGATAAATTGGAACACTTATGCATTGTTTGTAGGAATATAAGATATTCCTACAGTGCAGCATCTATGGAAAACTGTATGGTAATTCATCAAAATATGAAAAAATAGAATTACCATATGATACAGCAATTCCACTTCTGGGTACACACCCAAAAAATTGAACACAGAGACTTGAAGAGACACTTGTACACCCATGTCCACAGCAGCATCATTCACAATAGCCAAAGCCCAAGTATCCATCACTGGAAGAATGGATAAACAAATGGTGCTTTATACACACAATGAAATATTATTCAGCCATATAAAGGGAGGATATTCTGACACATGGGTGTCATATATGTCCTTCCGGACATTATGCTAGGTGAAATAAGTCAGTCACAAAAGAACAAATACTGTATGGTTCTATTTATGTAAGATGTCTAGAATAGTCATAAAGGCAGAAAAATGAATGGTGATTGCTAAGGGGCTGGGGAAAGGAGAAAGGGCAGGTGTTATTTAACAGGTAAACAGTTCAAGTTTTACAAGATAAAAAGAGCATCCTATGGCTGGATGGTGGTGATGGTGGCACAAAAGTGTGAATGTAATGTCGCCAAACAGTCATGTAATTTTTTACAACATAAAACCTACCTTAACTGAAACTTTAATAAAATATTATGGGATGTTTTTCTGTGTATGTGATTGGAGGATGTCCAGGAAGAGAGTTGTCACTCTTTTTCAAAAAGGGGGAAAAAAGAGGCCACTGATAATATTAATTAGATTTTGCTAATCACAACTTTTGAATAACTTGAACTTTTCGTTTTTATAATAAATTGGATAAGAAAGAAGCCAAAATTCCCCTTAAATTGCAATTTTGGTCACTGTTATAAAAAATAGACTGGGTCATGGCTCAAGGCTGATATCTTTTAATTACCTAATCATGAATTGGGAACACTAGTCCATGCTGTTGCATAAATGAAGTATGGGCTGAAAGGCAGGTCACAGAAACTCAGTCTAAATACTCTATAATACACACTTTAATTGGTGAGCTATCTTTTTCTTTCAAGTTGTAATTCCCCAATTTTGGACATCACAGTAAATCTGACACAAAAGATAGCATCTTAACATAGTATTACTTAACAAAGATGGCTGTCATTTCTGTCACATGAAAACCCTATCAGGAACCACACTTCCACTTTTCTGTTGCCATAGATACCACTTTTCCTCTGTGATCAAAAGTGGAAAACGCAGCTCGGTGTCATGATTCAAATATAAAGAATCGAAACCACTTCAGCAATGTACACAAAGACTCAGAAGCAAGTCACTTCTCATTGGGATTTCAGTTACACAAAGTGAAATTCTAGAAAATAAATAGTTGCTTGGGCAGTGGAGAAGTTGAAAAACAGTATCTTAATGATGCAAAAGTGAATTGCCCCATAAAAAGAAATATGTATTTAAATCAATGCATTGATTCTAGATTCATTAATGGATTTTTTTCATCCATTAATAAAAGACAGTATTTGGGAACTCATATTCAACTTGTAAGCTTAAGCCAGAAAAAAAAAATATTTTCTTAGTATAGTTTACACAATAATAAAATAGAAAGTGCAAACCTGGCAGTGTTATTGTGGTTGCTTTATCCTGAATTGTACTTAATCTTAACCTGAAGAATGGTAGTCAGAGATTATTTTTGAATTTAAGGACACAATAATAAATGGTGCGTATTTGGAAACCTGGGAAATTTGAAGGGCAAAATTATCCAAATTAAAATTAAAGCCTTGATGGGAATAATTACATGGCTGAAAATCAACTGTACTGAAGTAAGGAGCAATGTTTAAGAAAAGAGTCACCCTCACAGGCTACTCTAGTAACTTAGACACTGCGGAGTATTGCCAAGCCTGTGATGAGAAATTGTTTAACTTTCTATGGTCTTTTGAAATGTCCTCTGGATATGGCAACGGACTGGGGATCTGATACTCCATGCTCGAATGCTTTTGAAATGATAGAGATTAAAAATGCATATACCCCTTTTTCCCTGCTTGGCCTTATCTGTGTAATATTACAGTAAATTCAAGTTGAATAATCCTGGTCTAAGTAAAAAGGCTGATAAACATAATAAGCCACTGAAATAATTATAAACATAATGACTTTATCAGAAAATTGTTCATTTTTTATACAAAAAGGCAAGTGGGACAGATTGTCAAGTTGTTACACTTATTAATGCAATGAGCATTATTTTGTATTGAGTAACATTTTCAAGTTAAAAATTCCTTCATAAGTTATTACCTATAAATACTGATAAGGATTGCCTCCTAAAATAACAGGTATGGCAGTTTAGTCTATAGGCTTAGAGTTAGGTAGAACTTGCCCAGTCACTCACTGGCACGGGACATTGAATAAAGTTAACATCTATAATTCCCAACTTGCTCATCTATGCAATGGTGATAATAATAATATTCACCTGGTGGGGATATTATGTAATTTAAAAAGATAATATACAGGACTTATCAAGGTGGCAAACGCATACAAAATGCTTATAGAAAGCATAAAGAATAAAAAGAATATTCAGTGACATTAAAAATAGCTGTATAGAGAGGTAAGACATAACATATTGTATGATGGGAAGCATAGATTTTGTAAGGAAGGTTATTTTTTCCCAAATTATATTTTGGTTTTAACAAAATTCCAAGCAAAATACTAATGGGATTTATTTGGGAACTGACAGGTAATTTGGAAGAATATGTGGGATTCAATAACTAAAAAATAATTTTAGAAATAATGTAATAATTCTTCAGTTTTTAAGATTTACTAACAAAGAGCTAAACAGTATAGTCATGTTGCAAGAGTTACTAGGAGGCTCAATAGATTGATTAATCAGAAATAGGCTTCAGCACACATAACATTTGGCTATGATAAAAGTATGATATAACAAATCAGTGGAGAAATAAATGCTTACTCTCTAAATGATTTTAGAAGTATTAGGTTAACTTCTCAGGAACAAAAAACCAGACTTTATTAAAATTTTAGAAATAATGCACTTATATGTTAAAACATCAGATATAAAAATTAAGTTCATTCAAAACATGAGAAGAAATAGTGGATGAATATCAATATATTTAGGAATGGAAGATGAATCTCTAGGTGCATGGAATCATTGTAGAATTCCTAAAGGGAAAGGTGTCTAGATGTAAATAAATATTTTAAACATATCAATAATTTTATAACCGAATGTATAAAACAAATGATAAAATAAAATACATTGTTTAAAACAAACACTACTACACAAAGATCACTTTCAAGTCAGGTAGACAAGTCATTAGCTATGCAATAGGAAAAATGGCCAAAATTCTTTAAGGACTTTATAGATAAAGAAACATAAATGGGCCAGGCACGGTGGCTCACGCCTGTAATCTCAGCACTTTGGGAGGCTGAGGTGGGTGGATCACAAGGTCAGGAGATCAAGACCATCCTGGCTAACACAGTGAAACCCCGTCTCTACTAAAAATACAAAAAATTAGCCGGGCATGGTGGTGGGCGCCTGTAGTCCCAGCTACCCAGGAGGCTGAGGTAGGAGAATCGTTTGAACCTGGGAGGTGGAGGTTGCAATGAGCCAAGATCGCACCACTGTGCTCCAGCCTGGGCAACAGAGTGAAACTCTGTCTCGAAAAAAAAAAAAAAAAAAGAAAGACAGAAAGAAACATAAATGGCTACTCAGCACATAAAGATTTTATAACACCAATAATTAACTAATGCACAATTTTAAAAGATACTATAAAATCGGGAAGTATAAAAAAATTCTGAATACAGATATTGGTATAGTAGGACAGGGAGTCTCAGAAGGTACTTATAGAAGTATAAATTGGTATGGCCTTTTGGGAAAACAATTTGGAAAAAAAAATTAGGTTGGTGCAAAAAGTAATAGCGGTTTTTACTGCCAAAATCACAATTACTTTTGCACCAATCTATAGATCTCATTTTTTTGGTAATTTTTTTCTAATAATAATTGTTGCTAACATTCTATCCTAAGGAGATGGGAAACAAAAGTATATGTAGAAAAAATTTGTTACAGAGCTTTTATGATAATAATAATAAGCAATCTAATGATCAATAATGATAGAATAGTTAAATGCATAATACGTTCACTAATTAAACTGTCATTCATTAAAACTATTTTTAAAAGTAATTTAACCACATGAAAAATGCTCAGAATATATTAAATGGGACAAAGGGACCAAGCAGAACACAAGTCTAAATGCATAATTTGAATTTCGTGTAAACAAATACACTCACTCTACATTTGTGTATATGTATTCCAAAAGTAAATATATTACTATATTAGTAACAATGTATTTGTGGTGAAAACATATCTCATTGTTTTCTCTCTCCGTTTTTATGTTTGCCTGATTTCCTAAAATGGACATTTGAGGCAATAATATGTGCCAGGCATCTTAAGCATTTCACATGTTTCAAGTAAGATAAATCTCAAGACCTCCCTTGTGGTAGATTTTATATTCTCCATTCAGATGGAGAAACTAAGGCACATACAATAATTTGCCTGAGACCACAAACAACAATGTGGCAGAATATGGCACTCTCAATTCAAGGCCCTTTTGTTTCTGAGAAACTTACTGTAATCCACTAAGTTACAGTAGTTAATGTTTTTCTATAGGTTTTACAATGTTGATAAAAAACTAATAAATAAATTCCTTAGCACATCACACTAATAAATGAATTAATGAAGTACTTACATAAAAGTGTAATCAGATATTCAGCCTCAGTCTACCCTGAAACATTGGAATTTGATAGTTCAAAGCTCATGGATATGTCCCCATTTTTAATGTTTGTGTCAGACTACAGCTTTAGAGAAAAATAACAGGTTGTATTGTTGTTATTATTGATGTATCTTAAGTAATTTGGAGGACAAACAACATAATAATGAAGCTAAGTCTAGTGATTAGCTGATAAACCACTCCCTCTTTCATTGCCCAGAAATGCTATCCTGCATTGATAAGGACATGTTATGTAAAATAAATTTTTAGCCTCAGCTTACAACCTGTCTGCCTGAAATTAACTTTGGTGCTCTGGGGTTTCTTTTAATATTATTGAAGGACTAAATCCTACCCATATTTCCAACTGAAGGGAACATATATATTTTAAAGGAAAAAAATTCCTTTTAATTACTTGTAACAGTGTTGTTTTGCTTCATTTCCATAGCACTCTAGTTAATAGTGTTTTCATTTATTATGCTCTACATTTTTAAATATATACTGATCAATAGGCGGTAGTAGTATTAATAAAAATTAAGAAATTATTTGACTGTATATGTTATTAGTGTTTTTAAAATATTTATACGTACTTATACACATAAGGACATTGTCATTTTCTATTCAAAACCAGTGCTTTCTATGTTAGCTAAATAAATTATTATAAAATTTGCAATGATATCTCTGATATTTCTAAAAATAATCTCTGACTACAAAAATGCCATATTTTTACAAATAATATGGTATGTTTATTCAATATATATAAATTATCAGTAAATCCCTGATTTCAGATTTTTTAATGGCAAACTTTTTATCTATTATCAGTGTAACAGTTGACTATAGTGCAGAGATTTTTACCTAATTGCATGCCAGAGTTTAGTGAACCGAGCAGATCTATTAAACACCTCAGTGCAGTCTCTGCAGTACTCTTTCAGCAACAGACGCAATAACCCTTTCTATATTTTATCTTTTATTTATAAATAAACAAAAATTTTCTGTGGTATGCAGCAGTTTGTCACAGATGGAAGAAAAAACAAAAACAGAAACTCCACAATAAACTTTGACATACTTTAACACAAACAGTCCTGTAACTGATCTTATGATATTTTTTATTAGAAGTCTAAAGAGGTTGACAAGATTTTTGACAAATATTTGAACACATATGATATATGTATATATGTATACAAAAATAGAGTAATTTTAGAAACAATAATTACGTCAATAACAATACAGTGTTTTTCCTCACTTTTAGGAAGGATGAGTGAAATATGAAGTGTTCTGAAAAATTACGTACTTTTCCTGTGAAGCCCAAAATTAGTGAATTGGGTGTCTAAGTGTATTATATATTTGAAATGTGGTACTATGATTTGAAATGAGCATAAAATCTCAATTCATTTTGAAAGTAGCTTTTAGTTCTGTAATGTGATTAAAGGCTTTGCAAGTTCTAATGGCAATAAATCTTTTTGTTTGTTTGTTTGTTTGTTTTTAGGGGGGCGGGGCAGGATCTCACTCTGTCACCCAGGCTGGAGTTCAGTGGCATAATCATGGCTTACTGGAGCCTCAACCTCCTAGACTCAAGTGACTCTCCCACCTCAGCCACCCTAGTAGCTGGTACTAGATACATGCTCTGCCACGCCTGGCTAATTTTTAAATTTTTGTTTTGTAGAGATGGGGCTCTAGCTTTGTTGCCCAGGCTGGCCTTGAACTCTTGGACTCAAGCAATCCTCCCACCTTGGTGTAATACTAACACCAAAGTGTTAGTATTACAGGTGTGAGCCACCACACCTGGCCTTTAATGGCAATAACTTTATATGGACATATTAGTGTTGGAATGAATTGCAACTATTCCAAAATTCTGCTGCAAACTAGAAGAATCAAAAGGGGATCTAGTGTATTTTTTTCAAGTTCAAAATAATATATATACTATGAGTATGCTTAAACATGTGTATATGTGTGTGATATGTATGCAGTAGTCTCAAGTGTACTCATAAGAAAATTATTTTCCAATAATTTTATTCATAACTGTTTTTTGCAAGTCAATAAAAACAAATTTTACATTTAATTCCATTTCAAGTTTTAAGAAAATTGCATATTAAATGTAAAAAGGGAAAAGCTAAGACATTCATGATTTAGTATTGTTCATAACTTTGCAATCTAAGATTTCAAATATTTCAGGCCTTAATTTTGACAGTACATTTACTATAGTAATCAACTAAATCAAAGAAGCCATTCTCTAAGGGTATAAGGTTTTCTAGGAGAAAAAATGCTGGTAATTAATGTGTCCCCTATGCTAACACATTTGAAAGACATTCAAGTATAACCGATGCAAATAATGGAGGAGGAATAATTTGTCCCAAAGCAAATATAACCAAGATTATCAGGGAATAGCAAGTGAAACTGAAATAAAGGTGAATTCTATAAAAACTCATATTATTTTTTCTTAAGAAAGCCGTAGTGGTATAGAACTTTATGTGATGTTAATGTATACCACCATCCCAGCCACCAGGATAATCACTAGATCCAAGTTTTCTTTGATATCTGCTTGTATTTGTCTCTTTTTTAATATTTGAATTGATCTTTATTTATTCAGTATAAATCACTGAATGGTTGGTAGAAATGTTTTAATGAAAAATAACAAATTCCAAGAACAAAAAAAAAGCTGGTTATGTAATAGGTTATTTAATCTTTTTAAATGAAGCCTCATTTTAAAAATAAATAGACTAAAGACAGAGCAGTTAATTATATGCATTCTCTTGAGTTAGTTCTTTATGATTTGACAACTTGCACGGCAGCTGTTCCTGTAAATATGACAATAAATTTCTAAATCTCCGGAGAACTGGTAAATACAGGCAGATGCACTTAACTGCTGGTGGGCAACAAAAGTCAGACTGCAGGAAACTGTGGCACTAATGTAGCTCTTGATTAATCTCTAATTACAGTTTTGTCATCTTAGCAGGGAGACAAAACTATATCACTTCCTAAATAGGCAAGCAGCATTTTGGCACCTAGCAACCAGCAGTTTGTTCCTATTAGCTGCAGTGGACTTGATGCTGTTACATGGGAGGTGGTTATGGATCACTGCTCTATTATTTATGGAGCAGCATTTCCAGAGGCCTTCACAACAGTAGATAAATTAGCAGCTTAATAGGCCAGCACTAACTAAAAACACAGCACAAGCTGAAGCATCAAGTATGAAATTAAAATGTGACTTGCCCATAATGTTTACATCATACATAAAAGGCATCACTCATTTATTTCTGTTCATTATTCAGCAAACATAACATAAATGTGAGCATATTATTGAAAACCATGTAAACATTTTTCAATCATTTTATATTATTTCATAAAGTCCCTACATTGAATCATTGAATCTTTCAAAGGGACTTTTTTTTTTTTAATTCATTTTCCTCCCCCTGAAGAGATTCTCTTGGTTTCGTTTTTAAGCCCAGGACGTTAGGTGGCGAGCATTAATTAGGACTAGTGCAGCTACAAGAGAGCCCTAAGTATCTGTGTAAAAGTGCCTTATTAAGCTCAAAATGGGCAAATGAGGGTGATTCTCATCATGCTTCCATTTCCCTTTCACTCTGGATGCGAGGAAAAAGTCTAAGGAATGACCTCACACCTCTGCCTTGTGTCAGCAATTTGAAGGGGGATATAACATCCTTAAGTACTTTATTTTATTCAAAAGGCAAATCGCAAGCAGGTTTACTTAATTAAAATTACTGGACCATGTTTCTTAATCCTAACAGTAGAGATTACATTATAAATATGATCCTGCAGGAGAGATCCAAAATGTGATATTAAAAATGATCACAACTTTTCATTTCCTTTAATTTTTCTAAAAGTTATTTTTAAACAAAACATCATGGTACAAGGTGATAATATATATTTTTAAAACACCCCCTTTTATTTTTCAATTATAAAAATTCCTACTATAAGGAACAGAATGATTTTCTGTGAGCACATGTTCTCACTTATAAGCGGGAGCCGAATAATGAGAATTAATGAACACAAAGAAGGGAACAACAGACACAGTGGTCTACTTGAGGGTGGGAGGAGGGAGAGAATCAGAAAAAATAACTATTGGGTGCTAGGCTTAATGCCTGAGTAATGAAATAATCTGTACAACAAACCCCAGTAACATGAGTTTACCTACATAACAAACCTTCACATGTACCCCAAAACCTAAAACAAAATATAAAAAAAAATAGAGATTTATGGATGCAGATGTTTCTTCCAGCATTACTACAAGCCTGAAAAATTGAAAATGGTTCAGTGTTTGATAGCAGAGGGTGCTGAGTAAGTTGGGACACAGAGCCACTGAAAATGCACAAGGGATAGAGGATTGGCTGGGCAATGTCCACCTGTGGGGACAGGAGAATACAGAGGATCTCAGGGCCTGAAGTGCTCCCCACCAGAGAAAAAAAAAAAAAAGAATTTCATCGAAAAGAAAAATGTCCTATATTTACATCAATGTATTATGTATTATGCCTTAAGATTTTCTGATAACATAAGTAAAAAGGTTATTTTAAAAGCCTAACATTGTAGCAACATATTATGAGCAAAGTGAAATTTATTTTTATTTAACTGACCAAGATAGCCTGTGACAAGAGTTAAGGTGCTATCTTACTGCAATATGACGATTCACTCTAGAAGCTGTATTCATTTACAAATTTTTCTTTTAAGGAATTCTTTCTTGTGATAATTCTATTTTTTCTTTTTTGAGGAACCATTATATTATTTTCCAAAATAGCTGCACTAATTTACATTTCCAGCAACAGTATACAAGGGTTCTCTTTGCTTCATAGCCTCACAAAAATTGTTATCTTTTGTCTTTTTGATCATACCCATTCTAACAGGTGTCATGTGGTACCTCATTGCGGTTTTAATTTGCACTTCCATGATGATTATAGATGTGAGCATTTTTTCATAAATCTGTTGGTCATTTGTATCTCTGTTGAGAAATGTTTGTTTGAATCCTTTGGCATTTTTTTAACTGGGTTATTTGTTTTCTTGCTATTGAGTTGTTTGAGTTCCTTATACATTGTGCATATTAGCTCCTTATTAGATGTATGGTTTTGAAACATTTGCTCTCAATCTATGGGTTGTCTTTTCACTTGATTAACTGTTTTCTTTGTCATGCAAAAACCTTCTTAGTTTGATGCAATCCCATTTGTCTTGTTGATGCAAAAAGCCAAACTCTAAAATATTTAAAGTGGTTTATTCTGAGTCAGATGTGAGGATCATGATCCATGACACAGCCTCAGGTGATTCTGAAACATGTGCCCAAGGCAATTGGGTCAGAACTCAATTTTATACATTTTAGAAGGACAGAAGTTACAGGCAGAGACATAATCAATACATGTAAGATATACGGGTCCAATTTTATTCTTCCACATGTGGATATTCAGTTTCTCCAACACCATTTATTAAAGACACTGTCCTTTCTCCACTGTGTGTTCTTGGTGCCTTTGTTGAAAAGTGATTAACTGTAAAATCCCACTTCTGGGTATATATCCAAAGGGATTAAAATCAGAATGTTCAAAAGATATCTACACTCCTATGTACATTTCAGCATTATTGGTAATAGCTAAGCTATGGAAGCACCTAATGTTCACCAATGGATAAATAAATAAAGAAAATATAGTATATATACACATTGGAATCCTACACAACCTTTAAAAAGAAGAGAATTCTGTCATTCACAACAATATGGATGGTACTGGAGGACATTATGCTAAGTAAAATAAGCCAGGCTCAGAAACAAATACTACATGATCTCACTTATATGTGGAATCTAACAAGGTCAACCTTACAAAAAGAGACAGTAGGAAATTGGTCGCCAGAGGCTGGGAGGCTGGGGAGAGAGAGAGAAGAATGGGGAAAGGGAAGGAAGATGTTCATCAAAGCGTACAAAGTCTGTTAGGTTGGAGAAATAAGTGTTAGTTATTTAGAATCATTTAGAAATCACTTAGAAAATAATTTTTAATGTTCTCATCACAAAAAATTATAAGTTGGTTAGGTGAAAAATACGTCAATTAGCTTGACTGAAAAGGAAAGAAAAGAAGGAAATAAGAAAGGGAAGGAGAGAGAAAAAGAAACTCTTAGAGATAAATCAAATCTCTACTATCACAAATTCTAAATCTATTAATTCAGTATCATTATGTCACTTTACCATACAAGGTAACATTGGAAGATGATAAACTTTGGAAAGAAGGCCATGAGTTCAATTCTCACATGCAGAGTTTAAGTGACTTTGAGATATCCAAGTGAAGATGTAGGTAGCGAGTTGGATAGAGGTCTGGAAATCAAAGGAGAACTCAAAGCTCAAGATAGAAATTTCAGAATCATTGTCCTAGAGGCAGCAATTGAAGCCACAGGTATGGAGGAGATGGTCTAAAGACAGAGTATAACATGAAAGAACAATGAAAACACTTAAGAATCAAGTAGAAAAAAATGAATTGGAAGAAGGCTGAGAAGAAATAGCCAAAAAGCATGAGAAAAGGTGGAGAACGTGTCATTGCCAATGCCCAGGGAAAGATGCTTTTGAAAAGTTGAAAAATCATTTGAATGCTACTTCAGAGGATCGCTTGAGCCCAGGAGTTTGAGGCTGCAGTGAGTGATCATGCCACCACCCTTCAGCCCGAATGACAAAGCATGACACATCTATATTTTTGTAATTCTTTTCTAAAAGAAAAAAAAATGAAAAAAAAAAAAATCTCAGCCAAGCAAGCTTTGCCTCTGTCTCCACCAGTTTCTTCAAGAAGGGTAAGAAGCAATTAATTACATCCCTGTTCTTGAAAACCTTTGTTAGATTGATTTATCCAGACCTAGCACAGCCCAAGTTACCAAGTCGTTCACTGGAGACTCAAGTGTTCTCAATAGAAGCATACAGCATAGAGAAAGTAGTGGATTCTTTTGATTTTTTACTATTTCCTCCTGATTCACAAACTTGAATCTTCATATGAGTAGTTCTCCTCTCCTGCTAGCTCATTTCCCCTTTTCAAGTTTCCAAATCTGCTGCCCCACATCTGCCCTTAGGAAATCCGTTTTCCCCTTAAGAGCATTGTGTTTCCCTTCCCCCACTACCATTCTCCTATACAATCTTGGTCTCCTTTTGTGTCTTACGGAGTAACGTATTTCAACTTAGTCCAGGTATCCACGAAGGCTTTCTTTTACAGCTTGTGATTCCAAATAGAAAATGACCTATAGGCCCAGAAGTGAGAGTAAGAGCAGATGCTCTCATTCTAGCTTCCTTCTCTACCAGGGATAGTTATGACTAGGTTTTCACTTGTTTATCTAAAAATCAAGCCCCTTTTGACCAAGCAAACATGAATGTTATTCCAGGGCTAACAGAGTCTAATATCATTTTAGTAAGTTATATTTCTTATTTGAGCATGATTTTGATCTTGCCCTTTGTGGGTCAATTATGTGAAAATTATTAGCAAAGTAATGTTTATGCTTTTTCTTGGGCAACACAATATAGGCACCATTATACAGTATAAGCAGGTGTCTTTCTCCTTTGGCCTTAAAAATGTCTCCATACACAGAATGAGGGCAAAGAGGCCTGTAAATCACCATCCTTCTTAATCTTGGAGAAATTTAGAATGTATAGAATCCAGGGCAATGGTGAAAAGATTGGGAAGAGAGAGGAAGATAATCTCTCTTTAAAGAAGGGAAATGAGGCTAAAATAAGCACAGGTGCCCAAAATTAAAGAGTGAGGTTTGTTTCATGTCTTCTATTTTTTCCATGATCTTGAAAACATGCTTATTTGTTGGGAGTAACTGTGGTGGATTGGCAAAATCGGAGTTTTTTGAAGAGTAAAAAAGTTTTGAAATAGCTTTTGCAGTGCATGCTTGAAGAGTCAATTAGAAAAACATAAGAGAATTTCTGTACTCATTAAAGAACATTTGAATTTGGTAATCACAATTTAACAATGGTACCAATCTATATTAATTCATAATTTTCTTGAGCAATAATCAACTGCAAGACAATAGAGAGCAAATTTTTGCTCATGAAAGGCTGATGGTTTTTCCAGATTGATAATATAAGATAAAGAAGCAAGATTGTTACTGAAATGATAGATCATGAGCCTAAGCAGGTTACTAATAAAAATTAGAAGAGGGGGCTAGAGTGATAGAAAGAAGAAAATTCACAAGAGGAAGTCAAGAGAAAGTTCTCATGGAAATAGTAGAGTTCTGGAATAATTTGTCAGAGAATCTCATGCTTTTTTCAAGGATTTGGAATGATAGAGCAGTTTCTGGTGGTAAAAGTGTAACTTTAGTAGTATGAATGAAGTAGAGATAAGGTATAAAAACACTTATAAGTCAGGAAATCCAATGAGTCAGTCATATGAATATTGACATCTCCATGGCTGATAGAGGAAACCATGAGTTACATGCCAAAGCTTACACTTTTATTATAAAGAGGGAGAGAATGATTTAGCTAAACGTATTAGCCCTGATGAACAGTTAGTTTACTTTACTTTAAATAATTGAGCTAGAGAATCATCGTCCAAAGAAACAATCAAGAACAAACAGGACATTCTTTTATGTACTCACATAAATTTAATAATAATAATAATAATAATAAATTTTAAAAAAGGATATTCTTTTATGGAACCACAAATATTAAATAATAATAATAAATTTAAAAGTTTAAAAAAAGAACAAGGACAACAACCCTAAGTTGTTATTCAAAGAGAGGAATTGTTACAAAGTAGCTGAGAAAAATTAATAACACTGACAAGAAAATTTCAAAATATTTCATAGAAAATAATATAAATAAAATATTTTTTCTTAAAAATCAGATTTCTAGTGGTTCAGATAATTACAATTTTAAATAGATAATATATATTGAAATGAAAAATAATTTTTAAAGTCATAGTTGTTTTGAGCATTTCTGGATGATTTTCTTTTATCCAAAGATGGGGAAAACCTCCACGAAGCCTCAAGTAAGAGGTGTCATCCTGAGATACTATGTGAATAGGGTAGAAATGCCAGATAAAACCTTCCTTAGAAAGCACATGAAATGTACAGCTAACCTCCTTACAGAAAAGATGTGGTCAATTAGTTTTAATAGCATAGATATTCAGGAAGATTTGTTTAATGATGACACCCTCATTTTACTGAATCAATACCAGGGAGTGTTTTACAATGAAATCTCTCTCTCTTGTGAGTAACTTACAATAAATAAATCCATAAATCTATCAAGTCCCTTTACTAGACTGAGAATCTATAAGATATGCATGGTTAAAGATCAGCAAGATCTTTTGACACCAAATTTCCAGGTCAGCAAATGGGTCACTGGAGTTCTAGTAGTAAATTTGTGAAAGGCTATTCAAAATGATTTGCTCATTAAGGGTTGGTCTACTGAGCATGAAAAACCCATGCATAAATTTCTAAGGTATATATATCAAAAGTGGATTACATCTTTAGAAGAAATAATCTGCTTGCTTGACATGCTAGCAGGTTTTGTCTTTCTTCTTAGATGTTGGTTAAATGTGTGCTTTCTGAAGTCCAGCTGTCTGAGTCAGAGTTTGGCTACTTACTAGCAGTGTGACATTGAACAGTGTACTCACTCTATGCCTTAATTTCCTGATCTATAAAATTAGGTAACACTAACATTCACTCATATGATATTTTTCAGAATTAAATGAATTAGTCTGTCCACAGTACTTACAACCGAAAATAATTCCAGGCACAGAGTAAGCACTCAATAATTCTACCATCTTAACATTATTTTATTCTTATTATTATTAATAGTAAGATTCCAGAGTAGTAATATTATATGCAATATTTCACAAAATAAAGGGGACATAAATGTACACATTTTTCTCAGGACTATACCAGATTGTGTCTTTTACTGAAATTTCTACACATCAATATATCAGTTTTTAAATCAGAGGTATTGATTTTTGAGAAAGAATCAGAGTTACCACATAAAAGAAAATGCTCAATTTTGTAAATAAAAAAAGTGAACCGCCTCATATACAAGAAATTGGATGGACATAGGCATTGATTCTTTACTGAAATATACAAGCTTATTGAAACTACAAATGATCCATTTACATAGACTCTTTGGGCTTTGTGTCCACTTGGGGATATTTGCCATCTTCCTCTTCCTTTTCCACATTAGGTCCTTGATTTCTGCTCTCCAAAATAACTCTTCATGCACATTTTAGCTTACCTCTGAAAAACTACAATTGCCATTTTAAAAATTTTAATCATGCTAATTCTCTTCCAGCAACCTGAAAATATTATCACACTGAAGTAGAAGTGCACATGTATTTAGCACTTACTATATGCCAGGACTGATTTTAAGCAATCCCATTAGCAGGAGACTGAGATTTCAATCCCATATTACAAATGGGGAAGTAAAGAGGTGGAATGAGTTACTGAAATCCATAAAACCAGTAAACAGTGTAGGTAAATGGCAGATTTTCTTGAATGCAGAAATTCTTGCTGTAAGCAAACTGTTTAGGAGATGCAATCTATCATTGCCCCCAAGTCTCTCAACACATCTTTGCTGAGTATGCTATATTGGAAGTCTCACCATCCATTGATCCTGAACCATTTCTGTAGGTAGTTACATAGTCAATTAAGTAGGTCAAGGCAACCACAGCATGACTGCCATGTGAGAGCTTGCTCTCCAAGGGAGATGGATTGGCTTACTTACAACTTTATCTATTGGTGCGATAAGCATTGAGCCCTTGCCTCTGGGTTCCTTTGTTGTAATGTAACCTACTGAGTGTGAGGCCATTATATGGCTCATTGTTCACTTGTGGTGCTTAAGGGAGCCACTGCCACAATGTTGGTGCTTCTACTCTTTGCTGTGCTGTGAGCAATAAACTGTCGTATTCTGAACCACTGAGACTCATTGTCTACTTTCACCACCTATGAAGTTGTGGCAAGCCAATGTGCTTGTTTTCTTAGTTATTGCCTTCAGAGTCTTGATATTCCTTGCCAACCACTATGAGGTTGAGGTTCTTCCCTGACACATAGATCCTATTCACTAATATTATTGCCTTTCAGATTTATCCACTGGATTCTTTAGCTCGCCCTCCCATTGCTAATCACCTGTGGATCCCTGGGTCAGGAAAGAATGGCATCCAGGATCAAATCTATAGGACTGAAAACATTACATCCCACTTATTTTTTATATATCTGTAAGATTTTTCCAGGCAAAGCCATCTATACTTTATCTTTTCAACACCATCGCCCAGTACAGTTCATGGGATATAGAAGGCACTCAATACATGTGTGTTGAATGACTTAATATTTACACATTAAAAAATGAACAAATAAGCAAGTGAAATACTAAATGTACCATAAGTGGTGTTTCCTACTTAGGTAATCATTCTATTATCACTTTTTATATCTAGCTACCTACTGAGAGTAGTTAATATTCTTCTTCAAAATGTCTTTCTGCAGAAGGGCACTATATAGTAAAAGTCAAATCATTAGCATTCAGTGATTCTGCATGTATTCTTTTTGAAAGGCCATGTGACCTTGTGTATTAATATCCCTTAACCTTCAGGATTAATCGGTAGAACTCTAACATAGATTTTCTACTAACATTTATTTCAAAGTTCATTCACTTTTTCTGAACTGCAGAATTCTCATTCTTAAAATGGAGCTATTAATATTTGCTTCGCTTATGTCAAGATTTTGTGAAAAGGAAAGGTGTATTAATCCATGCAAATCAGTTCCAAGGCATTTTGGCAGCAAGTAGTAGAAGAAGCAGTTTAAAATAGCTTAAACAAGAGATTTAAGAAAAATCTCTTAGGCCAGGTGTGGTGGCTCCCACCTGTAATCCCAGCACTTTGGGAGGCCGAGGTGGGTGGATCACCTGAGGTTGGGGGTTCGAGACCAGCCTGACCAACATGGTGAAACCCCATCTCTACTAAAAATACAAAATTAGCCTGGCATGGTGGCGTGCGCCTGCAATCCGAGCTACTTGTGAGGCAGAGGCAGGAAAGTCTCTTGAATCCAGGAAACGGAGGTTGTGGTGGGCCAAGACCACCCCATTGCACTCTGGCCTGGGAAACAAGAGCAAAACTCACTCTCAAAAAAAGAAAAAAAAAAAAAGAAAAATCTATTTCTCTCAAAAATTTGAGACTCATTGTCTCAAATAATGAGTTAGGAGTCGGTGTGGCCAATCCCACAGAAATACAAACTACCATCAGAGAATACTATAAACACCTCTACGCAAATAAACCAGAAAATCTAGAAGAAATGGATAAATTCCTTGACACATATACTCTCCCAAGACTAAACCAGGAAGAAGTTGAATTTCTGAATAGGCCAATAACAGGCTCTGAAATTGAGGCAATAATTAATAGCTTACCAACCAAAAAAAGTCCAGGACCAGATGGATTCACAGCCGAATTCTACCAGAGATACAAGGAGGAGCTGGTACCATTCCTTCTGAAACTATTCCAATCAATAGAAAAGAGGGAATCCTCCCTAACTCATTTTATGAGGCCAGTATCAACCTGGTACCAAAGCCTGGCAGAGACACAACAAAAAAAGAGAATTTTAGACCAATATCCTTGATGAACATTGATGTAAAAATCCTCAATAAAATACTGGCAAACCGAATCCAGCAACACATCAAAAAGCTTATCTACCATGACCAAGTGGGATTCATCCCTGGGATGCAAGGCTGGTTCAACATATGGAAATCAATAAATGTAATCCAGCATATAAACAGAACCAAAGACAAAAACCATGATTATCTCAATAGATGCAGAAAAGGCATTTGACAAAATTCAACAACATTTCATGCTAAAAACTCTCAATAAATTAGGTATTGATGGGACATATCTCAAAATAATAAGAGCTATCTATGACAAACCCACAGCCAATGTCATACTGAATGGGCAAAAACTGGAAACATTCCCTTTGAAAACTGGCACAAGACAGGGATGCCCTCTCTCACCACTCTTATTCAACATGGTGTTGGAAGTTCTGGCCAGGGCAATCAGGCAGGAGAAGGAAACAAAGGGCATTCAATTAGGAAAAGAGGAAGTCAAATTGTCCCTGTTCGCAGATGACATTATTGTATATCTAAAAAATCCCATCGTCTCAACCCAAAATCTACTTAAGCTGATAAGCAACTTCAGCAAAGTCTCAGGATACAAAATCAATGTGCAAAAATCACAAGCATTCTCATACACCAATAACAGACAAACAGAGAGCAAAATCATGAGTGAACTCCCATTAACAATTGCTTCAAAGAGAATAAAATACCTAGGAATCCAACTTACAAGGGATGTGAAGGACCTCTTCAAGGAGAACTACAAACCACTGCTCAATTAAATAAAAGAGGATACAAACAAATGGAAGAACATTCCATGCTCATGGGTAGGAAGAGTCAATATCGTGAAAATAGCCACACTGCCCAAGGTAATTTATAGATTCAATGCCATTCCCATCAAGCTACCAATGACTTTCTTCACAGAACTGGAAAAAACTACTTTAAAGTACATATGGAACCAAAAAAGAGCCCACATTGCCAATTCAATCCTAAGCCAAAAGAACAAAGCTGGAGGCATCATGCTACCTGACTTCAAACTATACTACTAGGCTACAGTAACCAAAACAGCATGGTAGTGGTACCAAAACAGAGATATAGACCAATGGAACAGGACAGATCCCTCAGAAATAATGCCACATGTCTACAACTATATGATTTTTGACAAACCTGACAAAAACAAGCAATGGGGAAAGGATTCCCTATTTAATAAATGGTGCTGGGAAAACTGGCTAGCCATAGGTAGAAAGCCGAAACTGGATCCCTTCCTTACACCTTAAACAAAAATTAATTCAAGATGGATTAAAGACTTACATGTTAGACCTAAAACCATAAAAATCCTAGAAGAAAACCTAGGCAATACCATTCAGGACATAGGCATGGGCAACAACTTCATGTCTAAAACACCAAAAGCAATGGCAACAAAAGACAAAATTGACAAATGGGATCTAATTAAACTAAAGAGCTTCTGCACAGCAAAAGAAACCACCATCAGAGTGAACAGGCAACCTACAGAATGGGGGAAAATTTTTGCTACCTACTCATCTGACAAAGGGCTAATATCCAGAATCTACAATGAACTCAAACAAATTTACAAGAAAAACACAAACAACCCCACCAAAAAGTGGGTGAAGGATATGAACAGACACTTCTCAAAAAAAGACATTTATGCAGCCAAAAGAACATGAAAAAATGCTCATCATCACTGGCCATCAGAGAAATGCAAATCAAAACCACAATGAGATACCATCTCACATCAGTTAGAATGGCTATCATTAAAAAGTCAGGAAACAACAGGTGCTGGAGAGGATGTGGAGAAATAGGAACACTTTTACACTGTTGGTGGGACTGTAAACTAGTTCAACCATTGTGGAAGTCCATGTGGCAATCCCTCAGGGATCTAGAACTAGAAATACCATTTGACCCAGCCATCTCATTACTTGGTATATACCCAAAGTATTATAAATCATGCTGCTATAAAGACACATACATACGTATGTTTATTGCGGCCCTATTCACAATAGCAAAGACTTGGAACCAAGCCAAATGTCCAACAACAATAGACTAGATTAAGAAAATGTGGCACATATACACCATGGAATACTATGCAGCCATAAAAAATGATGAGTTCATGTCCTTTGTAGGGACGTGGATGAAGCTGGAAACCATCATTCTCAGCAAACTATTGCAAGGACAAAAAACCAAACACCCCATGTTCTCACTCGTAGGTGGGAATTGAACAATGAGAACAGATGGACACAGGAAGGGGAACATCACACATCGGGGCCTGTTGTAGGGTGGGGGGAGGCGGGAGGGATAGCATTAGGAGATATACCTAATGCTAAATGAGGAGTTAATGGGTGCAGCACACCAACATGGCACATGTATACATATGTAACAAACCTGCACATTGTGCACATGTACCCTAAAACTTAAAGGATAGTAATAATTTAAAAAAAAAGAAAAAGAAAAAAAAAGGAGTAGGTGTGGCTCCAGGTTTTATTAATTCAGTGAATTGGCAATATCATTGGGTTATTGAACAATGATTGCTCCTTTTTCCTCTTTGCCATCTTGAGCATGGCTCTTTAATTCTCTTCCTGATACTAGAGTGGTTGCTGCAATTCTGTGGTTCTCACACAGATATGACAGCATCTAGAAACAAAACAAGGAGACATTGTATTTTTGTTGTTTCTTTCTAAGACAGAAGAAAATAAATCCCTTAGTTGATTACCCTTCATGTTTTATTTACAAAGGAATAGGACTACTGTGATTTTCTTTATAGCAGTGATTCCCAAGATGTATGTATAATGATTCAGACTATTCCTTCTCTGCAAGCGATAGACAGATGAGCAAAAGTAGTAAATGAATGTCCACGAATTTATTTTCAGAGATTTGATCTTAGTTCAGTAGTAAAAAGAAGTAGTACAGTATTATTTTAATATTGTTGAAGAATTATCCACCCTTTATGACACATTGCTGAGTTAAAATTATCTTCTTATGCCAAAGGATAAATCTTCTAATCAGAATCAAAGGCTTCCATGCTGAGAACAATGAACATAATGCTGACATTAACTTCAGTTTTCACCAGTGAGCCCCACTAAACTCCCCTTCTCAATAACGTTTTTTTTTTTTTTTCTAATGTGCAGGTAGTCTTGCTGCTCAAAAATTGCAACAGTGTCAATTAGATCTATCACTTCCACATACGTGATTTTAGTGGACAAGCTCAATCTCTGTTTTCTGTCTGATGAAGGCATTCTTTTCACCTGCTGGCATACCTCATAGGAAAATGTATCTGCTACAAAAAATTAGGTAATAGGAAATGAATTAACAAAAGCAGACTGAGGTCTTTTACAAGCTACCCACCAATAGCATTTGCACCAACAGTGTTGGCCCAAAGCCATAAAGGTAACTGGGTCTTCATAGAGAAGTACTACAGAAATTACACATGAGCAAGTACATCACCATCATTCCATGCAAGAAGCTCTGCAACGACATAGCAGACAGTGTCATGGATCTCATGAAGTAGATTCAAAGAGTCTCCAGGAGAGGCATCTACATTATGCTGCAGAAGGAGGAGAAGGAGAGGGAGATAATTATGTTTCTGAGGTCTCAGCCCTGGATCAAAAGATAAATGAAATAAATCTTGACACTTAGAAAATGCCAAAGCTGTTGGACTTTGGCAGTCTGTTTATCCTGCAGGTCAGTCAGCACATAGCTGGAATGAGTTTTCAAACACCACTTGGAGCTATTTGAATCTTTCTGCTATGCTGTTATATTTTCAATAAAATCAAAACTGAAACCACCAGACCAAGCAGTAAATTTAGCTCTTTTTATGATATTTACCCAGCATAACTATTCTTTTTTCAAAGAGTGAAAGAGAACCATTGTGCTTAATGAATGACAAATGTTGATGGGGACATGTGAATTCAAACAGGACAGAAAAAGTGTAGAAACACTGAAAAAGGAAGATCAAGAACTGGACCCAAAGGATAAATTGGAAAAAATATATATATTTTCTCATGTATAATTGCATTCCTATGGGTGTATGGGTGCAATTGTATGTGAACATATATATTTACATATATACATATACAAACACACACATATGTTTCCATACATATGTACATATAGAAATATAAATTTATGTATGGCTACTTATTTATTAAAGTTTGTGTTTGATAGAAGTTATCTGATTGTTTTCTTGAAAGGCTGAATGAGAGACATATGGAAGGTAATATCCGTTGCTGGTTAGTGGTAGAGACAAACAGGAGCTAAATCAACAAGCTCCTCATGAGTCATGAGAGAAAAGCAGTGACTCTCAAGGCTAGCCCATGGACCAGTGCCCATTTGGCTACATAAATGAAACTAGGAGAAGTTTTCAAATAATAATTCACTCATGGGCTTCATTCATGAAGAATCTGGTTCAGGAGAGA
This sequence comes from Homo sapiens, assembly GCF_000001405.40. Taxonomy (NCBI): domain Eukaryota; kingdom Metazoa; phylum Chordata; class Mammalia; order Primates; family Hominidae; genus Homo; species Homo sapiens. Next base: position 52,283,543 of record NC_000005.10, read on the forward strand.
GGACAAGGAAATACTTACATGCAATGACCATGCCAAATATGAAACAAACTTATATATAATCCATGGCAAAAATAATAAACTAAAAGAAAACTATATTTTGAACAAAATGGAAGAAAAACCTCAACATATTAAAATATGTAAGGTGCAGCCAAAGTTGTAAAAGCATTGCTTTTAATGCTTATATTTGGGGAAAAAAAAAAAAGTCTAAAGTTAATGACCTAAGATTTTATGTTAGGAACTCAGAAAAAAAGAAATATAGTAAGCCAAGAGTTAGTAGGAAACAACAAATATAAGAGTTGAAATCAATATAAAAGAAAGTAAACAAAATACAGGGAAAACTTAGCAAATCTAACAAAGATTAAGAACATTAATTGATAAATACATATATATATATATGTTTATTAAGTATTAACTTACATGATCACAAGGTCCCACAATAGGCTGTCTGCAATCTGAGGAGGAAGGAGAGCCAGTCCAAGTTCCAAAACCGAAGGACTTGGAGTCAGACTTTTGAGGGCAGGAAGCATCCAGCAAGGGAGAAAGATGTAGGCTGGGAGGCTAGGCCCCTCTTGCCTTTTCACGTTTTTCTGCCTGCTTTATATTTGCTGAAAGCTGATTAGATTGTGCCCACCAGATTAAGGGTTGATCTGCCTTCCCCAGCCCACTGACTCAAATGTTAATCTCTTTTGGGCAACAACCTCACTGACACACCCAGGATTAAAACTCTGTATCCCTCAATCCAATCAAGTTGACACTCAGCATTAACCATCACAGGAAGGAAGGAAAGAAGGAAGGAAGGGAAGGGAAAGGGAAAGGGAAAGGGAAAGACGGAGGGCAGGACAAAGAAAAGTAAAGAAAAAAGAAAACACACACTGCCAATGTCAGTAATGAAAAACCTATGATTTTAGATCTACAGATATTTAAGAAGTTAATAAGGTTATGTTATAAACAACATTATCATTACCAAGTAAGATAAAATAAAATATTCCATTACAAAAGGAATTTACTAAAACCAACTAAAAGATAAAATAGAACATTTGAATAGTATTATTTCTATTAAAAAATTAAATTTGTCATTAATGACCTTCTACCAGGAAAACTCCAGGCAAGAATGGTCTCACTGATGAATTTCATCAAACATATTATGAAGGTATAACACAAATCTCAAACAATTTAACGAAATAGGGGAAAATGGAACATTACCCAATATTCTTAAGAGGTCAAGACAATCATAACAAAACTACACAAATGCTGCACCTGAAAGTAAAAATCCCACATCAAAATCTCTCTTGTATTACATATCATAAGGGTCCAATATCTCATGTGCTAAAGGTGTAGGGGCCAAATAACAATTATATGGCTGAGTAATTGAATGGGTGATGCTAACTGCTATTCCTTCATGTGGAAGAAACATGATAGGCTCAAATCTATTAATCTACAAAATTTTCACATAAGGGTGAGGGCCTACTTGGCAGCATGTAAAAAGACATTTGATTCCTACAACAGAAAGTTAGAATAGTTAAAGGTATATTCTGGACTTAGTAGTAAAAGTGAAAGAAGTTCATCTTAGGCAAGTCTCCTACAAAATATCAAGGTCCTACTAGACAAAAAAAAAATTTTAAACCCTGAAATTTGAGATAGAATTATATGAGTAGTTGCAAGTGAGAATTTAAATTCCCAGATTCATCCGAACCTTCTGGACCTGTAGAATAATCTTATTTTTAAAAAAGAGTTCCTTTTATTAAAGACTATGTAGAGTCTTCAAATGAAACAGGTGTCTTATAACACAGGGCTTGTCACTTCGTGGTCTACCCCAACTTTACCCCATCGATATTTTGTCTTCTTATCCTTCAGACCCATTATTATGGTAAAACCTCAGCATAACCCACTGGAGAAGTGCTGAGCTTGGTAATAGAAGAGAAATTCCATATATCAAAGAACTTGCAGGACCCAGCTAACATGTAACTGCAGGAATGAGAATAGCATGGCTGAGAATGTCTCCTGAGGGTAATAGATCAAAGGCTACTACCAGATAAAGCTGGATAAAGGAGAGGTTGGTGATAAGGAAGTACTCTCCAATGTCATATGATTTTACACATTTTCAAGGGCCCTAACTGACAGGTTTAATACACTCCTGAGACTGGTTTTGGAAATTTGAAAAAAGTGATGGTCAACAATAAAAGGAACAGAAATCTTAGGTCTGCTATGGCAGACTAGGTAGGAAGAGAACAAAAGACTCAGAAAAGTGAGCATGCCATAGAAGATGTCTAATAGAAAATTAGAAAACTCACCAACTGACTGTGTTCTTTTGGAGAGCCTGGAGGAAAATGTGTTTACCAAGGCAATGAGAACTGCACTAATGAGGATGGGACAAGCATCAGTTAAGCCTGTGGTCTGTCTACTGAGATTTCTGTTAGGAGATGCATAACCCAGATCTCTGGTAGTAATGACGGTAATGCATTGTGGAATATCAGAGGCCAGGTTGTAGCATTTAACTGTCTGAACCAAGGTGGGTATAGTTAATGTAATGAGTAGCAAAGTTTGAAGGACACTTAGGAGTGTATGACACCCAGAATTTATTTAGATTGCTCACAGAACATTGATAAATAGCTAAGAAATAAATATAATCAATGACCATATAATATAATCAAAAAGTATTTAAAAGGGGTAAACAGATAATGAAATTTGTAATTCTAAATATGTCACAAGCTCTTGTCCAGTTATCAAACCTAAGCTAAGTTTTAGACCCAGAACCTACGAGAAGTTGGATCTCCATGAAGAAAGATCCTGCAATACTACAGCAAATATAAACCATGGTGATTCCCCCAAGTCCTTCTTCCAAGAGTAAGTACACAGTAGGAAAGGACAGTCTCCAGGTCCTTTAAGGGTTGTTTAGTGAAAGATCCAATTTGATGCTGGTATTGGAGGAAGCAGTGCTATCATGCCTCCTTCTAGTAGTAGCACATACAGGTCAGGTAACAAATGAAGCCTGTGCTCAGGTCTACCACACAGTGGGGTCTACTTAGTCAACAAATACATCTGGTAAGTAGTGTGCTGGTACATGTTTGTCAGTTAGTTCTCTGAGAACACAAAATCCTAATGTGTGGCAATTTTCATATCTGTGGTGTAAATACTCCCACTATAGCTAATTCGAGCTACCAACATGACAACACTGGGCATAGAGCTGGGAGATGTGTGTGATTAGCTCTTGTGAACCAGTAGAAGCCAGCTCCAGTGCACCGCTGTGTCCATTGGACATTTTCCCAGATTGCAAATATATAGTTGAAATGGATATACAATAAGCTTTCACTTGACATCATCAATAGCTTCTTGGAAACTGCAACTTTAAGCCCAATGACAATGTATAAACAAACCAATTTTACCATAGGTTAATTGATATAAATAAGAGTTAAGTTCCTATGGCATATTTCTGGTCACAAAAAATTCACCAAATGGCTGAATAAAGACCAAAACACTTCTAATATTAAACGTTGAAGTAAATGTGACTTATACATACATTTGAGAAAGATTACCAAGAACAAGTGAAAGAATTATTCACCTAATTATTCCAGTTCAGGGAGGTAGGTGGCCGGAGCCTATCCCAGCAGCTCAGGGAACAAGACAGGAACCAGCCCTGGACAGACCAATCCCATCACAAGGCACATTCACACCTACACCTCTACCTACGCAGACTGGAACCATATAGACACATGAATTCATCTAACATGTACATCTTTGGGATGTGGGAGGAAACCAGAATATACGTAGAAAACCCATGCAGACATGAGGAGAACATGCAACTCCACACAGACAATGGCCCTGACTTGGAATCAATTATTTTTTTCTTATCAACATTATAATGCATTTACATTGGATGAAACAATGTTATTTCAGGACCTACTGTACTTAATAGTTGAAAGAACTCTCATATTTGTTCTTCATTTGTATAGTAAAAGTATTGCAGTATCTCCACCAGCCAGTATAGTAAATTAAAAAATAATACCTTTCCTTAGATAAGGGATAACAGTGATTAGTGCCACTTTTAAAGACAGAATGAAGAGTTGGTAGTTTTTATCTGAGGTAGGTTGGGTTTTCTAGAATCTGGCTAAAATAAAGTTTTATGTAATATATTTATGAGATATCAGTACCTGTGAGAAGAAAGAGGATAAAGTGTATCTGGACAGAAGAGGAACTCTAAATTCAGTAAAGACTCATGAAACTTTGGCCAAGCCAGCTGGGAATTCTGGAATTAGTATGTTTGTGAAATTTTCTCCTATTGGATTAAATCATCGATACTTTATATTCTACCTTGACCAATTGTTGGATGGGCATAACCTCAGCAAAGCAGTTCTCTGAAACTAAGGCAGACCCTGCAGAAGTTTGAAGCTGGAGGTTATCCACTAACCACACTGCATGAAAATCTTCCCTGAAAGGGATTTTGGGTAGCCCATCTCCCTGCAAATCTATTAATTATATTTTAATTAAATTCACTAGTCAGGAATCTGCAAAACCCACATGATTCAAGGTAGATTACAGTAGGCAATTGAAAACATAACCAACTAACTGGTAAGAAAGCATTGCAATATTTTATAGGTCTTTTTGGCAGCCATAAAAAATGTTCCTTTCAGGTTTGCTTCAGGGACCATAATTAACTAATGGCACCAGCTATTCCTCCTTTGAGTCTTCTACCATATTTGCAGAGAGTCCACACTTCCTGCAAACTACTCCAGCTAGTCACTGAGCACAGCATGGGTACTGACACAGTCCAATTCCCACAAGATGCAAGATCCCTTAACAACTCTAGCTTGATACCTGTCTATAATCCTAGCCCAAACATTTTGGAACAGTACTGTTGTCTGGATAATGACCCTGTTAAAGATATCTGATCCCACCCCCCACCCCAGTACCTATGAATATGTTCTTACCTGGCAAAGGGGACTTGAAGATGTGATTAAAATCGAGAAATGACCCTGGATTGTATGGATGGACCAAACTTAATCACAAGAGTACTGAAAACTCAGAACCTTTCCCAGATAAAATGCAGAAGGTATAACAGAAGAAAAATCCGAAGAGATACATAGTGTGAGAAGAATTTAGCATGATACTTCTGGCTTTGAAAATGGTGGAAGATATCCATGAGACAAGGAATGGGGGTGGCCGCTTAAAAATGGAAATGTTCCTCAGTTTACTATTAGGAAAAAATAAAAAGACGGCTATAGAACTGAAAGATCTAAATTTTGTAAATAACCCAAGTAAGCAAGAAAACTGATTTTCCTCTAGAACTTCCAGAAAGGAATCAATCTATGGATTGATTTTAGCCTGATTTTAAATGAGTCTTGCATTGGACTTCTGAGCTATGAAACTGTGACATCACAAAGCTGTATTGTGTTAAGCCACTAAGTTTGTGATAGCTTGTTGCAGCAATAACAGAATAGTAATACACTACCCAATCCATTTTCTTTCCCCTCCTCTTTCACAAATGTTAGATCTCTCACAACAATCTGAAGGTCTCACCATCTTTTTTTACTCCCTCCTTTTATCTTTTATAGGCATTTCTCCTAATAGATCTAACCTCATTTTGGCATCATTTTCTCAAAGGACTTGAATAGGTTTTTATTTTGAATGTGAAAGTAGCATACTGTGTACTAGTGAATACTGTTACACTTAATTTACTGGACAACAAGGAAGGCTGCTAGATTTGAATGGGCCAGAGCTAGAAAAGGTTTTTCTACAGGTTCAAATTTCAGTACAAGCAGCCCTGACACCTGAGCCATAGGAACAGCAGATCCAAAGCTATGAGAATATCTTGATAGAGAAGGATTCGGTGTTACCACTCTGGAAAGTGCCAATATGAGTGTCATTCCAAGGAACTCTAAAATTCTGGAGCAAAGCCGTACTATCTGCAGCAGAGAACTACACATCACTTAAAAAGCAACTGTAGGCATGCTATGGGTCCTGACAGAAAGTTCCCAAACATGGAGATTTCAAATGACCATGCAATCAGGGTCCTCCATCATGAGCTGAATAATATCAGACCTACCAAGTCATAATATTAGGTAAGTCCAACAGCAATCTATTACAAAGTACAGGTGGTACATCTGGAATCAAGCTTCAGTAGGTTCACATGGTATAAGTAAGCTTGCATCAAGAGATGGCCTAGAAACCCTATCATCTGCCACAATTGAAACAATGCCACTCTCTTGGCTCATATTGATGACCTTATGGGAGAGTGCCAAGACATGCTAACGAAGAGGAAATGGCATGAGGTTTGTTCTCAGATGGTTCAACTTGGCATGGGAGAGAGCCAAATATAAACACTCATGTACTACAGCCCCACTCAAAGGTGGCTCTTATCAGAAAGGGAAAATTCTTCCCAAGCGCATAGCTTCAGAAAGTGCAACTTATCACCTTTCCGTGAAAGAGAAAAGTGGCCTAAGGTAAGTATATACTGGAATAATATGCAGGGGCAAATGTTTTAGCAGTTGGGCTGAAAGAAGCAATGTTGAAAGACCCAAGACAATGAAGTCAGGGAAAGAGATATGGGGATGAGCAAAAAGTGGGAGGATGTTTGTAAAATGGCATGGTACTGCAAAAACTCAATTTTTGCTCTTTGTGATTGTTGTTAGTAATTTGTTGTTCTACCATTTCACGATGATAGGTTTACTAAGGTAGTGTTCACTAATCTTGTTAGCATTTGGTAGACCATTTCAGTTTTTAGATATCACTTTAGCTTGAGAAATTTTCTTGGGTTATTTGAAAGTATCTTTTTTTTTCATTTTCCATATTGAGTCTTATTAAACTCCTATTGGTCAGATTTTGGCCATCCATATTGAATATCTGTATTCTTTTTGTTTGAGCTTTGAATTCTGTTTTCTTTTTGCTTTTATTTAGGAATTCTCTGCAATTGTCTTTGTAACCCTTCTATTTAGTGTTATATTTGGGAGAACAATTTTAATTTCCAAAAGCTCTTTCTTGTTTTTTATTAGCTCTTTTTTATTGACATTTTATTCTGGATTTTTAGGTATAATATCTTTTCAACTTTATATGAAATTCCACTTAAACATTTTGTTTTGTTTTGTTTAATTTCTATACTATTCTTCAAATCGCTTCTCTTTTCTCTTAGAGTTATGTTTTTATTTATTTAAACTCTTTTTGTTTATGCTACAGGTTTTTCTCAAATTTTTGGTGTTCTGTGTACATCCCCTCATATTTACTAATGATACCCCCATGCCAAATAAAAGTTTACATGGCTCTGTGTACATTGGTGGGTTTGTTAATTTATAGGATTTATTTTAGAGTGGGAGGGTACAATGCTCACCTTGAAGCTGTCACTATATAAGTGACCTCTAAATGTCAGAACACAGAGGCCTTTACACTAGGGATTTGTCACCTCCATTAGCTACCTAGCTCCTCTTTGATGATTTATTCACTTTGTTTAGGTAAGAATACTTGCATTTTTTAGCCTAGGAGAGAGCACTCTGCTGTTGCTGTTTTATTAGAAGGGACAGGTCAGTCTACTCATTCATACGTGGACCTGTAAAATGTTCTCTAGTTTTCATTCCCAACCATTACATCTTCCTTTTCAAAATCTGATATGTCCTAGTGCACAGCCTCTGTAGAGTTAGACCAAATGGTTGAATACACTCTCAGCTGGAATCCTCTGTTCTGCTTCATCAGTCAACAGAGTTAAATAAACAGAGTTTTTTTGCTTTCAAGCAGCTCAGAATCAAGAGGTATTGATAAACAAACAGGTAATTATAACACAATGTGGAAAAAAGTGATAAACTTATACAAATGAGATTGCATGATCATAGAGATGCACTGCCTAAACCCATTTGAAACTCAAACAGTGTAGGTGTTTTGTGGTCACGCAAAATCGCCTCATATGTCACTGCTGAGCTGTAGGAGCACAGACTTGGTTTCCTGGTTATTAATTTCAGTGTCATCATATGAAAAGGGGATAATTAGACATTCTTCATAGGGCATTATATAAAGATGAAATGACATATTACATACAAAGCCATGCAAAACTGCCTGAAACTAAAAAGATCTTGCATACGGAATGCCCTCAGTAAATGGTAGTTACTGATTTTCTTCAATTTTGTCATATGACTTTTATCATATTTTATCTTCTCTACAATGGGAAAGCTTCTTATGATTCATGCAAAGAAATGTGCCATCTGTTAGGTGAAGGGTTAGACTATGATATAGCTGTCATTGTCTGCTCATGTGTGAATTTAGCAGTGCTAAGAAGGTATCTGTTTATCTTCTTGTCAGCTGAGGTATTTTATTGGTAGTTCTACAAATGATTAAACTTGAAAGTAAATCTTAATTGTTACTTCAAATGTCTCCAAGGAAACAATTCTATAATGCAGAGCTGAAACAAAAGTCTTATCATGTACACACAAGAAGCCTGCATGTAGCAAAATTAAATACAGTGGAGACTGTCAGATCTCTCAGGATAGCACTGACATTGCCAAATTTAGGACAGTTTACTGTGGCAGTTGCATCCACAATGGGCTACAATTTAGCAGATAAAATTTTTCTGCCAAAAAGTTCTAGCTGACTTTCAAGAAAAGTTGGGTTACCCTTTGTATTAGTCCATTCTCATGCTGCTATAAAGTACTGCCCAAGACTGGGTAATTTATAAAGGAAAGAGGTTGAATTGACTCACAGTTCTGCATTGCTGAGAAGGCCTTAGGAAACTTACAATCATGATGGAAAGCAAATGAGAAGCAGGCACCTTCTTCACAGAGCAGCAGGATGGAGTGACTGCAAACAGGGGAAATGCCAGACACTAATAAAACCATCAGATCTCCTGAGACTCACTCACTATCATGAGAACAGCATGGGAGAAACCACTCCCATGATCCAATTACCTCCACCTGGTCCAACACTTGACACATAGGAATTAAAATTCAAGATGAGATTTTGGGTAGGGGCACAGCTAAACCATGTCATTCTGCCCCTGTCTCCTTCCAAATCTCATGTCTTCACATTTCAAAACCAATCATGCCTTCCCAACAGTCCTCCAAAGTCTTAACTCATTCCAGCCTTAACCTAAAAGTTCAAGTCTAAAGTATCATCTGAGACAAAGCAAGTCCCTTCTGCCTACCAGCCTATATAATCAAAAGCAAGTTAGATTACTTCCTACATACAATGGGGGTACAGGTATTGGGTAAATACACCTGTTCCAAATGGGAGAAATTGGCCAAAACAAAGGGTCTACAGGCCTTATGCAAGTCCAAAATCCAATGGGGCAATCAAATCTTAGAGTTCCAAAAGGATATCCTTTGACTCCATGTCTCACATCCAGGTCACGGTGATGTAAGAGGTGGGTTACGATGGCCTTGGGCAGTTCCACCCCTGTGGCTATGCAGGGCATAGCCCCCTCCTGGCTCTTTTCATGGGCTAGCATTGAGTGTCTGCAGCTTTTCCAGGTGAACGGTGCAACCTGTCAGTGGATTTACCATTCTGGGGTCTGGAGGACGGTGGCCCTCTTCTTACAGCTCCTTTAAACAGTGCCCCAGTGGGGACTCTGTGTGAGGGCTCCAAACTCCTTTCCACACTGCCCTAGCAGAGGTTCTCCATGAGGCTTCGCTCCTGCAGCAAACTTACCTGGAAATTCACGTGTTAACATATATCCTCTGAAACCTAGGTGGAGGTTCCCAAACCTCAATTCTTGTCTTCTGTGCACCTGCAGGATCAACACCACATGGAAGCTGCCAAGGCTTGAGGCTTGCATCATCTGAAGCAATAGCCTGAGCTGTACCTTGGCCCCTTTTAGCCATGGCTGGAGCAGCTGGACACAGAGAACCAAGGGTCAAGTCCCAAATCCTGAGGCTGCACACAGCAGGGGGGACCCTGGACCCAGCACAGGAAACCATTTGCCATCCTAGGCCCCTGGACTTGTGATGGGAAGATCTGCCAGGAACATTTCTGACATGCCCTGGAGACATTTTCCCCATTGTCTTCATGATTAACATTTGGCTCCTTGTTACTTGTGCAAATTTCTGCAGTGGGCTTCAATTTCTCCCCAGAAAATGGGTTTTTCTTTTCTATTACATTGTGAGGCTGCAAATTTTCTCAACTTTTATGCTCTGCTTCCTCTTGAATGCTTTACACTTAGAAATTTCTTCTGCTGATACCTAAATCATCTCTCTCAAATTCAAAGTTCCACAGATTTCTAGGGCAGGGGCAAAATGCCCTCAGTCTCTTTGCTAAAGCATAGCAAGAGTCACCTTTGCTCCAATTCCCAAGAAGTTCCTCATGTCCATCTGAGACCACCTCAGCCTGGACTTCATTGTTTGTATCACTATCAGCATTTTGATCAAAGCCAATCAACAATTGTCTAGGAAGTTCCAAACTTTCCCACATTTTCCTGTCTTTTTCTGAGTCCTCCAAACTGTTCCAACCTCTGCCCATTACCCAGTTCCAAAGTCGTTTCTACATTTTTGGGTATCCCTATAGCAGCTCCCCACTACCTTGGTACCAATTTACTGTATTAGTCCATTCTTATGTTGCTGTAAAGAACTGCCTGAGATTGGGTAAAGAGACTAGGAATGAGGTTTAATTGACTCACAGTTCTGCATAGCTTGGAAGGCATCAGGGAACTTACAATCATGGTGGAAAGCAAAGGAGAAGGAGACACCTTCCTCACAGGGCTGCAGAATGGAGTGCAAGCCAGGGAAATGCCAGATGCTTATAAAACCACCAGATCTCCCAAGACTCACTCACTACCATGAGAACAGCATAGGGGAAACTGTCTCCATGATTTGTTCACCTCTACCTGGTCCTGCCCTTGACATGTGGGAATTACAATTCAAGATGAGACTTTTGGTGGAGACACAGCCAAATCATACCACCCTTTAAGATTCATATCTCAATTATGAGGGAGAAGTAAGTTTAATCTGATCTCTTCAATCTGCTTCAGAAGTACACAATGATGGTGGAGGTACAAAGTGATGGGCATGGATCGCAATGTGCAACATGTGTGTGTGATTACATGTGAAACTGCCAATTGCACGCTTAATTCAGAAAAGTCTTTAGTCTTCAACAATAAACTCAATGTATTATTATGCTGAGGAGGAAAATAATGTGAAAGTCTTTATTAAGAGAAATGAAGAAAGCTATAATTAACTTTTTGTGTATTATAGCACATAACGATGGATGAATCAGTTTGCAATAGCTACGTAATGAACCATTCAAAACTGCATGGCTTAAACAGGTATTTACTTATAAATTTGTAGGTTTTCATGGGCAAGTCTGCTGATAAGAACCAGTCTTAGTTGGTCTTGGCTTGGCTTGCTCTTGACTCTTGGGTCAGCTGACAGGTCAGGTTTGGACAAGGTGATTTAGGATGACCTCAGCTGGGTTATTTAGGATGACCTCATTTCTGTTGCATATGTTCTCCCATCTTCTAGAAGATTAGTCTGAATTTATTCTCATTTTGGAGGAGGGTGCAAAGAGAAAGATAAAGAATGTTAAGAGGAATGTAATGCTTCTTAAAAGCTAGGCTCAGAACCACATTTACCATTACTTCTGACAAATTCTATTAGCCAGTGAAATTCACACAGCAAGCCTAGATTCAAAGGAGTATGTAAAAAATCTCCAACTCTTGAAGTGAGGAGCTACAAAATCACATTTCAAATCGTGCAGAAACTGGAAGGAATAATGAATTGGCAGGTTGGCATGGTTCAACCCAACCAAAATGAAATCTTAGCAACCAGGAAATACTTGCTGCTTTAATACAATTCTTTATGCTCCAACTATTTCAGTTGCCAAGTAACTTGATGTGTGGGATGAAACACATGATTTTTATTTCAACTTTAGTTTTCTTGGTTTTTCATTTGTAAAGCAAGCAGGCTAGGTAGATCCTACTTTATGTTTTCAAATAAAATCCTCTCATCCCAAAGAGATTCTTCCATAACTCTTTGAGAGTTAAGGTGAGAGTGGTGCCTTCTTTTTCCTTTCCTCTCAAAAATCGTTGACTTAAACAACTCTAATGTCCATCTCTCTTTCCCTTTTTTTCTTTCTTCTTTCTTTCTTTCTTTCTTTCTTTCTTTCTTTCCTTTCTTTCTTTTCTTTCCTTCTTTCTTTCTTTCCCTTCCTTCCTACCTTCCTTCCTTTCTTTCTTTTTCTTTCTTTCTTTATTTCTTCTTTCCCCTCCCTCCCTTCCTCCCTCCCTTCCTTCCTTCCTCCCTTTCTTCTTTTTTTGATGGAGTTTCACTCTTGTTGCCCAGGCTGGAGTGCAGTGGTGCAATCTCGGCTCACTGCAATCTCCGCCTCCCGGGTTGAGGTAATTCTCCTGCCTCAGCCTCCCAAGTAGCTGGAATTACAGGTACCCGCAATCATGCCTGGCTAATTTTTTTTTTTTTTTTTTTTGTATTTTTAGTAGAGACACAGTTTCACCGTGCTAGCCAGGCTGACTGGAACTCCTGACCTCAGGTGATCTACCTGCCTCAGACTCCCAACGTGCTGGGATTACAGGCATGAGCTACCATGCCTGGCCTCCATCTCCTTTCAAAGTCCTTATCTTTTTGGATCAAAATGGTTAAAAGCTTAAGGAAAATAATTTATGCATTTATACCATTGGGTATACCTGTATAATTTTTCAAGACCTTTTCCTTGTTACTTGTGCTTCTTTGGCCAATTAAATTCAATGAGAATGTTGTGTTTTAAAATATGCAACATTCTGCAGGAACCAGTGAATTCCATCTTACTGGCTTTTGTTCCTTTTCTACTTATTAAATAAAGGAATTCTCTAAAGCTTAGTCCTTTTTTATTTAAGAATTCATCAATTGACATATGAAATATTTATACATTAATCTAGAATTGTTCCTCAAATTTTATTTCCTCCTCTTCAACTGAGTATCGAATTATTTGGATACTAATTTCTTGACATTTTTCAAATTCAATTTACATTAGACCCCTTTGCTTCCTTCCAAGATGAATTAAAAGAAATTGTATTCTTTACCTCCTGCTTTAACTCCTGCCTAAAAAAGCTAATAAATAAACACAATATGTGGAAAGTTATGTTTTTTAGACACTGGACATTAATCAACAAAGCTCAGTGAAGTGATCCCTGACCTGAAAATGAAAGAGGTAATATCACTACAGATTCTATTGATAATTGTAAAATAAGCAAACAATGAACAATGTTATGCCAATAAATTGGAAAACTTAGATGGAATGGACAAATACCTCAAAAGACACAAACAACAGGAGTTCACCCAAGAAGAAATAGACAAGCATAATGGCCTAACTTATCTGTATATGACTTGATAATTTCTTACCTCCTCATCTGAGTTTATGATGCCACCTTTATCCTGGTCAGAAGGCTTTCAAGATTTGAATTAATTTTTAAGATTTATACCTCCTTTTCTTCAAAATTGTTTGCTCTTTCTTAATCTTATTTGTAATATTTCTAACATTTTCTTCTTTCTTTTCATTTCCTTTCCTACTGTCCTTTTTATCTTAAAATTGTACTGTGGTAATACTTTGTCCCTGTACTTTTTTTAAAAAAACCTAACATGTAGCGTAACTCCTAGCACTTAGTACCCAGTGGATATTTGCTGAATGAACAATGTGGTGGGGTTAAATGCATGAGCTTTGAAAATGAAGCTTCCAAAATTCGAAGCTTGGCCTTTAAAATCTATCTTTTGAAAATCTTCCTGATATTTCTGCATCATAGTTTGCTCATCTTAAAAGTTAAAATAATTTTATCTTCCTCATACAGTTGTGATGACTTATATAATTAATAAGTTTTAATCACTTAAAGCAGTTACTAGTACACAGTAAACTCTCCAAAAACATTTTTTACTAAAGCCATGCATCACTTAATGATGGGGATACTCTCTGAGAAATGAATTCCTAGGTGATTTTCTTATTGTACAAACATCATACAGTGTAGCTTTACAAACCTAGATGGTACAGCCTACTACACACTTAGGTTATATGGTATATAGCCTCTTATCACTCCTAGGCTACAACCCTGTACACTATCCTACTGTACTGAATACTCTAGGCAATTTCAACAAAATAGTATTTGTGTATAGAAAAATATCTGAACATAGAAAAGATAAAGTAAGAATACAGTATGAAAGAAAAAAAGTGATTATATTTGTATAGGACACTTTACCATGAATGGAGCTTGCGGGACTGGAAGTTGCTCTGGTTGAGTCATGAGTAAGTGGGGAGAGACTGTGAAGGCCTGGGACATTAATGTCCACTGCTTTAGACTTTATAAACACTGTATAATTGAGCCGCACAAATGTTAAAAAATTGTTTCTTCAATAAGAAATTAATATTAACCTTAAACTTTTTTACTTTATAAACTTTTTATTTCCTAACTTTATTGACTCATAACACTTAGCTTAAAACACAAACACATTGTACAGCTGTTAAATATATATATTTTTATATCCTTATTCTAAACTTTCATTTCTTTTTTTTTTTTTTTGCTTTTTAAACTTTTTTGCTAAAAATTAAGACACAAACACACACATTAGCCTAAGCTTACAGAATGTCGGGATCCTCCATATAACTGCCTTCCCCCTCCATATGTTGTCCCACTGGAAGGTCTTTAAGGACAGTAACATGCATAGAGCTGTCATCTTCTATGGTTGGGGCCTGCCTGTGGCTGTTTTACAGCTAACATTTTGTTAATAAGTGGAAGCAGTGCACTTTAGAATAATGATAAAAATTATATAACAGCAAATACATAAACCAGTAACATAGTTGTTTATTATCAAGTATTATGTATTGTACATACTTGTATGTGCTTACATTTATGCCTTTGGCAGTGTAGTAGGTTTGTTTACATCAGCATCCTCATAAATATGTGAGTAATGTGTTGCACTAGGACCTTACAACAGCTATAGTGTCACCAGGTGATAGGAATTTTGCAGCTCCATTATAATCTTATGGGACCCTCATCAGATATGTGGTCTGTCATTGACTGAAAGTCACTATGCAGGGCATGACTGTATTATGAATGAATGCATGAATCATTGTGCTAAGAAACAATAAAAGGCTTTTAAATATAGATGTGCCAAAGTTTTAGTAGTGCTTTAAAGAATACATTTGAGAGTTTGAAGGATAGATCAAGAGAGATTTGACCTAGTGTCAGGGAAGTCCATGTGAAGGTAATCCATAATCCATCCCAGAGAGGCTAAGCATCTGAGTTAAGGCAGCAGTAATTATTTGTCTTTAAGAATTCAAATTAAATCCACAATAAGATACTACCACACATCTAACAGAATGACTACTAAAAAAAGAGAGAGAGAAATTTCCAGTTGTTGTAAGTTCTTGCAACTACATATAGTTGCTGATGGAAATGCAAAATGGTACAACCACTTTGGAAAACACATTTATAGTTTCTTTTAAAATCACACACACACTCACCATATAATTGAACAATTCCACTTCTAGATATTTACCTTACAGAAATGAAAACTTATGTTCACACAAAAACCCATTTGCAAATGTTTAGAGCAGCTTTACTCATAATTGTCAAAAATTGGAAACAATTTAAATGTCCTTTAACCAATGAATGGCTAATCAAACTGGTACATACATGAAATGGAATACTAATTAGCTATAAGAAGTAAACTATTGACACACAAAGCAACATGCACGAATTGCAAATATATTTTGCTAAGTGAAGGAAGCCAGTTCCAAAAGGCTACATACATTGTTATGATTTCATTTATAGGAAATTCTGGAAAAAGCGATATTATAGGGACAGAAAACAAATCAGTGGTTAGCAATTGCCAGGGGGTAGTGGTGGCAGGAGGAGTTGACTATAAAAGGATAGGGGAAAGTTTGGAGGGATGATGAAAACCTTCTAAATCTTGGCTATATTAGGCTTCATAAAACTGAATATGTTTGCCAAAATTCACAAAGCTGTAAACTTTTCAAAAATCAAGGGATTATACTGCTTCTTTGAAGCAAGAGCTTGTAAAATTTCCAGGTTAAAATGTATGGTTTCACCCAGTTTTTTTTCTAAATTTCTTTTTATTTAATCAGTGGATCTTATTTAACACTATTTTTGCTATTTAAATTACCATCTAGATGTTTGATATATAAACATTTGAGCCTGAATGAAGCAGAGAGTTCTAAAAACCAGTAAGGATTTGTTATGAAGATTTTTGAATAATATAGTTTGTTCACAATAAAAATTTAAAATTAAACTTGGCATGGGCTCACCATGTTCTAAGTAAAATTAATAAAAAGATACCTGTTTAATTACAAAGACAAGGAAAAGAAATTATAATGAGCACTAGGAAGTGGGAAATAAAACTAGGGCTGCTTTGTGATAATAAAATAATTTTAGAAGGTGAAGAAAAATTATCTACAAAGGGAGATGAAAATAAAGGTTGTGCTTCAATGATTCTATGTAAAATGGGATAGGTAAAGGTACATTTTTTATGGAGAAAAATTTGAAAAATTAAAAAGTAAAACAAGGTTTGGAGCATTTTCAGTTTAAAGGTGGAAATTTGGAGAAATTTGGGGCTCATTTGTACATTTACAAGTTAAAGGCATTAGAGTTGATGACATCTAAGAACAAGATAATGTATAAACACAAGAGAAAAGAAGTATAAGAAAAGGATCTTGGGGAGAAATACGTGTGTGTGTGTGTGTGTGCACGTGTGTGCGTGTTTATGTCTGTAGCCATAGGTAAAGGAAAAATGTGGCTAAAGAAGAAAAATGACAGTCGGGGTAATGAAAATATATTCAACTAAATATTAAAAATAGTTTGCTTATATTCAATTTTTCATTTAATCCTTCTAAACACATATGAGAGAATCAAGTGACAGTGTGTTAATGAATAGTAAATACAGGGAGGAAGGGAAGTTGTCCGTTACCCAAAATTTTATCCTCTCCTTTTACCATCATTTTCCCAAGATCCATGATGCATGGTTGGTGTTTTGTTACATTAGTTTATCAATGGATTTTTCATGAACAGTTGGAAAAAAATAATCTACCTGCCATAATCTAAATAATAGCAGAGAATTTACTTTTTATTAGCAGTAGAAAATTAAACATATGTAATATTTTTAGTTCTTAACCACAATTACTTATTTTCTCCTCAAATACTCAAATATTTACCTGCCTCTCAGTTCCAATTTACACAACAGCAACAAGTAACCCTCTCATCTTTTGTCACATGACTAATTAGAAATACAGACACTTCTTAAACATCTGTGATATTTAAAGAATATCATCTCCTCAACCTTCCACCTCCCTCTCCTATGAGCTAGTGGATTAAGATGAATGAAGGTTTTGCTGGGGTGTAAAACAACTTTTCAAAGATTCAGATTCATGAATCATTCATGCATTCTCAATATTTTAAATATGTAAAAGAATGAGTAAGGGATACAAATAGCTTGGTGAGCTTGGCTCTACATTTCAAGTTACAGAGCAAGAGATAAGGTATTCATTTTAGGTAAAATTCGTCACTAAATAGCATGTCAGGTCTATTGAGGCAATTAAATATAAGAAACCCCAGACTACTAATTCCACTGCCCACCCCCTACCTTTAGGGAAATTGAATAGAAAGAAAGATATTTTCTTTTAATGATCTTTCACTTTAGCAAATGTTAATTCAATCTTTGAATAGGGAGAGCACACACACTTCCTGGTCTTTGATCCTCCCTGCTTGCTAATTTTCATCAGAAAATAATCTAAACTTTGGTCTAACATAAATTTAAAATAACTTATTTGACAGTAAATAAAAAAGTTTAAAAAATAATTCTTAAGTTTTGCAATTGGCATGCAACACGTAGAACACATATTTATAAAGAAATTTGAACATAAAATTCAGTTTGTAGGAATGCATAAAAGCAACAGATACAGAAGTGAAATATGTATAATTAAATACATATAGTTATTTCTGTAAAATTTTTCTACTCCTTACAGAAGCAATTCTAAAGTGGCCATAAGTAGAGTATCAGGTGATTGTTTTTAAATAAATCAAGAAGCCCTTAAATATAAAATTTTGTCCAATCATTTGAAAGTAAAAATCAGTGAAAAACAGGAATGAGAATGTAACTTAGAATGTTGGGAGATCAAAGTGCTTTGTTGGGATTTCTTTGCAATAACTCATTATAAATTGACTGCAAAAATAAGGACCTTGTAAAACTGCTGTTGATAAAAAGCAGATAAGCAAATACTGGAAAAATAGGAACATATTATATGAGTATTAGGATCATGCTTTTTCAGAGGTTTCTGGGGACTTCTATTCAACCACGCAATTAACTGTCTATGGTTTTAATTCCCTAAGTACAATTTTTGGTAACTCACAAGCTTCCTTGGAAGTAACTTAGTACTCACTTATAAAAAAGAAACATGAAATACTTGGATGATTTTTTTAAGACAGAAGATATTTTGTAAATAATCTTGCACTTCAAGAACCTTTATTGAATGTTTAAATATGAAAAATAACCTTGATTCCCCTCCTATTTTTTTGGATTCCCTTTTTAATAAGTAATTAATTCTACCATAATTGGAGTTTAATAACTATAAACTATAACTATTTTAGCAAAGAGTATAACAAATGACTTCAAATCTTTATAATTAAGGCAATTATTTATAACATATGAATACATTTATAAAGAAATATTAACACAAAGTTATATTATAAGGCATTGCACCTACATTTACACTGCTGCAATAAAACTGGAATGCTTTCTTTAAAATCCAAATATTAATATTTGGCAATAATGCTCTGGATAACTATATATCCTTGACAATAAGCAGCATTTGATAGCTGGTGCTCAGAAGGCAGATTCACAATAACTCAAACTACCTGGAAACATTACAGGTGTAAGACATATGATAAGGACATTTTCTACGTTAAAATATTTTCTATTTAATAAATTAGAGGAAATACTTCTACTATAATAGCACCTAGAATCTCAAAAGCATAGACTAAGAAACACCCTCAGAGACAGACAGCTTGACCAGGAATTTGAAATGCAGTTAGATAGATTCTCCCAGCAATGCAAGCAGGCTTAGGAGAAATGGAGCTGTTTAGGTACATTTCTGTCCCAGAGACTGGCCTTTCAGACAGAAGCAGCTTGAGGAGTGCTGCTGAAGAGGGAAGATAGACTGTGGTAGCCTTGTATCTCTCTAATAAAGCAAGTGTGTTTAGCTACAAGAAAGTTTTATCTTCTGATCACCTTTGCTTGCCCTCAACTCCAGTCCTCACATCTGCACTGTCAATGGGGAAGGCTGATGGACACGTTAAAGTTTATTGCTTAAATTGGTCCTTATATATCTTCCTATCTATCATCAGCACACATATACTTTATTGTATATTTGTCTAAAATGTCTCACAAGCTACTTGCTTCTGTACTTAGTTTCATTTATCTTCAATATGAACATTGAATAACGTAGAATTTTGACAGTGTAATGATTTCATCCCACTACACCCTCTTCTAAGGGTTTAAACATACCGTATCTCTTTTTTTCTGCTTCTGTCTCTATTTCAAACTATTTAAATAAATGCAATTTGAGTAGTTTAATTTGGTGCTCAATTTAGTCCTATAATGTTACATGCTTGAAAGTAACCATAGAATCCTGATAATTTAAAGAAAAATAGAGTAATGAAGTCTATTTTGTTTTGATTTGCATTTTGGAAATTTGTAATAAGTAGACTACATTTAAGGTAATAATTTTTAAAAAGCCTATCTGGTGGAGGTAGGCATAACTTGAGTATACCTGAGTAGGAAGGGATAATTGAGGAAAGATGGTTTTGTGTAAGGGGTTTAAGGACCAGAATTTCTGTAGAGGCATTATATTTTGACAGCAGGAAGGACATTTCTGCTTTAGCAGAAAATGAAGTAGGTAAAATCATGGTATTAACTGATTTGAAATGGAGGATGGGAATTCAAGGGGAATTCTTTATGTATTTATTTAACTAATATTTATTGAACATCTATGTACAAGACATGGTGATAAGTGTTAGGTCTTCAGCAAGGCACAGTCTGTATGCTCACAGAGAAGACAAGCATTAATGGTGTAATTCAAGATAAAATAATTGAGGTCTGTAGAATCAGTAGTAGTTGGCTACTTGTAGGAGAGTAGGGGAGATTAAAGCATTTCAGGCAGGAGGAAAATCTGGTATTAAGTCTTAAATTTAAAGATTATATGACAAATTTAAAATAAAAAAGAAGTTGGTTAAAGCAGTGTGTCAGGGAGTGGGGGGTGGTGGGCAAGGACTGGGTCTGGGGACTTTAGATTTGGGACAGGGTTCTAATGACCCTGCTGCTCCAAGTTTACCCACTTAATTGATAGATTTAAGAATACTCCTGGGAATTCCATGGAGTTTGGAATTTCCAGTTGTAAGTTCTCGCAACTACATATAGTTGCTGATGGAAATGCAAAATGGTACAGCCACTTTGGAACACAAGTTTATAGTTTCTTTTAAAATCACACACACACTCACCATATAACTGAACAATTCCACTTCTAGGTATTTACCTTAGAGAAATGAAAACTTATGTTCACACAAAAACCCATTTGCAAATGTTTAGAGCAGCTTTACTCATAATTGTCAAAAACTGGAAACAATTTAAATGTCCTTCAACCAATGAATGGCTAATCAAACTGGTACATACCTGAAATGGAATATTAATTAGCCATATGAAGTAAACTATTGACACACAGAATAGTGTGTGTCAATAGTTTACTTCTTATAGCTAATTAATAAGCTATTAGCTATAAGATGCATGAACTGCAAATGTACTTTGCTAAATGAAGGAAGCCAGATAAGAGTAGCACAATCATTTGGAAGATCTGGGACACTCACTGTTTACCATCTACATACTGGTATTGCAGCATTTTATCAGTAATAATGCACATTCCATTGTATGTCATTTGAACATTGGCCCTACTATAATGTTTAATTTATTAACAATATAGTAGTTTCCCTCTTTGTTGGGAACAAGCCCCCCAAAATCTGGCCATATACTGGCCCCAAAACTGGCCATAAACAAAATCTCTGCAGCATTGTGATATGTTCATGATGGCCATAACACCCACACTGGAAGGTTTTGGGTTTACCAGAATGAGGGCAAGGAATACCTGGCCTGCCCAGGGTGGAAAACCACCTAAAGGCATTCTTAAGCCACAAACAATAGCATGAGTGATCTGTGCCTTAAGAACATGCTCCTGCTACAGTTAACTAGCCCAACCTATTCCTTTATTCCTTTAATTCGGCCCATCCCTTTGTTTCCCATAAGGGATACTTTTAGTTAATTTAATATCTATAGAAACAATGCTAATGACTGGTTTGCTGTTAATAAATACGTGGGTAAATCTCTGTTCGAAGCTCTCAGCTCTGAAGGCTGTGAGACCCCTGATTTCCCATTTCACACCTCTATATTTCTGTGTGTGTGTTTTTAATTCCTCTAGTGCCACTGGGTTAGGGTCTCCCCGACTGAGCTGGTCTCAGCAAGTGGCGCCCAACGTGGGGCTCGAATCTAGGTCAAAGGGTTGCTGTAGTGATGGTTGGAGAACATGGAACTAGCTAGAGGACACCCGAATACTCTTAAAGCAAGCCCCGTGGTGTGTAAGAAGGGGAGCTCGGAAGCATCAGGGTAACAATGGGACAAATGTGGGGTCTGGTTCTTTCTACCTTAGAACTTTTTCACACTGATGATGAGGAGGAAGGAGAGTATAGCAAAGTAACAGAAGAGGTTACAGAGCAGGTTTATTTACCAGCTAAGGCTAAAGCAGCAAAGGAAGGAAAGGTTCATTCATACCCTTCTGCACCCCCTCCTTATTATTTTGAAGAAAAAGAACCTCCAGATCTTTCTTTTCTGGAAGTCACTGGGTGAAAAGTAGTTGCCCCAGTGACTGTTTGAGCAGAGCCTCAAGTGACCACTCTTAGTTCTATTCAGGCAGGAATTCAGCAAGCTAGACAAGAGGGTGATTTAGAGGCTTGGCAGTTCCCTGTTAGAATACAACCCCCAGATCAACAAGGAAATATAGCTACATTTGAGCCCTTTCCTTTTAAATTACTCAAAGGATTTAAACAAGCTATAAATCAGTATGGACCAGGTTCTCCTTTTGTAATGGGACTATTAAAGAATGTTGCTGTTTCTAGTCGGATGATTCCTACTGGCTGGGATGCTTTTACTCAAGCTTGTCTAACTCCTGCTCAGTTCTTATGATTTAAAACTTGGTGGGTAGATGAAGCTTCCATTCAGGCTGCTCACAATGCCCAGGTCCAACCTCAAATTAATATAACTGCAGACCAACTTTTGGGGGTTGCCAGCTGGGCTGGTTTAGATGCATAACTGTCCATGAAGGATGATCCCATAGAACAGCTTAGAGGAGTGCGCATTAGAGCTTGGGAAAATAATCACTTCATGTGGAGAACAATACCCTTCCTTTAGTGCTATAAAACAGTGACCAAAAGAACCATACATTGATTTTATAGCTCGGTTACAGGAGTCTCTTAAAAAGATGATTGCAGATTTGGCTGCTCAGGAGATAGTGTTGCAGTTATTAGCTTTCAACAATGCTAATCTGATTACCAGGCTGCTCTGCAATCTATCAGAGGGAAAGCACATTTAGTTGATTATATCAAGGCCTGTGATGGTATCACAGGTAACCTGCATAAAGCTACTTTGTTGGCATAGGCAATGGCAGGGCTGAGAGTAGATAAAGGAAATACTCCATTTCCTGGAGCTTGTTTTAACTGTGGGAAGCATGGTCATACTAAAAAAGAATGTAGAAAAAATCAGCGAGTCAGGCTGCCAGATAGGAGAAAAAAGAAAACTGCTGAGCCTGAAATATGTACAAAATGTAAAAAAGGAAAACATTGGGCTAATCAGTATTACTCTAAGTTTGATAGATGGGAACCCAATTTCAGGAAACACCATGGGGGGCCCGTCCCAGGCCCCGTTCTAAACCAGGGCATTTCCAGCTCAAGCCATTCCCTCACCCTTGTACAATGTCTGTCCCCCACCACAGCTGGTAGTGCTGCAGTAGATCTATGGTGCACAAAAGCTGTGAGCCTTCTGCCTGGGGAACCCCCGCAAAAGGTCCCAACAGGAGTCTGTGGACACTTGCCAGTGGGGAAAATAGGATTACTTTTAGGAAGGTCTAGTTTAAGTTTAGAGGGGGTACAAATACATACAGGAGTCATTGATTCAGATTATAATGGGGAAATTCAAATTGTTTTATCTACTTCTGTTCCTTGGAAAGCAGAGCCAGGAGAGCACATAGCACAGCTCCTGATTGTGCCATATGTGCAAATGGGAAAAAGTGAAATTAAATGAACAAGAGGATTTGGAAGCACAAATAAACAAGGCAAAGCAGCTTATTGAGTAAATCAAATTACTGACAAACACCCTACCTGTGAAATAACTATTCAGAGAAAGAAATTTAAAGATTTGGTAGATACAGGAGCGGACATTTCAGTCATTTCTCTACAGCACTGGCTGTCCACATGGCCAATTCAACCTGCTCAATTTAACATAGTTGGAGTTGGTAAAGCCCTTGAAGCATATCAAAATAGTTATATTTTGCATTGTGAAGGGCCTGATGGACAACCTGGGACTATTCAACCAATTATAACTTCTGTACCTATAAATTTATGTGGAAGAGATTTATTACAACAATGGGGAGCACAAGTTCTAATTCCAGAACAATTATATAGCCCTCAAAGTCAACATACAATGCATGAAATGGGTTATATCCCTGGCATGGGACTAGAAAAAAAAATTTGCAAGGTTTGAAAAAACCACTTCAAGTGGAAAGACAAAGTTCCCACCAAAGGTTTAAGATATCATTTTTAATGGCAGCCATTGTTAAGCCTCCAGAACCTATACTTTTAAAATGGTTAACAGATAGGCCAATTTGGATAGAACAATGGCCGCTAAGTAAAGAGAAACTGGAGGCTTTAGACAAATTAGTTACTGAACAATTAGAAAATGGGCACATAGCTCCAACGTTTTCCCCTTG
The DNA here is from genome assembly GCF_000001405.40 of Homo sapiens. Classification (NCBI taxonomy): domain Eukaryota; kingdom Metazoa; phylum Chordata; class Mammalia; order Primates; family Hominidae; genus Homo; species Homo sapiens. The sequence goes on from NC_000005.10 coordinate 52,307,522, forward strand.
GAATTCTCCAGCTTTTGTAATTAAGAAAAAATCAGGTAAATGGAGAATGTTAACTGACCTAAGAGCCATCAATTAAGTTATACAACCTATGGGAGCATTACAGCCAGGATTGCCTTCTCCTGCTACAATTCCAAAAAATTGGCCTTCAATAGTTATAGATTTAAAAGCCGGTTTCTTTACTATCCCCTTAGCTAAGCAAGACTGTGAAGAGTTTGCATTTACAATTCCTGTGGTAAACAACCTGCAGCCTGCTAAACATTTTCTTTGTTTTACAGATGGGTCTAGTAATGGTAAAGCTTATTCTGGATCAAAAGGTAAAGTTTTCCAGATGCCTTATACTTCAGCTCAAAAAGGGGAGCTTGTAGCTGTAATTGAGGTATTGACTGCTTTTGATATGCCTATTAATGTGATTTCTGGTTCTTCATATGTGGTTCATTACACAGAGTTAATGGAAAATTCTCAGTTATGATTTCATACAGATGAACAACTGATGACTTAATTTACCCAATTGCAAACAGCAGTTAGAAGTAGAATGCACCCTTTCTACATCACTCACATTAGGGCTCATACACCTCTTCCAGGACCTTTGACTGAAGGGAATCAAATGGCTGATCACCTAGTTGCTAATGCAGTATCTAATGCTAGACACTTTCACAATTTAACCCATGTTAATGCCTCTGGTCTCAAACGCAGATATAGCATTACCTGGAAAGAAGTTAAAGCTATTATTCAACTATGCCCAACTTGCCAAATGGTACCTTCCTCATCTTTTACAGGAGGAGTTAATCCTCGAGGATTGGAACATAACTCTCTTTGGCAAATGGATGTCACACATATTCCCTTGTTTGGGAGACTAGCTTATGTACATGTATGTGTGGACACCTTTTCTCACTTTGACTGGGCTACATGCCAATCAGGAGAGTCTTCTGCCTGTGTTAAACATCACCTCTTGCAGTGTTTTGCAGTGATGGGCATTCTAGCCTCTATTAAAACAGATAATGCCCCAGGCTATACTAGCCAAGTTCTAGCTACATTTTTCTCTATGTGGAATATTAAACACATTACTGGTATCCCATACAATTCTCAAGGACAAGCCATAGTGGAAAGAATGAATCTTTCCCTAAAACAGCAGTTGCAAAAGCACAAAGGGGAAAATAGAGAATATGGAACCCCACAGATGAAACTGAATCTAGCATAATTAACTTTAAATTGTTTGAGCCTGCCCAAAGGCCAGATGTTATTAGCAGCTGAACAGCATCTGCAGAAACCAGCTGCAGAGACAGAAGCAGAACAACTGATTTGGTGGAGAGATCCAATAACAAAAAGTTAGGAAATAGATAAAATAATAACTTGGGGTAGAGGTTATGCATGTGTTTCTCCAGGTCAAAATCAACAGCCGATTTGGATACCATCAAGACACCTGACATCTTATCATGAGCCAGGTGCTGAGGAAGAGATGCTGGGAGGATCCCGAGGACCCCCCATTTGCAGTCATGTTGAGACTGACACTGAGGAGGACCCCAACTGTCATGAGCAACACGAGTCAAACACAAGCCACCCACCTAGGGACAGATCAAGAAGCTGTCACAGATGGTGGAAGGAAACCTGAGGAAAGCAGGAAAAACAGTCACAATGAGAAATTTAATGGTAGCTATGAGAGTGGTTATCACCACTGCTATGAGTATTCCTTCAACAAAGGCTAACACAGGGACCAGTTATACTTATTGGGCATATTTATCAATCCTGACTGGTAATAATGCCTAGATATAATCACTCCATGACACAGTTACACATACTTTCTGATCTCAGTATTTACCATAATAAATCTGCTCCTATAATTGAGGCATACTGCCTTCAAAAACCTATTTGTAAACAAAATCAAACCTGGCCAGAAAATATGAATGTACTTGTTTAGGAAGATTGCTTTGCAGAACAGGCAGAGGTGCTGCACAACGATTCCTATGGAATCATTATTGATTGGTCCCCTGTTGAATTGCACCTCTTAGTCTACATGCCATGGCCACACTATGTTCAGCTGGTCTGAACAAAATGGTCAGACAGTAGAAATGATAAGATGTATGGCAAGAGTTCCTATTATCTGGAATCATGGCAGTATAGTGGCACTTCAACCTCAAATGATATGGCTCGTTGTAGGAGCTAAACATAAGGATTTGTGGAAACTATTAATAGCTCTTAATAAGATCTGTTGGGAGCAAGCCCCCCAAAATCTGGCCCCAAAACTGGCCATAAACAAAATCTCTGCAGCACTGTGACATGTTCATGATGGTCATAACACCCACACTGGAAGGTTGTGGGTTTACTGGAATGAGGGCAAGGAACACCTGGCCTGCCCAGGGTGGAAAACCACTTAAAGGCATTCTTAAGCCACAAACAATAGCGTGAGTGATCTGTGCCTTAAGGACATGCTCCTGCTGCAGTTAACTAGCCCAACCTATTCCTTTAATTCGAGCCCATCCCTTCATTTCCCATAAGGGATATTTTTAGTTAATCGAATATCTATAGAAGCAATGATAATCACGGGCTTGCTGTTAATAAATACGTAGGTAAATCTCTGTTCAGGGATCTCAGCTCTGAAGGCTGTGAGGCCCCTGATTTCCCACTTCACACCTCTAAATTTCTGTGTGTGTGTCTTTAATTCCTCTAGCACGGCTGAGTTAGGGTCTCCCTGACAGAGCTGGTCTCAGCACCACTTCTTTCAGTTTGAGTTATTCTTCCCACCCCTTCTTTCCACTTCTTGCATAAAATGTACTCTTTTCCCCATCTATAAAGGTGGAGGATATCATGGCTTTCCCATGTGGTCTTTACCTGCTTCTTGACCTAAAATTAATGGCGGTGTCACTATGCCACTAGTGACACCTGTTCTTTGCCTTCAGCACTAAGCAGCTACGTTTCTCATAAGCCTTCTTCATTAAGAATACATTTATGTCAATGCTTTTCCACTCAAGCTTTTCCTCCTCCTTTCAAGTGGTTTATAAAAGCACAACATTTGTTATCAGTGTTTATAAGAGGCCATAGATCTGTAGTATGGCTTATGCAGATAATGCCATCTTAAAGTACCACACCTATTTTTCAAAACAGCATCTTTGAAAAGGATCCAGTATTAAAAACAAAGAAAAATACACAAAATAAAGAAACGATGATTCATTTCTGCCCTGTTTCCACTGTGTCTCAAAACCAAATTCAACTCCTGCATGTCTATGATTCTCTCCATCCACTATAGCTCCATGGAGACTATAGTGGCCTCTCCCTCCCTGCTCTCTCTCCTCTCTCTCCCATCACTCCCCTCCCTCTCTCTCCTCTCTATGCCCTCTTCTACCTAAAGGTGGTTTTCTCCATTTTGGGTCCTTGTTTGTTCATCATTGTCATGTGGTATGATAATTATTTCTCCTCAAACTTAGAAATATGTTATATTTCATCCTCCCCACTGATTACAGTGCTTGGACTAGGATTGATTTAATAGTAAATGATTGATTTTTGCAGTTCACATATTTAGAAAATGAAGTTTTCCTCTTTATCAAGCAGTGAATCTATAGATTTCTAAGACCTACTATCTGTGTTATTGGTTCATGACACATAAGTAATGTGACATGCTGACTGAATTATGACATAAGCTAGGAATTGTCCCATAAGGAATTCTGTTCTTCAAATCAATGTCATACATCTTCAAATTGATGTCATACAACTAAGCATCACAATGAATAGATTGGATAAAAAGTCATCTTTCTGATGAGTAAAAATAATCATTTTACTCATTTAGCAAAGCCGTTCCCCTCCCCAACTCCATCTTGCCTCACATCTTTGCTAGCCACACAAGCTTCCACTGATATGGATGCAAAAAGTCTCCTTATGTAAGCAGACTCAATGTCAGTTAAGAGAGCTCAGTTGGATAAAGTGACAGATAGTTTTCTTACCTTGGAGTCAGGAAACTCTCTCACCACTCTCACGGGAATATTCTATGAAGACTATAGCGTCCTTAAGGTAGCTGATTTGAAACAGAGCTGAAAACTCATTCAGTAGCAGAAACATGATCACTACAGTAGTGAAAAGCACACTCTAACACATAGTCTGAGTTTCATTCTCTTATCACTGTTCTTCAATACCTCAAATCAAGTATCTAATTTATTAGCTCTACTAAATCTGAACAAATAATTTGCCCTTATTCTGTTTTGTCTTGGTTATATATCTATGGTATGCCATCACATTCTTAATGAAAAAAAAAAAAAAAACAGATGCCCATTTAGAAAAAGAGACTCCTTTATTGGGTGCTAATAAATTATACAAGAGTAAGACTCAAGATTAAGATCATTGAAAATGAAAACTCATCATAGAACTATAGTAACGTAAACAGGTATCTCTTGTATAAAGTGTACCAGGTGGGGATGGGGCTGTTCTCAGTGCCAAGTGAAATGTACATGGGGGTAATCAGAATACATTCTTTTTTTAGTCACTAAAACTTGTTTTCTAGCAAGATAAGTTTCCTGAAATAACACACGAGAGAAAAAGAAGTTATGTTATATGCAAAATTAACTCCACAAATTACTTCAGGCTTTTTGTTTCACTACAAGGAACAAAGTATAGAGAAAACTGAGTGAAATCTAAATTGAAAAGATAAGAAAAGATTCTTGTATTGCTAAGTGTGTATTAAGAGTGTGTTACAAATCTCTCAAGAGTGCATTCTTTCATAGGACATCATGAAAGATAGAGAAAAAAATAAAAGAAAAACATGATTGAAAAAATGTAAACCAATTGTAATGCTAGCTTGCTTGAATTAATTAATAAGTGAAATAGACATAAGTTTGAATATCACCCTCTGTGATTTGTGTCAGCCGTATTGACCCAAGTAAACAAACAACAACAACAAACTTGGCTATATGGGAGCAATGCTTGCAAGTCATTAACATTATCCTGCATTGGTGTGAAGATATTGCTAGGCACCCAGAGGTCTTGAATTAGCCTTTACAAGTTATCTGAAAGAGCTCATCTTATCTTGGCATATTTTCCATTTTTCTTCTTATAATATGGGACCCAAATTTATGTCTATCCATTTTCATCGGACAAAATGGAGTGTGTGGCCTAATTTATTATTAATATATTTAAGTGAAAGTGGATCATTCATAAAGCAGAAAAAAATTATGTTAAATTGAGCAAGTTTGCATGTACTTGATCTCATTAATTTTATTTAGAATTATTCCACCTTTATTCAAAAGCATTACATTGTTGCTCTTTCTGACCTCACAAGCATTTCAGTCTCTAAATTTTTATAAATATAATTAATAATGAGCATGACTAATCAATATCTCTAATCATCGATACTCAGAAATTAATATAAACAGGTGGAATTGTAAATATTGTTTTCTCCATTAGACAGTCTAAAAACAAGAATGAATTAGGATGGTTATCCAAAATCAGAATTTGGAACTGAATTTCAGGGAGTTTCTAACTGTGACCAGAAGAAGGAACTTCCTCAATGAAAGAAAACTTATGGCCTGGGATTTAGTCTCTCATAATCTAAAGAAAGACCCAGAGTCATATAGCAAGTCCTTAGTGACCTACAAAGAGACGTAGACTCCCACACAATAATAATGGGAGACTTTAACACCCCACTGTCAACATTAGACAGATCAACGAGACAGAAAGATAACAAGGATACCCAGGATTTGAACTCAGCACTGCACCAAGCGGACCTAGTAGACATCTACAGAACTCTCCACCCCAAATCAACAGAATATATATTTTTTTCAGCACCACACCACACCTATTCCAAAATTGACCACATAGTTGGAAGTAAAGCATTCCTCAGCAAATGTGAAAGAACAGAAATTATAACAAACTGTCTGTCAGACCACAGTGCAATCAAACTAGAACTCAGGATTAGGAAACTCACTCAGAATTGCTCAACTACATGGCAACTGAACAACCTGCTCCTGAAGGACTACTGGGTACATAACAAAATAAAGGCAGAAATAAAGATGTTCTTTGAAACCAATGAGAACAAAGACACAACATACCAGAATCTCTGGGACACATTCAAAACAGAGTGTAGAGGGAAATTGATAGCACTAAATGCCCACAAGAGAAAGCAGGAAAGATCTAAAATTGACACCCTAACATCACAATTAAAAGAACTAGAGAAGCAAGAGCAAACACATTCAAAAGCTAGCAGAAGGCAAGAAATAACTAAGATCAGAGCAGAACTGAAGGAAATAGAGACACAAAAAACCCTTCAAACAATTAATGAATCCAGGAGCTGGTTTTCTGAAAAGATCAACAAAATTGATAGACTGCTAGCAAGACTAATAAACAACAAAAGAGAGAAGAATCAAATAGACGCAATAAAAAAATGATAAAGCGGATATCACCACTGATTCCATAGAAATACAAACTACCATCAGATAATACTAAAAGCAACTATATGCAAATAAACTATAAAATCTAGAAGAAATGGATAAATTCCTCGACACATACAACCTCCCAAGACTAAACCAGGAAGAATTTGAATCTCTGAATAGACCAATAACAGGCTCTGAAATTGAGGCAATAATTAATAGCTTACCAACCAAAAAAAGTCCAGGACCAGATGGATTCACAGCCGAATTCTACCAGAGGTATAAGGAGGAGCTGGTACCATTCCTTCTGAAACTATTCCAATCAATAGAAAAAGAGGGAATCCTCCCTAACTCATTTTATGAGGCCAGCATCAACCTGATACCAAAGCCTGGCAGAGACACAACAAAAAAAGAATTTTAGACCAATATCCTTGATGAACATTGATGCAAAAATCCTCAATAAAACACTGGCAAACCGAATCCAGCAGCACATCAAAAAGCTTATCCACCATGATCAAGTGGGCTTCATCCCTGGGACGCAAGGTTGGTTCAACATAGGGAAATCAATAAATGTAATCCAGCATATAAACAGAAACAAAGACAAAAGCCACATGATTATCTCAATAGATGCAGAAAAGGCCTTTGACAAAATTCAACAACTCTTCATGCTAAAAACTCTCAATAAATTAGGTATTGATGGGATGTATCTCAAAATAATAAGAGCTATCTATTACAAACCCACAGCCAATATCATACTGAATGGGCAAAAGCTGGAAGCATTCCCTTTGAAAACTGGCACAAGACAGGGATGCCCTCTCTCGCCACTCCTATTCAATGTAGTGTTGGAAGTTCTGGCCAGGGCAATCAGGCAGGAGAAGGAAATAAAGGGCACTCAATTAGGAAAAGAGGAAGTGAAATTGTCCCTGTTTGCAGATGACATGATTGTATATCTAGAAAACCCCATCGTCTCAGCCCAAAATCTCCTTAAGCTGATAGGCAACTTCAGCAAAGTCTCAGGATACAAAATCAATGTACAGAAATCACAAGCATTCTTATGTACTAATAACAGACAAACAGAGAGCCAAATCATGAGTGAACTCCCATTAACAATTGCTTCAAAGAGAATAAAATACCTAGGAATCCAACTTACAAGGGATGTGAAGCACCTCTTCAAGGAGAACTACAAACCACTGCTCAATGAAATAAAAGAGGATACAAACAAATGGAAGAATATTCCATGCTCATGGGTAGGAAGAATCAATATCGTGAAAATGGCCATACTGCCCAAGGTAATTTATAGATTCAATGCCATTCCCATCAAGCTACCAATTACTTTCTTCACAGAATTGGAAAAAACTACTTTAAAGTTCATATGGAACCAAAAAAGAGCCCACATCACCAAGTCAATCCTAAGCCAAAAGAACAAAGCTGGAGGCATCACGCTACCTGACTTCAAACTATACTACAAGGATACAGTAACCAAAACAGCATGGTACTGGTACCAAAACAGAGATATAGACCAATGGAACAGAACAGAGCCCTCAGAAACAATGCCACATATCTACAACTATCTGATCTTTGACAAACCTGACAAAAACAAGCAATGGGGAAAGGATTCCACATTTAATAAATCGTGCTGGGAAAACTGGCTAGCCATATGTAGAAAGCTGAAACTGGATCCCTTCCTTACACCTTAAACAAAAATTAATTCAAGATGGATTAAAGACTTATATGTTAGACTTAAAACCATAAAAACTCTGGAAGAAAACCTAGGCAATACCATTCAGGACATAGGCATGGGAAAGGACTTCATGTCTTAAACACCAAAAATAGTTGCAACAAAAGCCAAAATTGACAAATGGGATCTAATTAAACTAAAGAGCTTCTGCACAGCAATAGAAACTACCATCAGAGTGAACAGGCAACCTACAGAATGGGGGAAAATTTTTGCAACCTACTCATCTGATAAAGGGCTAATATCCAGAATCTACAATGAACTCAAACAAATTTACAAGAAAAAAACAACCCCATCAAAAAGTGGGCAAAGGATATGAACAGACACTTCTCAAAAGAAGACATTTATGCAGCCAAAAAAACACATGAAAAAATGCTCATCATCACTGGCCATCAGAGAAATGCAAGTCAAAACCACAATGAGATACCATTTCACACCAGTTAGAATGGCAATCATTAAAAAGTCAGGAAACAACAGGTGCTGGAGAGGATGTGGAGAAATAGGAACACTTTTACACTGTTGGTGGGACTGTAAACTAGTTCAACCATTGTGGAAGTCAGTGTGGTGATTCCTCAGGGATCTAGAACTAGAAATACCATTTGACCCAGCCATCACATTCCTGGGTATATACCCAAAGGATTATAAATCATGCTGCTATAAAGACACATGCACGTGTATGTTTATTGTGGCACTATTCACAATAGCAAAGACTTGGAACCAACCCAAATGTCCAACAATGATAGACTGGATTAAGAAAATGTGGCACATATACACCATGGAATACTATGCAGCCATAAAAAAATGATGAGTTCATATCCTTTGTAGGGACATGGAGGAAACTGGAAACCATCATTCTCAGGAAACTATCGCAAGGAGAAAAAACCAAACACCACATGTTCTCACTGATAGGTGGGAATTGAACAATGAGAACACATGGACACAGGAAGGGGAACATCACACACCGGGGCCTATTGTGGGGTTGGAGGGGAAGAGGGAGGGATAGCATTAGGATATATACCTAATGCTAAATGAGGAGTTAATGGGTGCAGCACACCAACATGGCACATGTATACATGTGTAACAAACTTGCACGTTGTGCACATGTACCCTAAAACTTAAAGTATAATAATAATAAAATTTAAAAAAAAAGACAAAAAAAAGACTGCATGCTTTTGGGAAAAAGTGTTCTCTAATCACTTCCTTACATCTAAATAAAGAGAGTTCCATTCATCAGAAGCTGCAAAAAAAATAAGTAAAATAACAAAAAAATAAAATAAAGAAGGTTGTTTTTTAAACTCCAAGATCTAAAAAATATATTATCAAATATTTTACCATTAAAGGCAATGGCAAAAATCTCAATTACTCTTGCACCAACCTATATTTGGTTATGTAACATATTAATTTAGGCCTTCTGTGACTTTTTCTAACTTACAACAATTTATTAATCAGTTATATTTTAATTTATGAAATACTGACCTTTGAGGTAAGACTTTTTAAAAATAAATTCTGCAATTGTGATTTTCACCAAATCATAGATATTCTGTTTTCCAACCTTCATTCTCATTTTTAATTGGTAAGATATTGGGTAGCAAAAAATTTCTTAGCACCAATCATGTGACCAGAACTTTATATCTGCTCTGGGAGATGCAGGATTTAGTACTGAGAGCCACTGTTAGGACCTAGGTTTTCCCTAGTTACAAATGTCAGTGAGATGTTTTTTTTCTTTTTACAATGCCAATGTCCTCCACAAGAAAAATAGTGTTAGTAATGATGGACTGATTCTCAAGAAATTAATGCAGACCACTACTGCTTTCTTAAGATACTCTCCACTAATTTAAAGGACAGATTTCTCTGCTGGTTCCTTTTTAGGTTGTAGTTACTTCTTACTAATGTCTTTAATAAAGTTCTCTTCACTCATCAATCTCTAATCTTTTAGTGTTTTTCGGGGTTCTAACCTGGGCTCTTTCTTCTTATACTTCTCATTCTTCCAAGAGGAAAATATTCATTTCCATGGAATCACTTACCAGTTATTTATTCATGTCCTACAGAGGGATTTCTTACTCATTTCTCTTTTCAAAACTCTGATAGACTGGATAACATCTGAACATCCCGCAATTAAATTCATCCAAAACTAAACTCTTAACTTCTTACCCCCTAAGCTATAATACTCCTGTGTTTCTGTCTAACCGGTTAAGAAACCATGATCTATTCACGACTCCTGTTTCTGTCACAACCACCCATCATCTAAACCACTCCTCTGCCCAGAAACCGTTTTCTTCTTTTGGAATCTACTTCCTCCCTTTATTCCCTGGACCTTAACTCACATTCTTGAAATTTCTCTCCTAATGTATTGCAACTATTAATAGTTTTAAACTATCTCCTTGCTCCCAGCTTCTTATTTACCTCTAATTAACTATATACTTCTGAAAACCAAATCATATTATATTTTGTCAAATTTTCTATTTGCCTTCAAGATAAAATTCCTCAGTTGGCTAACAAGCCCTTCATAATAGGGCCTTTTATTTTATCCCCAATTTCATGTTTTCCAACCCCAACCTTCCCCTTATAACCAACGAGGCCCCCCTCCGCCAACTTCCCACACCTTCGACATACATAAGCTCTTGTCTGGTCATATTAACCTTCTTAGAGTTTCCTGATAGTACCAGGATTTCTTGACTTTACATTATTGCTTTTCTGTCCTGTTGGTTGGCCTAGCTCCTCCTTCCCTTCTTTTCTACCCAATTCCCACCGTACTTCCCGTGGCTCATAGACTCTTATATTTTGAACCTGGGTTTAGACGTCCTGACTCCTGGAATCCTTCCCTACATATACTTTGATAAGGGCCTTTATCACACATCATTCCAATCACCTGTTTCCATGACTGACTTCCCCATAAACTCTATGCACTTTGGTGTTAGAAAACTAACATTTCATACACTTGCAATGTACCCGCAAAAGCTAAAATGAAAATTTTTATTAAAAAAGCAAACTAATACTGCTTTAGTTTGTATTTTTAATACTTGGCATTCTGATTGGCATTGAAATGCCATGTAGATGCTGGATAAATTTGTCATAAATTCCTTAATGATTAAATTCATTCATTTATTCAATGGAAAGAAAATAATGGAAATATAGCTTCAGAGTCTTCAATGTGGATATCAAATTTAATATTCAATGTTAATAAATATTAAATTTAATAAGTAAATATTAAATTCAATATCTATTCTCATTTTTTCCCTATCTAGAGAATTCCATTTTTTTTTTGATGTGGCAAGGTACCCCATCCAACATATTTACCTCTCAGAATTTCTTGAAATTTGGTGCACCCACATGATGCAGTCCTAATCAATGAGCGTTAAGTCACTGGATGGTCCACACGAGGCTGTCTTTGATTTTTCACTTCTTTTCTTCTGTTCTCCCATCGGGAAAGTGGAACAGATGATGATAGGAGGTGCAATGGGTGACTATCAACCATGAAAATTAGTCATTCCCTAAGAATGGCAAAGGAAGGAAGAAAAAGCCTGGTTCTTAAAAAGTGGTATCAGCTGTGGCTTGCCTAACCCCCATCCCCTTCATGTAGGGTAAGAAAAACAAACAAGCAAACACTAATTGTATCACAGTTGCTGCTAAGTGCACCGAATGCAGTCCTAACTGATAAAGTGGTTTTTCACGTATCAGTGGAAGAAAATTGTGCCCACATGCTTCAGAGAATCAGTAGTGAGTGTGAGACAAATCTTACCATTATAGAAGAGCGGGAAAACATAAAAATAAGGTTTAAAAATATTTTTTGTGAAACTTTACATTCTATGTTTATGTAAAAGGAGTTTAGATTTTACAGTCAAAAAATATATTAAGAATAGTTTCGATTTTTATTAAATGAGGTCATATAGTTTTATAATATTAGCAATAATATAGTTCTAAGGAAAATGCAGTGGATAAATAACAGTATAAAATGTTCTATAAAGAATTTGATATAGACAGAAGAAATTACTTAAGACCAGAAGGCATGAAACTCACGATTTTCTTAGTGAGGGGAGTAAACAGGGACTAACAGCAGCAGAGTCAGCAAACGCAGAGTGTCATCAAGACCGAGAAAATATTTTTGCCTTCCACACTTAACCCATTGATTGTCTGATAGTGGTAATTTTAAGAATAAAGTTTTGTTTCTTCAGCCTTTGACTTTATTTAAAATGGATATTAATTTAAAATTAACTTAGAAAGGTTAATATTTAAGTTTTAATGAATCCTTTTCTCTCAGTAGAAATAAATTAAATAAGTTTATCAAAATCTCTTTAGCCAAATGGAAGAATGTGTGTGTGTGTGTGTGTGTGTGTGTGTGTGTACATTCATGAGCACTCACGAGCATGTGTGTGACTACATGACTATATGTGGAGTTTGGGGCACAAGGAGGGGAAAAAGAAAATGAGCAAATTAAGAACTGAAAGGACTGATACTTTCAAATTTTGTTTGTATGTGGTGTTTGCATTCCTAACTATGCAAGATTAAAACTCAAACTGAAGACTGCATTTTACTATTTCTTGAAACAAATAATATGAGCTCAGCCTCCCTCGAAAGATCATGGAGCAGAGCAATTCTTCATGAGAGGCTCTAGGAGCTGTCTCTAAACCAAGTATGAATACCCTGCCCTGCAGACTCCAGCAGGGTATTACGTATCAGCTGCCTCAAAGGTTGGCGCCAACCTTCTTCTTCAGCGCACCACAAACCAGAATTAATTGCAAATCAATCGAACAAAGTACAACTGATCAGTAAACCAATTAGTAATTTTAGCTGTTCATCCTGTCTTTATTTACTAGGGGGAAAAGTGGGAAATGGAAGTGCCTTTTAGACCACATATAAGATTCCTGTTTTTCCCCCACTGCCCTCTGCTTCTCTACATGCTAATGTTACAAGAACATTCATAAGGAAATGCTTCAAAAAGCTGTTGCCTAAATATTATGCAAGTAAGCTTTTAATTTATCTACTTTATTCTGGAAATATAAATTAGCTTTGGCAAAAAGAAACTACTTTACTGGAGAAAATAATATTAAATAATTCATTCTATACAAATATGATATATTTTATTTTAAAATCACCACTTGAGACAAAATTTAATTGATACAACTTTTTTTGCCATTTTTGTCACATTATAGTCATCCTTGTCTTGAACAATAGATACGTCAAGGTCTCTGATTTATATATGTCAGTACCTCTCCTAAATTTCATTACATGTGCAATGACTTTTTTCACTATCCTTTGGCATGTAAATATTATAATGTAAGCAGAAACACAAAATAAATCTATATTTCTAGCCTTTTCAGTCACCTGTCAGTTGCAAAAGAATTTGCCTTTGCTATTACCCCATAATATTGCCTGTTAGTGATCAGAGGTTCATATTATTTACTTTCTATTGGCCTGAGACCTGATGTTGAATAGGAATTTTTCTTTGTTACTTAATTACAGGGAAGAATGTCAATTTCCAGTGACTCACTAGGCTGGGTTTATATAAAATTACTCTACTTGAGAAAGAAATTAGATTCATATTAGGATTGCAATTCAGAAGATTATAACCTTTTTTAGTCTAGCTCAAGAGAAGATATTTAAGAAACTACATTGTCTTATGGGCTCAGGTTATTATTAATACTGTCCTGTGAATACAAATAGTGGTAGCTACGAAAAGTATATTTTTACATACACTAGTAAAAATACAATTAGTTTATTTGAGAGCACTTGAAATTCCCATGAAAATTCATTCAATTAACTGAGTTACAATACTCCTCTATAAGGCTCTGCTGCTTAAAAATCAATAAGAGAAAATATAAATGGTCATGGTGTTGCTTTTATTGCTGGAAAGTAATCAATCTACTTAATAATCCTTATTTTATAGCAGGTCTCCCAAGATAAATATATTTCAATAGAATGTTTTAAGACAAAGTGTAGATTAAAAAATTCAAATAGGAGAAAATAATGATTGTTTTTCAATAAACACTCAAAGCTTATCACAAAATTTATTTAATATTAGCTACCCTCCCACCATTCTTTGTTAAATAGTATGCACCTTCTGTGTTATCAAAAGAGCATTTTTAGTAATTTTCTTACATTACAGGAGATAATCCAGTCCAGAAGCAGGTGTTAATAGAAAGAGCTCAGAGAAACTGTTGGTGCTATCCAACAAGCAAACACGCATCAAGACAAGCAAAGAAATACAGGTGACTTCTACAAACAATATGATTGCCATTGTATGATTATATGATAAAGATATTGAGTGTTGAATGTGAAAAAGTGTAATGAGTAAAAGATGGCTCTCATTCTATAGGGGCTTGGGAATGGAAGGCATTGTGTGGTATGAAGCAGATATTATCTAATGTATTTAACCTAGATTGAGTAGACTTCCCTAGGTGCACTCTATAATTCAGTCGATTAAACTTGTGTGTGACTGTCCCACTGCAGACAGAACTTTAAAATGAAGACATTCTAAGATCTCACTTTTAACTGATAACCTGGAGGCAACGTTTACCAAGATGGATGGGCACATATCTAGGAACTGTCAAAATCCAGGAATGCTGGAAGAAGTATGCATTTGAGGACACTTAAGAAATCAACTATGAGTTTGAAACCAAGTAAATAACATTTTATTTAATTGTTTCTCAGAAAGCTAATGTCCTTTCATTACTACCATTGATAAACAGTATAGCATTTAATGACCAAATCTTTATGAATATAAAATAACTAGAGATTTGCTTTGTTTTTACCAAAGCACACATTTTAGAAACCGTGGCTCTCTACTGATATTCTTGAAATAAATAACCACAATCAAAGCAATTCCTAAAAAAAGTAATATAATAAATTTAAAGATACACATGTAATTTCCCGTTAACTGATCTCTCCACATTTTTACTAGGTTACAAAAGGAGAGAGCAACCACATTTTTCAAAGAGATTTTCTTTTGTCATGGCCCAATTCGATCTTCACAGCGGACAACATACAGCCGGGTATTGATTTTTGTATACACTCTGACAATCATATTTTAATTGGTTATTTAGACAATTTACATTTAAAGTGATGTAGTTGGACTAGTATTTAGCATGTTTTAAATGTTTTCTGTTTCTTGTGTTTCTTCTTTGTCCTTGCTATTTCCTTCTTTTCCTTTTCTGGTTTTAATTGAAAATTTTATGTCGTTCAATTTGATCAGCTCACTTACTTTTTCAGTTATACTTCTTACAAAAAAAATTAGCAGTTTTCCTAGAGTTTACACTGTGCATTTTTAACTAATCTAAGTCCATCTTAAAATAATACTACGACACTTCATGCATAGTACATGTATCTTATAAAAGTATTCTTAATTCTTTCCTCCCATTCCTGGTGACATTGCTGTCATTCTTTCTACTTATTCATATACTATGATAACCTAAAATATTACTATTAGGACTTTAACTAGTTATATTTTAGATTGGGTCAGAGTAAGAAAAGTAATATATTTCACTTTGCTTTCATTTATTTCTTTTCTTCTTCTTTTTAATGTACATCGAAGCTGCTGATTTATATTATTTTGCTTCTGCCTGAAAAACTTCTTTGAACATTTCTTTTGGGGCTGGTATGCAGGCAGTGAATTACCTTTAGTTTTTTGTTGTCTTAGAAAGTCCTTCACTTTTGAAGCATAATTTTACGGGATACAGAAGTCTGCGTTGGCAGTTGACTTTCTTTGAATACTTTAAATATTTCATTCTACTCTCTTTTTGCTTGATGGTTTCTGATAAAAAGTTCACTCTAACTTGTATCCTTTTTCCAGTTTAGACAAGTCATTTCCCTCCCACACTCCTAGCCCCAGGGCTTTAATCAAGATTTTTCTGTCTTCGGCTTTCTTCAGTTCCTACGTGATAGATAAGTGTACGTTTGATGTTGTTGTAGTTGTTATAATAGCTGTTGGTGGTGGGGTTTGTTTATTTGTTTTGGTATGTATCCCACTCTTGGTGTTCTCTAAGCTTTCTGGATCTTGGAAGGGTCCTGAAGTCTGTTATTATGATGGCAAAGGTTTGATCTTTATTTATTCAAATATTTCTTTTGCCTTTTTTTTCTTCTGACATTCCAGTTACATCATTGTTATACCTTTTAAAATTATCCTGCAGTGGTTACCTGTTCTGTGCTGTTTTGTTTTTCCCTTTTTTCTCTTGTTTTTTAGTTAGGGAGGTTTCTTGTACCCTTTAAAGTTCTCCCTCAACAGTATCAAGTATGTTGTTCAGTCTAAAGACATTCTTCATTTCTGTTACAGTGTCTGGTTTCTCATGTTTCGTATTTATGTTTTTTTTAATGGGCAAGTAGTTTTAATAGACATTTCTCTAAAGCAATGATCTAGCAAATCAAAACCATGATGAGATATCACTTTCATACCCATAGGATGGCTGTACTTAAAAATATACATAATAACAAGCATTGGCAAAGATGGGGAAAAAACAGAACTTTCATATATTGCTGGTGGGTATGTAAAATGATGCAATTGCTTTGAAAAAACAATTTAATAGCTTTTTAGAATGTTAAACATTGAGTTGGCACATTATCTAGCAGTTCTACTCTTAAGTGCACACCCAAAAGAAATATAAATATACATCTACATAAAAACTTGTACACAAATGTTTATAGTAGCATTATACATAATAGCTTAAAACTGGAAAACAACCCAATTTCCATCAACTGATGAATGGGTTAACAAAGTTCCATACAAGGGAATATCGCTTGTTAGTAAAAATAAGCTTCGATACGTGTTACAACATGAGTTTTTTTGTAGTGTCTCCATGTCTCTGCTTACATTGAGTATCCTTCTTGCTTGCTGTCTAGCTATTTGCATTAGAGCCTTGACATACAGGTTGAACCCTGATCCAAAAATCTAAAATCCAAAATTATCTGTATTGGATCACAGTCAAAAGGCATAAAAACTTTCATGTACAAAATTATTTAAAACATCATGAAAAATTACCTTCAGGCAATGTGTATAAGGTGTATATGAAAAGTAAATCAACTTCATGTTTAGACTTGGGTCCCATCCCCCAAGGCATCTCCTTATGTATAATGCAAATATTTTAAAATCTGAAAAACTCCAAAACACTTTGGGTATCAAGCATTTCGGATAGGAAATAGCTTGTATTAGTCATGGTTATTTTAAATTTCCTATATAATAATTTGAACATTTATGTCTGAGTCTATTTCTGATTATTACTTTATCTCTTTAGACTGCTTTTATTTACTTGCCTTTTGGCATGTTTTGTCACTTTTGGTTGAAAATTGGACATATGCATTGCATAATATGAGGGCATAAAGAGATGTTTAGCGAGATGTATGGGCTAAGACTTGGCTGCGTTTAATGTTTACTCTAGCTATAGGTGCCAGAAGCTTCAAAATTCTCTAGTTCCTTAATTTTTGTCTTTTCTCTTGAGTTTGAGCTTCCCTGTGTGTTCTTCAGAAAGCATTTATATTTTGCAGCTATTATATCTCTAATCCCCTGTCATACTCAAGCATTGTTTATGTGTGAAGAACAGAGTCCTATAATTTTCCAATTGAATATTACCACCTTTGGTGAACTTATGTCTTGGGGCTGTGACATTCACAAGTATATTTTTAGTGATACAACTTCTTTTTCTCCTTCTCTTATTGCAGTGTCCCCAATCTATTTCCTTGATTCCCCAATCCTTTTTGAGTATTTTTTGTTGTTGTTGTTGTTTGATATTTGTTTATTTACTCCTTAGGTGAGATAGCAAGGCAACAAGAGGTTCTAATGGCAAGAGGAATGTCCTTCCCCAAATGGCATAAGATTTTGGTAAAGTCATTTCTGCTAGAATATAGGCCTTTTCTATGGAGAAGGTCGTGAGTGTGTTTTATGATTACTTCTCCCACCCCCTGCCAGAATCCTGAGGGCATCTCTTCCGATTTTCCCCACGAGAACTTGCAGGGGGAGAAGTTTTTCCTAGAGGTAAAATCTATGAAAATATGGTGGCTCCCCTAAAACTGTGGCCCAGAGAAATTTTATACTCTCATGCTAGTCTACACAAACACACATTTGGACTCCAACAGTTTGTGAAAATGACCATTTCAGTGTTTCTAGCAGGATACGGCTTCAACAACTTATGCTATGAACAAGCATATCAGCTGTGACTCTCTGTATCAGCCTGTCTCTCCAGATTTGGAGATGGCAATTTGCCTCATAATGTCATCTCATTGACAGATTCAACAAAAGTCATTGATTTTCCTTTTGTCCATTTTTTTCTTGTTGCAAGAAAAGGAGTGATAAATTCCAATCTCTTTCCACATTAGGGCACAAACCAGAAGTCAGTGCTATACAGCTATACATAGAGAAGCACGGGTTATTATAGCACAACATGAGGAAGGTAAAAAAAAAATGTGGGAGATAGAAAAAACTTTTGGAGCTAGATCACACAGATAAATTAGCCATGTGAAGATTCAAAGAAAGAATTTTTTAGACAGAATCTCACAAAGCATGTAGGTGCAAAAAAAAAAAAAAGCAGAAGAACATGATGTGGTAGTTTGGCAGTAGTGTAGAGTACAAAAGACAGTAAAATAAATGAGTTTTCCAAGAGAAATATACAAGGGCCTGCATAATTTTCTAATATTAGTCTAATCACCAAAGAAAAATTTTTCTGTGATAAGTGTGTCCTGCTCCCCATTTTAAATATTAGATATTCAAAATATCTAACTAGTGTTAAATTTTCAAAATATCTAGCTAGTATCAGATTTTCAAAATATCTAACTAGTATTAGATAGTCAAAATTCAAACCAATTCGCATTCAGTTTACTTTAGCAGGAAGTAATGGAAAGAAATAGAACAACTGTTTTTTTTTTCCTTTTACTTTTTTTTCTTTTTTTGTAGGGAGGAGATATACAGGGACCTTGAAGCAGATTGGCTAGCAAGAGCACAATTCTTTATATTCTTGCTGTAGCCACTATTCAGCGGTAAAGATTTTCACTTATTTTTTATTATTTTTAAAAAATTTTGATTGATACATATTTGTAAACATTTATGAAATAAGGTGTTTGAACATCTCTTTCCTCTATAGGAAATCAGCCACTCCAACTCCTACAGAGATAGCCATAGTAGGCAATGATGTTATGTACACATACAAAACAATTTAATTTGTGCAATATGATTTCCACTCTTATAATACAAACATGACTCTGGAATTTATACACTGACAGAAGAATGTTGTTCCAATAACTTTGAATCAAATAGCCAACAACACTGCTGCTTTTATCTTTGTCTGGAGTTTATATTTCAACTCTCTGGATTCAAGGTCTATATTCTTTTATCTTTCTTTTTCTTTCTGAAGACCCAAGGACACTGACAATGCTACTTATATTAGAAATAGAAACAGATATAAGTTTATGATCAAGTGAGAAATTCTTATTCATTCAATAACATAATAAATGTTTTGACTTCTAAGTGGCTTGAGGAGCTTTAAAAAACAGGAAGATTGCATTAAATTTAAAAGTATGTATTTTTGATGACATTTATTTCAAACATAAAAATAGACATTAACCATGATACTCTTTAATTATGAGATTTCAGCCTCCCTCTTGTAGAGGTTCTGAGACTGAATTTCCTATTGGGGAAAGTGGGTTGTAACAAAAGGATAGTAAAGAGATGTGTGAACAAACAGATCAATTACTTCATAATAAACTTGAAGATGAGGGAACTCAAGAAGAGCAAGGAGTGCTCAGGGATATGCTCTGGTTCACCTTGGATATGGACTCTCTGGAAACTTTTTCTTTCCCCCAACTCTGCCTCCCTGGTCTCTTTGTATTACTCTTTAATTTCTCCTTCATTTAATTTTGTCTTCTTCTGTTTGGTTGCAGGTGGACCTATTTGAATTGGAGACTGTCTTTCTAATAATTAGAAAGTAGCTTCAGTTTTCTTAAATCGCCTATGGGTTTAACAAAATCCTCTCAATACACGGTATCTGTACTCCTTAAAAATACCTGTGCAGGGCTGGGCATGGTGGCTCATTCCTGTAATCTCAGCACTTTGGGAGGCTGAGGTGGGAAGATCACCTGAGGTCAAGAGTTTGAGACCAGACTGGCCAACATGGTGAAACCCTGTATCTACTAAAAACACAAAAATTAGACAGGCGTGGTGGCGGGTGCCTGTAATCCCAACTACTCAGGAGACCGAGGCAGGAGAATCACTTGAACCCGGGAGGTGGAGATTGCAGTGAGCCGAGACTGTGTCATTGCACTCCAGCCTGGGTGACAAGAGAGAAACTCCCTCTCAAAAAACAAAAAGAAAACAAAACAAAACTCTGTGCAGGTCCAAGGATTTGGGGGAACTCAGAATGTGCATTTGTATTTAGCAGCCTCAGGTTTTATATAATTAATTTCATTAATTAGGAAATCCACCCCATCTGGTTCTTATGTCAGCATCTTCTAGCATAGGAAAATTGAATTGTCAATCTTCATTCCTTCACTGGTCTGTGCTTTTATCCCACCTATTACAGTCAATTTTATTATATGTTAGTACTCATTGTATTTCTTGTCATCACCTGGAAACCCAAGCTCGAGACTCCAAAAAGATGTTACTTTCCACTGGCATCAGATAAAGAATATAGATGTGAAAAACTATACTACTTTATTATTAATCATTCCTTCAGTTAACCCAAGATATGCACCTTGGCTGGACAAATACATGCACAGCTTTTAAATTCAAGGTTTAGGGAGCTTTATAAATAGAATTTTAGCAAACATGGTGAATGGCTAAATCTGGTCAAAGGTACAAGTTTAATATAAATAGATTTTCCTTCAGAGTCCAAAGGTCTACCAAGTAAAAGGTCAAGCTACTCTTCACAAAGGCATTATTTTCCCATGTACTTTTAGTTCCTAATCACCTTGATTTGCTTTCAGATTTTCAGTGCCACCTAAGTGCTTCTAAATGTTCTTGCATTAAATTTCACCCTGCTCACAGGTTAGGGCCTCATCCTGGATCCCTCTCTCCTATTCCATTTGCACATTTCTCAAGTGTGAGTCATTTACTCTAGAAATTATCTCAGGATTTCAGCAACACAATAAATGCTGATTATAACAGCATATGCTAAACATAGAAGATGGAAAGAGCTTTTTGTGCTCCAAGTTTTGAAAGAAAATCCAGAGTGAGTAAGGACCAACTAGATTGGATTTCAACACACCTCATGCTTTGACTATTTTACTTATAGGACAGAACATTATTGCATACATCTCCCAAGGATCAATAATGTTCCAAGATAGTATAGGCTGATGCCATTAAGAAGTAGACAATATTTGCACAAGTTCCTTTTCTATTCATGAATTTTAAAATTTACGTTATGATGTTAAACAATAAGTGATTCTAGGGATCCCCAAATATTTGTACCACTCTTTTCTACCTTCACTGAATAAAGAAAGAAGTCAAAATATTATCTTTATGACTGTTAAAGGCCAAATTAGAGAATGTGGCTTTTAATCTCTTTGCTGTATGGGCTTACCCTACTAAATTCCAGTCACAGGTAAAGCTGACCTTGCACAGGCCTTCCCACATAGAAGGGGCCTGTGCAGGTTCTATTTATGATCTGCTAAAGCAGAAGGTAACTCATCTTTCTGCAGGCAAGCTTGCACTCAAGAGGAAGAGGACAGATAAGATCTGCGTGTGCCTAGTTATTCTCAGAGAAGTCTCTCTATCTTTCTATGTTCACAGTGATTCAAGCAAAATGCTTACAGAGAGAAAATCTTTCAAGAACACTCGGAGAGCATATAAGGTGTTTTCTTCGAATACAGCACAGTATAAGTTTATTCATAACCAGTTTATTCATAACTTCAAAATCCCAAAATCTCCAATTCTTAAAAATTTGCAGGCAACTCATTTGGCTGCAAAACCTCAACTGAACAGAAGTAAACTATTTATTTACTGTTTCTACTTAGGGTCAATATTCATTATTTTTGTTATGGACATATTAACCTGTTGGTAAGCTGTTGTCTCATAATTCTGATCCATCCGTCCTTCCATAATTGGCTCTGAAAAGCTGGGACTTAGACTTATCCAAACTACATTTCTCCTCTGCCAACTGGTTTCCAGTTATATTTGTACCAGTACATGGCATAAAAAGCAAGCAGAAGGAGGGAAGAGGGTCTTGCTTCTTTATATTTGTTAATTTTCTTAACAAAAACATTTTAACAGCTCATTTCCGTTTCCAGGTAGTTTTGGTACCTCTAGAATCAGTATCATAACTTCAGTTGAGCAGTACCCTTTTCCAAATTTTATATTCTGATAAACTCTTCTTGCTATTATTTTCTCTGAGTTTCTCAATGCTTTCTTCTTTATGCTTTCATATCGCCAACATCTGTGTAACCACTCTATGTTAAACTTTCTTTAGTGAGATTTCTCTTTTTTCAGCTTTATTGAGGTATGTGGCAAATAGAAATTGTACACATTTAAGGTATACAACTTGATGTTTTGATATCTGCACACATTGTGAAATGATCACCACAATGAAGTTAATGAACATATCCATCACCTCACATAGTTACTATTGTCTTTCTTTTTTAATTTTGTGCAGTAAAAATATTTAAGATCTATCCTCTTATCAAATTTTAAGCATACAATACAGTATTGTTAACTATAGTCACTGTCTTAGTTTATTTGTACTATTCTAATAAAATACCTAAGACAGGATAATTTATAAAGAATAGAAATTTATTTCTCATAATTCTGGAGTGGAAAGTCCAAGATAAAGGTGCCGGTAGGTTCAGTTGTTTGGTGAGGGCTGCTCTCTGCTTCCAAGGTGGCACTTTGTTGCTGCACTCCTGGAAGGACAGGAATGCTGTGTCCTTACATGATGGAAGGCAGAACGGCAAGAAAGCCAGACAGTGTGTGAAACATCTTTTATAGGGGTCTTAAGAGAGGAACCCTCATGACCTAATTACTTTTAAGGGCTTCGCCTCTTCATACTGTGACACAGGCCATTAAATTTCAATACCTGAATTTTGAAGGAGACACATTCAAACCACAGCACTCACAATCCTGCAAATTAGATCCCCAGAATTTATTCATCTTGCATAAGTGAAATGTTGTACCCTTTGACAACATCTCTCCCTTTCCCCCTTCCCCTCTCCCTAGCAACCACCATTGACCGTTTTAGATTCCACAGATAAATGCAATCGTGTGGTATTTGACTTTCTCTATCTGGCTTCTTTTACTTAGCTGAGATTTCTTTTTTCTCAACTGAACTCTGATTAATATTGGCATGCTCCCCTAGAATCTGCTGGGTATATTAAGAAATATATGGTATATGCATAATCTATCTTTCTAAAATTCAGAATTGTAAAATATATCTCTTCCTAAAGGTTCGAATAAGGAATTGGAGAAAAGTATTTTTGTTACTGCTTTTTGAATCATTGTGTGCACATTTTCTGAGTTGGTTTCTCAAAGGACAGATTCCTGTACTACATAGAGATCTTGGAATCTGAGAATATGATTTAGTACCCAGCATTATCGAATAATCTCCCCAGATTATTCCTGTTGCTATGGTTTAAATCTTTTTATCCACTAGAAAGCAAAATGGGTTACATATACTTTAGCAGCTATTCCCTTAAGGGCAGATAGATAACCTGTGAACTGACCATTCCAAAAAGTCATTAATTTACTAAACAAAAGCCTATGTTCTCCTAAGTCTCCACTTGAAGAATGTATTAGTCCATTTTCACACTGCTATAAAGACATACCTAAGACTGGGTAATTTATAAAGAAGAGAGGTTTAATTGACTCACAGTTTTGGAGGCCTCAGGAAACTTACGAACATGGTGGAAATGGAAGAGGCACATCTTACATGGAGGCAGTCGAGAGAGAGCTTGCAAGAGCAGAGCAAACTGCCTTACAAAACCATGAGATCTCATGGGAACTCACTACCACGAGAACAGCATGGGGGAAACCACATCCATGATCCAATCACCTCTCACTGGATCCTGCCCTTGACAGGTGGGGATTACAGGGATTACAATTCAAGATGAGATTTGGGTGGGGACACATGGAAACCATACCAGGGAATAGAGAGGAGATAGTCTATTCTTATAGTTATACCAGTATGGCCCTGACTGAAAAAGTAATGTATGTATATTGGTTGAAGTATAATCTGGGGCTGGCTTCCATGGGTACAGTCTTTGCTACTGCAGATTAGAGTTGAGTCATTTTGCACACTTTCTTCTGATATGTGGCCTCTGGTTCCACTCAGCCTCTGCAAGTGGATTCATCCAGCAGCTGCCACTTTTCATGTTGTCTCTTCCTTACTACCATTTAGGGATGCTTATAGAGATGCTAATGGATTTTTAACAACTGCCCTAATGTTCTACAGTTTCTGAGCTATGTATGCAAATGAAGCTATGCCTGTAGCCCCATAGGAAACATTCCTTCTCAATAGTGATTAAACAAGAATCATAGTGTTCAAAGGTTGAAATGAGTTATGCACCCAAATTGCCAGCAAGATAGCGAAGGTGTATGGGTACAAATTTGTATTTAATTGACGTTACTAAACAGCAAATAGAAAGCAATCCCTCCATGTGATGCAAGTATAAAACTATTTAAATATTTATTCTGAATACAAATATGTAGAGTCACACCATCACATAGTTAGAAGCATAAATGTTTGGTTTGAAGGGACTTTGTTGATTATTGAAACATAATCGTTACATAGATCAGTAGTCTCCAAATCTTTTATATTGGGCACTATTATATTCATGTATTTGTGTGTAAATATTCACATACTACTATATTAATACAATATGCACATTATTAATCCTACAGAAAAAAAAATGACAGAAAACACAAACTATACCAAAACGTTTCAATGTTGTCTTCCTGAATCTCAAAAGAGCATGTGGTGTGTACCATCAGGTACACACACCTGGGGATCATCAGTCTAGCAAAAGTAATCCACATCCACACAGAAAGGAAAAACAAATACAAGATACCAGAAATGGAATTTATCCATCATCAATCAGAGATCTCTGAAATAAGCATATTTACACCCTCTCTGCTGTATGTGACAGTCAATGAGAAATCTTGTGTTGTGGGCAACTGTGTCCCCTGTCTTAGCTAGCTTTCTCTTCCCACTGCCTCATGGTTTGGTTTTGTGTTACAAACAGAAAAGCTGTTGAAAGCATCTCACCCACCATATCCCTACTTTATTTGCCCCTTTCACTGTAGCCTTTTCTAACATATTCTCTGGCTTCCCTACATTACTTTTCCCCTAAAACACTATTTTTGATTATTATATAGATATGTAGTATGAATACCAGTATATGTTTCCAAAAGATGGATTTTCCACAAATTAAAATATTCGATTTAGCTCTAAATATGGAAACTAAAAATATGCAACCCACTGTGAAATGAATTACTCATACACTATGTGTCTCATTTTAAACTAATAACTCTATAACCTTAAAATACAGCTCAATCTTAAAGTATTAATTTTGAAATGGTGCATTTGTGCTAATGATTTACTGGGAGGAAAAATCCTTTAATCTAACCCTTTTGCTTATGAACTTGAAAGTTGAACTTTATAGAAATGACTGACTGCAACAGCAGGGCTTTTCACCAGCTGATCAAAATTAACAGTTTCTTTCAATTGTTCTAATTAAGACCAAGGGGAGTTCTGGAATGTACCAATGGTATCTCAAATTGCTCCCTAGCTTAAAACTAGTTTCTGGGAAGGAATATCAGCTTTTACCTTTCCCTACAAATAGTTTAGTCTACCTTGCTATTATTACTGTTTACTAAAAGGACTTCTATGAATATATCCCAAGAGAATGTGTTTTTTTTCACTTTATTTCATTAGAAAGCAAAACAATTAAAGAAGAGAAACATAATGATCTTGATTAGAAAATGGTTAGAAACCAGATGCTTTATCAATGATGAGAGCACTATAAACATGTTAGTATTTAACATATTAATAATTTTATTTTACTTTAATTATTTCATATATATACTGGAAGTCTCAGTGGAGAAACCAGTTAACTGAATCATAATCATGGTAATACTATGAAAATTAAATTTATTTAAATCATAAGTAAGAGTATTGCTTTAAAGTGTATAGTTTTCATACTAGCTGAATGTATCTCAAGGAAGAGTTCTACGTTTGAAAACCAATTCTTTCCTTCTAAATTGTAGTTTGTTGTCATTCATCATCTAAAGTTTTTATCTAGGTTATTAATAAAACTTACGTACATTTTTAAATAGTAATTTATTTTAATATTATGCATTTATAATGTTTATTTCTTTCAGGACTTTTATTTAAATGGGATTTTCTATTTAAATAAAACATTTTATTCAAAATATGTTTTAAAATAAAACTGTCAAAGTTGTATAAATAATGAAGCGTGCATACAAGCCAATACCAATATTTTCATCATTGAAGCAAAAACAGGGAAAAGTTTTAAATCTTGACCTATATGTATTTGCCTGGCAAATCATTTAGGTGCTATTATAAAGTTATTTTAAAAATTGGTTAAAGAAGTATATTCAAGATCAACCAATTAAATTCTGAGTACCAAATGCATTATGATAAGGAGTACAGATCCCTATAATTTAACCAAACATCAGCTTGCTTAAAAGTGTGATTGTGTTATGGGTGATGAAAATATGTTGCCTTGCTTCATCAGCATTTCAAACCATGTCTTCTTTGCATGTGACAATTATCAGTTTAAAGATCTTTGAGAGGGCATACTCTTTAACCTCATACACAGTCCCAAAATAAGTAATTGACTCTTTCAACTCTCACGGTGGTGTTAAGATATAAGCAATCTCTTGTTGTAATTAGCATTCTTTCTTAGGAAAAGGCTGACAGCTGGGTGGCTAAATGGGCTAGCAGTTTTCAGAGAGCATTCCCTTCCCTACGGCTGGAAACAGACTATTTAAAACCACTGTGCAAGAGTCAACAGGATTAACATGGAGTCAACTTCCTTGGGAAATGGAGCCAAAGAGATTCGAAGGAGACAGAATACTTCAAGGCAATCACACTAGTAGTGAAAATCTCCAGACTTACTGGTCCTGTCACATCTAATTTAACTGATGACATGAACGTTAAGCAGAACTACAAAGACTTTTTTTTATGAGCCTAAACTCTTTTTTTACTTCCTGAAAGCTTCGGATATTTCCTTTTTTTCTTTTTTTTTTTTTTAACTGAAGAGAAATCCATCTTAAAAACCTGGAAAACACCTTCTGTTTATTTAGACATACATGCATGAAGATTAGCGTCTTTACATAGAAGGATTTTTACCACTAAATTTTAGACTGTTTACAGGTTTTTCTTTTAATTTATAATTCTTATCATGTATCTTTTTACATTTCTAATTATAAAGAAATTACTAAATCTTCTTGAAAGAAATTTATATTTTGTGGAACTTGTTCATGTAAATTTCATCAAGGATTTGTGTACTTTCTTGTTATGAACTCTCATAATTGAGAATTTAAATATACAGGTAGAAAACAGAACTATTTCATTATCAATACAATGACTATTTCGTTGGCAAATGTGAAGTCCAAATATTCTGTTAATGTTAGTTTTTTCTTAGAAAATGTAGAAAACACAAATTTTAAGTATAAAGAGCTATCATTCTTTGTTTTATCTGTATAATTAGAAAAGCATTTTAACTATTAATAATATACAAACTATTGCGATGCATATTTAGTTTAGTACTCAAGTGGTAGAAAACGATTAGTCTCTCCCAGTAAAGCATTTACAGTGTAGTTGGCTAATCAGACATATTCATGATGAATAAGATCTATTAATTATAGACTGAAGACTATGTCTGGAATTAACCAGCTTCTAGGTTGAAACTTCAGTCCTGATAATAACCATTGGGCCAGCATTTTATTCTACCCTAAGAGAGTTGCAAATGTCAAAAAAGCAGTCTGGGTCTATGGGTGGGAAAAAGCTTGGGGTGTTAATTATTTATCAAATTCAAATTAGATTGATTTGCCAAGGAATTTGTTTTTTATTTTAAGAGAAAATATAAAAATGGTGGGTTTTTTTTTATTATACTTTAAGTTCTGGGATATGTGTGCAGAATGTGCAGGTTTGTTACATAGGTATACACATGCCACGATGGTCTGCTGCATCCATCAACCTGTCATCTACATTAGGTATTT
This sequence comes from Homo sapiens, assembly GCF_000001405.40. NCBI lineage: Eukaryota > Metazoa > Chordata > Mammalia > Primates > Hominidae > Homo > Homo sapiens. The sequence goes on from NC_000005.10 coordinate 52,335,750, forward strand.
CTCCTAATGCTATCCCTCCTCTAGCCCCCCACCCCCTGAGAGGCCCCAGTGTGTGATATTCCCCTCCCTGTGTCCATGTGTTCTCATTGTTCAACTCTACTTATGAGTGAGAACATGCAGTGTTTGGTTTTTTGTTCCTGTGTTAGTTTGCTGAGAATGATGGTCTCCAGCTTCATCCACGTCCCTGCAAAGAACATGAACTCATCCTTTTTCATGTCTGCATAGTATTCCATGGTGTATATGTGCCATATTTTCTTTAACCAGTCTATCATTGATGGGCATTTGGTTTGGTTCCAAGTCTTTGCTATTGAGAATAGTGCTGCAATAAACATACATGTGCATTTGTCTTTATAGTAGAATGATTTATAATCCTCTGGGTATATACCCAATAATGGGATTGCTGGGTCAAATGGTATTTCTGGCTCTAGATCCTTGAGGGATCGTCACACTGCCTTCCACAATGATTGAACTAATTTACCCTCCCAACAGTGTAATAGCATTCCTATTTCTCCATATCCTCTCCAGCATCTGTTTTTTCCTGACTTTTTAATGATCACCATTCTAACTGACATGAGATGATATCTCACTGTGGTTTTGATTTGCATTTCTCTGATGACCAGTGATGATGAGTTTTTCTTCATATGTTTGTTGGCTGCATAAATGTCTTCTTTTGAGAAGTGTCTGTTCATATCCTTTGCCCATTTTTTGATGAGGTTGTTTGTTTTTTTCTTGTAAATTTGTTTAAGTTCCTTATAGATTCTGGATATTATCCCTTTGTCAGATGGATAGATTACAAAAATTTTCTTCCATTCTGTAGGTTGCCTGTTCACTCTGATAATAATTTCTTTTGCTGTGCAGAAGCTCTTTAGTTTAATTAGATCCGATTTGTCAATTTTGGCTTTTGTTGCAATTACTTTTGGTGTTTTAGTCATGAAATCTTTGCCCATGCCTATATCCTGAATGGTATTGCCTAGGTTTTCTTCTAGGGTTTTTATGGCTTTAGGTCTCATTTTAAGTCTTTAATCCATCTTGAGTTAATTTTTGTATAAAGTGTAAGGAAGGGTTCCAGTTTCAGTTTTCTGCATATGGCTAGCCAGTTTTCCGAACACCATTTATTAAGCAGGGAACCCTTTCCCCATTGTTTTTTTGGTCAGGTTTGTCAAAGATCAGTTGGTTGTAGATGTGTGGTGTTATTTCTGAGGCCTCTGTTCTGTTCCGTTGGTCTATATATCTGTTTTGGTACCAGTACCTTGCTGTTTTGGTTACTGTAGCCTTGTAGTATAGTCTAAAGTCAGGTAGCATGATGCCTCCAGCTTTGTTCTTTTTGCTTAGGATTGCCTTGGCTATACAGCTCTCTTTTGGTTCCATATGAAGTTTAAAGTAGTTTGTTCTAATTCTGGGAAGAAAGTCAATGGTAGCTTGATGGGGATAGCATTGAATCTGTAAATTACTTTGGGCAGTGTGGCCATTTTTCATTATATTGATTCTTCCTATCCATTAGTATGGATAATTTTTCCATTTGTTTGTGTCCTCTTTTATTCCCTTGAGCAGTGGTTTGTAGTTCTCCTTGAAGAGGTCCTTCACATCCCTTGTCAGTTGTATTCCTAGGTATTTTATTCTTTTTGTAGCAATTGTGAATGGGAGTTCACTCATGCTTTGGCTCTCTGTTTGTCTGTTATTGGTGTATAGGAATGTTTGTGATTTTTGCACATTGATTTTATATCCTGAGACTTTGTTGAAGTTCCTTATCAGCTTAAGGAGATTTTGGGCTGAGATGATGCGGTTTTCTAAACATACAATCATGTCATCTGCAAATAGAGACAATTTTATTTCCTCTCTTCCTATTTGAAGGCCTTTTATTTATTTCTCTTGCCTGATTATTTTTTATTGTTATGGTTACTTGCTGAATTACGAGTGGAGATTCAATCAGGTAAATCTCTTATGTCATTCACTTCATTGATGAATTAATTTATACATCCAATCATTTAATAACAAGTACTTACATAGTGCCTAGGAAATGCTTAGCACTGGTGTAACCACTTTACAAAGGCAATTTCCTCCCCTTCCATATGATTTTTAATCTCTTGGTATAAGTAATTACATGGGTTCTCCTAGACAAAGAAAGCTCATTTTGTTCATGTTGGTGATGGAAGGGATAGTAACTAGCTTTAAGCTAATTAGCAAAAAGAACTCCAGAAAGGTAATGACAAAATCTACTATTAGTGAATCTATGACTCTGGGAGAAAATTTAATATTAAAATAAGGCCGTAACAGGAAAAAAAAAAAAAAACAGGGAAGATTCAGTAACAAAGCATAAAAGTTAGCAGGCTTTGGCTCTCTGTGTTTTCTACATTTTCTATTTAAAGCCTTATTGAACCAGATACCCTGGGCCTGTTATGCATCCTGAGACTGAAAGAGTTACTGCAGACATGTTGCGAATAAACCATCATGTTCAACCCTCATACCTTGTGCCCAAGCAAACCTTCTGTGGGACACCTATAACAGTGTGTAACATTGAGTGGAAGGAACATTTCCTCTTCTTATTTTGAAACAAATTTAGAATTGGCATGGCTCTATTGTAACCAAGAGAATCATTAAGTAAGATAATGTTTTAAGAATCTAACACCTAAAGTGTGTCATAAATATACCAACCTGATTTATATTAAAAAGGAAATCTTGAAATTGATAGTGGAGATTTTGCATTGTCACAGGTCGGGGGGCTGGATAGGTAGAAAAATTCATATTCTAGTGAGAACCCTTCAAATTTGCAGAGGTCATTGTTTTCTTTCAAGCAAGACCAAGAGGCCATGAAAGGTTAAATTCTACTTTCTGATGCCCCTAAAAGTAATATCCTGGCTTGGGGGTCTTATTATTCAACCCCAGTTTTTGAAATAGTAATGGAAAAAATTGAAAGTAGTTTAACTGGTATTATCTTAGATAAAGTTACACTTCATAGCCTATTTTTGTATACCATTTAAAATCTTATACAAGATCATAAAAATTAGTTATATCATCACTCTATTAAAATCTTCACATCATAAAGGGCCATTATATCAATAAATCAAGTAAAACACTTCAATAGAATGTGAGAGGACAGAAATGTTGTTACTTGAAGATAAATCACTTGCATTGGAAAAACAAAAAAACTAAAATTGTGGAAGTCAATATATAGAGAACCCATCCTATCCTCGTAAGTTAATTTTGAAAAACAAAACATAAAACATTATTTTTAAAATGGTACTGCTAGAATTCATTGGAAAAATAATGGCTGCATAGTCAATGTATATTTCGGTATATGTGCATATCTATATAAGCATACCTCATTTTACTGCACTTTGCTTTATTGCTCTTTGCAGATATCGTGCTTTGTACAAATTGAAGTTTTGCATCAACCCTGCTTCAAGCAAGTCTATTGGCACCATTTTCCCAACAGCGTGTGTTCATTTTGTGTCACTGTGTCATATTTTGGTAATTCTCATAACATTCCAAATTTTGCCATTATATCTATTGTGGTGATCTGTGATCTGTGATCACCACAATTGCTTTTGTTTTTGTAACCATTGTAATTGTTTTGGGGTGCCATGCACAAACTGAACCAATATAAAAGATGGGAACATTAATTGATAAACGTTATATGTGTTCTGACTGCTCCACCAACTGGCCATTCATCTCTCTCCTCCTCAGGCCTCTGTATTCTCTGAGACACAATATTAAAATTAGGTCAATTAATAACCCCACAATGGCCTTTAGATGCTAAAGTGAAAGGAAGAATTGCACATCTCTCGCTTTAAACCAAAAGCTATAAATAATTAAGCTTAGTGAGGAAGGCATGTTAAAGGCCAAGATAGGCCAAAAGCGAGGCATCTTGTACCTAACAGTCAAGTTTTGAATGCAAAGGTAAAGTTTTTGAAAGGCATTAAAAATGCCACACCAGTGAGTATGAGAATGATTAGAAAGCAAAACAGCCTCATTGCTGAGATGGAGTGAGCTTTAGTGGCCTGGTTAGAGGATCAAACCAGCCACAACATTTATTTTAGCCAAAACCAAATCCAAAGAAAGGCTCTAATTCTCTTTAGTTCTTTCAAGGGTGAGAGCAGTGAGGAAACTGCAGTAGAAAAGTTCACAGCTAGCAGAAGTTGGCTCATGAGGTTTCAGAAAAAAAGCCGTCTCCATAAAACAAAATAGTGCAAGACGAAGCAGCAAGTGCTGATGGAGGAGCTGCAGCAAGTTATCCAGAATATCTAGCTAAGATCATTGATGAAGGTAGCTACACTGAATAACAGATTTTCAATGTAGATAAAATAGCCTTCTATTGGAAGAAGATGCCATCTAGGATTTTCATAGCTTGAGAGAATAAGTCAATGCCTATCTTTAAAGCTTCAAAGGACAGGCTAACTCTTGTTAGGAGCAAATGAAGCTGGTGACTTCAAGTTGAAGCCAATGCCCATTGGTCATTCTGAAAATCCTAAGGCCCTTTAAAATTATGCTAAATCTGTTCTGTCTGTGTTGTATAAAGAACAGCTAACCCTGGATGACATCACACCTCTTTATAGCATGGTTTAATGTACACTTAAAACCCGTTTTTCAGACCTACTGCTCAGAAAAAAAAGATTCCTTTCCAAATAGTATTGCTCTTTGGCAATGCACCTGGTCATCCAGGAGCTCTGCTGGAGTTGTACAAGGAGATTAACGTTTTCATGCCTGCTAACACAACATCCATTCTGTAGCCCATGGATCAATGAGTGATTAAGACCTTCTAGTCTTATTATTTAAGAAATACATTTTGGAAGGCTATAGCTACTATAGATAGTGATTACTCTGATACATCTGGGCAAAGTCAATTGAAAATTTTCTTTAAATGATTCATTGTTCTAGATACTACTAAGAACACTTGTAATTTGTGATTCATGGGAGGAGGTCAAAATATCAACATTAATAGGAATTTGGGAGAAGTTGATTCTAACCCTCAAGGATAACTTTGCACGATTCAAGACTTCTGTGGAGGAAATAATTACAGGTGTGGTAGAAATAGCAAAAGAACTAGAATTATAAGTAGAGCCTGCGGATGTAGCTGAATTGCTGCAAACTTATGATAAACCTTGAATAGACGAAGGGTTGCTTCTTAAGGAAGAGCAAAGAAAGTGGTTTCTTGAGATGGAATCTACACCTTGTAAAGTTGCTGTGAACATTGTTGAAATGCCAACAAATAATTTAGAATATTATATAAACTTAGTTCATAAAGCAGTGGCAGTCTTTAAGAAGATCGACTCCAATTTTGAAAGTTCTACTTTGGATAAAATGCTATCAAACAGCATCATATGCTACAGAGAAATCTTTTGTGAAAGAGTTAATCAATGCAGCAAACTTTATTGTTGTGTTATTTCAAGAAATTGCTAAAACTACCACCCTGATCAGTCAGCAGCCATCACACCAAAGCAACACCCTACACCAGCAAACAGATTAAGACTCCTCAAAGCCTCAGATGATCATTAGCACTTTTATCAATGAAGTATTTTAAAATTAAGGCTTTTTTTAGGCATAATGCTATTGCATATGTAATACACTACAGTATAGTACAAATATAAGTTTTCTATGCCCTAGGAAACCAAAAAATTATGTAACTCACTTTATTGCAGTGGTCTGACACAATCCATCGTATCTTTGAGGCAGAGAGATAGTGTGAGGATTGTAGCTGGAGATATAGATATATGGATATCTCTGAGTTATAGGTCTTCAGGATGGTGACATCTGTAAGAACAGAGGTTACTTTGTAGAAACAATACTTTAATACATATTCTCAAATAAATTATAATTTATTATGTGCTTTCATCACAACAAATGGACCTAAGTTTACATAAGTAAAAAGAATTCATTTGTTTTTTTCTATATATTTGGATATACAAACTTGAACACAACTTCTTCAGTTGTAAAATGAATATAAGAATTGCATTTTCTTTACCTCAAGTCCTAATGAGACATAATAGATAAGAATGCCTTTGGGAGTGGGGAAGTTTTAATGCAATATGAAGGAAAAATAAATTAACATGTGAAATTGTCTAAACTGACAAACATTAATATATTATTAACCTTCTTACTACACCAATATATACCACAAGTGAGGTTATGATTTCTTCAAGTCTCTTACACATAAAGAGATGATAATAGTATCTATGTCAGCAATGGCCTTACTTGCTTACAGATCCATTTTTTACCTTTCTGCTGCTCTGCTCTGTGTGGTGGGAAGGCTAACTTCTGTAAGCATCCGTCTAAGTTTGGCTCAAAGGACATACAGATGGAAACTGGAGATTGTGAGAAAGGGAGAAGGTAGGGGTAATTCACCTTCTTCTCTGGAAAGTGACTCCAGTTGCAGTCACATCCCCTCCATGACTTCAAATTCTACCAGTTTCCTGTCTGATTACAATGCCTCCTGGGTGACTTATCTCTGGACTTCATTAGCCTCACGTCCTACCCATGTTCCTGAAGGCTTGGGATAAGAGCAGCACCTGCTATTCATAATCTCTATGTTGCCTCACTCTGCTACAGTTGGTTTCTTGGCTCTAAGTGTAATCAATTCTTGCCTTTAATTTCCTCTGTTTGAAACACAGTGAGTACTAACACTAACTAATATGTTGAACACTAACATATTTATAATTTTTATAATATGAAATGCCAGATTTCCTTCAAGGTGCTTTGCCTTTACTAAAACAATTCATCTTCACAATAACTGTATTAGGAAGGTTAATAGTGTTAACCCAATTTATACATGAAGAAGCTAATGTGCAGATTTTCTGGAAAATTGCCAATGTTTACACAGCTAGGAAGTGGTGTTGGCAAGATTTGAATACAGATAGCTTACATTCTTAACCATATGCTTACTTCTTCTCTACTCAGGCTGACCTCACTACTTATAAAAAGCTTGGCACCTATCAAACATTTGGTCAAAAACACACCACTGAGTGTCCAGAGTTCTATGCCATGTGTAAAACTTGGGTCCCAGGCAAAGTGAAAGCATTTAAGGATTCAAGAAGTTTTAGCTGTTATTATTATTAATTTAAGTGCAACATTTGAGACCCAAATTATGTCTGACTGAAAACAAAAACACCTATCACTTTTAAATTTTATAATTAAAATTTTAAATTTTCAATAAATAGTAAAATTAGAAAATAAGAACTCTAATCACAATAATCACAACAAGAGAAATAACAGAGAATTGCCATGTTATTACTAAATTTAATCTTTCCAAATAAATGTTTTTGTCTACAATCTGTTACCATTTTTATAAAGAAAACATGTTGTAACACTACAGTTTGGACAGATATTAAGAGAAAGGTAGGTCTTGACATTTAAAAAGTGTATTACTGTTAAAAATTTACCAAATTAATTTGTTTTTATTCCACAGCAGACTGATGAAACTGATCCATAGATACTATTCTTAGGAAATCATTTCTCTAAATAATAGATTGAAATAATCACAGCAATTAAAAGCACTAAAACCCAGTAAGTAAAACATTTACAGTTGAGGTAGGGGTAAATATTGTTGTTTATCAATCCAGAATCTCTTCCCTCCTTTCTTCACAGATTCTAATTTTGCACAGGAATTTTATTCATAGCATATCCACATGCCTTGACAGAAGATGGTTCATCTACAGTTACAAAGCTAAGTCCCGATGAGATGCTGCCACTTAGCAGTCCTAGTTGTCTTGATTCAGAGCTTTTAATGTTTAAGAAATGGGCTTTGGCCTGGTTCTGATCAATGAGACATGAAGGATAGTTACTGGGAGCTTCTGGGAAATAAGATCCCTGCTTTCTCAGAGAAGAATTTAAAAACTTGACTCTTTCTCTCTCTGAGGAAATGAATAAGAAAGGCTGAAGTCCAGGATTGTTCATGGCAATTCAGTGAAACCAGTAGCAGGGTAGAATGAGACAGTAGATGACAGGATAGACAGAAACAATGAGGGTGCAGATGAAGTCATTAAGTTATTGCATCAATTAGCCCTGAAACTCACCCTACATTTGGACTTCCTGTTATTTGATCCAATAAATGTCCCATTTGCATTTCCTGTTCCATATAGCCTTTACTTAGTGAAACAGTAAAAACAACTAACAGTAGATACTGCATTTTAAAAGTCTGAGTTCAAATCATATTTTTGTAAGGGTAGTTAATCTACTTGACACTTACTGGCTATATATCCTGAACAGGATTAGCTATATGACAGGTCCAGTACAAAGTAAAAATCAGAGGCCCTTCAAAAATTATTAAGTCTGCAGAAGCAGAGCACCAATTAAAACATACGCCTCCTTGAGCATGGAACCCTGCACAAGAGCAGGCCTCATGCCCATGAAGCTAACCCTGGCCCTAAAGGAAGTTCCTTGACCTCTCTACTCATTAACTGGCAGCTTTAAAATAGTATCTGCATTAGTGATTTGTTGAGCCTTCTTCAAAGCATCATTTACATATTAGTATAGGTTATTTAGGAGCAACCATACTTAAATGTATATGTGTATGTGACTATATCTTTAGAGATTTACATTATTCTTTTTATTAGAGATGCATTTGTAAATTTCCCAATGTGTTTCTGAGCAATAATATAGTATATTTTCTTTTCCTTGGATAGAAATATTTCTTTTTTACATGGACATTTAGATGCTAAATGTAACAGCCACAGGAATGCAAGCGTCTCTCATGAAATGATCTATAGCAATAGATAAATGAATCTATATGAAAATGCAATAGTTCTAATTTGTTTTTCTACCTTCAGTCCCCCATCCACCCATTAAAAATTAGTGATCTTAAACTATTTTAAGTTACATATTTCTTTGAGAAAGTGAAAGCTAAAAAATTTTTCAAGAAAACCGTGTCTATGCCTGTGTGAAATATTCTAAAATTTTACTTTCAATATGAAGCCCATCCATAGAACTCCTAGTTGGACTACAAATACAGGTAAAAAATTTCCAGTTTTCTGAAAGTAATCATTCTTAAACAGAAAGTTAATATCAACTTCTGGCTTGGAATCTTTCATTGGTTTGCAATTACCATATAGGATAAATTCAATTTGCTTAGCATTGTGTTAATGAGAAGTCACTTTATCCCTCACTGCTCTGCTCCTTTCTAGATTAAAACATCAGCAATATTGAGCTCATACGGTTTATCACTGTGCTTTTTTTTTTCTACCTCTAAAGCTGTGGTTCTCAGCCCTCTTTAATTAAGAATAACTTAGAGAAGTTTTCGGTTTTTGTTTTTTAATACTAAAGCCTGGGCAGCCAGCTATTTACTCAGGCTGGTGTAGAGTCCAAATGTTAGTATTCTTTTAAATATCCCAAGGTAATTAATTCTAAAGTGTTCTCTGGGCTGAGAAATATGTGAGTTGTCAAGTAAACTGATTTTTTTAATGCTCACTTTAAATGCTGTGGATCACATGTAGGCTGTAGTCACTGACAATCAGGTGAATTAGTAGAATTGTTCAAATAAAGGAGTAAATCAGGAAGAACCTTTCTTGAGAGAAAAAATTAAGGGTAAGACTTGCCGGGCACGGGGGCTCACACCTATAATTCCAGCACTTTGGGAGACCGAGGCAGGTGGATCACTTGAGGTCGGGAGTTTGAGACCAGCCTGACCAACATGGAGAAATCCTGCCTCTACTAAAAATATAAAATTAGCCGGGCATGGTGGCGCATGCCTGTAATCCCAGCTACACGGGAGGCTGAGGCAGGAAAATCGCTTGAACCCAGGAGGCAGAGGTTGCGGTGAGCCAAGATCACGCCATTGCACTCTAGCCTAGGTGACAAGAGCAAAAACTCCATCTCAAAAATAAATACATAAATAATTAAAGGTGAGAGTCTAATAGGAGAATAATTCAGGCTGGACATGGGGTCAGCAGTCATGATAAATTAAGCACACCTTCTTCCTCCTAAACCCTTTCACCAACCCCTGCAACTTCACAGATAAACAAATGTTAAAATATGCATTAACTAGGAAATATGTAGGTAGGGGGTGGATATTCACTTGATTGTATTGTGAAGTAAAATAAAATTATAAGTGATATTCTATCTTCCTGAAGTTACAAAAATATCAAGTATAAAAATTTATGAATTAAGACAGTCAGAAAATGAGATTATAAGTCTGTACATGGCCAAAAAATGCCCTCACTCTACATGTTAAATGTTTTTAAAGATACAAGTAACTTATAACTACAGCAGGGATGGTTTGAGAATTAATTACGAGTTCCTTGCCAGGATAACACAAATGAAACAAAAAATCATTAATAAGGAACTTAACTGGATTCTGCTGACACATCGTGATATACATCTGATTGTTTCTCTGCATGTTTAATTCTTAACTTTTAACATTTAACTTTTAATGTTAAATAAACATTTGCTTTAGTTAGCAATATTCTTTGAGGGAAATGTGAAGTATTTTCTAATCCAAAGTGGTTTACATCTCATCATTTTCACACATTCATCTAAATCCATTTTATTTTTTAACAAGTCGAAGAAAAATAAACAAAAATGATAATTTTACATCAGGGTGTGCTGGAAAAAAAGAAAAGTGGAAATATTTGTACCAAGTCCTGTCTTAATGAATAGTAAAATGAATGATAGCTGATAGAAAATTAGCGTTCTTCTAAAGAATTAGAAAATCGTTGACTCGAAGCTATAAGAAATCAAAGCAGATTCTCTGAATCAGTATGAACCTGGGAGGCATTATCAGGTGCCATTTCCCAGTGAACCTGCAGTAAAAAGACATAAGGCTTGCACCTGTCACCACTATATTGAGATTACTTACTCTGCCTGGTGTGAGATTTAAGCCTGGTGCTGAATGCTGTTTCACACCAGACGATCTGAATATGTCGCCTAGAAAAAGAATACGAAGTTTCCACTGTTATTTGTCAAGGATTTTGGTTTCTGTATTTCGGTACCAGAAATATTTTTTTACATGGAACTCTGATACATTGCCATGTACATAGATGTTTTACACAAATTACAGGCCCCTTTGATCCATTAAGATATGGCTGCGTAAGACATTCATTTTCTTGAAGAAATTTTAGGCTTCTAAAAGGAATTTAGTAACAGGATCCTACTTGGGACCTCACACCACCAGAGCTGTCAGGCTCTTCCTTCTCTAAGACTGGAATACATGTAATAACAAAATGACTTAATAGCGGAAGAACACATTACCTTATAAAAGATAATTTTAACTATTTCAAACCTGGAGAACTCATGTTAGCTCTCAATAATTGCTGTTGTAATTCTAGCTACTTTCGTTTCTTCAAGAGACATTCTTTGCCTGCCCCTTCTCCCTAGTACAGGAGATGAGGTAATTCCATGTATTAGCTGCTATCGTTAGATAATTATGGCCACCACACAAACCATAATGGGTATCAGATCCAATACCTAGGTAGATGAAGGAAATGACGTAAATACCCATGTTCATAAATGCCCTTGTGTTTGGGAGAAGGATGAATAAAAGACTAAATTATAATACTATCTAAAGATATCAGAACCCTTATGGCTCTCTCCCTCTGCTGTCACTGGCCAGAGAGTAAACAATGACCAGAAGAGGATAGGGTTATACAGAGAGTTGGCCCATGTTGGTGATCTTACTCAAGAAGTCTAATTTAAAAAACAACATAATCAGTCACATATGAGGAACTATGTTTATAGTCAGATCTACTCAAGTGCACATGCTTTCACTTTTTCAGAAAGGAAACCCTCAAGTGAGAATTATGGACCAGAGACACATGGATTTTTCCATTACTGGAAAAGTTATTACTATGATTTCTTCTACTATTAATCCAATTCCTCTCTAATGATGTAAAAATTATTAGATACTGGGGAATCTAAGACTCATTGTAAAGAAAATTGTCAAACACACAGCCAAAAATAGTTATGGTAAGTTGCATTTCCCAACACAAGGCAGACAAAATAACATCTTTAACACAGCATCTCCGATAAAAAGATTCAAAAGTGAAATGTGCATACGTAGCCTAGTTATGGTGCTTAAATTTGGAAAAAAAACAAACTGTGATGCTCATTGATTGATTCATTTATTCATTCATTTATTTATTCAACATGCTTCATATTATTTGCTTCCAGAATTGATCACATGGCATCTTTACCATAGTGGCATTGAAAGAAGGAGCACCCTAGGAGTTTATTAAAAGATGCTAACTTTATTTGGTTTTACTCTTCTGCTGTTGGTTCCCTGAAGATGACACTCCTTAAAATGATCTCCTAATGTATTTGTTGATTTCAGAGCAGGTCTGGCTTCTCTAATGGATTAGCTCCCCCCTCACCCAGGTCCTTTCTATACCCTTTGTAAGGAAACGCCAGCCAGCTGGAACAGCAGGGCAACAAGTACAGCTGGGAATTTCTAGCCCACAGGTGTCCATTCTCGCATTTGATAGCTTGCCAATATCAAAGCTGGATTTGTTGAGGGGATCCCCACAGTTGTTTCACAGAAAGAAAATTATCCACTGGCACTAATAGTAATAATCTCCTCCTCCATATCTGACTTAGTACTTGAGCTACAGCCACAGCCTTCTTTCCCCACCAGGATTGAACCAGTATCAAGTTCTCCATCCTTTTCACAAGTGGGTGGCAGACTGTCAGGGCAGGAATTAGATGGGTACAGGTGGCACCACCTGCTTGAAATGCTTTTGAGTATTTTGTGTTTTATTATTGCTGCACACCATTGCACCAGTCTTTCTTTTCTTGCCAATAACCATGGTACCATTTGTTTGAGCTTAAAGTCTGTTTCAAATTCTAATTTTTGATAAAAACAGAACATGAAAGGGATTTATTTTCCTAGAAAAAGTAATTACTTTGTTATTAAATTTGAAATGTAATTTACAGGTAGACTTAAAGGACTTACTAACGAGTCGAACAAAGGATGTGAGAAAAAATAAAAATCAAGGATGCCTCTTTGGAGATGGTGAAGATGGAAGAGGAGCAGTTTAAAATGGAAATCAGGAATTTAATTTTGGATATATTAATTTAGGGATAGCCATTAGATATCCAACTGGAAAAGTTGAGTTGGTGATAATTGTATATGTTTATATATAGGCATGCATTATGATTATTAATATATGATCATCTCTTATATATGAAAATTCAGAATTGAGGCCCAGTGGAGATATACATGTATGATTTGTCATCATGTGTAGATGATATATAAACTCACTGGACATTGTTGTTGTGGAACCTCAAGTTCTTAGAGCTCATTATTTTCCATTTTTGAACCTGACGCTAACGTGTTGTTTATATACTTTCATGTATGTATTCACTCAGGTATGTAAGAATGTTTGTGAGCTCATCTTTAAGGGGGCTTTAAAAAAAGTGTGTCTCAAACTTTATTTTTTTGGTTTTTTTAATTTTTTATTTCAATAGCTTTTTGGGGAACAGGTGGTGTTTTGTTACACGAATAAGTTCTTTAGCTGTGATTTCTGAGATTTTGGTGCACGCATCACCTGAGCAATGTATACTGTACCCACTGTGCAGTCTTTTATCCCTCACCACCCCCCACACCCTTTTCCCTGAGTCCCCAAAGTCTATAGTTTCATTCTTACGCCTTTACATTCTCATAGCTCAACTCCCACTTATTTTGAGAACACATGATGTTTGATTTTCTATTTATGAGTTACTTCACCTAGAATAATAGTCTCTAATTCCATCCAGTTTGATGTAAATGCTGTTATTTCATTCCTTTAAAAGTATATGTTTTTAAGAAATATGTGTGAGTGCTTTCTAGAATGGCTTTGCCTTTGTTTCTGCCAAGTACCCCATGGCATCATCAGCTAAAGATCAATTTTTTGTTGTTAATTTTTCATCCGGGGTTGTTAGACCAAGCAAGAAGTATAAATTTAAATCATAAACCTATGGCAAGTATAGGCCTAGACATTTAATTGTCTAATTTATGATGCAAGAAAACAGAACTTTTACCATGGTTCCTGGAAACATAGTCCTTAGGCCCCAAGTTTAGGCAAGCATCTCAGTTTAAATTCCTTACTTCACCTGATCTTAAGGCCTTGTTCCTTTTTTATTTAGTCTTTAAGCTTAAAACTATGGAATAATGGAGGACAATAACCTTCAACTCCCTAAGAGCTATCTTAGTGCTAGGTCAGGGCTTTCCATGTGGTTTCTCACACTTTCCCCCTTGCTGATACTCTTCTGTATTTTATTATGTGTTACATTTTGTGATTTATATTTGTATTACATTTATCACAGTTTTATTATATCTATTCAATAACTCTTCAACAGGATATATTTCAAGAAGTATTAGTGTTCTGTTCTGCTTTAACTGGGAGTGTTTCTCCAGTTTCTACTCCCTTTTATCAGGTTAATTCAAATATTTTGTCAACATGTATTTAGTTTTTAAGTTTTTATTCCTTTCCTCAAGAATATTTTAAGCATGTTATTTTTTCCGGGTCTGGATTTTTTGGGTAAACGTTTTGGGGTCTACCTTTTCTTTTATCATTTTTCCTCCGGAGTTAAAGAGCATAGTTTAACTCTCCTTTAATCTGTATATTTCTTGAGCGCAGCCACATTGTGACAGCTGTGTCAGCACCAAGCTAGAAGTACACCAGTTAACAAGATGACTGAATCTTGCTCTGATAGACCTCTTAGTCCACTGCTTCTCTCTTTTAGATCTTCAGGCCTATTGTCTTTTCATTTTCTTTGTTTACACTGAGGTTAAAAAAAAAACATATAACATTAAATCTACCATCTTAAAAATTTTTGAGTGGGCTGGGCATGGTGGCTTACATCTGCAATCTCAGCACTTTTGGAGGCCAAGATGGGAGGACCGCTTTAGCCCAGGAGGTCAAGGCTGCAGTGGGCTGGGTTCACACCACTGCACTCCAGCCTGGGCAACAGAGGGAAATCTTGTCTCAAAAAAAAAAAAAAAAAAATCAAGGCAGGTGCAGTGGCTCATGCCTGTAATCTTGTAATCCCAGCACTTTGGGAGGCCGAGGCGGGCAGATCACCTGAGGTCAGGAGTTTGATACTAGCCTGACCAACATGGTGAAACTCCATCTCTACTAAAAATACAAAAATTAGCTGGGCGTGGTGGCGCACGCCTGTAATCCCAGCTACTTGGGAGGCTGAGGCAGGAAAATCGCTTGAATCTGGGAGGCAGAGTTTGCAGTGAGCTGAGATTGCACCACTGCACTCCAGCCTGGGCACTAGAGTGAGACTCCATTGAAAAAAAAAGTCAAGTGTATGTTACAGTATTGTTAACTATAAGCAAAATGTTGTACAGTGGACCTCTAAAATTTTTCTTCTTTCATGACTGAAGCTTTATACCCATTGAACAACAACGTGCCATTTCTTTCTATCCCCAGAATCTAGCGACCATCATACTAGTTTCTGTTTCTGTGAGTTTGACTATTATAGACAACTCATGAATGGAACCAGACGGTCTTTGTCCTTCTGTGACTGGTTTATATTCCACTTAGTGTAATGTCCTTGAGGTTCATCCATGTTGCAGCATACAAAAGAATTTCCTTCTTTTTTATAGCTGAATAATAGTCTGTTGGATGTATATACTATATGTTCTTTATCCATTCTTTGATGGATATTTAGAATGTTTCTATTTCTTGCCTATTGTCGATAATAGTGTAGTTAAATATCTGAGATCTTGATTTGAATTTTTTGAAAAATACTCAGAAACAGAATTGCTGGGTCATATTGTGGTTCTTTTTTAATATTTTAAAGAACTTCCATATGGTTTTCCATAGAGGCTGTGCCATTTAACTTCCAACACTTGCTATTTTCTGTTTTGTTTTGATTTATTTTGTTTTTGCCATCCTAACAGTTGTAAATGATACATTATTGTGGTTTTTATTTGCATTTCCCTGGTGATTAGTGATGCTGAACACCTTTTAATATACCGGTTGGCCACGTATATGGTTTTTTTGGAGAAATGTCTATTCAAATCTGTTGCTCATTTTTTAATCTGGTTGTGCCTTTTGCTGTAGAGTTGTAGGAGTTCCTTATATACTTTGGGTATTAATCTCTTATCAGATATATGGTTTGGAGATATTTTCTGCCATTCCATAGGTTGCCATTCACTCTGTTGATTATTTGCTTTTCTATGCAAAATCTTTTTAACTTTGATGTAGTACCATGATCTATTTTTGCTTTGGTGCTTTGATTGCCTGTGATTTTGGTGTCATATCCAAGAAATAACTACTGAGACTAATGTTATAAAGTTTTCTCCTATGATTTCTTGAAGTTTTATGGTTTCACATCTTAGGTTTACGTTTTTAATATATCTTGAGTTGATTTTTGTGTATGATGTAAAATAAGTGTTCAATTTTATCCTTTAGCATGTTAATATCCAGTTTTCCTACCACCATTTGTTGATTAGACTATCCTTTCCTCATTATGACATCTTGGCATTCTTGTTAAATGTCAGTGACTGTATGTGCATGGGTTTATTACTGGGCTCTCTAGACAAACCAAAATGATGGGATGTTACCTCCAATGTTAGATTACAAAGATCATGGCTTTCATTGTGTCAAGTTCTCTCTCTCTCTCCATTTATTTGATGTAATAAAACATGTGAATGGCTGCTTCCTTATGGACAGATTCACGTGGCACGGAACTGATGGTGGCCTCTGCCAAATAGCCAGGGGAAACCTGAGGTCCCCAATCAACCTGCAAGGAATTGAATCTGGCCAGCAACCATGTCTATGAGATTGGAAGTGAATCTTCCTCCAGTCTCGAGATGACTGCAGCCATGACTGGAGCCTTATGAGATACTGTCAGCGAGAACTCAGCTAAGCCACACACAGATTCCTGACCCACAGAAACTGAGAAATTTGCCAATTTCTGCCTTGATTTTGATTATTGAATAACTACTTGAAGATTTAATTTTACATTGGTATTGGGGTTTTCTAGATCTCTGAAAACAAGCATGGTGACATGTATGTGTGTGTATAAGTGAGTGTTTTTGTCAGAGCAATTTGAAGAGGCCTGGGTGTAGAGCTGGGTGTAATGTGGGCCAAAGGCAAAGTTTATTTAGTTTTTTTTTTATCAAAGCAACAATAGAAAATCATTTTAATTCAAACATTCATTATCAAAACCACCTGATCTCTTCTGAGGTTTTGCTACGTTGATATTTTCTAAGTTATCAGGCTCATCATCTAAATATCCATTTGTTAAAGGAGATTTTTATCTCTTTACCCAACCTCTGTAACAGAATTTGACACTCTTTAAATTCATATGCTATGTAGGTTGGTATTCCATTGAAAAGCCATTTAGCTCTACAACGTAATGAAACAGGAATACTATCTCATGCAGATAATTATAATAATAATTTCTACTCCTTTAAGAAAAATAAGTGTTCAAACACCACAGTAAGGTACTTACCACATACAATCTTGTGGTCCAGGTTACATTTTGGCCTTGTCTTCCTAAACACAATGGGCAAGTTTCACAGCCTTTCTGCATCCAGGACCTCTGTCTTACCTTGGCTAATTCACTATCACAATTTCAGATATCTCTCTGTAGAGAAAAATGCAAACCAATCCAAGGTGCTGTGTCATGAATTTTATAGCAACAATAAACAATTCTTACAAATAAATATCACAAGTGAATTTGGATAATGAAAATGCATTTGAAATAATTGATTTGAGCACTTGTACAGCTCAATTCTGACATTCCCAATCTTATCTTCATTTTGTTTTTAAGGAGATTTCCATTCCTTGACATGTTTATTATTTTGAAACTAAGCCAGTGTTTTCAAAGCATTTTCATGCCAAGGATTCTAAACTAAGCAAATAAATATTATGCTACTTGAAACATTCTTAGCTTTACTTAGAAAACTAGCATACTGACATGTAAGCAATTGTTCACACACTGAATCTCTCATTAAAAACCTGCCATGTTAGTTAATAAATTTAAAACAACACTTTCAAGTCTGTCAATAGAATGAACAATCTCAATTTGTGAATCTCCAACCTTCACAAGGTGAAGGTTTTCACTACCGTCTACATGATCTCATATGCAGATTGACCTTCGGTTGCCAAATTTTGAGAACTGGGGTTCGATTTTATTAAGAGTTTAGCTAGGAGTAATGTTCAAAATACTTAACCAAAATATAGTAGAGGCACAAACCATCTTAGAGGACATTGACTGCAGGATTGGAATCTGCTTCTGGCCCCCAGTTATATCAGACATCATCTCTTCATCTGCTAGATTTTGAGAGGTATAGGGGTAGTCAGGACAAGATCATTTAGAGGTATAAGTTAGCAGTTATTTATCAGCTGACATGAAAATATTACAATACTTGCACTGTCAGTGAACTGGGATGCACTAACTAAATATCAAATCAAATTGCATTTGTTCTCTTGTGTCTTCATGGATTAACTAGCATTAATTATAAAACTCAGTCCCTTCAAAGGACTGTGAAGGGAAATCAACAACAACCAGCATATTGTACTTTTACTGAAGATTTGTAACTCACAAGGAGGGATAGCATATCTTAGCACATAATACTTTATTTAAAAAATATTCATAGGACTCTTCCCAGGGGCTCTCCAATCTGCTTCCGGTGAACAAATCTTTCCTAATTCTCACTGCTATGTTCCACTTGACTTCAAAGGTAGCAGAAGGAATTCTCTTTTTTTCTGAATATTCTCCTTCCTTAGCACTATTGGCATGTTAGATTGGCAATACTTTGTTAAGGAGGAAAGGAAAGGATTTAGCAGAATCCCTGGCCTTGTCCTACTAGTTCCTAGTAGTAACCTCTCCTGCCATCCCAAGCTGTGACAACTAAAACTATCTTCAGACATTGCCAAATACTCCCTGTAGGGCAAAAACTGTTGTTCTTATAGAAAGAAACTTCTCTAAACCTATTACTTATTTTTTAGTTAGACCAATTTAAAAGCTCTATTCAAGTGTCTTTAAACTTTCACGCAAATATCCTGGACTAGCTCAGAAAACAAAGGACACACGGTCCTAAAAAGGTAGTGAAGGGATTCTATTTTGCCATTATTTTTGGTCAAAGGGTTTCCTTATAACTACACAAAAACCTTGAATCTGATAGGTGTTCAATAACACTATTAATTCATAATTACAGGTAGCTTATGTTTCATGTATTCACAAGGTTGAAAAGGCTTTCAAAGGTTGAACACAACATATTGTGGTGTATATATAGTGTTTGTCCTGACAAGGTCTAAGTTATAATCAATCTTATACTTCATACTTTACTCTAGAATATTTATTCTTGGTTTGTAAACTCCTCAGGAATGAGAGAAGTTAGGTGATAAGCATGCCATTTGAGGGCTGCTCTTAGCCTATCTGCTTAATTTGGATATTCTTACTTCCTTGTTTAATAACCTTTTTACCGTTATTGATCTGTTACATATATGTCATATGTAAGTGCCATTAATTGTATATATTTTCCAGCTAAGTTTGGATCACTATAAGAAATTTGTCTTAAACCATGGTTGTACTTTTGTATAGTAAATTATCTTTGCGTTGCATTATGATTTGCTTCAGTAATTTTAGCCAAATCAGGTTTACTTTCCAAAAAAAAAAAAAAAAAAAAAAAAAAACCATCCAGTGGGACACTTATAAAGTGGGTAAAATTTGGGTTTGGTTTCCTGGGCCTCTAACAAACAATCACCGAAATTAGAATGTATAGAGATTACATGATTTGTGTATGATTCCATGATTAACTGAGCTATCAGAAAAATTGTTTTAACAATTATCCACAGACTTTGCCTTTATAAAGTACCTCAATGTCTTTTACCTCCTGTAAGTTTTATAAATTTGATTATATTTCACAGTAAGTAAATCTATGAAAGTTTGAGATGTATATCAGGCTTTAATACTCACAAGTATTTCAATATTATATATTGAAATGGTAAATAGAAATCTAGTTTCTGGAAAAAGCACAGAAATAAAAATTATGAAATTTCTAGCCAAAATCATGTATTAATTTTAATAGTTCATTAACATATGGCAAAAATGTTTGATACCAGAAAAAACATAATTTCACTAATAAAATACCAGCTACTTAAAATTATATGTAAAACTGCTGCTTTCAATTTTCATGGCAATGTCAGGATAAAAATCAACCTGAAAACCATACCAAAAACTACTCTGGAATGGTTTACTATTTCATACTTTTTTTTTCTCTACATAAATATGGATGTATTTTCAGCCATTAATTTTTGTGAAACTGGGCCTATCCAATAAAAACTCTCTAGAACTATTCCTTGACACAATTATATCTCTTACCACAAACTCAATTAAACATGTATAATTTTGATAAGATTCTTTTTCCCCAGGTTACTACATAGAATAGAATTGAAAGCACTTATATTAATTCTATAGACGCATCACCAGTTATATCGCTTCTTCTGGTATGTTTTTACCTCTTGATTTTTCTTTTCTCTTGGCAAAACTAAAAGATAAATGTGTTTAATTCAAACCAAACCCTTTTTAATGTATATTCTTCCCCTATGGAAAATTCTAATTGGGAAGATATAGTGGAAATAACACTAATGAGAAGTGTTTATAAAATCTAAATACAAAAAATGCTGATGACAATACAGCCAAATATTCCACAAGGAACAAAAGCTGATTTTGATAAACAAGCACAAAGAAACGTATTATAACAAATGTGAGTTTAATTTCATAATTTCTTTCAGATTTGCCTTTGCTTTTGGCTAGCTATATCGCCCATTAAAGATTATTTTTGTCTTTTAACTGCTGCTTTATTTTACACAAACTAGGGAAATATCGTCCCCTACTGTCCAATTCTGATAAGGTGTTTATAAGGAAACTTTTTGTTTCAATCTATCAAATTGTGGCTGTACCTGAGAACTCTTTGTAGATGATGGATCACAAAGACTGAAGTTCTTTCCTGTAATATTCATCACAGTCATTAAACTATTTTCAATTGCTTCAGTTGAATTATTTTCTAAAAGAGCTAATTGCTGACATATTTGAATAAACTATAAAACTTAGAAAGAATGTATGTTATTTTACCAATCCTTCTTAGTGTGAAGGAATACTACATTTATTCAGTAAAAAAAAGTGCATTCCTCCATTTAAAATGTAAATAACTATTTTATGTTCCCATCCATGACTACTTTACAAAATTATATGCTTTAAAAACTATGTTTTCTCTTAACAAAGCTTGTCACTCAATTATTATTTTGTCATGCATTAGAGAACAATATTTTATTTAGAATTAGAAATGTATAATTTATTTATAAAATAAGAAACTCATTCATTCCAGGTGACTGCAATTGACACATTTTTTAAAAAGAAGAGAATTTTCAAAAATATGCACCTATATGTTTAAAATACATTTATCTTCATTTCAATCCTTATTTGGATGTGATAATTATGCACTTTGGGCGGTAGACTTATAGCTATCCATATGGATTTTATACTTGTAACCTAAAGATAAATATATAAGGCAATTATATCTGTTTAAATTTAGATTAAATTCAAAAATTAACAAAGAAATACCACCTACTAATGGTTAAGGGGTTTGACCTGTTCCACTTACTTAATTACTACATTTCTTTGTCACCAGACTTTGTTACACTCAGCTGCAAGAAAGAGAACACATTTTGAACTGATTTATTTTTAAGCAAAATACCTTTAAAAATCAAGGATAATGTGTTATTTACTTCAGCTTTCGATCAACCTAAAGGGCAATAAATCCCTATTACTTTACCTCAAAATTGACAATTGACATCTCAGTCATTATCAAAACTCTGAAGATATATGGCTACAAGTAGCAGTGACAAAAAACCAAGATCCAATGTTGTGAGTGTCAGTTTATAATGTCTTTTGTTCCCACAGGTAGAATATTAAGGATTCAATTGAGAGCACTGTGGAAATCTAGACTAATAGTGTTGTTGCATGAAAAAAAGAAAGCAATCTCTATAAGAAGAGAGATAATAGTTAAATGGGTGAAATAATTGATAGATGCACCAACGCAAACCTCACCGAGTGGTTACCTATCTAATTTTCCCTGTTGTTATATGTTCCACAAAGATCAATGTAGATGTGGCCTGGGGAATCTGTCACTAATACTATGGGGCTCGAATCCAGGACAGTGTTGGATGATGTGCTTAGCCCCTTAAGAACAATATTCCAAACATCAATCCTGTTCTCCATGCTGCCACCTCTCTGTTTGGGGCTAAGCCATTGTTTATTCTCTGCTGAATGTAACATCTGTATGTTGAAAAAACAATTCATCAGTTTTAGAGCATATATTACAGTACTTCAGAGCATGTGCTTTAAAAAAAATGCGTAGAAGGATGTTCATGGGAGCGTTACAGTTAATGAACAAACTGAAATAGCCTGCGGTTCATCCAAAGGGGAATAGGGGAACTGGTTAGATAAATCCTGGAAAACACATGAAATGAATTACATAGGCAATTCCTAATGGGAGGTTCTGATTTTGCATGAATTATTTGTTTAGTATGTAATTTTCAATTAAAAAATCAGATTTGAGAATATAGTTAGAATAATATTGAGTTCACTATGTTTATATTTGTGAATATGTTTTTCTATCCACACATAAAAGAAAATGTCATTGAAACATTGAAAGTCTTTTTTTTTTCTTTTTTCTTGTTTTGTTTTATTTTGTTTTGTTTTATTTTGTTTTGTTTTGTTTTGTTGAAGACAGAGTCTCACTCTGTCACCCAGGCTGGAATGCAGTGGCACAATCTCAGCTCGCTGCAACCTTTGCCTCCCAGGTTCAAGCAATTCCCGTGCCTCAGCCTCTCAAGTAGCTGGGATTACAGGCACATGCCACCATGCCCGGGTGATTTTTTGTATTTTAGTAGAGATGGGGTTTCACCACATTGCCCAGGATGGTCTCGAACTCCTGAGCTCTGGCAATCCACCTGCCTCGGCCTCCCAAAGTGCTGGGATTACAGGTGTGAGCCACTGCGCCCAGCTTTTTGTTGTTGTTGTTCTTTAACATCTTGCTACCCTGCTTATCCTATCATGAGTAACGGTAAGAAAAACAATCAACACAAGAAGCAAAAACAAAACAACATTGAACAAAAGACTATATTAGAATTCAAGCAACTCAAGAATGCTCTCTCTCTAATTTTAGGGTATAATTTGATGTTTATGTGCTTACACATTTTATAATAATTCTGAAGTCTTACCCAAATTCTACATTACACTTTATTTTAAAAACTGTAGATAGACTTTTTCCAGCTTTACTGAGGTATGATTAACAAATAAAAATTATGCATATTTAAAGTGTACAATGTGATGATTTAATATACATCTGCATTGTCAAATGATTACCAAAATCAAGCTAATTAGTATATACATCACCTTATGTAGTTACCTTTTGTGTGTATGTGAGTGATAAAAACACAATCTACTGTCTTAGCAAATCGCAAGTATACAATGCATTATTATTAGTTATAGTCACCATACTGTAAATTATATTTCCAGAATTTATTCATCTTATTACTTAAAGTTTGTACCTTTTGATCAACAACTCCCCATTTCCAAAATCCTGACTGTTGAATTACAGTCAATTTCCAAAATATAAGAAAAAATTTAGACCAAGATTCTTGGAAAAGCATCTTACTTTAGTATTAGCAAAGGCTTAATAATACATCTTTCAACACAGACTCCTCTTTCCCTCAGAGCCAGTTTATTCTCAGAATGAGTCAAGTCAGAGAAATGAGTGTATACAATGGAGAATTTTGAGGCTTAGCCTGCCACTTTGTTATTTAAAGTAAGCTAAATTCCAATAAATTATTGTCAAGTTCAAAAAGAACTGTATTTACTCCTTTGTGACCCTTAGTCAAACTGTGTATAATGCTGTTTCCTGTACAAGAACCACCTGCACAGATAAGTCTTGATATATGTTCATGATCTTTTGGCAAAATATAATTCAACTTGATTTTCAAAGCCCTGTTATATTTTCCTCATCTTATAGATAGGGACTATGTTTGCAACACTGTTCAAACTAAAGGCCTAAACAAGATTATAGCAAGAGACATATTCTCTGTTTGTGAAAGGTATATTTACATCTAGTCAACTATATATATTTTAACAAATGTAATTATCTTTCTCATAAAAGTAAAGGCTATAAATAGATACAATAACACTAAATCAATATTTATTATCAAATGATCATCTTTACAGCCAGTTTGTTTTACACAAATATATTATTCTTTGGCCACAGACTTTGGCCCAAGTAAAATATTTTACCTTTGTAGGCCTTTTATTACCTAAGCGCCCAAGAGAGTGTTAATATTTTATCAAAGCTTATTATCATAACTTTTAAAAAGAACAGAAATTCTTCTGTATCATTCTCTGCATAGTTCTCTATGATATATATGAGGCTTCCAACCTCTTCAACCTCATCTAGTGTGTCCATCTCTTCAACATATCATCAAACAATCCTTTGAGGCTTCGTGTTAACACCCGCCGTTCCCTCTGTTCAGTGTCCTTGCCAAGCTCTTCACTTAGCTGGCCTCTACTATTCTTTCAAATAAAGGATATTCCTTCCCTGAGGCTGACCCATGCCAAGTAAACTCTTGCCACCTGCGAGTACTTTCTTTCAAAACTCTATTACCACAACACCCTGTTTGCTTTGTATCACTCTCCAAAATCTTTAATTTGCTCATTTATCATATTATTTTCTTATTTATTACGTGTCTCCTTCACTTGAATGGAAGCTCTCCATTGTATGTCTGGATTCTATCATGATGTCTGGCAATCAGTGGCTACTCAATAAATGAAAGAAACAAATTGCACACTGTATTTAACAGAGAGAAACAGAAAATGGACATATAAGACAATTACATCTAGTAATTCCCTTGAGTACTTTTTGTAACCAAAGGAGTCTGGAAGGGCAGTGTGGGGGCAGCGAAGAGAACATTTTTAAGCCTTTCATGCAGGTGAAAGGACATGGGCACTGTTACCATGAACATGAGAGCCAGAGTAAACTGATAGACACTCAGCTGGATCCAGAAGTGTGAATGAGACAGGAATAGAGTGTGAGCTAGAATGACCTGGTGTTGATGATCTGGAAAGATATTGTAAGGGAATGATTTGAAATTCTGTATTTGAATTGGGCTTAAAGAAGTTTATGGCAGAGGCAGAAGATATGACTGAGGACTTAAAGTAAAAATAACATTTCTAAGTGAAAACACATGATCTGTTTAGACAAAGTTTCAATTTAATTAATATTTAGATTGGGCTACCAACCTGAAAGAAATCCACAGGATTAGTTTTCAGAAATGGTAGACTATGGGTTTCAAAGTGGACAGTTAGTCTCATTGTTACATGTGGTGACATTGATCATTGTGAAATCTCAGTAAAATCCTGACTTTATAAATAGTTCAGTAAAACTAGATAGAACCACAACAAAGGAGGTAAGAGAAGAGGAAATAAGATAAGACTAATCAAGCCATCAAGATTTTCTCCTCAGTGGCACCCTTAGTGAATCACGCAATTGCAGACACTTAGCTCAGCTTCTTAGTTTGGCAAAGTTGTTGATGGCCTAGACTGATCCCCACAATGTAGAATAATAGTGACAATTTTGTACTTTTTTCCTTTTAAAATAGAGGATTTTCACCCATACTTGATTAGGGGAGGAAATTTGTTTTATTCTATAAAAGTACCAGCAAAACAGATGTAAACAGATTTAAAATTTCAAAACACAATTTTCTAGATTGTATCTTCACTTTGTAAAATGACTGTACCCTGTGATGAAATTATAAGCCCTTGCTTTCAATTTCTTCTACTTTGAAAATAGTTACTCAGAGCTCTGCCCAATCTGGAACATAAATACATGTATGGGTGTAAATTGTCCTTTTAATATGTGAAATTTCGTATTTCTTGTGTTTATTGACTTACTCATTCTTGACTCTAATAAAATTTCACATGCATCTGTAGCCTTTATTCACATTTAAGGTTCCTACTGGTAATTCCTCCTAGAATTCTCTGAGAATGTTTGAAAAACTAACAAATGACAAGAAATATTTTGCAAATAATCAGAAAATGGGTTTGTTACTTGTTACTATTATCTGTTTTTCTTTTCATATTTGTGTGACATCAAAACAAGCAGATACAACACGAATTCATTTATTTAATTGCTAGCTGGGAGCAAGTCATTGGATTCTGACTGACCTCTCTGTACCTCAGTAT
The DNA here is from genome assembly GCF_000001405.40 of Homo sapiens. Classification (NCBI taxonomy): domain Eukaryota; kingdom Metazoa; phylum Chordata; class Mammalia; order Primates; family Hominidae; genus Homo; species Homo sapiens. The sequence continues at coordinate 52,361,910 of NC_000005.10, forward strand.
TCTCCTCTGTAAATTCAAAGAGTAGTATCTACTTAATAAGGTTCTTATGAGCATTAAATGATTTAATCTTTGTAAAGTATTTAGAATAGAGCCTAACACATAGTAAGCATTCTGTAAATATAACTTATTACATATTTATGAAGATTCATCTTAAAGAATGTTGAAAATTAATATGGCTCCTCTTTATATAATTTCTAAAGTTTCCATTTGCTTTGGCATAGGGTTGAAATAAAGTAAGATTCACAGAAACTCGCTCAGGTCAACAATCAGATTTCAGTGCTATAGTTAAATTATAAATTGGCAGTATTTGGTGCCTTCTTGTTCTCTCTAAACATAATCAAGGATTTTTATTGTCATTTAGCATACTACTGAATATCAAACAGATTAGCTTTTGACCTAATCTATACACGGGAAATCTTCAGCTTTATGAAGGACTTCTAATGTGGTCCTATCGTCTTTTTCAGCCTGTTAATTGACAGAGGCTGTAAAGCAGTCCCCTTATATTGATATTTCTTTCTCTCAGACATGATTCAATGGAAGAGTTTTTCAATAATTCTTTCAAGTACTCATAATGCCCCTATCCTGGAAACTAAAAGAACTTTCCAAAAGACTTCTTAAATCACATACAAAATAGCTTTATGCTTTTAGTTTTCTTTTAATTTCAACTAGTTACATAGTATTTTTCACACTCTGCTTTGATCTACAAAAGTGTATTTTTCATCTGGTAATGGACATAGATTGTCTTGTGGTATCCCCAAAAATCAGCGATGAGAAATGTCCAACTACATTTCTTTTTCTCATACTGTATCTTCATATTGATATTCACTTTTCACAAAAATGTCCTCACTTGATTTTAGCCTGAAGAAAAAACTTAATTAAATTCATTCAGTGTTCTTTATATCCATCATAGAGTTAAAGAAGTGGATTCTTTCTTTCAATTAAAGTGCTGGCATTAGCACGAGAACTGCTACTACAACTACTTACATGAACTAACATTTATCCATTGTTTATTAAATGTTAAGTATTTTATGTGTAGAAACTTACTGAATCCACATAACAATCCTTTAAGATATGGTTATTTTTGTACTTATTTTACATATGAGGAATTGAGACAAAGAACTATTAGGTAACTTGCTCAGGATCACAAAGCAAGTAGGTAGAAAGTCAGAATTTGAATACAGAGCCCAGAATTTGAATACAGAGCACAGACTATGATTCACTTCACTGATTGAGTATTATAATACATATAATAACTGCAGAGGAAAGGTAACAATTTACTGAGCTAAGTGATTGATAGGTTGTCAGTTTCTCAACAGTGGAATATAAGACGGAAATATGATGCCAAAGTCAGGGTTATTCTTCCTGGAGCATACTATCCTCCCTCATGTATTTACTAATGTCCTTTTGAGATGTGCATTGTGTTTATGTTACATTAAATTATAGCAAATAAAAATATAAAAAATAATGATTTATGTATATGTAAATATTAAATTATTAGGAAGTTTAAAAAATCAAAACATTGCCCTCCTCCCCCCAAACTGATTCATGCTATCATGAATCAGTAGCATCTCACATAATTGTGCTTAAATTAATCAAGAGCATAGATTGATCGGAAGTTTTTCAGATAAAAATGTAGATGTTAACCAGCATTGTCTCAATCATAGACACCCATTTCCATACTGCTTTAAGAGTTTCCTCTAATCTAGTGTTATATCTATTAATTGGCAGAGAGCACTCTAGTTTAGCTAAAATTTTCCTCCAAATTCTCAACATTCTTATTGTACATTAATCTGTTTACTTCATGAAAGCTAGAATTGAGATGTTTAAAATATTAGCATATTTCACTTTTTAATATTTGTCATTATTGCAGGAGTAAAGTGGTATCTCATTGTGGTTTTAATTTGCATTTCCGTGATTATTAGTGATGTTGGACATTTTTTTCATATGTTTGTATATCTTCTTTTGAGAAATATCTATTCATATTCGTTGCCCTGTTGTATGAGATTTTTTTTCTTGCTGATTTGTTTGAGTTCCTTGTAGATTCTGGCATACGGAGTGATATAATAGACTTTAGAGACTCATAGTGGGAGGCTGGAGGAGAGCTGGGGGGGAAACTACACATTAGGTACAATGTACACTACTTGGGTGACGGGTGCACTAAAATCTCAAAATTTACCACTGTGTAATTCACCCATGTAACAACAACAACAAAAAACACTTCTATCCCAAGAATACTGAAATAAAAATTAATAAAATAAAATAAAATATTAGTATACCCAATTTAAAAGGTTACTGTGACACATTACACTGTATCCATAAAATTGACTGATGTCCTAAAATATAAAATAAGGAAAAATGGCAAGAATACAAAAGTTTGACTCTCGTGCACTGAGCACCATCTCATTCATATGTGGAACAGTCCTCTGCATTTACTTTTTGGAAATATTAACCCAACCTCCATAGTAGAAGTACAGAGAGAATTTCACCACAATACAGTAGTGCTACATATTTCAGAGCCAAGATTGAAAATTCTGAGTGAAATCACACTGTAAACAGAAATTCAGCAGCTTCTGATCACTTGCGGAGCTTCATATTCACAAAGAGATAAGAGATGCCACTCCCGATCTACTGGTCTCTGAATGCTGCATTTCCCTGAAAGTAAGACTGTGAACATTATAGAAAGCTCTGTAAGAGATTATGATACATGGCCTGAATTGAGGTTTTATACTCTTGGTTCTAAAACATGGATTCTAGACAAAAGCCTGAATGCATCCGAGTTAATGTATCTTTATAGTTTTGTGTTCCACTAGCTTACAGTACTCATGAAGTTGTTTGTTTCACGATAGATCTGCTGCCTTCAATTTGGATTCATTATGCCGGATATGAAGTGGTGTCTTGGTTATATTCTCATTGTCCAAACAGACTTTCAATAGCAAGTCTCACGTAACGACCTCTGCATCATTTCACTTCTGAGAAGATCTTACTTCTCCAGGGTTTGAATTTGAGAAAAAGCAATGCCTTTAATAAACGTATAAACTCAAAAATAGGTGAAAAAGTCTTTTGTATGTCTGAAATAACTCTCAATAAGCCTCTGCTTTAATGTTTTCTACTTCAATCCTAAAATTTATACTCAGTTCCTTTTTTGACTCATATTTTAACTAGCTCTTTTAAAATCTTGGTTATCTTGTTTCCTTGACAACAGCAGATGAGAGGCAGTAATTTAAGGGGTGGGAAGAAAGGTTGGTTAATGTTAAAGAAACTAAGAGAAGAGGTGGAATTTGAAATGCAGAAGAATGATACTCTCATTTTGAGGGATGAAGCAGAAAAAAACTAAAAGTAAACATCAACTCTAATAATATACAGTATAATACTTATGCTCATAATGACTCCAAGTCAACAAGAAAAGGTTAAATTAACTTTAGAATTGTCCATAAAGAAAGTCATGAAATTAAACAATAATTCTGGAAAGAGCTCTTAAAAATAATCTTTTGGCTGGGTGAGGTGGCTCACACCTCTAATCCCAACACTTTGGGAGGCCGAGGCGGGTGGATAATCTGAGGTCGAGAGTTTGAGACCAGCCTGGCCAATATTGTGAAACCCCATCTATACTAAAAATACAAAAAATTAGCCTGGTGTAGTGGTGGGCACGTGTAATCCCAGCTACTTGGGAGGCTGAGGCAGGAGAATCACTTGAACCCGGGAGGCGGAAGTTCCAGTGAGCAGAGTTGGCACCACTGCACTCCAGCCTGGGCACAACAGAGTGAGACTTCGTCTTGAAAAAAAAAAAAAAAAGAAAGAAAAGAAAATCTTTTAAAGCCTTGGTTCTTGAAGGAGACATTTAGTGCAACAAGCAGTTCTCATATGTAGAAATGTTTATGCATTAATAGAATAGATTAATGAAGTATTTTACTTAAATATTTTATACCTTAATAATAATTCTCTAATTCAATCACTTAGTTCTTTCACAGACATTTATTGAGCATTACCATGTGTCCAACTTTGACTTCTATTTTGAGCTATGCCAAGGTGAACACAATCTCTTAAAGAAGTAAGATATTAACCAGGAAATACAAATGGAGTAACACTACTACTGTAGTAAGTGGCATCCAAGAGAGTATATCGTATTCTGAGCATTTGATAAGGAATGTCAGCTGCATTAGGAAAGTAGAAAATAATTTGTACAGATACCTAGAAACTAACTATGCATGATGATAGGAATGAAGGGGAAGATTTGGAAGAATGAGTAGGGAGAAGGGACAGAGAGGAACATGTCAGCTAATCCAAGGACCTGTGGTCAGAGGGCACAGGGCAACCAGGAAGAGACCTCAACAAGAGTTGAATTGTACACACATGCTACCAATAGGATACACACTTTATCAGCAGCTAATAAATGTTCAAAGCACTAAATTGAGTTCTAGATTACCCCCAGCAACTGAACAACCTTGAGATTTTCATTTTTTTGTGTGAAGAGAACACTTTAAATCTAAGTAAGTGCAAATCTTGAACAGAAATTAGTTTTTAATTCTGTGAGTTAGAACCATATCTTAACAGTTTAGCACTATAAATCAAATAGCCTAGATGATGTTGCCTACTGTATGACTTAAGCCCCTCAAACTCAAAATGTCTAAAACTGAATTGTCAGTATATACCATAAAAGTATTACCCACTCTGCTTTTCTTTCTCAGTAAATGGTACTGCCGTTTATCTAGTTTACTCAAGCCAGAAATGTAGCTATTACTTATATAAGTCTCTAAGAAATGCATGGAATAATCCTATAAAGGTAGTTTTTGTATGTTGTGCCATAGGCATCTCATTTGTAAAAGAAATGTTAAAGAAAGTGCTGGCAAATGATAGTTAAAGGAATAGGTAAGTATAATACTTTAAAAACCATAAAACAGTGATGTATCTCAGGGTCCCAATCTTAACTCATATCACAAGTTAACGAACAAAAAAAAGTATTTATTTTTATACATACTTCCATGTTCTTTACAGGTCATGGTTAAAGTGGAGGAAAGAACCACAGGTTTAATTCAGATTGAAATTGTCTCATCTGAAAAATTAAATACTGCCTTTAATTTTTGCTTATTCTCTCGAGAAAAAATATCTATAACCATCTCAGATTTCAAAATCTTTTCTTCTTTTCCCTCCTATATGAGAGAAAGATTGTAGTCTCCTGGTTCCTAGTGTGGATGGATGAAACCTATTCTTTATCTGAGTGTTGTCTGTCTGTTGGTTTGCTGTAAGTCTGTTTTGGGTATGTATCAAGGGTGTGTCTCTCTAGACTGTGTTCAACACAATGCAATGCCCCTGTGGAAGCTTCTCACATTGGTCCTCATTGACGACTAAGATAGTTCTTGGGTCTCTTTCGACTCATTTTGGCCCCAGCTTAGAGGGCATAGTCCACAGATTTTACTCCCACTGCTGTGCCTCCTCTGGCAAGATGTGCAGACAGACTCTCAGCCACTTCTAAGCCCTGACCTGGCAATCCCTAGGGCTTGAGGGGGATGAGGAATCCCCTCAATATTGCTCAATATTGATAAACTAAGGCATCTTACTGTCTGTACATGTAACTCCCCATTTTCTGGGCCTTCTCCCAGAGTCTCCAGTAGAGAACAAAAGCAAGTCCCAATTTGTCAGTGTTATTATCACTTATCTGATTTATCTTCCAGTCTTGTAAGCATACTTGAAATCCAACTAAATCTCCCTCATATATATATTTTCTCTTTCCTGCTATATCCCAGAGCAAGAATGAGATGGGCTTTTGTCTTAGTGATACTTCCTCTCTGATTTATCCTGTTTATTTCCAATTGCAATACCACAGTGAAATCAAAATAGACAACAGGACTAATTTTCTCTACACTGCTGGAGAATTCCGGGAGTGCATTCTCAAGACTTAAACTTCAATATGCTAAAGGAAAAGAAAACAGAACCTAGAATACCTCTCAATATTTTGGCCTGGCTTATAAGAATTCTGTCTTGCTGCATAAGTCTATTTTGTATGCCAGGGGTTGAAAATACATTTTTCTTATTCCTTGTATTTCTTCTGTAACAAAATTATATTTTAATTCTGATATAGTCTGTATATTTGTCCCCTCCCAAAGCTCATGTTGAATTGCAATCCCCAATGCTGGAGGTGGAGCCTGGTAGGAGGCGTTTGGGTCATGGGGTTAGATCCTGCATGGCTCAATGCTGTCTTGTGATAGTGAGTTCTCACAAGATCTAGTCATTTAAAAGTGTGTGGCACCTTCCTCCCCATTCTCCCTTTTGCTCCTGCCTTCACCACATGACATACCTGCTTCCCCTTTACCATTCATCATGACTGTGAGCTTCCTGGGGCCCTCACCAGAAGCTGATCAGATGCTGTGCCATGCTTGTCCAGCCTGAAGAACTGTGAGCCAATTAAACCTCTTTTCTTTATAAATTACCAAGTCTCAGGTATTTCTTTATACCAATGTTAAGAACCACCTGATGCACATTCCCTTACTCCTGCTGCACTCCAGGTAGATGAATACTATTCCTGTCATTGCCTAATTGTTCTTACCTTGATTCCTTCTCCCTTTTTTTACAAACTATGTTTCCTGGGCTCCTTTGCCACATTTGGCTAAGTTGAGTCAAATAGAAGCCCTGGTGGATACAAGTATCTGGGAAAAGCCAGGGTAGTTCTCAATCTTTTTCTTTCCTTTGGGGGATGCTTTTCTTGGTTTCTCCTCCTCCCTTCTACCTCTCCTCCACGCACGGTTTTAGATTTTGCTGGGCAGACCCTACTATAGCTTTAAGTCTTACCCGAAAACCCAGGCTCCTGGATTAAGATAACACCATCTACAGTTTTTGTATTTGTAACCCTGGGTGGTAGAATTTGTTAATCGAATATTGCTTAACTCTTCCCTGTTTAACTCCTGTCTCTCTTATATTAAATTTCCTAAAATTATGTATTGTCTTGCCTGGATCATGATTGACACAGATATATGAGGTCAAATAGAAACAATGCCATGTATTTGGAAAGGAAGCAAGGGAAAGCATATCATTTTCCTCAACATATTTACATTACAATATTTTTAAATTAGTTAACAAGATGTTTTGTTACTCATTTTTCTCATAAATTTTCACACTTGCCTAGGTATATAGTTCTCATTGTTCCCAAAAGACCATGCATTTCTTCAAGCTAAGGTCTTATAATTCATTTAGATTCTTCACATTTCTTAGAACATCCTATGTGGTCCCTAATAGTTAGAGAGCCCCTACAAGATAACAAGATTTTTTTGAAAAATCACTCTTCAGTTTACGGATTTGGATAAAATGTGGTTTTGGTAATGGCCGCGAACCCGTATCCCTATGGATCTTCGGCAACCTCAATTCTTCCCTCCTCAGAAGAAAGAATTTGACTGAGGGGCATAAGGCAGAAGGAGGGGCAAAGGGCAGGTTTTAGAGCAGGTGTGAAAGTTTATTAAAAAGCTTTAGAGGCCGGGCGCTGTGGCTCACGCCTGTAATCCCAGCACTTTGGGAGGCCGAGGCGGGCGGATCACGAGGTCAGGAGATCGAGACCATCCCGGCTAAAACGGTGAAACCCCGTCTCTACTAAAAATACAAAAAAAATTAGCCGGGCGTAGTGGCGGGCGCCTGTAGTCCCAGCTACTTGGGAGGCTGAGGCAGGAGAATGGCGTGAACCCGGGAGGCGGAGCTTGCAGTGAGCCGAGATCCCGCCACTGCACTCCAGCCTGGGCTACAGAGCGAGACTCGTCTCAAAAAAAAAAAAAAGCTTTAGAGCAGGAAGGAGAAGAAGGAAGGAAAGGACACTTGGAAGAAGGCCCTGCAGGCAACTTGAAAGACAAATGCACACTTTGACATTTTGACTTGAGGGTTTTTTGTTTGTTTGTTTGTTTTTGTTTTTGTTTTGAGGTGGAGTCTCACTCTGTTGCCCAGGCTGGAGTGCAATGGCTCAATCTCAGCTCACTGCAACCTCCACCTCCCAGGTTCAAGCAATTCTCGCGCCTCAGCCTCCTGAGTAGCTGAGATTACAGGCATCCACCACCACGCCCAGCTAAATTTTGTATTTTTAGTAGAGACAGGATTTCAATGTGTTGTCCAGGCTGGTCGCAAATGCCTGACCTCAGGTGATCCGCCTTGGCCTCCCAGAGTGCTAGGATTAGAGGTGTGAGCCACTGCACCTGGCGTGACTTGAGGTTTTATATGGAGGCTGAGGTAGTAGAATTGTTTGAACCTGCGAGGCAGAGGTTGCAGCGAGCCGAGATCATGCCACTGCACTTCAGCCTGGGCGACAGAGCAAGACTCCATCTCAAAAAAAAAAAAAAAGAAAGAAAAAGAAAACATTATATTTAGCCTATGCTAATAGCTGCCTTTCCCCCATCTCTGATATACAAGTGGGGCGGGGGGTGGGTGCAAAAAGAGACACACGTGGAGAAAACCAAAGAAATGACAACTAAGAGATAAAGTTGTAATATGCATCTGTACAGTGCATTTAAATAAAATTTTGCTATTTCAGTAGAATTCAAAAAGCTGTTGCACCATGAGAAAGAAGGAGATAATTCTTCTCTTACGCAATTAATGATGCTGTTTCTACAAAACCATAGGATTGTTTTTCATCCTCTCATTACCAGAAAGACACAAACTAGAGGGAGTCCAAATAATTGCGAGGGCTTTGCAATCATTGACTTATTTACTAAAGAAGCTAAATACATATTGATTGTCTAAACGATAATGGAGAGACAGAACAATAACAATCCATGGATGTTTGAAACGGATAAAAGCATCTATATCCTCCCTGCCATTAAAACTGAACTAGAGCCCTAAAGGTCATTTCGTGGGAGGATTTGGACAACAAAGAGAAAAAATTTTCACATGCATCTTATCTCAAATGTCAGGCCTGCATTAAAATAATTAGTAGTTAAAAGAGGTACCAGATAAAAAGATAGGATTCCTACCATAAAAGAAAATGTATAAATCAATATTATATATATAGGTTTTATATGTGTGTGTGTTATACTATATATAACCTATTAAATTATATATTTAAACTGTATGGTACTTAATACATATAATTATATATAAAATGTTGGTGTAAAAATATATTTACACTATATATAAAGTGATGTAACTTGATATATACAGTGTAAATTAATGCATAGTGCACAGTAGGCACCATCCATCACTGCTACCAAATTGCTTATAAAACAAAACTTTGCCTGTAATCCCAGCACTTTGGGAGGCCAAGGTGGGCGGATCACGAGGTCAGGAGATCGAGACCATCCTGGCTAACACGGTGAAACCCCGTCTCTACTAAAAATACAAAAAATTAGCCGGGCGTGTTGGCAGGCGCCTATAGTCCCAGATACTCAGGAGGCTGAGGCAGGAGAATGGCTTGAACCTGGGAGGCGGAGCTTGCAGTGAGCCGAGATCACGCTACTGTACTCCAGCCTGGGCGACAGAGCGAGACTCCGTCTCAAACAAAAAAAACAAAACAACAACAAGAAAAACTTTGCTTTCTCTCTAAAAACAAATAAAGGCAGCTCCTTCTTTACGCTTCCCTAAGATATTGTCAGAAGACTAAAACCTCTATCTTCATTCACTTTTTTCTTTTAAATCCATGCTGCTAAAACTTTTCTCCTTTAATTTATATTTTTTGCTATTCTCTTCTAGAATTACTGTTTTGGAAAATTATCTAATCACTTAAGTTCATCTTAATTTCTTTTGATAAATGTGATAGCTTCATATTGAGTGTTTGCTTCTTACAGAGAATTGTATGAGGTTTCTAGGCAGGTTGATTATATGCTATTACTCTGGAAGTGTTTTCACCATTTTTCAGCTATAATGACAGACTGTGAATAAATCATGTGACGTGCCGAATCAAATCACCAATAGTCACCTAATCATGAAATCAAGTGAAAAAATTTAGGTTAGCTTCTTGTCCCCTATGCATTATCCTATCATTATTAGTTTTTTCTACCTTTCTGACCATTCATTCTTTTCTGTCTGTTTCAGTCTATGATATCTTTTTACTGGTCCTTTCCTTGCTAATATGTGTTTTATGCCATAGTTAGATCTTTACTCTTCCCTCTCCATATCCCCTTCCTCATTGGCACCTAACTTCAGTGCCATGAATACAGCATAGAAGTTAGTATCTGTCTTGCCAAAATCTGGTATCTGTAGCTTAGACTTTTTCTGTGTCACAGACACACCCTTGTTTTCATCTATCTACTACCTAAGAGACGGCAGAATGTAATGGATCCAAGTATGTACTCTGTAGTCACAATAACTGAATTTAAATCCTGCCCTATTTAAATGTATAAACCTAGAAAATTTACCTGTCCATTGTGTACTTCATTTTCCTTGCATACAAAATAGAAATAATAATCTGATTATGAGTACCTATCTCGTTGTGCTTTGATGATGAAAAAAACTAAAATAAATAATTTTTCTTTTTTCCTTTCATCCTTCCTCCCTTCCAATTCAGTAAAATAGCCATTAGCATGTCCCAGTGAGTTAAGAAAGCAGCCTGGTGGTAGCCGGGACCTATATAAATATGGCACTAGAGCAAAGTAGAAGGGAGCACAATGGCAGCAGAGCATGGTGGTGGCCCAGTGAGGTTAGAGAATGGATCGCATACAAAGAAATCGAGTGAAATGTATTGAGGATAAAGGAAAACCAGACCTGGCGCAACAAAATGAAGTGCTAAAAAAACACATGAAAGCAGTTTGAACAGGTTTTAACTGGTCAAATCCGGAAACATTTGAACACCAAAATAAATCACAAAAATAATAGATTATAATTCATTACATGAAATTTGAAATCCATGAGTACATATTGATATAAATTAATTAACAAATGAAGAAAAGAAAAAGCTTTCCTTTATAGTAGAGTGACTATTAAATATATAGAAGGAATGATGGAATTAGAAAAGTCACTATAGTATTTAAAAATTATCATAATGACAATTCTTGCAAGAAATAGCATGGCTGCCAAAACTATTAGATGAGTGTAGGAGGAAGAACAAGATTTACATATTCTATCCTCACAAAATCCTTATTAATTATGGAGGAAAGAAAAAGTAATTTTCTAGTCTAGAAACACAGAGGACATCATCACAGGCAAATCAAAGTCACTACTGCCTATAATGGGACAAACTAATGTCATTTGATCCCCAAAAGAATACAATGATAAAAAGTACAGTGTCACTATGATATTCTGGCCAAAATGAATAACATGGATTTCATCATGAGAAAATTTTAGAAAAACCCAAATTAAGGGGTATTTTATAATAAAATAGGGCCCTGTAGTATCCACACATACGAAGTTCATGAAAGTAATTGAAATATGTATGATTCATATATAGCTATTATACATAAACTGATCACTTTATATACTTCATTTTACTGGCTCTATACTAGACAATGAAATAGTTATGTATATATAATATATATATTTAGCTATTTATAGCTATATATGAATATATATGAATCATATATATTAATATGAATATATATTCATATATATGAAAATGCATATAGATATATATGTATATTCAATTCATGATCAAGCTTCACCTGTTGCTCTGTCCTATCAAGTATTCATATATATATTAATATATATGTAACTAGTTATATAAAAATATATATCCATAAAATATATATATTTATATATATAGCTATTTACATATGTGTGTGTGTGTGTGTGTATATATATATATATATATATATATATATATATATATATATAGTGAAGAACTGATTATCCACTTCATTTTACTGGCTCTATACTAGACAATGAAATAGCTATATGTATTTTTTATAGCTATATATATTTGTATACATAAATATATAGCTATAAAAATATAATTTTTATATGGCTATATATATTCACATATGTCTTATATGTGATGACATATCTTATCACATGTATATATAGAAAACATACATATCTTACAGCCATACATATGGCTATAAAAAGCATAGTTGGGGTGATTGCCAAAATTTGCATGGGGCCTCTGGATGAAGAATAAACAGGAGTTTGGTTGGTTTGGTTTATATTATTCATACAACTTTTCTGTAAGTTTGAAATTATTTCAAAATAAAACAAAAAATGAGTCAGTAGATATTAAGCAACTTAGAAAAATGATTGACTCATAGTAAGCACTCCATAAGATCTTTATTATTGATAAAGGATGGGTCTTTATCTCTAAAGACAGTAGTAGAGGAAATGACTTAGGATATGTAGGCAAAGCCAAAGGATGAAAAACTTTTATCGTTGCTCTAAAACAATTGTACATTATTCTCTTGTAAAATCAAGGGAAAAAAGCTCATAAGTATGATTTTCAAATATTGCCTTTGTAACTGTGAAGAACCGATTACTTTATCCACTTTATTTTACTGGCTCTATACTAGACAATGAAAGCTCACTTGTTGTTCCCCTAATACACCATGTGATTCCATGTTTCATAATTTTCCTTAAATTATTTTTCTTACTGGAATATCTTTCTCCTGGTTGTCTAGTTGAAAAAAATTTCAGCCCATCATTTAAGACAGTTTATTCCTCATCCACCCTTTCACTCCTCCATACAATAGCCTCTATTGTTACACTGACCCTAAGTGTCTGTTTAGCAATCTTTCTCTTTTCTTAGATTTGAACTCCCTGAGGGTAGAAACCAGAATGTTTCATTTTATTTTCTCATCTCAAGAACACACCATGATATACACCATATGATTAATGCTCAATTATGCTTTATATTGAAATAATTAATGAATGCAGCTGTTTGTTCCATAGGGGCAATATAATGCAGTATTAAGAGTTCAGGGTATTGAATAAAGAAAGATTTGATTAATGCTCAATTATGCTTTATATTGAAATAATTAATGAATGCAGCTGTTTGTTACATAGAGGCAATATAATGCAGTATAAACAGTTCAGGGTATTGAATAAAGAAAGCCCAGAATTAGACACCATCTTCTCCACTCATAGCTGTGGGCCCATTTGCAAGTTACACAATATCTCAAAGCCTTAATTTCCTCATTTATACAATAGAAATAATAATGCTTACCAAGTTGTACAGTTTAATGTAAGTATGCAACTTATGTCAAATTTCTACCTTCTCTTGTGTTGTGTAGTCCTGCCTTTGGAGACTATTACTGATTGTTGGTACCTTAGGATTTTCCCAGCCTGCTCTCATCAATCTTAACATACCCAGTGACAATACTGGGGAAAAAGATATCAGGTCCCATATCATACTACAATATGTTTTTGAATGATAATTTAAAATACATTTAACATTAATTTTCTAGCTAACAAAGTTTTTCCCCTTCTAATGGGATCCCCATGAATTAAACTTTACTAAAATGTATTTTATTGTCAAAAGAAATTATAATTTAATAATTTAATATTAAAACAATGTAAAATTTTAACTAAGTATAAATTTGTTTTCTAAATCTAGGATGGTAGATTTTAAATTTGATTTTGATTATTTTGAAAAGCACCATTTTACTTTTTTTTTTTTTGTTTTTTTTGGTTCCTTGTGATCTCCGACAATGATATTAATCTCAAATGAACCAAATTATTGCTGAACTTACACTCTAAGAAATATGAATGATATTAAGCATTCTTACCTAAACAGTATTTTGTTTGCAGAACTCTACTGTTGTAAATAAAAAGGCTGTTATGTGTCAACCATGCAAGGTGATATGTGCAGACAGAGCATAGTCTTCTACCAAGTATGAAGGTTAAAATAAAAGGTGCAATTTATGTGCAATCTTATGCATATATTCATTGCATTTAGTTTCTTTACAAAAACAGTCTCTCAAAAATACCATCAGTTCTAACTTTAAATATGGTATTGCTGGAAGTAGTATATAGAAATGCCATCATGCTTATCATGGTGACATTTTTAGCCATTAAGATTTAATGTCCACCTAAATTGTAAAGTGATAAATGTAATAATGAATGAAAAAAATAACACCACAGCTTCATCAATCAACTTCTACGTTGCCTTTGGAAACATTCCACACCAACGATAGGTGAATTGATAGAGTTTAAAGTTCATAACATATTCGTAAATAAGATCAAGGTTGAACTTCACCACAAAAGAATGCGCTTCAAAATAAGAAAGAAATGTGGTCTTAAGACTAACCCTACAGTGACGGTCCTTGCATCATGATAGTTAAGTATGTGGACTCCAGTGAAATGCCTAGATGTGATACTGGTTTACGACTTAAGTGTTTGACTGGATCCAATTACTTACTCTCTCTCACTCTCAGTTTCTCTGACTTTTGTAGTACATATCTCAGAGTGATGCAATGAATATGTACATAGAAGAGTGTCTGGCACTTAATTAGCATTCAATAAATCTTAGCTATTAGTGGTGATTGATTCCTAACTGAACTGTAGAATCTCAGCAAATTCATTTAATATTTCTTTGTGTTCACTTTTTTCTTCTGTGTATAATGTAGATAATAACTTTTCAGTTTATATGAGGATTAAATGAGAGTATGTATTTGTATACCTAGCATACAGTAGCAAATACAATAGGTGCTGTTAGAATTAGTACTTGAAAGGTTTAAACTTATCTTAAATGTCTTACTTATTCCCGGGCATCACCCTTGACTGCGAAAATCAACACAGAAGTTTATAAACAAGACTGTGAAGCAGTGGAATGCCGAGCAAGATCAGTTAGCTAATATGAGGGCAAAACCCATAAGGGACAGTGATAGAAAGCAACTGAGACAAAGCTACCTTAGTTTATAGAAGCCTCCTCGTCCTCTCTTGGACAAGTCGGAAATAGCCCAGTGTCTTCCCTTGGCCTCGCGGTCAGATTTACTAATACATTCATTTGCTCATGAATTCGACAGTTATTGAGTGCACCCTGCATGTTGAACACTGTGCTGGATCCTGGGGTTGCCGTGGTGAGCGAGGCAGACACAACTCAAGTCTATGTGGAGCTTAAAGACTGAGCAACACATGAGCTCATCACAGTTGCCACATAAGGACTTTATTTTTTCCTAAATTTGCATATATTTTTTTAAAAAAAGTAAAGAAAAGTAATATTAACAACATCTAACAACTGTTGAGCATGTCTTATGTGTCAAAAATTGTCACAAATACTTTACTTGCATTACTTCTAATCCTCCCAATAATCCCATAAAGGGGGCACTATGATTACACCTCTTTACAGTTGAAGCATTTGGAAGACAAACACTAAGTCATTTGTTCAAGATAATGCAGCTGATATCTGAGAGTTAGGATCCTAAGCCAGGTCTTTGGGCTCTCAACTCAATGTTCTTAACAGCAATCCTTTTATTCATTATGAATTTTGAAAAAGCTTTGTAATTTCAATGTTTATAAGGAAAGAGGAAAGAAAGAGCTTGTAAATTTTAGTCAAGCAGAAGAAAGCAGATGAATTAGTAATCATCCACCCCCACCCCCCAGAAAAATAGAAAACTGAAAAAAAAGTTTCACTTGCTTGCATAGGTTGCCAGATTATGCTGCATGTCATGGAAGATGAGGGTAGGGAATGTGTGAAGTATTGATTAAAATATTTCCATATTGGTGATTTATTGCAATCTATAACTTATAACAGCTTTAGATATATTTCTAAAAATTATGTAGAACTTGAATTGTTACTATTAAAATGTTAGTTTTATTTTAAATAAGCTCAGAATTAAAATTATTTATCCGTTTAAGAACATTTGTATAAGTTGTATTTTCTTGTACAGGTTAATATAAAAATATACTTTGTGTCTTTGAGGTTAGAAACATATTTGCCTTTTGTGTTGTTCCCTTGCTGCAGGTGCTGAATGAACTCAAAATGACTAAAGCCAGACATTAAAATTTTAAAAAGATAAGCTTAGGTTGTTTAAAAATGTTTATCTAGGCCTGGTGTAGTGGCTCACGCCCGTAATCCCAGCACTCTGGGAGGCCGAGGCAGGTGGATCACCTGAGGTCAGGAGTTCAAGACCAAGACCAGCCTGGCAAACACGGTGAAGTCCCGTCTCTAGTAAAAAAAATACAAAAAATTAGCCGGGCATGGTGGCAGGCGCTTGTAATCCTAGCTATTCGGGAGGCTGAGGCAGGAGAATCGCTTGAACCTGCTAGGTGGAGGTTTCAGTGAGCCAAGATCATGCTACCGCACTCCAGCCTGGGCAACAGAATGAGACTCCATCTAAAAAAAAAAATTTTTTTGATCTAATAAAATATGTGGTTTAAATATTACAGTAATATTAAAACCACCTATAGTCATACAGTGTTTACACTTTACACAGCATTTCATATACATTATCTGTAGTTTTAAAATTTGAGCTAGCGTAACAAATTAATTTAAAAAGTGTCCTCCTCCCTACCCACATTCCCAATCATAAGCTTGGATGGAATGAGATCTTGTTATTTTGTAGTGTTCAGCAGCTAATATTTTAGGTTAGAAATAGAGCTTCAAAAAGACCTCTGTGTCACTGATAAAACTAAAGATGATAAAGACCTGTGTTCAATGTTTTATTTGTAGTAATGTTATTTAATAGCTTCTATTCATCATTTTATGTCTTATAACATCCCAAAGCTTCTTTCCAACATATATTAGACTATATCAAGAATGTAGAAGGCAAGATGAGATAAAACACATGCCAACTGTCACCAGTTTGGACCACCACCAACCAGGCAGTCAAATAGCACCTCAATGTTTATAGAGAACATCATTAGTCATGAAGTAATCTTGTATGGTAAATTATTCCCTGTGGGACCTTTTAAAACACGTACTCCTGTTAGTGTGAGCAAGGCACCTGCTTTGACAATATAAGGAAACACCAAACTGAAAAATAGATGAGAATAAGTAGGGAAGCATTTGAGAGAAAACAGACATAGAGTAATAAGCTTCTTATGCTTTGAAAAATAGGCCTTCAGTCTTTGCTTCCTGCTTTTCTTACTATGTAATACTAGAATCATATCTGTAGCACAATTTGATTAAAGATGATTGGTGATTTTTTTGTTTTGTTTTTGCTGTTCTAAATTCAGAAAACACACATAAATTTTTAAAATAAAATTTTTAGCAACACCTTTGAGTAATCAGGTAGGAAAAGAAAGTTGTCATGGAATTGCCACCTGTCTACCTAGTTTATTGCCATGAATATCTGAGTTTGAGTATATTTGCACAGAAAATTATACATGAACACATGAACATATGAATATTCATGTACATAGATGTGTTGTGGGGGACTGATGAGGAGATTGATTTATTTTTTTATTAGAAAAACAATATTGAGACATTTGTCATTTATTCATACTATTTATGTATTTTTATTTATTTTTATTACTATTATACTTTAAGTTCTAGGGTACATGTGCACAACGTGCAGGTTTGTTACATTGTATACATTTGCCATGTTGGTGTGCTGCACCTATTAACTCGTCATTTACATTAGGTATATATCCTAATGCTATCCCTCCCTCTTCCCCCCCAACCCCACAACAGGCCCCAGTGTGTGATGTTCCCCTTCCTGTGGCCATGTGTTCTCATTGTTCAATTCCCACCTATGAGTGAGAACATGCGGTGTTTGGTTTTTTCTCCTTGCGATAGTTTGCTGAGAATGATGGTTTCCAGCTTCATCCATGTCCCTACAAAGGACACGAACTCATCCTTTTTTATGACTGCATGGTATTCCATGCTGTATATGTGCCTCATTTTCTTAATCCAGTCTATCATTGATGGACATTTGGGTTGGTTCCAAGTCTTTGCTATTGTGAATAGTGCCGCAATAAACATAGATGTGCATGTGTCTTTATAGCAGCATGATTTATAATCCTTTGGGTATATACCCAGTAATGGGACGGCTGGGTCACATGGTATTTCTAGTTCTAGATCCTTGAGGAATCACCACACTGTCTTTCGCAATGATTGAACTAGTTTACAGTCCCACCAACAGTGTAAAAGTGTTCCTATTTCTCCACATCCTCTCCAGCACCTGTTGTTTCCTGACTTTTCATAGTTTAATTTCATACAGTAAGAACAAAATGATTTCTAGTATTTTTATAGCCTTGGTTTGGAATTATCATTTCATTTTCTAAGTATGATGAAGAACTGCAAGTTTTTATAAAGACCAGATCATATTAATTCCCTACCAAATATTCAGAAAAATGAAGTATGTGTGGTTTCAGTAATCCTCACACATATCTAGAGAGAAATAATGTTTTGAGTTGCTGATATTATAAGTGTATACTTTTCCAACAGTATTTCTAATACCTTCTTTCTTATACAGTTTTCAGAGACAATTTACATATCATAGAATTCACCCATTTAAAGTGTACAATCTCATGGTTTTTAGTATGTTCACAGAGTTGTGCAACTATAAACACAATCAATTTTACTGCATTTTCATCACCCCAGAAAGAAACTCCATAACCATTAGCAATCATTCCCAATTTCTCTTCCCATCCTCACCTAGCGTCTCCCCAGATCTCCTGGCCCCAAGCAATCACTTACCTACTGTCTGTTTATTTGCCTATTCTGGACTTTTTCAGTCTCCTATCTAACTGTAATCATATGTCCTTCGACTGACATCTTTCCATTCTCCTCCTCCTAACCTTCCAAGCTCTCTGGTAACCACCATTCTACTCTGTTTGTCTATAAAATCAGACCCAGTCTGAGCAACCTCTCTGGAGCAATGCCATCATATGGTCTCCAGGTGGCTCCTCATGTTAGTCTTGGGGCCCACAAGGTCAAGGGGCTCTCCCATAGCTAGAACGGCAGGAGTCTACAGCAGATATGTGGACCTCTGGTGATCATTCAATGACCCTTTTCCTGCATCAGGGAGCCTCTCCAAGATCCCAGTGGATCTCTGCCATAGAGGCTCCCACCCTCCCTCTTCTTCCTGGCCTTAAATGTTTCCCATCACTTCTCTATTGAATTCCAGAGTTCTCTTTTAGGTAATTTATTCAAAGTTTGACTGTCTACTCACTATTTTAGTTCTTCTTTGTGGAGTAGGCGAGTACCTCTAGTCAGCCATCTTGAAGCTGTAAAAGAAAAATAATTCTCAGGACCCCCAAATGACTAAACCAAAGGGAAAAGTCAAGCTGGAAACTGCATCAGGCAAACCTGCCTCCCATTTTATTCCTAAATAAGATACCTACAAAGATTCAAAAGAAAGCTACATCTCTTCCTTACGATTGCCCATAAGGAAATTCCTTGTGGACCTCAAGATCTTCACCCTAAAACAGTTCTATTGACTTCCACCCTGGCAATCTTAACTGATAGCTTATCTTCACAGGCAAAGGACAGACAGAACCTAAAGTCATCCCTCTGCTCACCGATTGCTTCCTCTGCCCTATTGTCTATGTAAAAATGAAGATTCATTGAGTCAAACTAAGGCATAAGTGACTATTCCTCTATCCCCTCTACATGTAAATTGTGTATTCAGTGAAAGTCTGATCTAAGACTCAAAAGAATGCAACCTTTTGTCTCTGATTTCCTATAGTCTGGAAGTCTGAGTTGTCCTGCCTTTCTGGATCAAACAAATGTGTACATCTTACAAGCATTGATTGATGTCTCATGTATCCCTAAAATGTAAAAAACTAAACTGTGCCCCTACCACCTTGGGCACATGTCATCAGGACCTCCTGAGGCTGTGTCATGGATGCATCCTTCACCTTGGCAAAATTAACTTTCTAAATTGATCGAGACCTGTCTCAGATATTTTTGAGTTCACAAAGCCATAAGCAGCAATTTCTAACAGTGCTTTTCATTTCTGTCTAAATCAATAGATTTTACTAAGAGGGTCCTATGTCTCATTTACTGTGTGTTGAACTTTTTGCAAAATGTATTCTAAAATAATATAATAGATTAATTTCATGGAGTCTTACAGTACAAATACTTCCCAGACATCTTTCTGAGGACCTTAATAACCATATGGATGAATCTCAATAGAAAAGATGTTTTCCAGCCAGATCCAACAATGGCAGCTAACACTGGAAAACACACTGCAAAGAGTAATCACCTTTAGAGCCCAAAGTTAAATATTTTAAGACCTCAGTGTTCTACAGGGAACATCTGCCGTTGATGAAATATGTAAACTTGGGCATTTAGTGCTCTACCTTCAGCTCTGTATTCTGGAAATAATCCCCTGGGGTTACCTGCAAAATTCCTGCCTTCTCCAGATACACTACCACAACCACCATCTAGAGAGTCTGCAAATTTTCCCGTCTCCATTCTGGGGCTTTCTGTCATGACAAATAGACACATTAATTATTGTTTTTATACTTAACCTCATAGGATTCATGGGACACTCAGGCAATATAATGTGTTGTTGAAAGATGCTGAAATGAAAGAAAGTGGTTGGACAAACTACAGTTCTATATCTTCTTATGCAGATGGTTAGAGACAATCATGGATGACCAGGATTTGAGATGGTCTCTTATTTCTTGTTATCCATTGTTCTGACCAGCTCTTCTGTTTATTGCTACCTGTTCCTGTAGAACCGGAGCCATGTGGCGCTCCATGTACCTCACTTTGAATCCATTATAGCTGTGAGCCCTGGATGCATGGTAAGGCTATGCTTGTATTCTGGATTTGAAACTAAAAGATAACCTTGACATTTCATAAAGTCAATTTCATTCATTAGGCAAATTGCCACATTTGAGAATAAGCAAATTAAGCATTTTTATCTGTCTTTTGGCTTCTCTGAGTAGTGTAATCATCATGGATTGTGTCACGGACCAGATTCAAAGCCTTGTAATTGTATGTCAGTGGGCGATATGATGCTGAGGGTTCTCCTGGGGTTCTTTACCAGACCCCCTCAGTTTCCCACTCCCCGGGACATACCGAGACTTCTGATATACAATAAAGATCATTTGGAAGCATTGTTCTTTCAAGCCTCTTAGACTTTATTCAATTTGGAGGATCTTGCTATCCCCATCTTAAGCTGAAGTAATAATAATACACAGTAAAAGTAATGCCTACTGTTTGTGAGAACTGTGTGGCAAAGAAACACTCTGCCTGTGGACTCCTTCCAGGAAACTCAAATTTGTATTATTAATCCTTATTGTAGATTGCTACCATCTATGGAAATTGCTATGGTGCAAAATGCAGAAACACATTTCCTTTGTTAGAAACCTAATTGATTCATTTAGAGCTTTCTTTTGTTAATCTACCAAATCACAGCTACTAAATATTGCATGTGATAGCCATAGATACAGTCATTATTAACATGGCAGTTATCATGGGGGGTTTTTCAGCCCACATTCACATTTATTTTTCTTTTAATATAAAATGGCCCATACTTTTGAAAAATTTCTTGCAATTGAATTTAAAGTTTATCTTTAAAGGCAAAGCATTCCAGGAAAAGAATATGACAAATCTTTCTCCACTATATGGAAATAAGTATATGTGTTTGTGTTTGTTCATATACACACACAGATACATGTGTGTATATACATAATACATAAATTTCTTATTGTGTTATGAATTATATTTTATGAAAATTAAAACAACCTATTCCTGATAAATACCTCTTTCTAAAATGATGCATATTTTCAAGCTGCAGAAAACTATTTTAAATATTGTGACTCAGTATAGACATAAGATAAACTAAAAAATCCTTTCCTCCCCCTTAAATGTGATGTTTGTGTTAATGATTATAAGGATTCCTATGAATAATAAAACTACCAATTTATTGATTCCTTACTATGTGCTAAGCACTCTCCTTGTACATCTTCTTCTTACTTTTCCCAACAGCCCTATGAGTCAAGCACCACTACTTGCCCCATCGTAGAGAAGATTAAATGAGAGAAAAGGTTTCATAACTTCCTCCAGGGTGTAGAAGCTTGTGTTCCACTATCTTGGACTTGAACTCTGAAGCTCTCATTCTAGATCCTGAGTCCTCTACCATTACATTTTACTACCTTTCTTGCAACACAATAAACTTGATATTTGTCAAATTCAATAAACTAACGACATAATTAATTAAGGAAAAATTCAATGTATTCAACCATTCCATAGACTTTTCTTTGGTTTTTGGTTCTTCCAAAAAACTGAGGCTGTCTCCAGGTGACACGAGACCTGGAAAGTCATTTAGCACAATTTCTCAGCTATATGTTCTTGTAGTATTCATTTCATCTCTCAGATTTATTTACCATACCTGAATGATGAGGCTAGATCTGAGAATGCATAATGTACTTTCCAACTCTGGTATTTATGATTTTTATTAAGTTCTCAGCACTCATTGAAATATAAGGCATTTGAGATAATCCATTACAGTACTTGAAATCATTGCTTGATAGGTGTTAATAACTCAAAACTATATTCATTCTTAATCCAATGTTTATTGAAGAGCTGCTAATGTTAAACATCACTAATATGACCTATAAATAGTCTATTTTCTATATGGCAAAAAGACTCTTAAATTCTGATATCTATTATACTAAAGTAGCAGTTTTGTTCTTTCATTAAGCTTTGTGTGTGGATCTCTGTGATTCCTAGTGAAGAAAATCAGTTTTCCTAGGGTTCAGCACTTCTGCCATGGATCTTTATTTGTGTATGCCTTATTAGGATGACAATGTTGTCTCATGTAGCATCCTTTTGGCAACACTAGAATACTCCCTGTCTCAAATGTTACATCCGACCTTCCAATATTACAGGTGGTAGAAATCTGGATTATTTTTTCCCTCCATTGGGCGTCTATTGACATTTTATCATATCTCTTACAAATGTAAGTTTGGAGCCTAAAACATGCATGTTTTATATGAAATGTACAAACCAATATGGATATCATTTTCTACTTCTAAAATATAAAATGCCAAATAAAAGATATTTTTATGCCCTAGTTTATTCCTCTCTATATACTTTTCTTTTTTTCAGAAATCACATCTTTATTTTCATGCCCAATTGCTCTTTTGCAAAAATATATTTTAAATCTTTTAAAGTCCCCACAAACTTTTATAGCAAGTTTTAAAGCAACTTTTTAGTTGCAAATTAGAATGCAAAGTAGTTGGACTTAGATGGAGGTAAAAGGAAAATTTCTATTACAGCATCTGCAAATTACAAGTGAAAGTCACTTATAACTTATCCTGCAGTGCTTTTGAAAAACTTAGCTTGTTTTCTTCAAAGAAGAAAAATGCTTCATGAAAGGTCTAATAAAACATTTAAATTACTAAGGATGATTTGAAAATTTAAGTTTTATGGAATTTAGATGATTACTGGAATCCCAGAAAGTGGCATAATGGACATAATTTTTATAACAATTGAGAATTACTGTGCATTGATTTGCATTTAAAACTATACTTAACCCAAGTAACCAATCAAAAAGAATTTTTTTGGCAAATATAATTCCTCTTGATAAAAACCTTAGGTTGTCCATATTATCCTATAAATTTGAATGCAATGGAATGGTACATTTATTTATGGCATCAAGTCATGTAATGTTTGGACAGTTTCGTATTTTTGTGAAAATCATCCTGAAAGCTAACAGAGACAGAGATATAGATATGTGCCTGTGTGTTTGTGCGGGGGGAGTGTATATATCTATATCAGTATTATATATATGAACCCCTATTATTAGATATTAGTATTATACATACGGGTGTGTATATATATATGTATATATATGTATATGTGTGTGTGTGTGTGTGTGTGTGTGTGTGTGTGTGTTGTGTTTTACTACCAGACAAATTGCTCAAGTTTGTGGTTCTCCTAACAGTGAGGGGAGTAGCTGTCTTCCTACTCAAGTCCAAGATGATGGAACACAAGCTTCCACACCCTGGAAGAAACTATAAAACCTTTCTTTCATTTTAGTAGCTGTCTTCACTAGAAAGACCAGGGAGATGATGACTGCATGCTTTTCCATGGTCTGTTCAGCTACCTTCTGAGAAATGACAAAAATCGCAGGGATAGAGTCCTCCCGAATTCACTCCAAAAAACTATATACTTTGAAAGGAGAAGCAGGACACCAGAAAGAGCAGCAGGGAGGAAAAAGGAGAGAAAGATGAGAAAAGGAAAGAAAGTCTAGAGAGAAAGGTGAGTAGGAGGGAGAAAGAATGAAGAAGGAATTCCCCTTTCCTGTGTTTCAATCATCTTAAATCAACCTCCGGTCTTCTTGTCCCCCAGCTACCCTGAAGTTGTAATCCATTGGCAAACCTGGAAAGAAGGAGAATAGCAGGGAGAAAATCACTCATATCTAATGTGGGAGAAAAAGACCTTTAGAATCCAAATTTCTGGATCATTGTCAAAGCATGAATTAATAAGCTGACTGAAGGAGATTAAGAAGCTGCAGGTAGACCAACCTGAATCCTTTCACTTAGAATTGAGGAAAAAATAATTTATTTCAGTCTTAAAGCACAAATTGGCATTATGCTAAGCAAAATAAGCCAGTTACAGAAAGAAAAATACCACATGATCTCACTTACATGTGGAATCTAACAAACTCAAACTTCACAGAAGTAGAGTAGAGGGGTAGTTACTAGAAACTGAGGGGCTGGGAGGGGGCAGGAAAGGAAAGATGTTGATCAAAGGGTACAAAGTTGTAATTAGACAGGAGGAATCCGTTTTTGAGAACTATTGCACAGCATGGTGATCATAGTTAATAATAAAGTATTGTACATTTCAAATTACTAAAAGGCTAGATTTTAAATGTTCTCACTACCAAAAAAATGATAAGTATGTGAGGCGATGACATGTTAATTAGCTCGATATAATCATTTCACAATATGTACATATTTCAAGACATCATATTGAACTTTATAAACATATAATTATTACTTATTAAAAATAAAAATTGGAATTGAAAACAAAAGTAGAAAGCGACAGCTAATGTGTGCTGCCTATATAAACAAATATGTTACTTTAAGAAAAAAGAATAAATTGAGTAAAATGAATTACATACACTATATCTACATTATATGTATCTAGCAGATTTTGTTTCTTCAAGAAGAAAATTGATAACCATATCAAACTTGATGATGCAAATATGTATAAAATGTCAAATGCCATATAAAAAAATTACTTCAAAACTTCACAGTTTAAAATAACAAATATTTGTTATTTAAAATAATCTCTCAAGGTTGAAAACCCAGAAGCAGCTCTGCTGGATGGTTCTAGGTCAAAGTCTCTCATGATGTTGTCAGCCCTGGCTGCAGTCATCGGAAAACTCAACTAGGGATGGCATATCCATAGACAAACTCACCTATGAGTGAGTTTCAACAAACTCCTATGGTGTTTGTTGAAAATCTTCAGTTCTTCATCATAGGGCTGCTCATAACATGGTAGCTACCTTTCCCCAGATGGAGTGATTCAAAAGAAAGAGGGCACCATGATGGAAGTCATGGTCTTTCATAACCTAACCTCAGAAGTGACATACCACCACTTTTGTTGTACAGAACCCCCTGGTGCAGTATGAAAGGGGACTGCATAAGGAAGTGAATATTAGGACCCAGGGTTCATTGGAAGCCATCTTGAAGGCTAGCTACCACATCATCCTTACACACTTGTTTTCTCCCTATATCATATAAAAATAAATGAGTAGAAAAAATAGTTTAATGAATCATGAATTTATGAAGAAATGTTTAATATCAAATTCCCCTACAGTATTTTATTATTTTATTACTGTATTTCCTGAAATGAAAGCCATTTTCTATCATTTAACTAGAATTGAAACATATAAAAGACAAAATTGAAGAGAAAATTCTATGAATACGTAACAGTTAACATTGTTTTCTTATGCATCAGTAATACAAAGGAATGACAAAAATAAACTTTTAGCTCATAGTCTGAACTGTCCCATTTAAAAGCAAGCCCAAACAAACTTCTCTTTTGTTCAGAGTAATCTGAATGCTGCAGTTTAAAACCAAAATCAACCCACTCCCACATGCCTGCTGCTTCTATCATCCACCTAAATATTTCTTTGCTTAGTGTCTTAATGCATGCAGGCTGCTATAACAAAATACTATAGACTGGTTGTTTATAAACAACAGAAATTTATTTCACGATCCTGGAAGCTGGGAAGTGTAAGATCAAGGCAGATTTGTTTTCTGGTGAGGCCTGGGTTACTGGCTCACATAGTCTCTTATTTTGTCCTCACCTGCTTGAAAGAGAAGGGTGTCTTTGGGATCCCTTTTAGAAGGCCGCTAATTGTGTGACCTAATCCCAGAAGCCCCACCTCTTAATAACATCACCTTGGAAGTTAGGATTTCAACATAGGAATTTTGGAGGACATAACATTTAGAAGATAGAACCTAGGCAGGTCAAGATTATTTCTTAGGTGGTACATTTCCCTAAACACCTTTTGAGCCTGACCTTCCTTGACCCCAGGTTATGGTGCTAATTTTTTCATTTTTGTTTCTGACCATTCCAATTTCCATAATCTCTATAAATATCCATTCCCTCCACTTCCCACTACATTGTCATTCCAAAGATGGTTCTGAATAGCAAACTTGGAGCCATCTCAGCCAGGTATTTCCCTGCCACTTAAAACATCACAATTCTTAAATTTCAAATTATTTTCGTAAACTGCAGACCCATATTTTAAATGGAAATCAAGATGTCTTCATTGTCATATCGCCAAACATATCAAATTCACTAAGTCTAAAGCAAACCTTTTTTCTTACAACATCTACCCTTCCAGCTGATTTTCTTGTCACAGTGAATTGCATCTCAGTGATGAAGTTATTTACATCAGAAATCTAAGAATGGTCTCACTCACTATGACTGCTGTGTAAGGTTGTGCAGTTAGTGCACTGCATGAAGGTATCCCACTGGGATGACAAGTAGGAGTTGAAATTTAATCCTTTCCCTAAAGCCCTGTGCCATGAGTATATGGGCTCCATTGGGCAGAGAGAAAGGGCACCCTTCATTTTTCCAACGCTGTCTCCCATTTTCCAGCTCAGAGGAGCTACATCTGTCTAGAATAACCATTTTGTTAAAATTTGCAAAATTGCATTGAACCCTGAGCTCCCTGATCTAATCTGCCACCAGACCTGATGATTCCACCTCCTCTGCAGCTTAAATAAACAACCTACACTTTTGCCCCATGTCCTCCTCCTTTGTTCAAGTGATTATTCCTTGCCTGTATTATGCAACTCCCTCCTAAATGGTCTTCTTTTGTGTAGAGCATCAACCCTTCTACCCAATATTTGCACTGTTAACAGACTAGTCCTTCTAAAATGCTCATCTAACCAGATGTTACCAAGATTCTCACATATTCATAAACAAATACTTTAACTACTTACTATATGAATGACACTTTATGATACCTAAATTCTCAAGCAAAAGTCTAAAGTCCAGAGCAAGGAAGCACAGATCTTCATGGTTTGACCGTTGCTCAGGTATCCAGCCTTATTATTTCACATTCTGTAGAAGCCAGTCACCCTGAACTACTGAAGGAGCCAGGGCATCTCACATGTCCATGGATTGGCAGTTGCTATTTTCTCTGTGTGAAATGCTGCCAACTTTCTTTGCTCCAGTAACTTTGCTTTATATTTCAAAACTAACATAAAACATCATCTCTTCCTTTCCTGGCCCCCTAAATTAGTTATTTTGTTTCTTGTATATTCTCCCATAGCATCCTATGTCTTGGGCATTTTTCACATTGTGTTGTTATATACTTACTGCTTCCTTATGTACTGGTTGTAAATTTCTCAGACACATGAAAAACAACTTATTAATGCTTGTATCTCCACAAGTAGATACTCAGTAAATCATTGTCTTTTCTCCTGAGCAAAATATCCATAGTTCTCAACATTTTTCATTTTCCATCATATGAATCTTAGTGTTTATTCATAGTGTCATGTTAGAAATTCCAGTTTTTCTAATTCCTTCACTACTGAAATTTCAGAAAAGATGATGAATTAAAAAAGGATAAAAACAAAATAGGTTGACATTTAATTATCCCGTTTACCAGAATGGGTACAGTCATTTCAACCAATCATTTTTATCATAATGCCATTTTATTTTTATTATATATCCTTCTTGCTACAAGTTTAAAATATGTTTCCAAATCTTAATACCTTTCATACATATCTGCTGTGTAGGATTAAAAGATAAAAGTAATTGCAAGATTGAAAATCACTTCAAATATAGAAGTAACATTTAAAAGAATTTTGTTACTGGAGGAATTTGTATATAGAGCATTATGTGCTTGGGTCTAGTTGAACAGACTGTATGAAGCAAAACCCTCATGACTCGGTTACTCCGTGATTCTTTCTAATGCATAACCTTCATCCCATGAGCCACTGTAAAGGAAAATTCATTCTCTCTGAAGATTGCTTTCTCTAAAACTTGATACTATCCTGCCAATTTAAACCTACCATTTGTTTAGGGCTCCTTTGAATTTTAAAAAACACTCTCAAAATATCAAATTTAGCTTCCAGAATAACTCTCTGATTAACTTGCACAGATTTTATTGGGCCAAGACTCACATATCCTAAATTTAATATGATAAGCATATGGGAATGGGTGTCATCTGTTACTAGAATAACCTCCTGTACTGTTTTTCTCTCCTCGTTCTATCTTCTTGACACAGAGGCAGGTGTCTCTCACAGCATTCTCCAGCTCAGGAGCTAAAGTTCACGTTTACATTTGTAATGGGAACATTTCAGAACCTCTGCTGGCTCTTTACAAATTGTTTATTGCATGCTGGTGACATAACATTATCTTTTCATTCTAATCTTCCTTGTCAATGTAACAGCTGAAGTGCAAGATACAGGATTAGCAGTGCCCAGACTTAATCAGTTTATAAAAATCTCCAGAGAAAGCCACCCTTTCTTTTATACGTCACAGATGTTTTGTTTTCACTTGATTAGGCAATTGATTTGGCCCCCAGTGTCTCAAGAAAGGCAAGATGTTCTTACTATTTATTTGTACTAAAGGATGACAAGGGAATGGGGCAGGCCATATCTAGTATAGCTGGACACAGAATTCAGCATGCTGGCTGGAAAAGGAGACAGAACATTTGCAGACATTTTATTCTTTTCATCCCACAACCTGCTAAAGTGTGGTCGAGTGTTCTGTGATTCACAACACAGCAGGACCTTTACTATAATTCATATTTTATATATAGCAGCTGTACATTGGGAAGATTACTAGGACACCATTTGGAGAGAAGTCAAATTCAAGTTGTTTGTGCAGGTGAATGAGCAGTGCAGCTGGGGTTCACGACTTTTCCCCCTTTTCAGCCTATTACCAAATGAACCTATTAAAGGTTCATTTAAAAGAGTAGAGGTGGAACAAAGTGTCTATCTAAGCGATGTCTGAAGTGATTTAGTTCCAGAACTGTTACCGACTGCTCTCCTGCCTAAATTCTGTATTTTATCTGGTGGAATCCCCGACGTAACTATTCTGCTTGTGCCTGCTCAGCTATTAAGATGATATTTTGACTTTACTTGTTGCACTAATCAATTTATGACACGAATTTTCTTCAAATATAAATATATTTCTTAGCCCCAATACTTGAGACTTTAATTCTTGATACAACATTTTTCTCAAAGTGTTGTTTTCTGATAAGCTATTACAAGCAAAAAGTTAACACTAGTTGCTTAATTCAGTCTTAATGCTATTAGAGGAATTTAGCATATTTGATTTTTTATTTTAAATTTATTTTGAAATATTTTACTTTACTTTTTGATATATATTTTTTACTCAAATTATCATCTTAGCCCAATATATTATCACAAGAATAAGAACTTACTTTTAGCAAATAAAGTTTATCAGAAATAGTATATTGTGTTCATATGTGTTAAAGTAAGAGATTGCTGCAATTTTAATTATACATCTTATTTTCATGAATTTAAATAAGACATTTCATAGATGTGGGATTTGGGTCTTCTTTTTACCATTTGAATATTTGCATGTTAAAGAATAGGGTCATTTATCATTGTGTTGTTGTTTTGAATTATCTTACTATGTAAATACTCACGATGAGGTACAAAGCACCCTTATCAAAAGAACTGGGTAATATGTTAGCTTAATTTGTCTTCATTTACATATCACATTTTATGATAGCTAAACTAGAATTACAGCATCAGCTATGAAAATCAAAAAGAGACAATCACCTCAAAGCCCATGCTTACATAGAGAAATAGTATATACAGCAGAGTTGTGAAGAAGAGATTAAAACTTAGTCAATGAATCTCTCAACTATGTGGTAAAATACAACTTGAGGACAAAACTTTTCATAAAATTCAAAAAACACTTATTTTATATTGATCTCTTCCAGAAAACTCGGTGTTCTCCTATGGCTTCTTCTTTATGTAGGTGAAACATGAACATTGATCATGTATGGGAAAGCTACAGTAGTCTAAAAATGTGAATGGGTTGGATACATTTGTATTTATGATCAACAATGGGAGCAGAGATCACCATGGAGATGAATAATCTTTTTAATCCATCTTAGACTATATTCCCCAAGCAAAATTTTAATCATGGCATAATGAGAGTTATACATGTCTCATGATACAAGTACAAGGACTAGTATGAATAATTTTAAGGAGGATCTCTTAAACTGTCCTTCACAGATAATTAGGCTCATGAGATTAAGAATGTACTCTGAAGATTAGCCAAGAGTCCCTACTGCCAAATATTGTAATATACAAAGAGCTCTTTCAGACCATATGGTGACCAAAAGCATCATGGCCTCCAGGGAACCTTGTCAAACTTTGCCACAATCTGTCACCAGGTCCCATAGGTGAAAGCTGATTCCAGAGGAGTTTAACTCGATGAAGTCTCCTGAAGACACTATCAAGATTACAAAAACACAACTACCCTGCTGCGTTTCTGACTGTTAGTACATGTTTCTGTTCCTATTTGTGCTTATTGTACCATACGTTCAGGGCTTTCTCTCTCTTAACTTAAAATCTTCTGAAGCGTTGATGCAGAAAACACAAACTGTAAACTCAGTGAATTTCAAATTAGTCCTGTGAAGCTGTGGGGTAGAATATTCATGTTTGTAAAATCTCATATTTGCCACAATTTATACATCTTTTCCTTTACATATTTTAAATAATGTACAAGCTTATAATAACATGATTATTATGCTCTTTGAGGTTGAATTTTCATCCAAGGAAGATACAAAATTTTGTCACTCTAAATGCCTAGACTTCTAACATTTCAGGGGAAAAAGAAGTAAATATCGACAAAAAAAACCACCACCACAATCATAATCATAGGCCAGACATAGAAGTGCCAACTTTTATTTTGCCAAGTATTAATATGTTTCAAATGCTTCTATACTTCTTTAGTTTTAATATTAACACTGAAATAGGGACAGACAATGTCTTAGGATAAAGGACAATCCTTAAAATTGAGTAAATTAGCAGTCTTACTTGAAATAAATTTTTGAAGTCACTTCACATGTTTTTAAGGAATTTGAATCCCACACAGCTACTTGCACCAGACACCAAATTTGCCAGCACCTTAATCTTGGACTTCCCAGCCTCAGGACTGTAGGAAATAACTTTCTATTGTTTATAAGACACCCAGTCTATGGTATTTTGTTTTAGCAGATCAAATAGACCAAAACACTTAGTAAAGAGGATCTGACTGTTTCCCCAGCAGTCTTTATAAAACATTTTCTCTTTTCATTCTGCAAACTGCAGAAATATAAGAGAATGTGCTCACTCACTGGTTTACATTCTCGCTGACACATAATCACAGATGGGTGTGGCATTGGAGGTACTACCGTCTAAACATGACATGTTTTTAACAATTTAGAATTTGAAAATCAAAACTTACATTCAAATCTTGGTTTGAGACCATAAAAAATTCACTATTTCAAGCTCTTTCATAATTTTGGGACTTCTGGAGAATAAGAGAAGTTGGGAATTCTGGGGAGAACCTGGCACACCAGGGCAGAAAAGAACATTTGGAGTGGCAGCACCAAGCAGATGGTATGAGAATCACCTGCATTTCAACATTCTAGCAAATCATATGGCATATATTTAATGTAGGGTTCCCAGGGAAACAGAGTCTGGGACAGATATTAACATGCAGGAAAAGATTAGGCAGTAGGCTCAGGAGCAATACCTATGGGAAAATAAACAAAAGAGGATTGAGCAAAGGAACGTACTGAACTGTAAAGCAGTTCCAACAAAGGTGTTAGCCTATCCCATTGGAAATTTTAGAGCTGGGGCAGTCCTTCAGAATTTTCCACAATTGCCGTGAGGGGGTAAGGTTTTTATACCCCACATTGACCATTTATTAGATACAGGATGCTCTGGGGAAAGGAGTGTGACCATCAAAGGTGGCTCTCCTTGAGGGGAAATCTTGGAATAAAATTCAGCTGAGCCCCAACGACTGTTAACTCTCCCATCAGTTGGGAAAAAGAGTCCTCAGCTCTGAAGGAGGGATTTGGACAGCAAACCACAGCATTTATTTCACTGTGATAGTACCATTTGTACCTGAAAAATGGCAGCTCTGTACTTCCCATTTTTGTTTATTAAACTTATCATCAACTAATGTGTTACATATTTTATTTGTATATTTTGTTTATCATATGTCTCCTAGATTACACTGGGTTACCCAAAAAAAGAAGAATCTGAGGCAAAGGCATATATGCTTTCTTAAGGAGTCAATACTAGGTAACAAACTTGGGTTCAAGGGAAAAAGAACTAAGAACTGAAGAACAGTCAATATCGGATCAGTTACCAGGCCAGCATGCAACTTGTATCAAGCAAAACTGATTGTCCGTCTCTTGACGGTCTCTTGAGACCATCTCACAAAAGGCCACCTTAACAGCTGCTTCTCAGATTAGCCCATGCAGAGAGAAAAGACTCTTTTTCTGTTGGCTTTCTCCTCCCACTGATAAAAGATTCATCCCACAGAATTTTAATTGTTCTGTAATCCTCAGTTAAGGATGCATAGGCACATACAAGCCTGCACTTTACCCCAGGAATGTCACTTTTAGCAATTTATCAAAACAATTTAAATGCAAACAATAAACATAAGTAATGTAAATACAAAGATATTTACTTCAGCTTTGCTTGTAATTCCAAGAGATTAGGAACAACCCAATTATTCAACTGGAGCAGATTAAATGAATCATGGTAAAGTCATATTATGGGCTACTGTGTATCCACCGAAAAGAGTGATTCTATCTTTATACACTACATAAATTAAGCTTCAAGATATGTTAAGTGTAAAAGAAAAAAACAAAAACAAGGAACAGAATTTATAAACCTAAGAAAAATGTCTTTTCTCGATACGTGAGAGCTAGAGATCTAAATAAGATTGGGGTCCTACTAGTGAGGTGTATTCCCCAGCACCCCAGTCAGAAGCTATCTACATGATGAAAGAAATAATCTTGTGAAGCATGAATATAGCCCAAAATTACCTAGAGACTGGGAGAGATAGGATGCATCCATTATGTGATGTGAATCCAGGCAGAGGTGCTGTGCTGTGGTCTCAGTGACTATGGATGTAACTTCATAATTGCAACTAATAGAGCTTTCCCTGGCAGTTCCAAGTCTAAGTGAGGTGTGACTTAAAGGGTATCTCTGGAATTTCAGCCTCAAGTCTGCTTCTTTAGACATGCAAATGTTTCTGCAAGCTATTTCTATCTTTTAATAATTGCCTAGCTAAATTCCATGATCTATAGCTCATCTTGCTGACATATAGAACATGCTACTATTTTTGTTTTAAGAATGTATTTTAAAAGGTACCTGTAAAGATAGTTTTCGTGCATGCATAAAATATCTCTGGAAGGACACATAAGAATTGAGACCAGGAATGGAAGTTGGGAGTTGGAAACAGAGATGCTTCATGATATTCCCTTATAAATTTTAACCATATGAAAATATTATCTTTTCAAAAAACAATCAATCAATGTAAATTCTACAAATATGGAATGAGCATGAATACATACTTCTTACAAATCTTTGATTTTATAACTAAAATAATTAACAGTGATTACTGAATTCTTACTACATGACAGAGACTAAGTGCAAAAAGTAGAATGGAGAACAACATAGTAAGTGTCCTGATTCTATAAAGACAGATGAAATTATAGATGAGCACATAAAAGTTATAAGAACATCCTAGTGTCATTTGCACAGGAGAGCAAAAAATTAGCATTACTATATTGATTAAGCTAACCATTATTATTCACTACCAAAGCTTATTTTATATACTATATAAATTATATTATATTTATATAAATATGTTTTATATAATAAAATATTCATGTATTGTATATAATATAGTTAATACCTATTGATGAGCAACATCTTGGTTATTTTAAGGGATTAATAACTTTTCTAAATATGTTCACTTTATAAGTAAAAATAAAGTTTTGCATAATCTTTGTCAATCAAATATGTGAAGAAATATTTTGGTGATTTTTTTTTCCTCCTATCAAATGGTGATTTAATGGCTATTCACCAGTCAGATGATGGTCATGATTTCAAGCCTTTCAAATTTTCTCATTGTCTAGGAAAGAGAGTATCCCAGCCTTTTCAAAAATTATAAACATCTTTGTTAATTATTCAAAGTGTCAAAGGTAATCATGGATAGCATATTAAATCACTTGAAGATGGTACATTTAAAAATGCCCCCTGAGTAGATGTTCTCTTTAAGCTGCCTCTAGTTGACTAATCAAAACTGAAAGTCGTTTTTTGTTGTTTTGTTGTTGTTTTGTTTTTTGCTTAGAGTCAGGAAGCTGAGTAAACATGAGGTTTCTCACATATTATTATATAAAGTTAGAAAATAATGACATGAGCTGGGCACAGTGGCTGACTTTGGAAGTGTTGTAATCCTAACACTTTGAGAGGACAAAGTGATCACTTGAAGTCAGGAGTTTGAGAAAAGCCTGGGCAATAGTGAGACCCTGTTTCTACAGAAACATTTTAAAAATTAGTGGCGCATGATGGTGTGTGCCTGTAGTCCTAGCTACTTGGAGGCTGAGGAGGGTGAATAGCTTGAGCCTAGGAAGCTGAGGCTGCAGTGAGCCAAAATCATGCCCCTGCACTGCAGCCTGGGTAACAGAGTGAGATCCTGTCTCAAAAAAAACAAAAAAGAAAAGAAAAAAAAAGAAAACAATGACATTTTTAATCTTGAGAATTCTGAAAAATAAAAAAGAAAAGAAGAAAATAATGACATATTTATCTTCAGAGTTCTGAAACCCAGTATGGACAAATGTATGAAGAACTATATTTATTATTTTGTAGATCTTGGAATAGTCATGTTCAACAAAAGGGGGCAGAATCATGTGAATTTTAAAGCCTGAGCTCCAGAGTAAGACTTAGAACAAGTGCCAGTTGGGCCCGTTATTAGCTCTGTTATTTTCAGCAAGTTAAACTCTCTAGATCTTAGTTTCTTCATCTGTAACATGAGGATGATATTAGGATGATACCACAGAAGATTGTGTAAGGCTTACAAAGAATCGTCTACATAAAGCACTTATCCTAGTAAGAGGTGAAGCCAGCTGGGTTTCTGGGTCAATTGGGGACAACTTTTGTGTCTAGCTAAAGGATTGCAAATGCACCAATCAGCACTCTGTGTCTAGCTAAAGGATTGTAAATGCACCAATCAGCACTCTATAAAAATGCACCAATCAACACTCTGTAAAATGGACCAATCAGCACTCTGTAAAATGGACCAATCAGTGCTCTGTAAAATGGACCAATTAGCAGGACGTGTGCAGGGCCAAATAAGGGAATAAAAGCTGGCCACCCGAGCCAGTGGCAGCAACCCGCTCAGGTCCCCTTCCATGCTGTGGAAACATTGTTCTTTCGCTTTTAACAATAAATCTTGCTGCTGCTCACTCTTTGGGTCCGCACTACCTTTATGAGCTGTAACACTCATAGCGAGGGTCTGCAGCTTCACTCCTGAAGTCAGCAAGACCACGAACCCACCAGGAGGAACAAACAACTCCGGACGTGCCACCTTTAAGAGTTGTAACACTCAACTGCGAAGGTCTGTGGCTTCACTCCTGAAGTCAGCGAGACCATGAACCCACCAGAAGGAAGAATCTCCAGACACATCTGAACATCTGAAGGAACAAACTCCTGACACACCATCTTTAAGAACTGTAACACTCACTGCGAGGGTGTGCAGCTTCATTCTTGAAGTCAGTGAGACCAAGAACCCACCGGAAGGGCTCTCTAACAACCCCTGACTCTTTGGAGTTGGAAGCATTGATTTGCCTGGAACCAGCTTCTGCTTTTCCTGTACTTCTAGGCTGAGCCAAGTGTCGACAGAGAGGAAAGCCATTCAGCTCCGGGATCCCAACAACAAGTTGGTTGACCCTGCGGCCATGAGTGGAACTCTCAAAGTCATGTCGCCCAAGTGAGACTCGCCCATCTAACCTATCTAACCTGACCCTTGCCTTCTGGGTCCTAATGCCTGTCAGACAAACTTCCTCTCACCTCTCTTCTCCAAGGCTACTAAAAACCGCTCCTAAAAACCACTGCCTGTCTCTGGTGCTTTTCTAGTTTCTCCTATAAGAATGATTTCTAGTATAAACTCCAGGACTCTATTCCCTTATTTAGGCACCTGGGCTCACCAATCAGAAAGACATAATATTTGCCCAAAGCCCCATCAAGGGGCGACTATCTGGAATTTTA
This sequence comes from Homo sapiens, assembly GCF_000001405.40. Classification (NCBI taxonomy): domain Eukaryota; kingdom Metazoa; phylum Chordata; class Mammalia; order Primates; family Hominidae; genus Homo; species Homo sapiens. Next base: position 52,398,429 of record NC_000005.10, read on the forward strand.
GGATCCCTCCTCAGACTAGCAGGCCTAACAAAAGCTATTCCTGAAGGTAGGATATGGGGAGCTTCAGAAATGATATCTTTCCTATTCAAGTGAGGACAAAAGGTGTCACACTTCCAACCCTGGAGATCCCTTCCCTCCCTCAGGGTATGGCCCTCCACTTCATTTTTGGGGCATAACATCTTTATAGGACAGTGGTAAGTTCCCGATACTAACAAGAGAACACTTAGGACTCTAACAGTTTATCGAGAATGTGTCGGTAAGGGCCACTAAATCCAATTTGTCTGGGTCCCCTTTGTGGTCTAGGAGGACAGGCAAGAGTGCAGGTTTTTGAGAATGCATCAGTAAGGGCCACTAAATCCAATTTTTCTCAGTCCCCTTTGTGGTCTAGGAGGACAGACAAGAGTGCAGGTTTTCAAGAATGCATCGGTAAGGGCCACTAAATCTGACATTCCTCGGTTCTCCTTGTGGAGGAAAACTAGTGTTTCTGCTGCTGCTGCATTGGTGATCGCAACTATTCTGATCAACAGGGTCTGGGGACCGTTGTGGGTTCTAGGGCAGGGGGAGAAACAAACAAACCAAAACCGTGGGTGGTTTTGTCGTTCAGATGGGAAACACTCAGGCATCAACAGGCTTACCCTTGAAATGCATCCTAAGCCATTGGGACCAATTTCACCCACAAACTCTGAAAAAGAGATGGCTTATTTTTTTCTGCACTATGGCCTGGCCCCACTATTCTCTCTCTGATGGGGAAAAATAGCCACCTGAGGGAAGTATAAATTACAATACTATCCTGCAGCTTGACCTTTTCTGTAAGAGGGAAGGCAAATGGAGTGAAGTACCTTATGTCCAAGCTTTCTTTTCATTGAAGGTGAATCCACAACCATGCAAAGCTTGCAATTTACATCCCACAGGAGGACCTCTCAGTTTACCCCCATATTCTAGTCTCCCTATAGCTCCCCTTCCTATTAATGATAAGCCTCCTGTAATCTCCCTCACCCATAAGGAAACAAGCAAAGAAATCTCCAAAGGACCACAAAAAACCCTGTGCTATCAGTTATGTCCACTTAAGCTGTAGGGGGAGGGGAATTTGGCCCAACCCAGGTACATGTCCCCTTCTCCCTCTCTGATTTAAAGCAGATCAAGGCAGATCTGGGGAAGTTTTCAGATGATCCTGATAGGCATATAGATGTCCTACAGGGTCTAGGGCAAACCTTCGATCTCACTTGGAGAGATGTCATGCTATTAGATCAAACCCTGGCCTTTAATGAAAAGAATGCAGCTTTAGCTGCAGCCCAAGAGTGGAGATACCTGGTATCTTAATCAAGTAAATGTTAGAATGACAGCCAAAGAAAGGGACAAATTCCCTACTGGTCAGCAAGTCATCCCCAGTATGGATCCCCACTGGGACCTCAACTCAGATCATGGGGACTGGAGTCGTAAATATCTGTTGACCTGTGTTCTAGAAGGACTAAGGAGAATTAGGAAAAAGCCCATGATTATTCAATGATGTCCACCATAACTCAGGGAAAGGAAGAAAATCCTTCTGCCTTCCTCAAGCAGCTACAGGAGGCCTTAAGAATATATACTTCCCTGTCACCCAACTCACTGGAGGGTCAATTCATCCTAAAAGATAAGTTTATTACCCAATCAGCCACAGATATCAGAAGAAAGCTCCGAAAGTGAGCCCTGGGACCTGAACAAAATCTGGAGGCATCATTAAACCTGGTAACCTCAGTGTTCTATAATAGGGACCAAGAGGAACAGGCCGAAAAGGAAAAGTGAGATCAGAGAAAGGCCACAGCCTTAGTCATGGCCCTCAGACAAACAAACCTTGGTGGTTCAGAGAGGACAGAAAATGGAGCAGGCCAATCACCTAGTAGGGCTTGTTACCTGTGTGGTTTACAAGGACACCTTAAAAAAGATTGTCCAATGAGAAACAAGCTGCCCCCTCAACCATGTCCACTACGCTGAGGCAATCACTGGAAGGTGCACTGTCCCAGAGGACAAAGGTTCTCTGGGCCAGAAGCCCCCAACCAGATGATCCAACAACAGGACTGAGGGTGCCTGGGGCAAGCGCCAGCTCAAGTCATCGCCCTCACTGAGCCCCGGGTATGTTTAACCATTGAGGGCCAGGAAATTGACTTCCTCCTGGACACTGGCACGGCCTTCTCAGTGGTAATCTCCTGTCCCAGATGACTGTCCTCAAGGTCCGTTACCATCTGAGAAATCCTGGTACAGCCTGTTACCAGGTATTTCTCCCACCTCCTCAGTTGTAATTGGGAGACTTTGCTCTTTTCACATGCCTTTCTTGTTATGCCTGAAAGTCTCATACCCTTATTAGGGAGGGACATATTAGCCAAAGCTGGAGCCATTATCTACATGAATATGGGGAACAAGTTACCCATTTGTTGTCCCCTGCTTCAGGAGGGAATCAACCTTGAAGTCTGGATGTTGGAAGGAACAAACTCAAGCTCTAGCCTTAACCCTTCCCACAGGACAAAACTTCTCTTTATCACAGAGAGAGCAGGAATAGCTCTTGGAGTCTTTATTCAGCCTCGTGGGACAACCCCACAACCAGTGGCATACCTAAGTAAGGAAATTGATGTAGTAGAAAAAGGCTGGCCTCACTGTTTACAAATAGTTGTGGCAGTGGCCATCTTAGTGTCAGAGGCTATCAAAATAATGCAAGGAAATGATCTCACTATATGGACTACTCATGATGTAAATGGCACACTAGGTGCCAAAGGAAGTTTATGGCTATCAGACAACCACCTACTTAGATACCAGGTGCTACTCCTTGAGAGGCCAGTGCTTCAAATACATGCATGCGTGGCCTTCAACCCTGCCAATTTTCTCCCAGAAGATGGGGAACCAATCGAGCATGACTGCCAACAAATTATAGGCAAATTATTTTGCCACCCGAGATGATCTCTTGGAAGTCCCCTTAGCTAATCCTGACCTTAACCTATATACAGATGGAAGTTCATTTGTGCAGAATGGGATATGAAGGGCAGGTTATGCCATATTTAGTGATGTAACTGTACTTGAAAGCAAGCCTCTTCCTCCAGGGACCAGCACCCAGTTAGCAGAACTAGTGGCACTGACCCGAGCCTTAGAACTGGAAAAGGGAAAAAGAATAAATGTGTATACAGATAGCAAGTATGTTTATCTAATCCGAAATGCCCATGTTGCAATATGGAAAGAAAGGGAGTTCCTAACCTCTGGGGGAACCCCCATTAAATACCACAAGTAAATCATGGAGTTATTGCACACAGTGCAAAAACTCAAGGAGGTGGAAGTCTTACACTGCCAAAGCCATCAGAAAAGGGAAGAGGGGAGAAGAGCAGCATAAGTGGCTACAGAGGCAAGGAAAGACTAGCAGAAAGGAAAGAGAGAAAGAGACAGAAAGTCAGAGAGAGAGAGAGGAAGAGACAGAGACAAAGAGGGAGTCAGAGAGAGAGAGAGACAGAGAGTCAGAGAGAAGGAAAGAGAGAGAGGAAGAGACAAAGAATGAATCAAACAGAGAGACAGAAAGTCAGAGAGAGAGAGAGAGAGGAAGAGACAGAGAAAAAGAGGGAGTCAGAAAAAGAGAGACAAAGAAGAAGTCAAAGAGAAAGAAAGAGAGATGGAAGTAGTAAAGGAAAAACAGTGTACCCTATTCCTTTAAAAGCCAGGGTAAATTTAAAACCTATAATTGATAACTGAAGGTCTTCTCTGTAACCCTGTAACACTCCAATACCACCTTGTTGTCAGTGTAAACAAGGGCGTAGCCCAAAAGCACTGAGGCCACTAACAACCCATAGCCTTCCTATCAAAAATCCTTAACCCAGCAGGTTTCCTAACAGGGGATCTAAATCTTAATTAATTACCATACAATGGTCCAACCAGACCTAGGAGGAATTCCCTTCAGGACAGGAAGATAGATGCTTCCTCCCAGGCGATTAAGGGAAAAAGACACAATGGGTATTCAGTAAGTGGCAAGGGGAACACTTGTAGAAGCAAAGTTAGGAAAATTGCCAAATAATTGGTTTGCTCAAGAGTTGTTTGCACTCAGCCAAACCTTGAAGTACTTGCAGAATCAGAAAGGAGCCATCTATACCAATTCTAAGTTAATATGGACTGAAGGAGGTTTTATTAATAGCAAAGAAAAATTAAAATCCCAAACTTATAAGGTTTTCAACAAAAGTAAAGTTTGCTAAAAGTTAACAGCGTAACATGTATTATCCTACTACCACACACTCTCAAAGGATTTCTCAGACAGTTTGCAAGAAATAATGATATCTATCCTTACTCTACAATCCCAAATAGACTCTTTGGCAGCAGTGACTCTCCAAAACCGCCAAGGCCTAGACCTCCTCACTGCTGAGAAAGGAGGACTCTGCACCTTCTTAAGGGAAGAGTGTTGTCTTTACACTAACCAGTCAGGGATAGTATGAGATGCTGCCCGGCATTTACAGAAAAAGGCTTCTGAAATCAGACAACGCCTTTCAAATTCCTATACCAACCTCTGGAGTTGGGCAACATGGTTTCTTCCCTTTCTATGTCCCATGGCTGCCATCTTGCTATTACTCGCCTTTGGGCCCTGTATTTTTAACCTCCTTGTCAAATTTGTTTCTTCTAGGATCGAGGCCATCAAGCTACAGATGGTCTTACAAATGGAACCCCAAATGAGCTCAACTATCAACTTCTACTGAGGACCCCTAGACCAACCCCCTGGCCCTTTCACTGGCCTAAAGAGTTCCCCTCTGGAGGACACTACCACTGCAGGGCCCCATCTTTGCCCCTATCCAGAAGGAAGTAGCTAGAGCAGTCATTGCCCAATTCCCAAGAGCAGCTGGGGTGTCCCGTTTAGAGTGGGGATTGAGAGGTGAAGCCAGCTGGACTTCTGGGTCGGGTGGGGACTTGGAGAACTTTTGTGTCTAGCTAAAGGATTGTAAATGCAACAATCAGTGCTCTGTGTCTAGCTAAAGGATTGTAAATGCACCAATCAGCACTCTGTAAAAATGCACCAATCAGTGCTCTGTAAAATGGACCAATTAGCAGGATGTGGGTGGGCCAAATAAGGGAATAAAAGCTGGCCACCCAAGCCAGCAGCAGCAACCTGCTCGGGTCCCCTTCTACGCTGTGGAAGCTTTGTTCTTTCGCTCTTCACAATAAATCTTGCTGCTGCTCACTCTTTGGGTCCACACCACCTTTATGAGCTGTAACACTCACCACGAGGGTCTGCGGCTTCACTCCTGAAGTCAGCAAGACCACGAACCCACTGGAAGAATGAAACTCTAGACACATCTGAACGTCTGAAGGAACAAACTCGGACACACCATCTTTAAGAACTGTAACACTCACTGCGAGGGTCTGCAGCTTCATTCTTGAAGTCAGCGAGACCAAGAACCCACCAGAAGGAACCAATTCCGGACACACTAGTGCCTCCAAGAGGCATTAATAGATTTGCTATTTTAAAAAAGAATAAATAATTGAGGACCTCTTTATTACATGGTGTCTGACTTAACCACTAGTCTCTTCTTATTTCCTGGTACACATCCAATAAAGTACATCAAAGTTTCACCTCCCTAAAACATGGGAAAAGAGTTTTGACTATACTATAGAGAATTTCCCACTAACAAGATGTGTAGCTGTAAGTTGAGAATCTCCATTTGTGGCTTATATGTGTTTATTTTTTTCTCCGTTCTGAATTGAAGTAAATCAATAGTTCTTAGGGAAGGCTATTTTCTTGACTCAGTGAGGCAACAAAGTATGAAAGAGTTGTTCCTTAACTGTCCTGGACCTGTTTTTAGCATCTCCTCTAAATATAGTCAGTCATTTTGGAATGCAGTAATACCAGGGTAAGAACTATAGGGGCTAGAGGGCAGGGAGGAAGAAGTACTATCGAGTTCCCACTAAATTTTGGAGATATTGCTCAAATAATTCAAATACTATTGGTGGATTTAGAAAAACCTCTTGTGGAATTGTTCACTGATTATAGCAGTCATGTACACCTTGTTTGGGTCATCTTAACAAATGCCACCTAGATCATAAAAACTGGGCCTGTAGTTTGAAGACATTAATTATGTCTTCTTAGAAAGTAATTTTTCTGAATGGCAAGGGTTGGGATGATGGGTAGTCCTTTACTCTTTCTCTTGGACGACATTAATTCTTATAAAAATAATGTGACATAGAAAGCTGTTTATTTTAAAACCTGTTTTTTAGTTTTGCTCTGGCAATAGGACTCCAATATTTACCTAGAGAATGAATCAAGAGCATTTGTCTGTCTTTTTTGCAGGAAGTACAAACAAATTCTAGTCAATAATACATAGATCAAAGTGTTATTTGGCCACTTTTGTGAACTTCTCTTATAAAATTACTGGTGTATGCCTGAAATGGTTTGGCTGTGTCCCCACCCAAATCTCAACTTCAATTGTAGTTCCCACAATCCCCATGAATCATGGGAGAGATCAGGTGGACATAATTGAGTCATGGGGGCTGTTTACTCCATCCTGTTCTCATGATAGTGAGTTGTCACACCTGATGGTTTTATAAGGGGCTTACCCCTTCAATGGGCACTCATTCTTCTTCTCCCTGATGCCATGTGAAAAAGGACATGTTTTCTTCACCTTCCTCCATGATTGTAGGTTTCCTGAGGCCTCCCCAGCCATGTGGAACTGTGAGTCAATTTAACCTCTTTCCTTTATAAATTACCCCGTCTGGGGTGTATCTTTATTAGCAGCATGAGAACGGACTAATACAATGTCCTTTCCACATTATAAAAGTTATGTGTCCCTTATTCTGTCCTATAACCTAAAACTGGAATTGGTAGCTGAAGCAGTAGCTACTATCATATGCCAGAAGTGATGAACTGCCAGAAACAAAGGCTCTTGGAAGAGACATATTATATCATGCAAGCCTAGACTATCCACTTTACACTTTAACAGAAGAGAGAAACATTATCTCCTTTAAAGTACTGTTATTTTACATTTTTGTTACTCCCAATCAACATAATACTAATTTCAATTTCTTTAAGTGAGACTTAAAGGAAATGAGTCAGTATCTTGAAATTTTAAAGAATCTTCTATTAGAAAAAGAAAAAAAAGATGAAGATACAAAATAACATGATAAAGGTTATAAAACAATAAATCTAAACAAAAACAAGAACCCAAAATCCAGGGATGGGGGAAAGCCTGAGATGAAGCTGTGATGGGAGATCTCATTCCTACCACTATGGCAGGCTGCATAATCTGTAAAATCTTCCAGCTCTAAAAGATGTTAAGAGGTGCTGTATAAATTGTTACAAAGATTTTTGGATGCATAGCAGAAAGCAAAACATATTGAAAGATATTCTCAAGGGCTGAAAATGAAGACAGAGCAAGACAACAAAAATAGCAACTGAAGGTGCTGTACGTGCCCCTGTAAATTTTGAGAATCTAGGATCTTGCATTTTAAATGCCATGTAGGGGGATTAGATAACTCCTAGAGCACAGATGAGGTAGAAGGTTGAAAGACAGACAACTGCAAAAAAAAAAAGCCTCAAATTTTAAAGGCCTAAACTCAAAGGGCTAAAAAGATGTGGTAGCAAAATTCTAGCGGAATGGTGGAAAGTAACAGACCTATTGTCATTTGTCATTTTGTTATGGCAGCCTTCAGAAGTTGACTTGGTTCTGTAGCAACCTGGCACATAATTTACCAAGATACTTGAACACACTCAGAGGGAATAATGGGAGTAGAACCCAAAATTAAATAAGTAAACAAGCCAAACAAGATTTGGGAGGATTTTTTTTCTGTCTCTTTCACAGAAAATCACATGGCCAATATCATCATGTATGAAATGAAATATTTCATTCATTGAATATGTTGGAGGCAAAGTGATGGAATCTATCTGGAAAAATATATGGTTATCATATATTTTACCCTGAACCACTGACCAATTGAGAGCAACTTAATCCAGTTTTCTATTATGTTTTGATTTGTTTGCTTGCAGGATAGTTTAGAATGAAAGAGAAACATAAGATACTTTGCTTATCTGTTTCTAAATCCAAGAACACAGGTCATAATAACCATGAGTGGTTAAAAAAAAGACAAATTATAAATTGTAGTCATGTTTGGGGACTACTTTCAACTTAAGCCAAAAGGAGAGAGATAAAGGCATATGCCATTCATATCCTATTTTTAAAAAGAACATTCTGTAAATTTAAAATATACCCTCTTTAGGATGTTAATTTTATAGGCTTGAGGTGATTTTCACTGACAGAGAATAAAAAAGGAGCAGATTTTGGATACATGAAAAAAATGTATTTTCATAAATACAATTACTTAGCATAAATGCTCTATGAGCATTTAAGTAAACTTGTCCACTAGGCTTTAGATAGAAATCTGGTCTGGAAACATAGGTATGTGAGTCACCAGAATATAGATGGCAATTATGGGCCAGAAAACTTAATCCTGCCACCTTCATGCTTAGTCCAAGCTATGTCTTATGTCCACTCCAAACTAGATGCACAAATATTTGAGACCTTTTATTTTGCTACTTACCCTTGCTCAGTTGGATTCTTATCACCAAATTAATGCAAGCTTTTTTATGAATTCCTAAGAAGGAAGTAACCATTGTTAATTCTCTTAAGGGAATCTTAGCATTTGACTCAGTAAAGCATGTAAAAGTGACCTGCTGATTCTTTTACATGAATGTCTCTTCACCACTTCAGACCCAACATGCTCCTCATCTAAGTGTATAGTTTTCCCTAAACACAGGGTCCTCTTCTGGATGCCTTGTCTCTGTTTATATTATCACGCTATCCTCTGTCTCACCCATACTTGAAACCTTTGAGTTTTAGACAATAAAGCTTAGTCTAATCAATAATTGCAATTAAAAAGTATGGAGCAAGGATGGCAGATTATTTTGTTTAACCCTATCAAAATGTTCTATAAAATATGAAAGAGCATTTCTAATAATACTGTTGTTCTCTGAATTCAAAATTTCACCAGTTTTCACTGATTGCAAAAGTCCATAATGTCTCTATGAAATGCTAAACTGCATGGGACAAAATAACAGCTAATGGCTAAAGAATATTGAATGTATAAACAAGGAATACTGGAGCCTCATAAAAGCATGATTATAAAACATGAGCCAATTGACTTCATCTATCCACTCCCATGCAAAGAGTTGTTAATCATTAAACTATGAAAATAATATCATTGTCATTTTCAATTAAAAGTGTATCCATTATTTTGGACCCTGCAGTGTCTGTAAGATGTAATTTTATTTTTCTCTGAGTGTATGCACAATCCAAATATATTTTGTCTGATTCAGCCTTCTTAAGTGAGATAATATTTCTTACTTAACTACTTGAAGACCTTCTGGGGGTCTGAAAACTCATTATGATAAATTAACATAAGTGGCTCATGGCTTAGGTAAGGCAAACAAAAATCTAGTGTATGTACATATATGTATAAATTCATACACACACAGACACATATATGTGAACACCACACATTGAATGATAAAGGCTAAATTAAATATTCCACTTCAAAGTATATCTCCTAGAAACTCTCCTGGAACCTAGTATTTCAGTCTTTATAATGGTGTCATGGCTCAGAAACTGATTATAAAGATATGATAATTCAGGAAATTAAGGAATGCATGCCAGCTACACTCTCAGCAGGTATTCCTTCCAACAGAACAACTAGCACAGCTGGTCGGCTCAGCCCAAGTGCAGACACAGCACCGGGTCCCACTTCAAAATCACTCCTCAGCATATCAGCGATTTCACATTTCAATCTTAGCAAAATAGTCTTTTAAGAAAAGTGTTCCTTTTAAGGTATTATTTCAACTCTGTGCTGGAATATGGAAGGGTCTTATAAGAAATATAACGACTTCTCTCATTTCACAATATGAATTAAACAACAAGCTGAAATTTTCAACTGTTTTTAATTCAAGATGATTAGTCAGTAATATAAGTCAAGCTTATAATAGGATTTCTTTTATTGTATCAATTTTCTTCTTTGCAAAATGAACATAAAAATTTTTTTTACCAAAATTTGCCCCCCAAAAATCATTAGATGCTAATGACTGCTTATTTCTCTTCTCTTCTGGTTTTTATTAGCTTCAAAAATAATTTTATTGTGCACTTTAGCTGTGTTCTTAAACATTTTGACAATAAACAACTTACCCATTAGGAACTAAGTCAATTAGATGATGTTTAAGGCAATATTTATTCTGAAATGTTATGATTCAAAGATTATTTAATTAAACAACTCATCCCATAGAATCTTCAAGTATTTTTCCCATCAAACTGAGATAGTAGCTATTCATAAGTTAAAAAACTCGCCTAGACCTGAATTTCACCACCAATCTTAGATAGAGGAACTATTTGATGGTGAGATGGCAATAGAAAGGATATTTTTAAAAAAGGCTTAGGTCAGCTACACATAGCCTAATCCACAAAAAACTGGGTTAACTCTAAAGAGTAGAAATCTAAATTGGCATTTCTTATAATTTTTAATAAATAAATATGGAATTTTTTTTAATTCTTAGTATATGAAAGTACACAAACCTGCCAGTGTTCCTATAAAGTATTTAAACTCAAAAACTTAAACTCTGGGGATATATGTCTTCTTTCTTACCACCACTCAGATTTATCTCCATTGAGGTAAAGATAGCTATAGCAAAAGAACACTTAGTTTTAAAATATGACTGCCTCTTGGTATGATACTGTGTATCTTAATTTTAATTAATCTCTTCAGTTATCAATTTCTGTAAAATGGGCATAGTAATACTTCAAAGGGTTTTCATGAAAGTTAATGAAATAAGCATGTAAAGAACCTGGAGCAATGCCTAAAACCTGATATTAATGACTAACGTTTATTGAGCACATACTGTGTCATTTGGATTTACCAATTGTAGCAGATGGCTAGGATGAATCCCTTTACATACTTCCGGCACCCTGATTTTAGCTCAGCTTTCGATTGACAGTTCTGTACGCACTGCCAGGACCCCTATCAAGTTGCCATGATGTTTTTGCTTTGCACCACAAGGCTTTCCCTAGAGCCAAGGAAGACAGATCAGCCGTTTAGAGGTACAGCCCAGATGTGAGGGAAAGTTACCTCCCTGGGAAAACTTTCAACCAATGAGAAACATAACGTACTGGATGAAATCCCCAGCCTCCACTTTCTCTGGTGCTATGGTCCCCAACCTTTTTGGCACCAAAGACTGGTTTTGTGGAAGACAATTTTTCCATGGATGAGGTCAGCGGGAGATGGTTTCGGGATGATTCAAGTGCATTACATTTATTATGTACTTTACTTCTATTATTACTACATGATAACATACAATGAAATAATTCTACAACTCACAATAATTTAGAATCAGTGGGAGCCCTGAGTTTGTTCTCCTGCAACTAGACAGTCCCATCTGGGGGTGATGGGAGATAGTGACAGATCATCAGGCATTAGATTCTCATAAGGAGCTCACAACTGAGGTCCCTGGCATGTGCAGTTAATAATAGAGTTCGAGCTCCTATAGAATCTAATGACGCCGCTGATCTGACAGGAGGTGGAGCTCAGGTAGCAATGGGAGTGACGGAGAGCGACTGTGAATCCAGATGAAGCTTCACTGGCCTGGCGGCTGCTCACCTCCTGCTGTGAAGCCCAGCCCGATTCCTAACAAGACTTGGACAAGTATCAGTCCACGGCCTGGAGGTGGGGGACCCCTGCACTGGTGGGACAATTCTGAAGTACCTCTTAGAAGGCCACCTGGTATTATCAGTTGCTCATAGTAGCAAACATTTTATTAATTCATTCTCTACTGGCTTTACTCCCTTCCCTCTCTCCTTCATTCTTTTCTTTGGTTTTCTAAGATCATCTCTCAAATAAGCAAATACAGCCAGATTCCTAGGCTTTACCTTCTAAGTAACTCAACCTAAGACAAGTACTTAGCATGTGCCAGATACTGTTCTAAGTACTTTATATGATTAACACATCTAGCCCTCACAATAAAACTAAGATGTAGCTACTATTTTGAGTCTTATTTTATACATATGGAAACTTAAGATTAAGTACATTTCCTAAGGTTTCACAGCTAAAAAGTGACAAAGCTAGGATTCATATCCTGTATACCCAGTTACTTCATAATTTAAGTCACTACACCTCTTGCACTAAGTGCTCCATATTGTTAGAATTATGTTGGTGGCTTCTTAATAACTAAGATAACTGAGTGCCAAACAAGACATACTGAATCAGAAACTGACAGCAAAGGCTGAGATTACAGTGCTCATTAAGCTCCCCAAATGATTCTTATGCACACTAAAGGTGCACAGACTGGCTAATGTAAGCTATTATTTTGAAGGTACAGGTGAACATTCTTAACATCAACCAGAAGTGGCAATTAGCAGATTTGCCTGGCTTCCACTAAATATATTTAATATATAGCTGTATTAAAAGTTTGCATAAAGAAGCTACCTGTAACCCCAAACTTAAGCTGTATCATAAGAAAAAGAAAAGGCAGTGGCCCCATAACAGATTAAAACAACCAATTAGCCATTGTTTGGGGCAGAAGGGAATAATTGTTAGTCACAAGCATCCTGACCACAACTTGAAATCACCATGGGCTACCAGGGAGAGAAGATGAGAGGAAACACTCAATAAACAGACCCAATAAATTAAGGAACATAGAAGATGATAGCGTCTGGAAAATGCCCTAGTGTAGACCCATCATTCCCTGATGATGCTCAATGAAGGTAGTAATTAGATTAGGTAATAACCACAGCTCTCTGAGTCTTTAGCTACTTGAATTGCTTTAGGAATAACTTTATGCTACCTAGATTTGCCACCTTTATTTTAAGTTAGGAATCAGAAACTCATTTTTTCTTGATTACAGTGAATGTCAAGGAAGTTATAAAGATACTGTAAACCCAACCAGAGTCCTCCTCTGCCCTTGCTGAAAAGTCCATAATTGAACATGTGTAAGCTAAGCACTAGGCAAACACCGTCTTATTTAAATTAGACCTGTGAAGTCAGTAACGTTCTCTAGACTATATGGATAGTGGGATTTTAAATAACTTGCCCAGCTGCAGTGTAGTATACGAAAGTAGAGCCAAGATTTGCATTCAAAGCTAGTAAGTGATTTTTACTTCTCCTGCTCCTTTAGCAGAATTTGACATTAAATTTTTTTGAGGAACTCTGTTCCCTTGGCTGTTGTGATTACATCTTTTCTTGTTTCCTCCTACCTCGCCAGCTTCTCCATTACAGTTTAAGGTTTGGATAGTGTTCAAAATAAACTGTCTCCCTTTCAGGCCTATTCCTGTCTCACCCTACTACACATTCTCAGCTATGCCATCAAAATCAATTACAATCTGCATCACAATGATATATGAGATTTATATCTCTAAACCCTACCTATTCTTCAATACCTAGGCTCATAAATATTCAGGTGCCTACCTGGCATCTCTCTTTGGGCATTGCAATCACAATTGAAACTCAGTGTGCTCTCGGCTGGGTGCGGTGGCTCATGCCTGTAATCCCAGCGCTTTGGGAGGTCAAGGTGGGTGAATAACTTGAGGTCAGGAATTCAAGACCAGCCTGGTCAATATGGTGAAACCCAGTATCTACTAAAAATACAAAAATTAGCTGGGCATGGTAGCACATGCCTGTAATCCCAGCTACTAGGGAGGCTGAGGCAGGAGAATCACTTGAACCCGGGAGGCGGAGGTTGTAGTGAGCCAAGATTGAGCCATTGCACTCCAGCATGGGCAACAGAGCGAGACTCCAGAGCAAGATTCTGTCTCAAAAAATAAAAAATAAAAATAAGGAAACTCAGTGTGCCCAAAACCAAACTTAAGATTCACCTGAAATGATAGTTATCCTCTGGTTTCCCTGCCTCAGTATATGTTACTACCACCATCTATCCAGTTACACCAGCCACAAAACCAGCAGTCATTCTCTACTTGTTTCTGTTTCTCTCAAACTGTTTTCATTAGTTCTAACTCCTATCTCTCTCTTGAAACTGCATCTTTATGTTCAGATCCATGACTATTTCTCTAGTCCAAGCTACCATTATTTTCCTTTGAATAGTCATTGCTAAAACTTCCTAATTGCTTTATAGCATTAACTGTGGCCTTTTCCTTCTGTTCTCTACATTGCAACCACAATCATCTGTTCAAAAAAATGAATTTGGTCAATTAGTAATTCTTTCATCTGTGCTTTCTCAGTTAAAAATCTTTCTCTATTAATCTTTCAGATAGCCCAAATGTTACTTCTTCACATACTCTTCCCTAAGCCCTCTAAATAGTTCAATTCTCCATGTTATAAGCTTTTATAGTTTAATGAACCAGTGTAATTTTACAAGTATTTTCATGATTTTTTTATCAGTGTCATTATTGCATACTAGAGTGTATGTCTATGAAAGCAAAGGTTATATCTGTTGTCACATCATTGCGTCTCTAGCATGGTGACTGACAGTCGGTACTCAATAAGCCTTTGTTGACAAAATGAATGAGTATTTTCTCAAATTTACCTAAGACTCATATTGATGCTAGTTTACTAATTATCTTCAATTTTCAGTAGTTTAGTGGCATAAACTTTTTTAATCTAAGTATGCTGAAAAAATTGCAGTTAAACTACATTTGTTGAACATCATCAGGAAATAACGTAATCTACATTCGAGCATTTTTCAGATGCTACCCCTATGGGTACCGCATTAAAACCAATTAACAATTTAGATATTTTTTGCCTAACACATATTACATACTTCCTTACCTTCTTAAGTAGTATATTAAATGCACTTCAACTTTCAGATCTCAGCCCAAATGTCACTTCCTCATGTACTCTTCCCTGAGCCCTCTGTAGAAGTCAAGTCCCTATGTTATATGCCTTTATAGTTTAACATATTGTTTAAAAAGGGAATATTTGATCTTTGCATTAATTTTACTATGCTATAATTTATAAATGCTTTTTTGGAACCAATGAAGCCTATGCATAGATATGTCTCCCTTCCCTAAATAGTTAAATAGTTCCCTCCTACTGTTTTGCTTAAATTACTATGACTTTTTTTTTTTGTAATGTCTTCTTTAGAGTTGTGGTCAGGATGCTTTTGTCTAATAAACTCCTCCTTCCGCTCCCATACAATTTCCAGTTTGCTCCTTTCGCCTATGTTGCCATTACCTGTTTTGTAAAATGGCTTAAGTTTGGGGTGATGAGTAGTTTCTATATGCATATTTATTATGCAGATGTAGTAAATCAATATAGTAAAGCCAGGCAAATTTGCTGACTACCATTTCTGGTTGACATTAAGAACCTTCAAGCCTGGACAGCAAAGTAAGATCCCATCTCTACAAAAAAAATTTATAAATTAGCCAGGCATGGTGATGTGTACCTGTGGTCCTAGCTACTTGGGAGTCTGAGGTGGGTGGATTGTGTGGGCCCAGGAGGTTGAGGCTGCAGTGAGCTGCAATTGCACCACAGCACTCCTTCCTGGGCAACAAAGCAAGAGCCTGCTTCAAAAACAAAAACAAAAATAACTTAATCTATGCCTTCAAAATGGAACAGCTTACATTAGTGGGTCCAAAATAGCTGATGATAAGTATCATATAGAGAAGGAGCTAAGATGGCTTCAGAGACCTTCTCCCTCTGTTTTTTGATTCATATTCAACAACAATTTATATCACAAGGACATGGGTGCAGAAAAGAAAGAAAGGAATAAAAGATGAGTTAATGTGTGGGATATCGCTGTGGGTAAAGGGGGCCCAGCCCACTGGGCATCATCTGAGCAACCACGTGGAGCACCTCAGAAGTCTCTTACCTGAGGATACAAAAGCTCTGGCATTTATCCGTGGATTCCCTTGACCCACTGGAGGCTTTAACTACTTCTCACTTCTGGGTTGCCCCTGCTGTGGCTGAGTAAGCTCCTGTGAAGCTGGAGAAAACTCTCAGCCAGACAGAAGAAACATTGGGACGTTCGAGGGGGAAACTGCCTACTTTGGGAAGGGGAAGATAATATATGCATTGCAAGATAACTCAGGATGGACCTGGATACTAAATGCCAGTGGTATCTCCAATTCATTGTGACTTCAAGAAAGATGCCCACAAATTTTTAAAATACATCCTAAGTTATCACCCCCTCAGATAACCACTTGTACATGCATTTAATAAATAATTTGTTGAATAAGTTACCTAATTAGTATAAATATGAATTTTTTCTCCCCTAAATCTTTTGCAATTATAGTATAAGATGTACGAGTTTAGGGACTGAAGTTACTTTATATTTTCAATGAACAATCGTTTGAAGGAGATTTTTTCAAAGCAGGTAACTGCTTGAATTTAGAGTCCACAATTTTTCCTCAGATTTAATTTATTTAAAAACAGACTAGAAGTAATCCTCAGCAATTATCATTCCTGGAAACTAAATCTGTATCTTTACCTGGTGTATTAAATGAATCAAAACATTATACTACCATCATTTCATATTAAATTAGGCTACTAATTTTAAAAGTCACAAACACACACAATTTTTGCTTTGTGCCAAAAAGCTAATTTTAGAGGCATAGTGGTGAGTTATGCAGTGGTTTTTTAAAGAAATAAATCTACCAGGTGCTAGAAATATATAATATAAACCACTGTAATTTACAGGGTACATGTAACCTTGTATAGCCATTCGTGCTGGTGGTAGATTTGAAAAGTTAGAGTAGGCCCAGGCAGTAATCGACATGATGCTTGTCAATTCAACCCTCAGTAGATAATAATTCATGTGACTTTCCAGAATGTTTTATCACTTGGCTCTTACAGAGGGAGAAATGTTTTCTGGCTTCCCTATAAAACATAAGACCCAACGCTTCTCAGTTTCTGTTTTCTGGTTAGAAAAATAGAACGAGGCCAGGTGCAGTGGCTCACGCCTGTAATCCCAACACTTTGGGAGGCCTAGGTGGGTGGATCACCTGAGGTCAGGAAAGAAAGAAAGAAAGAAAAAGGAAGGAAGGAAGGAAGGAAGGAAGGAAGGAAGGAAGGAAGGAAGGAAGGAAGGAAGGAAGGAAGGAAAGAAAAATCAAAGCCAATGAGTTAATTTTTTTATTCCAAACCATACCATGAATACCTAGATTCCGGTAGCACATTTTCTGAGGCAAACAGAGCCCTTGAGTTTAGGGTTGTGCTTTTCTTAAAAGAGTGTTTGTTACCTCTAATGCCTGAACTCAGCATTACCTTTAAGCCAGTCACCGTGCCAGTTTCCAGTTGTGACTAATCTTTACTTGCTGGAACTCTAAACTGTTACAAATGCACCATATATGTATGTTTTAATTATGGTAATCATTGAGCCCTGACAGTCACTCAAAGAGGGCATTCTATATTCCCAGGCAGCACAAGAGGTGTCAGAACAGCATGCCTTTAGTTGGCTACCTTCTTCATAGCACGTTTGCTTCAGTCACAGACTCAGTGTCCTGTACCCATGTGGTCTGACTAATCTTACTGGTCCTACAATTATTTTGTCACTGTGATGGCTGAAAGGTAATCTAAGAAAGGTAGTGTTTGTTTTTTGTTGTGTGTATTTTTTTTTCTTTTTTATATTGATGGTTCTGTCTGGCAGAATCTAAAGTACTACTAGTGGCAGATATTCTATTTTTTATGTGTATTGTACTATTCTTCAAAAGCAGAATTGTAGACGAAGGACAAACAAAATAGAACTTGCTATAAGATGATGTTCTGGACAGAAGCTATGCACTTTTTGTTATGCCTACTTGCATAAAAGAAAAGGAATAAAGAAAGAAGGAGGGGGGTAATTGATAACATTTTAAATGTGATATTTTAGTAAATTAGCCCAACCACTGCATTCAGAAAATGTCATTTGTGCAAAAATATCAACATGTTAAAATATGAAGAAAGGAATCCTTTCCTTTTTAAGTTTTCTTAAAGCTACTAAATAGATTTTTTAATACCTAAAATGTCTACAGTTTCCCATTTTGTTAGAATGAAATCATTTATCTGTGGTGTAACTTCAGAGGTTATTTTTTTAATATGAGAAATAAACCATCAAGGTACATAGTAAAATGAATCTGGAAATATGTTAATCTCCTACTTATTCAACTGTACTAGAGATTTAATATTGATATTGCTGGGAGCTGAACAAGAGCCAAACTAATTCCACAAAAGTGCTCTATCTGCATATTAACTACTGAAAATGCACAGAGATACAATCCTATTTATGCTACTCTGCAGCATTTGATGTGATTTAGTTTTGCAATCTCTTCAGCTTTTTAAATGTGCTGCTATACCTCCTCCCACTTAACCTGGAGAGAGGGATGCTCCTTTAAGTCAAACTTTAGAACACCCTACATTATACATTTTGAAAATGTAAATATTTATAGAAAAGAGAATTCATTTCATCTCACGGCCTTATACATTTCTTTTATCCCAATGTATAATACATTGGGATAATTCAGTGGGTGTCCACTGAATTATGAATTTTCTTGAGAAAATAAATAAATAGGTTGCTTCCTTTATCCAGTCAAGTATGGCTGGATCATGTTTTTGACACACAGAGTCACTAGCAGCCTTCTTGAGATAAAAATACAGATTTCAGATTATAGTCTGCAATTAAGGTTGACGTGACGTCAAAATTTAATCAGCAGCAAACAAAAGATAAATTACTTTTCTCATTTTGTAATTTCTGAGATTGGGCATGATGCACCATAGAAAGTAAGTTTAATTTCTGTGTAATAGCAATTTCCAGAACTGATCTTAAAAGTCTCAACTTATCTTTGAAAATTTTATTTTCTTCATAAATTAAATGACAATTTTTAAAAATGACTTTGCAAAAGGAGCCATAAGAAGATTACCTTAGTTCACAGATTCACAATGGAAGTTTTAAGAAGATATAAAAGAATTTTCCTAGAATGACAAGTAGCATATTCTGGAAGAAAGAAGGCATGCTAGGGCATTTCCAGCATTATATTGTAGTAAAAACATATACATATAAACACACACATATATAATAGTTTTCATAATACTATCTCAATACCGGAAAGCTTGACACAATCTTGGGTGAAGGTACTACTATGTAACACTTTGAGGGGGCATAGCCCAAAGAGCATAGTAGAAAACGCTGAGATTGAAAGATTCACGTGTATTGAAAGGAAAAATACCTTTTAAGTAATAGTGAAACTTATCTTTCAATCATATATTTTACTGGTGCCTATAAAAGTAAATTTGATTTATTGAGACTCAGATATGCACACAATGTTTAAGAATTGAATTTAGCTATTGAATAAGTGAAGTGTAACAGTATACGGGAATCTCCTGGAATCAGGAAGGAAGAAAATCCCCCATCCACCTGTGTCCTCTATTTCTCATTTTCTCAGGTGTAAAAATGTTGTCACAATACCCTTTAGCCATAGTTATGCTGTTAATCTTTTTCTTTTTTGCTTGTTTGGTTTTGGTTTTGGTTTTCTTTCCTCCAGCGAATAACTAAGTAAAGGAACTGCTTTTGATTAGGACCAAGGAAAAGATTAATTGGCTGCCCTGTTATGTTCTTTTAACCAATAAAATCTTTATTCTTTTTCATATTTTAGGCGAACTGCCTATCAATCAATGCTTTTATTTTCATCCAAAAAAGAACATATTGCAAACAAGAAATTGCATTCCTGGCTCACATAACTCCAGATAGTGTTTTTCTTTCTCAGTTTATACTACCCCTCATAGACCAGGGAGCTAAAAGCTGACTTAATCGGTCTGAGTCTAAACCTGAAAAAGAAGCTTCTTGAAATATAAGATTTCTCTCCTTCCACAATTTTCCAAAGTCATTGTAGCATGGGAAACCTCAACACACACTCTGCAGAAGATTCAGTGATTTTTTTCAATGTGTACAAATACGCATTTAGATTTTTTCAATATTATTATCAGAGAGAATGCTTCAATTCTGAAATAATGCTTATACCCAAGAATGGTAAAATAACAGAACTGCATTTCAAGTGCAAATATTGATAATAAAGAGTGAACACTTGCAAAATTAAAGGAAATCAAGATAATTTGAATACCCCTGAAGGACAGGGATCCAGAAACTAATGTTTAAGGTGGCTCTGCAGTATTTGGAATCTCTGCATAATGAATAATATGGGCAATTTCCTTTGCATATTGTTTTTTCTCTTTTCATTTATTCATCATACAATGCATATGTATCAATGTGACTAGGTTACAGCTTTTCCAGGATTGTACACCAGCTTGCTATAATTACATTGTAATATAAATGGCTGAAAAGAATTTGCCTCAGTCAATTGGTGACCTTGATTTATTTTTCCAGGTCATGAAGAGCCATCTTTGAACCTCATCAAAAATTCTGACTTAATAGCAGGTGTCAGCCTTTAATATTCCTCTAGTTGTCACAATCAGGCTTGTCAGAAAACAATCCTACAAAAATAATAAAACAAATTGAATAAAATTTTATTTTTCCATTTTAAAGTGTTTTACAAGTTATAAATAAAAGAAAATACAGCTTATATGACACAAGACAAAAGGGAAAGAGGAAAAATGTTTTCCATAAACTCTTCATACTCTCTATATTCCTTTGAAAGCAGCAGATTGAGTGGGTTTTTGTGAATTTATAAGAGAGTATCTAAAGCTTCCATATTCCTGGTTACCTTTCTGAGAACAGCACATCACTTAAAACTGCATCTGTTTTAAGATGTTACAATCCTTCTTAGTGTTAGAGCAAATCTTTCAAATGTTATTACATTTACAGCTGCATAGTACATTCAAGTACTGTCACATTAGAGAAATCCTAGACTGCTGGCCATCCTTTCTGTAAAAGCATGTGATCAAATTTGAGCCCAGGTTGTAGAGTCAACATTCCTGTGTCAAGGCAAATTTGGAGCTGATGAAAACAAGCCTAGGCTTGCTTATCAATCTGAGATAAATAAATGTTCCAGTTGGGCACACACGTTTTAAATAAGAATTTGATAGAGACCCCACTTTCCAGAACAAATTCACCCAAGCATTTTTAACTTGTAGTTATCTGGGGCAGTTCTCTGTGATGGACTGCAGTGAGACAAAGACATGGTGTGGGGCCTTCAAAGTTGAAAGGAAGAGAAATCAGTGAACCTCAAATGGCAGCTACCTCCATTGAAGCTGGGTAATTGTATTTGCCCATTCAGAAGGGACCTCCTGAGCTCCAGGCACATAGCCCTTTGAGACCCCAGAGCCAAGCTCATAGAATTGGAATGACCTCTTTTTACCACATGACTCTAGGGTTATGATTCCTCTTTTACATGTTTGGGAGGGATGACCAATGGGGTAATTCACTCCCGGCTACTGTTACTCTCTCATTCATTCTGACATCCTGCTCCCAAGGACTCTATTCTAAGTCAGGAGGCACATTTGTGACACTCAGGGTTTCAAGGAAAGCTACTAACTTCTGCTCAGGATGCTGACTTGATCACAAGAAACTGATAACAGATTTGAGGTTGGATATAGCCAGAAATGTGCTGGTATTAATAAAATGTTTAACAACCATCCCTCCCAGAAAAGGCATGGCAATTTCTCTGGTATGGCTAATTTCAAAGTACCGACATAATGAGGTCAGGAAGCTAGGAAGAGATGCAAGCAATTGTCTCAACCAGCTGCAGCACACCACTGCATATAGGTCTTAAAGTTCAGGAAACCATTCATCTCCATGCCAGAGTTCCTTATCTGTTAACAGTAAACTCTTGTTAACTCTTAAGATTCTCATATGAGGAGAAGTAACAAAAAGAAATTTGTATAAAATGTTAATAGGACGTGCAAAAAAAAACCACAAGTCTAAGAGCGTCCCACTGACTAAACATAAGACAATTTATGCTTTTAAAAAATGCTTGTATGAGTTATACACCATTGAATAAAATAAAAATCCATGAGTACATATTTAAACAAATAAATGAATAAGGGACCAGGGAAAACTATTCCTTAATATAGAAACCCAACTAGTAAATGTTCAAGGAATGGTGAATTAGAAAACCATCATTGTGCAATAAACAGTAATTGACTAGGGCAAGAATAAAACATTTGTAGACAAAAAAATTTATGTGTATTCAAAATATCTTTTCACATATAACATATTAATTACCTAGAGAAAATTACCCACTTCTTTAAAGTGAAGAAATGGAAGATAGTACCTTAAAGGAATGATCAAAATTAACGATCACCAATAATATGGATAAAAACAAAACAAACAAACACACAATGACAACAAAATAAAACAAGATGTGCTTCCAGGTGTGATGAAGGATGCAATATTTGATTTCTGTGGAATTTTTGCCAAAAATGCATAAATTGAATCTAATTATGAGAAAACATCAGACAAAATATCAAAGTCATCAGTTATGCTACAATATAACTCACATATACTCTAAAATATGCTAAAGTAATAAGAATGAGAGGGAAAAAGAAGACCAAGGAACTATTTCTGATTCAACAAGTCTAAAAGACAGATGACAACTCAAGACAATGAGTGATCTTAGACTGAAAATAGCTAGAAAAGGACAGTATTGAGACAAGTGGTGACATCTGAAATACTGACTGTGAATTAGGTAATCCATGCATCATATAAAAATCCTTGTTAATTTCTTTATTTTGATAATTGTATTGTAGTTATATAAGAGAATATCCTTTTTCTTAGTACACACTGAAGTATTCAAGAATTAAAAGGACATGAGATCTGCACCTTGTTCTTTCTCTCTCATGTATATATAATGTGTAGATAGATTTAGATACCATTCTTTCTTATATATGTATGAGAGATATATAAGAAAAATGCATATATATAAATATAGAGAGACAGATAAAGACAGAAAGAGACAGAATGGTGAAGCAAATTTAATCTTTGATGAACTTAGGTGAAGAGGAGATTGTAATTCTTTACCTTATTTTTGCAATTGTTTTGTTAGTTTGAAGTTGAAGTAAAAGAAAATTATTTTTAAAAATCAGCAATTGAGCTGGTTTTTGGATTTGGAAGAGAGTAACTAAAGCATCCGTATTCCTGGTTACCTTTCTGAGAACAGCACAGCAGTGAAAATTTATCCATTTAATGTGCCCTATATGTTCACAGTAAGTCAGTCACTTTGCTGGGCATTGGGAGCATAAGGGCACATCATTCTTGTCTTTGAAGAGTTCACAGGGCACTGTAGGACAAGTTAAATATGATTTTACAAAGCAATAGTAGAGCGTTGCTGAATAAGAAGACAAAAAAAGTCAGTTAACCCATTAGAAGAGATGATGGAAGGGTGGGCAAGGAAGGATTTCCAGATGGGTGATGCCTGGGCTGATCTTTGAAGGATGAGCAGGAGAAAGCCAGATAGATGAGTGGGGAAGGCAACCATGGTAATGGCAGCAGCCTATGCAAAGACATGAAAATATGGAGCACTTGGCAGAGTGATGAGAGGACAGAGCTATGGTCAATATCATGGGCTTTGAAATCAGAAATCAGACAGACTTTTTATTTGAATGCCATTTCTTCCATTTACTAGTTACATATTAATGCAGATTTACTTGATCTCTCTAGGCCACAGGGTCCTCATTTGTGAAGAGAAAATAGTATTAATTTGTTATTGACAGAGTTACTTTGGGATGAAATAAAACAATGCATGTAAAGTATCTGATACAAAGTAAACTTTCAGAACATGTCAACTGCTGCTGCTGTTGCTGTTACTGTTTTGGGACTTCAGCTAGATAGAAAAGATCTGAGAGAGGGATGTATGATAGAGAGATCAGACATATAGACCCGCCTCAGTCATAAAGGGCATTTCAGACTATTTTAAAGAAAGCTGACCAACACTTATCAGAAATTTCAGTTAGCAGTGGATGTGTTAATTTATACATTTGTGATACAACAATGCTAAATATTTTGAATTAACTACATTATTTTTTTCCTTGATCATCTAGCTCACTATGATGGTTATGTGCAACTGGAGCGTTTCGTTTGTTTGCTTTGTTGTTTTAATAGGTTTGTTGATATATTATTGGCAGAATAGTGTATTTTCTTCCTGGCCTTCACAACATAAGCCAGAATCACTGTGACTTTGCCTCGACCATAGCTTGCACATAGTTGCAGCCATGAAGTAAAAAAGGAGACAAGGACACAGAATCTAGGGTTGTGTGAGTGGTGACTGGGAAGCAACAAATGTCTCTATTTCTCCTCTTTTTGTGAATAATTTGTTGACCCTGACCTTAAAGAAGCCTAACAAATCTTTACTCCAGACTGCAGAGCAACTGTAATAAATGTTGCAGGGAGTATATCTTTGTGGTTAAGACCTCGGGCTCCAAAGTCAGACTAGATTCAGACTCTGACTCTGCTGCTTATCGACATATTGACCTTGGTCCATTTATTTTATGCTATACAGTACCCAAATTTTGCATTTGAAAAAAAAAAAGGATATAGAAATAGGCCACTATCTCTTACTGTATTCTTGTGAAAAATAAGTGAAATATGCACATAAAAACTCTTTTATGCATATAGTGATGGTAGTGGCAGTGGTGGTGGTGGTGGTGATGATGATGATGATGTAAGCATTGGTGGCAGCAGCTTTCAGTTCACTAATTCACCCATTATTCAGAAATGCTTATTTTTTCAGTCAATATGTTAGGTACCAGTAGTAGAGAAATAAAGAAGGTACAGTTTCTGCCCCATGAAAATAAGATGTACTGGGAAAGAAAAACCCCAGAAAAATAAATCAAGTTCTTCATTTTAATACTGGAAATATGTATAACTACAAGAAGATCTGATAAAAACCTACAAGATAATTGTGTGAATGAGACTGAGCCTTTAGAGACATCTAGCTGAGAAAGGTTGCATTGTATAAAGTCTTTTTGGACTAACAAATAAGAAGTTAACTTTGTGAAGAGTACACAGTGTAAAGATATAAAATAGTCAAATGAAAACAGCATGATAAGCCAGGAATCAAGAATTAATGGTTGAAAAGAAGAGCTGATTGATCCCTAGCTGAGGCTAGCTTTAACATGCAGGAAAACAGAAATCCCTAATATTAGCCTCTGTTGGGGAAAATAATGGCAGATGTGTTCATTCGTCCCAAGGGAAGTCTGTTTTTACTCAATATGGCAATCCCAGATTTCTTTTCAAGCAGAATAGCCCATGAGAAAAGGCCGGTCTTAGAATTCTGTCTGTCTCTTAGGTTGTCAGAACTAAGAGATCAGCAAAGTCAGTTTCCTAAAGGGCAGTCATAGTCACAATTGCATTAAAAGCGTCCGGGGAGTTTAAAAAATACACCTTCCTGGAAACCCTTTCCAGATACTTTAAGATTGTTGAACTTTGCTTTGTCACTCACCTCCCCTTCCCACCACCACCATGTGATTCTGATAAGCTACTAACTCATCAGTAAACCATTCAGCAGTCACCCCTTTCCCCATGAGCCCCCAAAAGGAAATCCTTATAGTAAATCTTAAAATCAGAAAGTGGCAAAGTTGGGATTACAATTCAGGTCTTCTAACTCCTAATAGCAGAACTTTTCCTGTTAGACTGTAGAAAACCTAGAAGACAGTACTGCCTTTTCACCTGCTTTTTAAGATGCCAATTAGAGCAACCGTTAGAGCAATCCTTTTGAATTACAGAAGAGCTTTCAGATCAGGAATCACAAAATACCAGGCCGTAGGCTACTTCTGAACACCAGGCAATTTCAATTACTTTACACATAATTTTTTAATGATTTGTAATGGCTTTACATTGAGCATGCCTTCCCCAATTGGCCAAAAGCTCCTCCACAGAAAATTGTCTTATACCCGGACACTTTCATTTATATACTTTTTGATCCAGTCCCTTGGGAACATTTGAGCTTATGGTCTAAGTTCTATAGAGCCACAGAAAAGCAAAAAAAACTCTACCAGAAAGTAACTTGCTAGCACCATATGAACACATTAACACAGATTAATCAATTTGCCTAATAATCTCTTAATCAAAAAATAAAAAAAGGGCAACAAAGATGCGTAGGAACGAAAAAAGTCTCAGAGTGCCTTTGGTAGCCAAACTACCTTTCTTCCCTTTTTATTCCTCAACATTCTACCACATACCTCTTTCTTTCTAGACATAGCTGACTCATAGAGAGCTGGACACTTATCCCAAGGGCTACATTGGGCCCATCAGATTCTTTCTCTGAGAAAATTGCAATTGGTTTACTTAAAGATCATGTCAATCAAATTCAGGCACCAGATCTGTAAAGTGAGGTGCCCCAAATACCGAGGTCACTTGCAAAGCAAGTTAAGGTGAGTCATCCTTTGTAAATAAGAAGAGGATACTGTCTGAGATAAAGGAAAAAAGATGTATTGGAGAGAAGAAATGTATACACGTGCTTCCTCAGAGAAAAGCAGACGGAGAGGATAATTGCTTTTATTATATTTAATAGATGGCTTCCCAGGTTTTTTTTTTTTTCAAGTTCCACATAAGGCATGGCTACAATGTCTGCTCCTGGCTTTGGACAGATGGCCATTCTCATTTGCTTAGATAAGTTATAGTGGGTTTCAGTTACGTTCTTACAATCAAACAATCCTTGGCAAAGACAGCCACCTAAGGGATAAACTTTAATCTGAGAGAAGGATAGGGATAGCACAGAACAGGCTGGCATCAGAGGTCAGCCCAGAGAGTGCATACCATAGATAATGGAGTCCCTAGGAGGGTTTGGAAGCAGTAGACTTTCTGGCAGGGAGTTTAGTGAATTGGGAAAGAAAAAAGGGAAGATTCATTCCCATGGAAAGAAAATGTGGGAGGAGGAGAGTGCAGCTTATGAAAGTGATGACACCAATGACAAATTTTACCTACTTTATAATTTTAACACACACTGTCCCTGAGCCTGTGAAATATCTTTTTAAGGCCATATCTACATCAAAGCTGTAAACACCAAGGCTGTTTAGGGTATTTCCATTCACTGAATTAATTAGCAGACATTTTAACTGAATCAGACCATTTCAAAGACTATATTTTCTTAATTGTTTTTATTATAAAAAAGAATAGTTGCATTTTTGCAATTTCAGCTACAGTAAACTTTGAAGTATAATCTGAAGTATAAACAAGTTTATTGGGATGCCACTGAAGCCATATGTGTGAGTCTGAACTGCTCTACAGCCACCTCAGAGCCTCCACAGCTATCAGTAAGCATGGTAAGATCAGACTGTGCTCCTTAGGTTTCTGTCTAGCTTAGGGCTCCCCATCCCCTGGGCCACAGACTGGTACCAGTCGGTGGCCTGTTAAGAACTGGGCCTTACAGCAGGCCGGGCGAGCCCGCATTACTGCTTGAGCTCCGCCTCCTATCAGAACATTAGATTCTCATAGGAGTGCGAACCCTATCGTAAACTGTGCATGCAAGGGATCTAGGTTGTGAGCTCCTTATGAGAATCTATTATCTCCCTACCACCCACCCCCTCCACGTCCACGTCTGTGGAAAAATTGTCTTCCATGAACTTGGTTGCTGGTGCCAAAGAGTTTGGGGACTGCTGCTCCAGCTCAAACATTTCCTGATAGCAGGTGTCTAAGCTGCAATGGAAGCCAATTCATACACCCTTAGAGTGAGTATGTGCGGTCTGAAGCTCAGGGTTTAAGAAAATACCCCGCTGTTCAACTGTTACTACAGGCCTCCCATCCTTTCCTCATGTAAAAACAGAGGTCTTGGTTCATCCACATCTGCTTTAAAGTTTATTATCTTTTACTAAATGCACAATTGAAGCAACAAAAAGGAAGAGGAAGGATCCCTTCGGGCTTAGGCTTAGGATCCTGAACCCCACCTCATGAAAACATTTTCTCTATCTCTGACCCATGTGGTGAAGAATGAAGAATCATCCGACCATCAGCTAACTTAGACTTTTTAATTATTTGGCTATGATGAAATAAGGAGCTCATCAGTGAAATTAACAATCTTGGATCAGAAAATTTTTAGTTCTAGCCAGAGAAAAGAGGACATTTATTTGACTTTTTATTCTTCCAACATTAAATTTCACTAGATTATAATGACAAATTATCCTTTGATCTGATGCTATTGGTTATTTTTATGTGGACGTCAAGAAGATGAACGTAGTCTGACATTTTAAAATCCTTTGTAAACTCAAACATAAAATCCATGGAAACTCTAGGTTAGTACTATAATGCTTACTGAATGAATGCTTAACTATGGTTTTCTTAGACTGAAGGTAGATTTTTCACGACACTGAAACAAATAGAAGCTAGGCTTATGATAGTTTTATAAACAATAGTAAATTGTAATATTATAGGGTATGATTTAAGAGTGGGAAAAATCAACCTGTACTTCTGTGACACGTCATGAACTAGTTTTTTTCAATGTTGATTTTAATCTAATAAAGTGAAAATACCATATAAAAAGGTTGTGTAGTATTTGCACACACAAAAATTGCCATCTGAAAATATTTGTGGAAACCTATTTTTATGCCTGAATCTAAGTTGAATGCATAATTTAGTACTTATTTTCTGAACAAATAGTCTGGAAAAATTTCATGCACAATTGATGATAATATGAGTGTGCAGTCCATGGCTGGAGTTCATTAACGTATTCATTCTGTATAAGCTCTGTGTGCAAATTTAAATAGTAGTTTTCCAAAAAATGGCTCATAATAACTCCAAAACATCAAAACCACTCATTCTTACTATCGATGGTGGAGCCCAAAGACTTCCACATGTTGAGCAAATATTTTGGAAGACAATTTCCAACTCTTAAAAAATTATAACAATATGAATATAATTTGCATTCAGATTAAACTTAATACAAAATTAAAAAAGAAAACTGCAATATATAAAACAAAAATTTCATATGGAAATAAAGGGGAAAGTATGTGTGTGTCTATGTGAGTGCATGTGTGTGTACAAAATTTCTAGTGACATCTCCAAAATATTTGTTTTCATTTTTGTTTTGTCTTTCATATTGTGATTCTGTGACTTCAAAAGTAGATTTTTAAAGCCAGGCACAGAAAGACAAATATCACATGATCTCACTCATATATGGAATCTAAAAATTTGTTCTTGTATAAGTGGAGAGTAGAATCATAATTACCAGAGGATGAAGGGGGCAATGAGAGATTGGAAGATGAGTACAAGCTACAATTAGAAGACAGAAATTCAGGTGGTCTATTGCATAGTAGTATGACTAGAGTTAACAACATGGTAGTGTATGTTTCAAAATAACTACCAGATAGGTTTTGAAATGTCCTCATCACAAAGAACTGATAAATGTTTAAGGTTGATGGATATACTAATTACTCTGGTTTGATCATTAGACAATTTATACATGTGTAGGGAAACATCACATTGTACCCCACAAATATGTACAATGATTATGTATCATTCATAATCTTTTAAAGTAGATTTTTATGTACACTTGACAATTGGTGAGAATAAACTTTGAGTGTTTTCACTATAAAAGCATGATAAGTTTGTGACGTAATGCATATTGTAAAAAGCTTGAGTTAGCCATTCCACAATGTATGTTTATCAAAACAACACGCTATACTCTAAATATTTACAATTTTATTTTTCAATTAAAAAATAAGCCAGGTGCCATGACTCACACCTGTAATCCCAGCATTTTGGGAGGCCAAGGCAGGCAGATCACCTGAGGCCGGGAGTTCGAGACCAGCTTGACCAACATGGAGAAACCCCGTCTCTACTAAAAATACAAAATTAGCCAGGCATGGTGGCGCATGCCTGTAATCCCAGCTACATGGGAGGCTAAGGCAGGAGAGTCACTTGAACCCGGGAGGTGGAGGTTGAGGTGAGCCAAGATGGCGCCATTGTACTCCAGCCTGGGCAACAAGAGCGAAACTCCATCTAAAAATAAATAAATAAATAAGTTAAAAAACATTTTAGGGAGGAAAAGGTAGATTGTCAAAAAAAATGATGTATGTATCACTACATTCACAAAAACTTCTTAAAATAAAGAATATTTAAATATTATTTTTCTAAGAAAAGTTTTGTTTATCCGTATGAACTAGAAATCCCCAAATCCCCTCTTTAAATTTTATCTTACTGAGCATATGTGTAAATACTTCTCTTGGGCAGGCAGAAGAGGTTCTGCTATGATTGGTGCACAAACGTTGCGTGCTTTATTTGATGTACAATTAATTGCTTCAAGTTGGTTATGGTGTGGCAGAATAATTCATTTGTCTTAATTGAGTTGCAGTTTTGTGAATTATTATTTCAAAGAAAGAAGAATAATTGCTAGAAATAAATAGAATATTTTAAATAAACATGCTTTCCGAAATATAACCCAAACCTAAGGCATTATTTTGCTTTATATGGTGTATAATACAATGCTTTAAATTTTTAGACATCTCATTTATTGAAATGTATAATACTGGGTATTTTTTATAATTTCAATAGTTTCTACATTTTAATACTTGATTCATGATTTTTTATATTATCAGTAAAAGTAAACATACCTTAATGAATCCTCTATAAACAAATAACTGATAAATCAATGAAACTTCTGTAGGAAAACATTGTCTACAAACCAAGATTACATATATAAAGGTTCAGTTTTGCAAGAGTATGCCTTTCAGCACTGATGCATTACATAAGAGGACTTGACAAGGTTGGAATTTGTGTTACTAATGGAAATTATTTCTTCAAGAATTAACCTTTAGGCTAAAAAGAATGACAGATATTCAAATAATCTCAAATGAGTATTTAAATTGAAAATTTCTATTCATTCCTGCCCCCCAACAGAACTTCCATTCTGGATTCCAGTGTGTCATACACACAATTGAATTCTTAACAGCTGCCATTCAAAAGAACTGCAGAGGACCATTTGAAAGTAATATTTTGCTCTGTGTGACATCTCATTTTTTTTCCCTCAGAAATCATAATTTTTTTACACACCTTGTAGTCTTCCTAACAAGAAACCAGCTCTGCCTGTCATTTTGATTGGGGAGGAACCTTGTTTTCCAGGTCACTGGCTTGAATCCTGGAGACAAGATATTCATGAGGGACCAGTATGGGGAATTTACATCTCGGTGGAGAGTTTTCCTCTCCATTTGCCAGCATGCCAGGTCAGTGAGCCGCTCTGTCAGAGGGAAGATAATGGTTGCTGTAGTGGCCCCCGCTTATTACACATTCAATGCTTCTGACCTTCTTGGGAGACCCCCCAAAAGCCTTCTGATTTGGGGCATCCCTCTACCCTTTAAGGCCTTTTCACATCTAGATCATCCTGTTTAAAATACAACATTATTCATGTCTTTGAGGGAGGCTACCCTTCAATGCCAGATTTTATACTTTTTCTCCCTCTAAAAACTTTCTGACTATGCAAAGGAATAAAAACAAAATTGTTTCATTTTTAAGATGAACTTTAAGAAACACTCAAGATCAAGGCATTCAATTTAGTAAAAATAAAGTAGAAGAAAATAATCAATGTGATTGAAAGGAAAAAAACTCAGTTTGTCCACCTCTATTTACAACTTGAATGAGACATCCTTGTAACAAACATTTTTGTATTTGTTTTGTATTTTTGACATCAAAATAGCAAATTTTACTTTTAAAGAAATTAAATTAAAAATATATAATTTAGTAGAGCATATTGCTGTCTTAGGACTTGGCAATGTTAGAAATGATGACTCTTCTTGTGTTTATTCCTTAATTTGATTCTTTTCTTTATAATGAGATGGATATTTCAGGACACCAAGAGACGGAGACAAAAGCAGAGAGATAACTGTGCCTTTATTTTCTCTCCCAGGCATTCAGATGTTATCTAAAATAATTCTGCTCTCTACCTTATTTTTCAAAAATTTCTTTTAACAACCAAACAAGCATCCCTCTGACCACTTGGATGAGGATCCAATAGAGAGAGATTTACATGCAAAGCATGGTATCAAAACTGAATGACTTCCTCAAAGTAGGGAAGGAAGTATTACTTCCTCTGGAACAGAGTAGGTGGACCAGAGGTAGTTTTTAGTCACAACTTTCTACCTCATGTACGATACATTCACTGGTGACAACAACAAGCAAGGATGATACCTTCGTTAGAGTGACTGTCACAAGAATTTTCCAAACATTCTGTATTTTCCATCTTTAAGTTAAAATGTATTTGTTGGCAAGAAGGGCATGCATGCTCCCATCCAACTTTTAAAACTCCTATAGATTAAAAATTACATATTTTCTCCAAAATTGGAAACATAATTACTTGCTGAAGTTGAAAGACTATTGGTGTATTTCCACTAATTAATATCTTTTGTAGGTTTCTTAATTTAAAATTTTAAATCTGAATCTTGACAATGTGCTAGAATCATCTGACTGCTACATAAGATGACAACAACAAAAAACAGAGTCATTACAGTATATGAGCTTGCATTTTGCAAGTATAAATGTGTAGTAAACATTAAGACTGCTTTGGTGGAGGTGGAAATTTTTAAAAAATCTATCTAAATTTTTAAAAAGTGAAATTTCTGAAAGTCCAGTTTCATGCCAGTTGCCTTGGGATATTTTCCATTCAGATTCTACATGTATTAGGAACACAGCAATTAGTCCTGTAAATGACAAAACACAGAAAATCACAAAGGTGAGCCCTATCAGCCTTTAACATTCACATTGAGGGACTAGCTTCCAGGAAAGGTTCAGATTTTATCAGAGGTTTACCAACATTTTGGTGTCAGAACCTCTCTCACTCTTAAAAGACATTGAGGACCCCAAAAGCTTTTGTTTATGTAGGTTATGTCTATTGACATTTAACACATTCAGGAATTAAAACAGTATTTTTAATGCTTATGTATTAATCCATTTAAAATAATTTCATTTAAAAGTAACAGAAATAAACCTATTACATGTTAATATAAATAACATATTATTTATTTAAAATAACTGTATTTCCCCAAACAAAATAGTGAGATGAATAGCATTGTTCACATTTTTTAATGTCTGGGTTAATAGAACATAGACTTTCTCAACTACTTCAGCATTTAATCTAATTCAGTATGCTGGCTTTGTTGAACTGTATGAGGAAAATTTGATGTTGCTCAAGAATATAGTTTGAAAATCAAAGAGTATTTTAACAACCTTTTAGGAAAATAGAGTATATTTTTTCATTGATACTATACCAAAACTCAACCTGTGGTAATTTCTAATGGCTAGTTCTAATGTGGACTCTGAACTTACAGAAGATGAACATTTTATACTATTGAAACTGCCCTTATAAACTTTATAAAATTCATCTTGGAAGAAGGGATGGGGAGAAACAAAAATCAACCAAGCTTGCAGCACATTCAGCGTTAATCACGAAGTCAGCATACTCTAACCTGCTTCCTAATAGTTGTTTGTGCCTATTGTCCTGGAATCACATAGACCCTATTACAAGATTATAGCTCCCCTAAACTGCTCTGTAGATAATGACTTGAACATTATGAAACATTAAGTTTTCCCTCTGATATATTCTTTTAGGTCCTGTATAACAGTGAAACTATGTGCATCAGCTGGTCTGAATTACCCCACAAGAAGCTGATTCACCAGAGAATGCGGCTTTCATATCCTGATGATTTCATACCTCTCTCCCCACTCAATCAACAAACCCAAATTTTCAGTCCCTCATCCTCCAGGATCCCCTTAAAAACCCCAGTCCAGAATTCCTCAGGGAGATGGATTTGAAGGTCTCCTCCCGCCTCTTTCCTCAGAACCTGGCAATCATTAAACTCTTTCTCTGATGCAAACCTTGCTGTCTCAGTGTAATTGGTCTGTTATTGTGCAGTGGGCACACGAACGCATTGGTCCTATAACACCATGTTATATTAAGTCATTAGTCATTTTTTTATGATAATCTTTTTTCACTTTAAATAAATGTTTTATCTAGCTGTGCATGATTTTATAACACCATGAAATGATATTTGGAGAATTTCGGAACACTGAGTGATGTGTTTCAAATATTGACATGTTGAATTATATAGTACAAAAAAATCCCATTTGTAAATATTACTACAGATCACATTATAAAAATCTTTAAGTATTGGGAAAGTGTCAAATTCAATGTGGGGAAACAAGTGTTAAGTTCTAATTTTTGTTTGAAATTTTTATCTTTGGCAATAATAAGTACTGTCAGTTGCTTTCCTTGAAGTGACAGGCTCACTTTGCTCACTTTCAAAAAAATATCTTCCACATATCCTAGTCTTCATAACCATAGTTTGTCAGTTGTCCCTTCAAGTATAAACAGTGCTCAAAGAAAAAAAAATGTGACTAATTTACCTTGTAACTCATGAGGTCACATACATTTTTTTGAGTAATAAACCATCACATTTTAGTATGCAGCAGAAGTGCTTTCCAAATATTCCTGTTTGTCACAGAATATTAAAATCAGAATATTAAATAGTATCAAGGATCAGGATCTAATAAAATTATTAATTTTTACTCCTTTATCAAGGACATCCTGAAATAAAACTGCCAGTACAGTTTGGCTTCACTGCCTTGATTAATACTATGGTATCATCAGGGCAAATAATACAGCAAAAAAGGCAAAGAAGATGTAGTATTATTAGGAAGACAGTTTGACCTCATGAAGCCAGTGAACAAGTCTCAAGAACTCCTAGATAACACTTAGAGAACCTCTAGGTTTTGCAAACTTGCTTCTACCAGCCAATTCTAAGCAGTTCAGGGAAGTTAATGAGCATAGTACTTCAGGGATTACCAGTAGTAAAGGACTCATACCCATCAAATTCTTAACTTCAACTAGCTACAAAAAGGATTTTCCCAAATTGTAAAGGAGGCGAACAGCCCAGTGATAACAGAGCATGCTACCTAGCACTACCCTAGAGAATCTGTATACATCATACACAAAAGTGTTTTTGTAGATCCTGAGATGTCTTTTATGTCATTGGGTAACATTTTCTCAATGTGTGAGGAACTAAAAAAAAATGTTTACACCCATAATACTAACAAAATTTGTAAATTATCTTCATAGACACACAGTGGTAGATAGATTAGACATATCTAATTAGAAATATATTTGACTAGCTCAAAAATGTATATACTCTTTAATGTGTAATTTTAATATTAAAAATGATCTACTATCAATTGTTTGGGTATATCAATAGCAACTAACATTAATTGAAATAGATACTTTTCCTAGTGTTTAACAGAAATTATTTCATTGTATTTCACAGCAACCCAAATAAGTAGGCACTTTCATTATCCTCACGTTAAACATAAGATCACATAAACACAGAGGATTAAGTAAATTCCCCAAGGTTAGATAGCTAGTAACTGGTAAAACCAGAACTTGAAGCTGAAGTTGAAGTCTATAGCCTGTGTATTCAGTTACCAAAGTACACTACCAGTAAAGAGATAAATGTGTTTTGAAATTTCAATATATTTGAAATGTTCTAAATATATTCTAAATACTAAGACATCAGAGCATTACTAAATTTTTGCAATCAATTATGTGTACTTTTAATAAAATAAAATGGTCTTAGCATTCCAATTTTAGACTACTTACAAGTAGAACTCTTAGATTTAAGGTTAGAAAAGTCATAATGTTATTTCATACATATTTCTTATTCTAACCACTGTCCAGTTTTTCTTGCAAGTTTGAAATGGAGTTTGATTGTTGTGGTTAAAACCTGCTTCATATGTATCTTGTTATATCTCATTAGTGGATGTTTGAAATTGCTTTTAAATCTCAGGAACTATTTCAAATTATTTCTGTTATTACATGGTAATAGTACTATATAAAAAATCTCCACCAGTATAAATTTCTATGTAAACACAGCATATGTGCATATCACATCATAATTAGCATTCTTTAGTTCTTTTGGCAAATATTTTGGGGGTATACAACTCTATGGACTGAATTGTGTCCCCCCAAAAATCCAATAGTTGAAGCCCTAATCTCTAATGTGACTGTATTTGGAGACAGAATTCTTAAGGAGATAATTAGGTTAAACAAGGTCATAAGAGTGGTGACCTAATTCAAGAGAATTGGTATCCTTATAAAGAAAAGAGAGAGATACCAGAGCTCTCTCCTCACCCACACTGAGAAAAGGCCATGTGAGGAAAGAGCGAGAAGGCAGCCTTCGCCAAGCCAGGAAGATCACCTTCACTGAAAGCAGCCCTCACAACACCTTGATCTAGGACTTTTTAGCTTCCAGAACTGTGAGAAAATAAATTTCTGTTGATTTAGCTAAGCAGTCTGTGGCATTTTGTTATAGCAGCCTAAGCTAATAGAACACACCACAGACATTTTTAATCACATGACATATTAATCTCCAGATAAAATCAGTGTTGACATCATTTCAACACACTAAAGAGATAAAATAAAAGCTAGTTCACACACACACACACACACACACACACAGAGAGAGAGAGAGAGAGAGAGAGAGAGTCCATGTTTTCTCACTTAAAAATAACCCTTTGGTTAACACTGTTTTTTCATCTGGTCCAGACTTGAAGTTAAGCATAATATTTAAAAAAATAAAAGGCCTAGCCAGAATCAAATTTTCAGATCTGTAAAAGAGCTCAATCCAAGCACTAATGAAGTTAAATAAAAAGAGGACTTCGAATTGGATTGGATTTGGATTTTTGGATTCAAATCTCAGATCCTGAGCAAATCATGGAACTTTTTACACTACGAGATTATTGTACGTTAAAAGGTAATAACAATACTT
The DNA here is from genome assembly GCF_000001405.40 of Homo sapiens. Classification (NCBI taxonomy): domain Eukaryota; kingdom Metazoa; phylum Chordata; class Mammalia; order Primates; family Hominidae; genus Homo; species Homo sapiens. The sequence goes on from NC_000005.10 coordinate 52,435,005, forward strand.
TTCTCACTGGTCTGTTGTGATAATCAAATAAGAGAGGATATCTAGAAGCATACCTCGCTTTTCTGGCGACCTGTCAAAGTTCAGCCCTAGGAAACCTTAGCAAGCTACCGTGGTCGTCACTGTTCCATTTCCACATTCTTATCCTCCAAGAGACGTACTGGCCAAGAGTAGCCTTTGACTCTGTGCTACCAAGTTGAGTTGCTCTAGGTTGTTGTTGTAAATTCTTTAGTCCAGTTTCACTAAAGCCCCTAGCATTTTATTTTCAGTTAATAGATAACTGTCTAGTTACCTAATTATTTATCCCCTCAAGATGAGGTATGAGTTGTAAACCAACTAACTGATAGACTAATTCTTACAAATATCAGAAGATGGGACATTTTCACATTAAATCCTTAACAGTGTTAATCGGAGGCCACATCCAAGTGCACACACATACACACATAACACACACTTGGGCACATATATTGTACTTCTTTAATTTTAAAGGATATATTTTTCAATAAAAACTTTTTTGGTTTCATCTTCATTTGGAATTTAATTAAAATATCCAGCAATTAATCTCAATTCATTTTTGTTTTAATTTTCAGTATTGCAGTTTTAGTTTTTACTGTTAAATAACCTGTGTCTCTTATATCCTGTAGGTAAACCAAAATAATTAATAATATTAAAGCCTGAGGAAAAGCAGAACTATCTGTGTCTATTTCCCCAGCATTTCTTGGATAATAAGGCTGAGTAAAAACCATAGCACCACTTCAAAAACCTCCCAGAAAGCTCCTGTCATCTGTTCAAAGTCCCTAAACCTTTATGTTAAAACTGCAGGATGGCTGCTCTAACAACCTCTTTCCTAGTCTCCTACTTCAAGTTTAAATAGAAATCCTAGTGAGCTCTTCTATACTTTCCATCATTGGATCTTTGGGGCATAAAGAATGACTTCCTCAGTAGGTTTTCTATTAGGGAAGGAGATTATATCCTTGAGCCTCTTCAAGTAAGGTGCCCATGAATTCAACCAAGTTTTCAACATGCTGCTATATAAATGTATTTCAGTCCCTGACTACAGGAACATTTTCTTTGTTCCTGTGCATAATTTAGCTTCTGCTTCTGTTGTTTTTGAGAAAAAGTTACTGCAATGTAGTAGAAGGAGAACTGGACTGGAAGTAAGCAGACTTGGGATCTAGGTCTCTAATTAGTCGTGGGTAGGTGGGCCACTTAATACTCTGCTTCCTTCCCCAAGCCTCAAGTCAACCTCAGAATGCCTGCTCTGCCTATATCTCAAGCCCTTGGGATGTTCTAAATACTGCGATCACATTTAATAAATTCTGTGTGAAATAATCATGAAAGAAATTATTGTCTTTTCATTATGTAAATTCTGACTAATTTACAACACATTTCTGAATCAGAAACTAACATGAACTCCAATTTTAAAAGATTAAGCACAACCTGGTAATAGCTTAAACTCCCATGACACTTGAAAAATCAGTAAAGCTACCTATCTCTCATAAAGTATTTTTCTTGTGAAGGAGTTAAAAGTCAGTGAGAAAAAATAGTTGATTTTCAAATGGCATATGAACTTCTCTCAAGATTAATTTGATCAAATTTAACCACAGAATAATAGATTTCCTCATGATATCCTTTTCTAAAGCCTTCAGTGACTAGGAAGAAAATCTTAGAATTAATTGAGCAAAAACTACTATGAATTTATTTCTTATGATTTCAAGTTTTCTGTCCATTCTTTCATATGAGTTTGCACGTTTCTGAGGATTATATTGATTCTTCCAAAAATGATAGTCTTATAACTGTTGGGAGACAAACTATGTAGATTTCTCCTGGTACTGCATGTGTTGTAAACAGAGACATAAATTACCTTTTTTGGCAGGGCGTGGTGGCTCACGCCTGTAATCCCAGCACTTTGGGAGGCCGAGGCAAGTGAATCACAAGGTCAGGAGTTCGAGTCCAGCCAGGCCAACATGGTGAAACCCAGTCTCTTCTAAAAATACAAATAATTAGATGGACATGGTGGCAGGTGCTTGTAATCGGGAGGCTGAGGCAGGAGAATTGCTTGAATCTGGCTGGTGGAGTTTGCAGTGAGCTAAGATCATGCTACTGCACTCCAGCCCGGGCGACAGTGCGAGAATCTGTCTCAAAAATAAATTAAATAAATAAATAAATAAATAAATAAGTAAATAAATAAATAAGTAAATATTGCCTTTTTTTCCCTAAACAATCCTCTAAGAAAGTTTGCAAAGAAAATAGCCTTGGAATATAAATATAATACTTCTCTCCGAGGAAAGGGCAAGTTTGTTTCTGCCAAGTACAATGAAGATAATATCTTCTTCTGGGGCTTACTGTCAGGTAAGCTTACTGCCCGTTATAAAAGAGTTTGGTTCTTTCATAATGCTCAGAATTCCTCCCCAGTAGCACTGCCCATTGCATGAACAGGTGTCATATATCCCGCTTGCATTGCCTTTTGGGATTGAGTCTCAGAAAACCCTCACAAATGTTGATACTCTGGTTACCACTATTACTCTAAGAAGTAAATTTCTTTGTCTCTGACCCAGGAATCTCATGCCTTCTGTCACCACCCATAAAATTATGGCAGGCTAACTAGATGATTTCAAGTGGGGTAGGATTTTAGATTCTTCACCATCTCAACAATAACAACACCTGAAAAATAATATAAACTATCCTTCTCAACATTTTGTATCACTGAATTCCATTGATAAGTTATTGAAAACAATTAAATTTAAGACATTCTCATATTCAGTGATCAAGAAGTTACTATCATAATAAACTTTTATTAGAATCCAGCTATTAAAGCCTCATGTACTTAGCCAGGCAACTAAAATAGCCCAAATTGAAATTAGTTGTTCACTTAGACCATAGGGACACCTGGCTCCTTTTAAATGTCTTTCTTCTTTCCTTCACTATTGTATAAGACTTCTCATTTTGTTTCTGTCCGTACTTTTTTTTGAGTAAAACTTGTTTACACTTAGCTCAGAGGAACATCTCTATCTAGCATAGAAGACTCAAAACAGAAAGTTAGACAGACTTGAATTTGTAAAATATTGTGTTTGCATAGATTAATAATGTTAATTTTCTACACCACAGTTTCTTCATCTGTAAAAACAGAATATTAATACCTACCCTATAGACTTAACAATTTTTGTGACAATAGAAGGACTAAGCATTATTAACATGGTATTGACATGGATGTCATACCTCCCCATCTCCTTTTCTTCCCATTTCCCCCGATCCTGAAAATCTCTGTTCCTCATTCTCTCCTAGGCTAGGTTAATTAATACTGAGGATAATAGCCTGGTCATGCCTACTTGCACATACCCTGCCCTGGGACTTCAGGGAGATTTTGTCATTTTTAGAGTAGATACTAGACTTTGAGGTTGAAGAGTAAAGAATGGACAGAAATAGGCAGAACCCAGGTAGCAGAAAATGAGAGAAAAAACTAAGCGAAAGTGAGTTATATAGGTAAAGAAGAAGGAGAGATAAAATAAGAGGCAGGAAAGAGTGAAGGCAAGGCATTCCTGGGGAACTCTAGCAAATTGAGCTCTGGAGAGTCTGGAAAAGGTGCAAAAAAAAAAATTGGGGAGGAGAGAACAGAAAGTAGGAAAGTATTGTTAAGGGTTACCACTAGGATTCCCAAGATATGTAATTAAGAAATAATTTGTAATTTGGAGATAGTGGCAGAAGATAGTGGCTGTTGAAATGTGGTTCTTTGAATGCAATATTATCCTAAGTTTAAATCATGTAGATCCACAGTATCAGTACTTACATTTAAGCTATACATAAACCATTATATCATGTTCTCAACAAAGAGTGTGATCTTTATTTTTCCTGCTATTCCAGAATTAATATGAAAAGAGGAATATAAAAGAGACCTAGATTCCACTGTCAAAGGTAACTAAGATATTTATTTGTATTTGCACCACGCCCTGTAAGAATGATAGTATAAAAGCTGTGAAAGTTCTCATTGTCAATCTGAAATGACTCCACTCTCTTTGAATAATGCACACCTCCCAGTTACCCAACAGCTCCTTCCTTTGAGTGCTGTGATGAGGCTAGGTTAGGCCCTCAGTGGGAGTCATATTAGTCAGGTCATTACAGATACAGGATCATTGTCATTAGGTATTAATTAACTACTATATGGCAAGCACTACATTATGCACATCATATGTTTTATTGCATTTATTTCTCACAATACATGAGGTGATAAGTATTATTATCATGATCACCTCCATTTTACAATAGAGTGGGAAGCAGGCTGAATAAGCTCTGAACTCCCCCTGGCTCAACAGGTCTTATGAATCCAGATGACTACTCACCAGTATAAATGGAAATCCCAAAATTTGTTTAGGGTGACTGATTTTAGCTCCAGAATGGGGCAGGAATGAGTCTGAAATTTGGCATTCTTAAAGAGTACAGCAGCTTGTCAAATACTATGTGTGTAGGATGGGCACTAGAATCTCTATTTCTCCTGTCTTTTTAAGATGTTTTAATCAGTTTATTATATCTTGTGATTAAACATTTTAAATACGTATATTCTTGCCCGTTTGGTTCTTAATAATGCTTGTTCATCTTCTAAGCATTTTTGACTATTGTAAACTTTATTCTTGTAATGAAATAGCCAAGACTGCTTGCAGTATTTCAATGTGGTTTTGTATTTTGTATCTTTCTGTCATAGATAAACTTTCACGTCTGGCTGCAATGTTAATATCATCTCACAGACAGGCACTAAACGTAGGGGAGATGGTGAGCCATCACTTAGATTAAATTCCGTAGGCTTTTTCCCTCCATTATAAATCTAAGCCATCTGACCTTAACAGCGGGTGCATCCTATTTCAAGAGGTACAGGATTTGGTGAATTGACTAGCCCTACATGATATGCATAGACTCTATTTTATGACATCCTTGTATATAGCAAAGCCTGACTACAAATATCTTGATATGGCCAAAGGTAGAAGAAAGCTCTCATCAAGCAAAAAGAAAAGTTTGCTTGTATAAATTAGCAGCCCTTGAATAAACAAGCAGTAATTGCTATAGTAACTTTGCAAATCACAGAAACAATAGGACTACATTTTTTTAACATTTGAGAATGTCAGTTCATTGCTTCCTGTTTACTTGCAATTATTTGAAAATAACCTGGATAAGTTTATAATCAAGGTATTTCCTCTTGGCTCCCTGGTATACATCAGACTGCCTGAGGAGAGGATTGACATCCTAAGGTGTCCAAAGCATAATCAGTCTTAAGAGCTGCTAATGTTAAAATCCTGACTAATGTTAATCAAAAATTTTAAAAAAATCTTCGCTTGTTAAACACACACATACACAGACAGATACACACACACACACACACACACACACTAAGATAACATTAGTTTTCAAAACACAGCTGGTAAATGATATTGTCTAATTTTACAACTATTTTGGCCCATGTACACTTTGCATACTAAAATTGTGTGTATGCCCATGTCTTTGTGTATGTGCTTGTTACAACTAGTAGTGAATATAAGCTGTTTAAAATTTGATAAACAACGTCCAGTCTTGGCTAATAGCATACGCAGTCACTAACGATGAGGATGCCTTTTGAGAAATGCATTGTTAGGCGATTTTGCTGTTGTTGTACAAACATCATAGAATGTACTTACACAAACCTACATGGTTTAGCCTACTAGGTTTATATAGATATAACCTATTGCTGTATGGTATAAGCTATTGCTGCTAGGCTACAAACCTGTACAGCATGTCACTGTACTGAATACTGTAGGAAGTTGTAGCACAATGGTATTTGTGTGTCAAAGCATATCTAAACATAGAAAAGATACAGTAAAAATATGGTATTATAATCTTATGGGAGCACTATCATATATGTGGTCCATCTTTCACCAAAACATTATAATGCAGCATATGACTATTGTTAGCAAAAGTAAAAACATCAGAAGAACACATGTAACCTTCAGATAAGAACACTTTAAACAAACAAACAAAAAAACTTTATAAAATTTTGGGCCAGGCGCAGTGGCTCACACAAGTAATCCGAGCACTTTGGGAGGCAGAGGCGGGTGGATCATGAGGTCAGGGGTTTGAGACCAGCCTGACCAACATTGTGAAACCCCGACTCTACTAAAAATACAAAAATTAGCTGGGCATGGTGGCAGGCCCTGCAATCCCAGCTACTCAGGAGGCTGAAGCGGGAGAATTGCTTGCACCCAGGAGGCGGATGTTACAGTGAGCCAAGATCGCTTCATTGCACTCCAGCCTGGGCGACAGAGCGAGACTCCATCTCAAAAAAAAAAAAAAAAAAAAAAACTTTTGTTATGGGCCAGGATTGGGTTGATTTATTTATGACTGTGATCTTAGAAAATTTATACAACTTTGCTGAATACTACATTAATGATAAATTTTATATATCTAGAGATCTCTGTTCAAATACATATTCAGATATTAGAAACATATTCAATTAGGTGAAAATAGACAGGCCTAAATTACCAATACCTAAATTATAGCCAGAAATTGCTTGAACCTATATCCCAATAGCCTAACCTTCCTGTCTGCTATGTGCACATTCCCCTTCTGCAGTGGTCCAGCAGCATTCACCCTGAGCACTCCTCTACCATAGCTCTGCTCTGCTGGCTTTACGTGCCTATGTTGCCTCTAGGATACAAACTGCATCAGGGAAGGGACAATATTTTATGTATATTCATGCCCCTATTACCTTTCATTTTGTTCAATACATAGTGTGACAAATAAGTTTTAGTTGAATTAACAAGAGTGATGTTAAGAAATTTAATGCGTTTTCCTTTCTTACTTTTCCAGATACTGTACACATCAACTCCTTACTGGAGTCTACTTTAAGCAGCCACTTGCCAAGATAGAGATTTGACCAGGTTACAGAAGATACTGGGGATAGAGCTGAGAAAATATTCAGGGACTGTCACTTGAAAAGGAGATTAGTCAGCACAATTATAACTTTGCAATCTAGGTTATTGTTTTGACACAGGCATTTTGATTCTTTTCCCTCCTCCTCCATCATATCAATAGCCAGGCTCTGATGGTCAAGCTCTAGAGCCTACCATTAAAGCTTAGGATAGTCAGGAAAAAGGGAGGCTATCAGGTGAGTTGAGAAATAAAGAAAAATAAAAGTGCCCTAGGTTGGGTGGAGAATCTTTACCAAGTACTATGGTCTAAATGTTTGTGTCCTCCTCAAAATTTGTACATTAAAACCTAATTCCCAAAGTGATGGCATTAGGAAGTGGACCCTTTGGGGGGTGATTAGGTCATAAGGGTGGAGCCCTCATGAATGGATTAGTGCCTTTATAAGGGGCTGAAGAGACCAGAGTTCTTCCCTTCCACCATGTGAGGAAACAGCAAAAAGTTACCTTCTGTGAGGAAAAGAGCCCTCACCAGACACCAGATCTACTGTTGCCTTGATCTTGGACTTCCCAGCCTCCAGAACCAGGAGAAATAAATTCCCAATTATAAGCCACCCAGTTGATGGTATTTTGTTATAGAAGTCTAAATGGGCTACAATACCAAGGGAAATTGTATGAAAAATACGTGAAGAATTAATTCTGGCTAAGAAGAGAAGACACATTGTGTAAGTTGAGCTAAATACAGAAGGAAAGGGTCTCCTGTGCTGCTAACTGCTTTGAGGCTTGAGGAGGTGTCCAGCTTCCAGTAGCCCTGCTTCAATTAGAGCAGCTGTTGATGGCTGATGTGAGACCTCAGTTCTTGTCTTCTTAGTTTAGAAGAATTTAAACTAGAGACACACAGCAAAGGAGATGTAGCATAATCTATTGCAAAAGGAAAATAATATTTTTTAAATTAGGTGCAAATTTTCTCTCCCTGAGAGAAAGAATTCAGGGGGTGTTGCTCGTAAGGATGAGACAGCAAAGACTGGCACTAGGGAGACTATGGGAGTCTTACATGATTATTCATAAGAAGGTGGAAAGAGGTGTTGCTAGCAAGCATGTTCTGGGTGGTCTTCTGGGTGCACATGTGCAGTAGCTGTACATGTTTGTTCATATGTCACATGTCTCATTAGCATCTTAAATGTCCACCCAGGGGTGTGTTTTTTACTATTACATTGAGCAAAGAATCAGTTTGAGGACAGGTAAAACCAAAGTGCACATGTTCTCTACAGGGGAAATTTCCCTCTGAAGACAGCTTTGCTTGAATGGGCTCAATTACAATGCAAATGCTGAAGCTTATTGTGTTGATTGTACGGTTACCAGAGTTGCTGCGTCCTGAGGACAAGGTCATTTTCTTGACTATCCTGCCTCACCATTGCCGCATGGAGGTAGAGATACAGCACTGTCAGGCAGAGGGAGGCCCTGCTCTGGAATATTTCACAATCTGTGTTAGTTCTTATTGCACAAGAATGCTGAGTTGAGAGACTTGCTGATAGGCCCACCACAGAAGAACAAGTTGACACCTGGGAAAAGGCTGTGGGTAGATCACTAGTCCAAGCCCCTGCATGGAGGAAGTGGCAGATGTTTAGAGAGTGACAAATAAGGGAGACCAAGTTAGCCAAGAGTGATGCCCATTGCCAAGTGGGGGCATTGCCAAAAGAATAGACACCCAATTACATGAGCTTCAGTCTTCATTATTAGAAGCACTAGGATGCTCTCTAGGAAGTACGCTTGTATGACGCAGGCTACTATTTTTATTATTATTCTTCCTATATTAGAGATGAGGAAACTGAGATTAAGTAACTTTTCCAGTTCAGTCTGCTAGTAAGTGGCAGAACTGACAGTGAAACTGAGGCAGTCTGGCTTGTGGATTTGTTTCACTTTAAATTAGTATCTCAAATGGGATAATTTAGAATCTCAACTGAAAATTCAGGACTACAAGCAATCCTATAATACTCTTGAGTAAAAATTCCTACTCTCTGAGATAAATCCCGTTTTTCTTAAAGATTCCCCATCTCTACTGCATTTTCTACTACTATCCCTTTTCTGAGCTGAGTCCTTTGTCATGTCATCATTCTCTTATTCTCTATCTTAAAAACACACACACACAAACAAAACTAGACAAAACAAAAACCTGTCTTGATTCGTATCTCCTCTGCACCCAATATTTAAATTATCTGTTTTCATCTATAGTAAAACTTCTCAAATGAGTTGTACATTGTTATGGAGTAAATGTTAGCACCCCTTCCCCCTCCAGCCCGGACTCCCACCCTTGGTCACTGCCAAACTCATATGTTGAAGTGCTAACTCCCTATGTTTTAGTATTTAGAGACAGGTCCTTTGGAAGGTAATTAGGGTTAAATGAGATCATGAAGGTAATTAGGGTTAGATTAATTAGGGTTTGGGCCTTCCTGATGGGATTAGAGGCCCTATACAATGAGGATCTCTCTTTCTTTCTCTCTCACCACATACATGCACCCAGGAAAGGCCATATGAGGATACAAAAGGGAGGCAGGTTGTGTGAACTAGGAAGAGAGCCTTCACCAGAACATGAATTGGATGGCATTTTGGTCTTGCTTTTCACACCCTCCAAAACCTAAGAAATCCATTTCTACTGTTTCAGCCAGTCAGTTTATGGTATTTTGTTATGGCAGCCAGAGCAGACTAAGATATCATACTTACTCATTTCTAGTGGTTATTTTTTTCAGTAAACCAGATCAGCCCTTTCCAAGATTATCACTAACATTGGTGTTGACAAATTTAGGTACCTTTCTGTCTACATCTTACTGAACTCCTGGTGCATTTAACGTATTTCCTCACACTCTGCCTTTTGACCTTCATGACCACTCTCTTTTGATATCTGACAATATGTTTTCCTGATTTTCCTTTTACACACTCAACAAATTCATCTTTCCCTTCCTTTAAAGTCTTCCCTATATCCCAATGTTCCAAATGAAGTTCAAATTTCTTCATGGGTATTAGGGGGCTTCTTTCGGCATAAGCAGGAATTTTTATGCATCATTTTCCCTCTGGGGATAAATGTCTACTATTAACTTGGCTTTACCCCTATGCTGGTCACAACACTGTGTCCTTTCACTGCCTTCATGCCTATAGATGGATCATTCTTAATTCTAGGACTACCTTCCTGCTAATATAGGGTTAATCATGGGAAAAAATGTTGGGAAAAAATGTTAGGAAATTCCCATCAGGTAAGGGAATTTTAAGATTCTACTATTTAGATTTTTTATTTTGTTATCCCTAATTCTCTGACCCTATTCTTGGCTTGAAAACCAAGAAAAAATGAATATACTATAGTGAATATGGACTGAGACAAAATTAGTTTCAAATTCCAATTCTATCATTTATAATCTGTATATCAATAGAAAAGTGATTTAACATATCCAAGCATCATTTTACTCATCTTTTAAACTGGGATGATTATAACACCACCACGAAGTTGTTGAATAATTAAACTAGGTAAAATATGACAGGTCTTTGCATATAATGGCCCCTTTCTCTCTCTCTGAGTAATCTGAGGAATTACTTTTTGGATGTACAATTTGGAGTGTTCTTTGGTGCATCAACTTAGTAATATAACTATTAACATAGCTTCTCACTTTCATGAAGATTTGAAGGTGTACCAGTCAACTGTACTTTCTCCAGAGAGAGGAACATTCTAATGTACTACAGCTGGATAGAAGAAAAAAAACACCTGGATTTTTCTCTAATGAACTACATTAAACTGTTAGGTAACACAAATCAAACCATTTTCTTGATTAAGTAAGGTAACTAACCAAAATACTTCTTGAAATTTTAAATTATTTTAAACCAAAACAACTGAAAAGCAAACAAAAATTGTAACTGACTACTGCTCAGTTTTATTCTTGGTGTCATTTTTGTCTTACCAAGTCACTTAGTACATAAGGGTGTAGCCGAGTTGAAGAAGACTGAAACAGGAGGTGTGTTCAGGTCCTGAAACCCTTCAGTGTGGGCTTTAGTATCAAGGTTTCAAACACACTGGCTCTGCAGCATAATGCTTTAGGGGCCCCAGGGGGAAAAAATGTATTATAGATCTTAACCACTCCATAACCTGCACCATATTTTCTGACCTATAAATAGCTATTTCTTTTTAAGATAACCTTTTCTGCTTATCTAACTCTCTTTTCCAGTGTTACGTACCCAAGACCTATTTGCAGGGCAAAGACTCTAATTCTAATTCCAAATATCCTGATTTCCAACACCATCCAGTGCCTAGTGAGAACTTACTATTTGTACTAATTATTAAAGTTAGCTATAATAACAAAGGGGAGAAATAATCCTTCACAGCTTTCATTTTTTTCTTATACTTCCTGAATGACAAAGAGAAGTTAGTCTAATGCATCTAGAGCAATTAGGGATGAGGAGTCCCTGTTTAGTTCCTCTTGCCACTGTACAAAGATGCTAATTTTTGATATTTCAGAGGCACATTCTCTGCACCGCCCCTTATTCTTCTGCTTGAAATTTTCTACCGCTCCATTCTAGCAGTCACTTTAAGCCCACTACATTTGACTCCAGTTTCTCTTTTCAAGAGAAATTGTTTTGGCTCTAGATTTTCGTCCATCCATTTCAAATATGCAGGGTTTTCCTAAAAGACATGATGCTGAAAGATTCCTTTGGTGTTCTTTTTTCACTTTTTCCTTTTTTGGTCTCTGCAATACTTAGTGTCATTCTTTCAGCATTAATGCTGGGACAGCTCTTCATACAACACCTGCTGAATTCTTCACCTGTGTGCCATAATACTTCCCAGAAATCTCGGAATAAGTATCATGGCACAATTTACTTCAAAATTATACCAAAACATGTCACTCGTTGAGGCACCTTCTTCTGAGAAGTGGACCTGTGGGTTCAGGTGTTCACTTATGTATTCATAGTCATTCATTCAATAAATATTTACTCAGGTCCTACTATTGTGAAAAGCATGTTGTGCTGAGTTCAAGAGTAAAATGGAGTGCAAGCATGTTTCTTTCCCATGGAGCTTATGTTCCAGCATTTCAGTTGGGTAGATAGACATGAATCAAATAGTTGCAGGATTGAATGAATAAGGACATACTTTTGAAGAAAGACAATTTTAGTGAGAGAAACTGGCTTCAACTTGGAATCAGGGAACACTTGACAGAAAAAGAAGAGATACTTCAATGAAGAGATGAATGATTAGCAGGAGTTAACTAAACAAAGAGTAGGAGGAAAAGTGTTCTAGACAGCGAGAATTGGATATGCAAATTCCACTAGGGAAAACTACCAGAAGCCCAGAGTGGCTGGAGTGCAAATGTAAGCAGAGGAAGTGTGTGTGATACATAGAGCTGAAGACCAGGGCCAGACCAGGCATAGGGCAGGCAGGACTTGTGGGGTTTTTGGCCTTTGTCCCAAGCGCAATAAAAAGTAGTTGAAGTTTTAAAGGGGTGGAGGATGGGGAAATGGAGGGTAGCGTGGTCAGATTTGCATTCTATAAGCCTATTCTGGCTAACGTAGTAGAGAATAAATTGGCGTGAGAGTGAATGTGTGAAGACTGGTTAAGTAAAACATTGGTAAATTGAACTAAAGTAGTAGTAGTGGAAACAAACATGCCAAGGAACTGAGAGGTAAAATTAACAAAATTTAGTGTAACTTCCTGAGCTCATATGTGTTCTCACATGTTTTATGGGTTTCCTTGTATTTCAAAATCAGATAGCCAGGAAACTTGAAAAATTTTCTATTGCCACATAGATCAACAATTATACTATACAAAGTAATCAGAGTCCCCAAGAATACACAATTATTCCCTAGAGAGAGAGGGAAAGTAATCTCTAACAGTGTCTCTAGGTTAAACCTGTAATTTTCACTATAGAAAAGAACAGCTTCTTCCTCATATTTAACTCAGTCACAGTTTCATCATCTAACATTGAGCCAAAAACAAAATGTAATTGATTTTTTCTAGTAGAAATATATACCTGAATATACTACTACAACGATAGAGATGTAAGTGAAAGCACTTGTAAATCATAAAACTCATTAAATGTTATATACTTCAGCTATTCTGAAAGCATTAAATTTTGTGAAAAACACTCAGGGGTTGTTTGTTAGAAACTAGAGAACTGTGTTTTATTACATGACCCAGGAATAACAGTTTTCATTCCTGTTTGCAATGGAACAGCCCATTCATTCAAAGGGAACGTGAAAAAGTACAAAATGCCCCTTGCAACATGCAAGTGACTAATATTTTCTCCTCATTCTTTTGTCACAGCAAGAAAACAAGAACAGCTTCCTTATATCATTCTCAAGTGATTTTAAAAGCTCTTTAAAGTACTCAGCATATTAATGATTTGCTATTTATAAATGACACCCATTGAAAAGCTAAAATGACAAATAAATAGAATATTGAAACTTGCCTCTGTCAGAAACTTGCCTCTTCCACATCCAAAAAGAACAAAGGCAAGACACTTTCCCTTTGACATTAGGGTCATCAGAAGCTGAGCTACGACACCTCTATGACCCTGAGTGGTGAGCTGGCTGTTTTTTTTTTTTTTTTTTTTTTAGTAGAAAATCCTCTCTGAGTTCATAAGCCAAGAAATAACTTAATTAAAGTGTAACTCTTCTAACAGAGAATAAAAACGCAGGGGGTCTGTTATCTAGCTTCTTTCGTGTCCTTTTGCTTTGCTTATTTTAAATACTGCACATTTTAATTTACTATGACTCGATCCACCTATCAATGCCATAAAACCACATCATCCACCTAAAAAATAAATAAAAAAAATTTAAAAAAACTCGGCATGAAAGATTAAGTCTGTTTTGCCAGAAGCTTAGGGAAGCTAAGGAAATAAAGCACTTATTTATAACACATTACTCACCCATATTTATAGATCTTCACATTAGATGTTAATTCGTATTTCTAAATAGCTTCAGAAAGGATATGAAATAGCTGACAGTTTTTGTTTGGCTGTTATCCCATCAGAAAATAATCATTTAAAGAACAGTCCTGCACACTGCTGTCACAGAAATGGCAGCAGAGGAGAACAAGTGGTATTTGCACAAATGAGTACATATATTTATTTTAAAAGGCAGAATAAAAGCTCATACTCTGAAGTACTCATTGTTGACTGTTGTTTAAATAATCTGTAAATACAGATTACGACAAGCAGGATAAATTACAAAACTTATTAGACTTGAAAAGGTATCATTTACTACTTAAATAATAAATACCAAGGTTGACTGAAAACACTTCTTTTGATAGTTGGAAAACACCAGAGATATGGAATTAGTCATTGGTATGCTAAAGAACAGGGGTATCTACCCAGCAGTTCTCAGAGTTGACTGGGATTTATCATGCTGAGGTGTGTATTGGGAAAGAAGATTGTAGGTACAAGGCGTACCCTCCCCAATTATTCTAGCCTCAATGTAATCTTTCTCCTCTGACATTCTCTCTACAGAAACTATAAACTGTATATTTTCCAAAAGCTAATGAGATTACACATTACTCTACCATTGTTCTTCACCCACATTCATAATAAATCACAGGAATTTGTTAATATCTAAGCATCTATGGCTCTTACGTGTTAGGTGGTGCACAGTGTTGCATGTGACTGGGAGAGAGGCTCTCTTAGGACGTTAGAAATGTGAGAGAGCACTAAAGAAGTATAGACTGACAGACTCCAATGATCCCATACACCACTCCCTTGGTGAGTAGGAAGCTATGTAGATTGAAAATGGAAATGGAGGTCAGGTTACATATTGTCCCATAACACAGGCAGGAAATCATAAAACAGGACGTTATTAATTCCTGGAATGCCAGCTTCCAGTCTTATGCTCCAGATGGATGAAGGACCTCTTGGTGACAGAAACTCCTTTGTATTCCAGTGAGATAATGGGAGTTTGAGAAAGAATTTATATGCTTCACGTTGTACCAGACATACTTAAGGACAAGGCTGTTGATGTCATTTCCTTCTTCTGTTAAATGCAGAGAAAAAACTCAGAAACCTTAAAAGGTTTCAACCTTTTCCTCACCCCCTAAGAGGAAAGCAGTCCAACTCTGATAAGAAAGAACTCTCCAGTGATCATGGAGGTAATACAACCACAGGAGAAGAAAGAGGTCCACTGAAGGCCTGCAGTGTGAGTCCAGACAGTAGAAGAGTCTCAGAGACTTTTCAGACTCCAGCTGCTGGCCAAGAGGTAAACATGGAAAGTTCTGGGAAAATTCTTTATCCTGCTGGTATTTCTGGGACTTTAGGAAAAACTGCAAGAAACTAGATGAGAGAAGACCATCAAAGTTCTGACTGTCAGCATGTGCCACATAGCAAGACACTGTCTTCTACAAAAACGTTAAAAATTAGGCAGGCATCGTGGTGCATGACTATAAGTCCCAGCCACTTGGGAAGCTGAAGCAGGGGGATCACTTGAGCCCAGGAGTTTGAGGCAACAGTGAGTTATGATAATGCCACTTCAATCCAGCCTGGGTGACAGAGCCTGACCCTGCCTCTTAAAAACCAAACAAAACAAAAAACCTGACCTTAGTTACCAGGGAAAACATGCACTTTTAGAGATTGAAGCCTTGCCTGAGATCACACACTCTAGTTTAATTTCTCTGATGCATATGAATGAAAATGACTTTTTGGAAAACACAGACAATAATGGACAGTAAGAATGATTTATATAGGTAAACCTCATTCTACTTTACCCCACCTTCCCCCTAAAATACACCACACTCACGCATACATACATACCACACACGCATAGACACACACACACACACACACAAATGCTATCTGAAGAGTTAACACAGGCAGCTACCTTATGTCTACCCTTTTCTCTCTGCAGCTACATAATCCCTAGGTCTTAGTTATTTCTTTATGTCTGTTCCATGATTCTCACAGGAGTCTGCTTTTTCCTAATGCTCCCCTATGTCTTCAACTGGTTTACCCTTTGATTTCCATGGTGACAGCTACCAGTCAAAGGCTTCACTGCCTTACAAGTTCAGCACTGTTGACCAAGAAAGCAATTAAACAAAGATGAACATACCAATTAGGATATTTTGGCCGATAAAGAGAGAAAAGCCTCCACTGAAGTGAAAGGAAAAATAATCAGGATCCCCAGTTCAATTAGGAAGAAATGTCCTGTTGCCAATTGTTACATCCAATTTGCTCTCTTCATTGCAAGGCAAAGTTACAAATATCAAGAGAGTGTTTTTTTTTCAGCTTTACTGAGGTATCATTGACCAATGAAAACTTTATATTCAAAGCAGATAATGTGATGTTTTAATAAATGTATATATGTAAAATGACTATCACAATCAAGCTAATTAACATATCCATCACCTCACATAGTTGCTTTTTTTTCTTGGTGGTTGAGCACACTTAAGTTCTACCCTCTCAGCAAATTTCAAATATGCAATACAGTATTATTAACTACAGTCACTATGCTGTATATCTCCTGAACTTACTCATCGTATAGCTGAAAGTTTGTTCCCTTTAATCAGCATCTCATTTCTCCTTCCCCCTACTCCGTTTTACTCTCTCCTTCTGTAAGCTTGACTTTTAGATTCCACATATAAGTCAGATTATACAATAATTGTCTTTCTGTGATTGGCTTATTTCACCTCACATAATGTCCTCCAGATTCATATACCACATTTTCCTTATCAGCTCATCCACTGACAAATACTTAGGTTGATTTCATTTCCCCACCTTGGCTATTGTGAATAACATTGCAATGAACATGGGAGTGCAGACATCTCTTTGGCTTACTGATTTCATTTCCTTTGGATATAAACCCAGAGGCTTGACTGTTAGATCCCAGGGTAGCTCTATTTTTAATATTATATTCCACAATAGCTATACCAATTTACATTCCCACCAGCAGTATACACAGGCTCCCTTTTCTCTACACCCTCACCAATACTTGTAACCTCCCACCTTTTTAATTATGACCATACTAACGTGTGTGAGGTGATATCTCATTGTGGTTTTCATTTGCATTTCTCTAATAATTAATGATGTTAAGAACCTTCTCATACACCTGTTGGCCATTTTTATTTCTTCTTTGGGAAAATGCTTATTCAGGTCTTTTGCCCACTTTTAAATTGAGGTGGTTTTTGTTCATTTTTCTGGAACTAAGTTGTATGAGTTTCTTACATATTTTGGGTTAAAGACCCCAAATTACATTACAACCTAATTTTCAGGTGGTATAGTGTGATCGTGGTTAGAATTCAAGCTTTAGAACAATGCTTCAACTGTACAACCTTGTGCAAATTACTTAATTACTCCATAAATGTCCTCCTTGGTAAAATAAAGATGGCAATAGTACTCATTTACAGAATAGTGTGGGCATTCACTCAGTACATGCCAGCTGTTGTTATGCTAACTCCTGCTATGCCTTTGACTCAGCATGTGAATTTAAGCTAGTCACTTTAAGGGTTAAGAAGCCTTATTTTAAGTCAATTCAGCTCAGGTTTTTCTCTCTCTTTTCTATAGATTTAATAGAAATATTTTCACTTTAAGTATTTTATAGGCTTTTTATCTCCAAATAAATGCAAGCAATTTTATAAGACCTAAAGGAAATTCATTATTACTTGTTTCACATTAATTCAGACCAATGCTTGTAATAATCAATACTGACAAATAGAGAAAAGAGAATTTGCTTCATTGTTGCTTTCATAACTCTACCCAATAATTTGTCTAATCTAAATAATAATTTAAAAATATACTCTTTCACTAAGTTTATTTTCCACTACCAATGTAAACTTTTGAGTTGCATTAATGTTACCTCATAGTTGAGCTATGTTTTACCACAATCTTATCTATACTTTAAACTTCTGCCGTCCAATACAGTCACAACAATTTCTGTGGCTACTGAATACATGAGCTGTAGCCAATCTGAATTGAAGTGTACTATAAATATAGAATACGTAGAGTTTTGAGATTTAGTATAAAGCAAAAAATGTAAAAATCTTAATATTTTTATACTGAATGCATGTAGAAATAATAATACTTTGGATATAGTGAAAATGTATATATAAACCAAAGGTATTATTAAAATTAATTTTACTTTTTTGTTTCCACTTTTTTAAGAAATGTGGCTACATAAAAATTTAAAATGACACCTGTGGCTTGTATTTGTGGTTTGGATTATATTTATATAGAATTGCACTGATTTAGAATTTCTTTTGGTACTTGACTAATATACTTGGTATGATTACAAGATAAGCCTAACTCATAACTTGGTAACGAAATTTATAGCAAAAATATTTGTGGTTAATCAATATTTCCTTATTTCCCATTTGTTGGGTACAGATTCTAAGCAATGCCCTCTCTTAGGTGTAGGAGTAATAAACAAGTGGAGGCTTTGGCCCAGGCTCCTTTTGTAGTTAATCTCATATCCTAAACATAAGCTCATAGCTCCAAATGTAAATCTCTTTGTGGTCAACTTTCTAACACAAGATACCAGGATAAAATCTATGTATTGAATTAGAGAAGGACCGCTCAACATAAGAATGGCCACGGGGTGTTAGGAGGAGACTTTCAGCAATGTACCAGCTGCAACATGAAATCAATGAAAGAGTTCTTAGCAGGAATGGTCCTCCAAAATGCAGCAAAGTCAGGAATAAGTTCATCTGGCATTAATTTTGATTATAAGAAGATATGACTAAATTTTTGAGGGGAAATATTATGTAGATTAGTAACAGTATAAACATAATTTCACTAAAGTCTTTTTTTAATTTACTTTGATTTTTTACTTTCTTGTCATTTTCAGGACTTTTTGGAAGACAGAGGTAAAAAAACCTGTATGTTAAGAAATATATACAAAATACGTACATTATACATGTCTATATAATTATATAATATCTATTTTAACACTCAATTATGCAATCTTCACCTCTAACGAAGACAATAATCCCTTAATATCATTTAATTTCTGGTTAATGTTAAAGTTTCCCAACTGTCTCAAAAGCTAGCCTATCCAAATCATAATCCAAAGAAAACCAACCATTGCATTTGATTCTTATATCCTGCAATCTCCTCTATTTTATCAGTTTCACCTCCTTAAGAAATAATAATAACCACTTTTATATTTTGGAGAATTAGGTCATTTGTCTTACAGGATTTCCGAACTCTACATTTCACTAATTTCTTCCTCATGAGATTGTTGATACTACTTCTTGATCTCTCTTTTTTAAATAAACCAGGGACTTAATCAGATTCCATTTTATTGAAAACAGTGATACTTCATGGATGGTACTCTGTACTTTACAATTGGAAGTACATAATGACTTTTATGTCTTTAAGCTGGATTCAGGTAGTATCAGCCTAATATGATTATTGTTACTAATACTCTTTGTTTCATCAGGGGATGTAAATATTGATTTCCTCATTACATTATTTTTTCCTTTATTTACTAGCTATTATTCTACAAAGAAAAACCTTTCTTTCTCAACTATTTGGTTATCCTGAAATGCAACATTACGGGAAGATCAGATAAATGTTTATTTTTTTCTTTCTCAAATTCTTATAGTAATGAATTGATGCCCTAGCAATCTCCAATGGTGCCAAAAATGAGGTAAACATTTTGTTGCTTTATTTCCTTTGAGTATCATAATGAACTCATATGAACTTATGGATTTATAATTATAAATAAAAATGTGTGGTTAAATACATTGTAGTCATTATTTTTGATGCTCAAACTATTTTATTTTAGGCCACTGAGAAATTCAAGGTGACCCTGTGTCCATTTAACATTAGTCTATTAGTTCTTGTTAGTTTTCTTAATTGGAACATTCAACAACATGTTCCAAACTAATTCTGTTCATTGTCTGCCCTAGATTTGGAATCAGTCAACGAGCTTGTTCCTTTGAGTGGGAAATGATATTTTGATATCACACTCTGAGTATGAAAAAATGCTCACTGCAACTAAATTTTTGTTACTTTCGTATTTTTTCAGTGGACAGAAATAAGAAATACACATTTTTAAATGGGAAAAAAATCAAAAGTTGATAATGATAGTCCAAATTCAAATTTAAGATTAAAGTGTTCTAACATTTTGGGATATATACATACACACACATACACTCTCTTATTTCTAAGTAAATCCAAGCCATTTTATAAAAATTAAAAGTTTGTATTAGAGTTTAATTTGGACAAAAGCATATAATAATCAATTGTGACAGAGAAAAAGGAATAATTGACTACAGTATCTTCTGTATTTTATACTAAAAATAGTGGTTTCTAACTACATTAACGTAATTTATATTGACTTTATCCTACATTTTACCTATGACAGTTTTATCAACATATTAATAATAGGTCTGTCTAAATGAAATTTAAGAGGGTTTTTTGGTTCTGTTTGTTCTTATATCTTACCAGGATATTAAGTTAAAATACTAAGTATTTAAAATAGCTTAAAATAATTTTTTTACTGTGTGTTTTTGATATTAATTGATATGCAACATTTGTTTAAGTTTATTTTCAGTATTTAAATTTTTATTTGATGATTTAACTATATAAAATTATGCAAAACATAAAATATTCCAAAGTAAAAACACACAGCAAGGTGAATACACAAAGGTCTTTATTCTATCTCTGTCTCTTTCACCCTGTGTCCCTCACTCTCTCCACTATAGTTAACAATTTATACTACACTTTAGTTTATTCTTTCATTATTTCATTTTGAAAATATAAGCAAAGCATGTGCATATTAATATTCTTTCTTCACTTAGTCAAATTTTTTAAACTCTGTCTTCACTTTTATTTTCATCTAAAGCACATCTTTGAGATCATTCAAGATCATTTCCTAACAGAATACAGAACTATCCCTTGGTCATTTTGCAGTTACATATGCTTCATGTTGTGAATTTACCTTAGTATAGTCACCAGTGCTCTCTTTATGGACACTTAGTTATTTTCAGGCTTTTGCTGTAAGATCACAGTGCATAGACTTATGCATATTATTTTGAACACATACACAACCACACATGGTATAATTTCACATAGCACATCTTCAATTTCAAATATTTATTCAACTAGTTTAATAAAGTACTATTTTTTCTTACCCATAGCTTATATTTGGAAAGAAAACTACCTGGGAAAATACTTTCTACCCTGCCATAAACCCTGGACACTTAGGAGAAAGATGGAAGACACTGGGATCAAAGCAAATCGAGGAAAAAATTCAAGTGAAGAGACTGGAAATTAAGAGAGTCCATACTGGATGATTTTTCAGTAAAGAATTGCGCAATACAAAGGGTGAGGTGAGTTAATTTGTTTATTTTATTTGAAAAAAGAAGAAAAGAATTTGAGGCAGTTTATTTCAATAATTGATTGGGAGGCAATTTTAGGTAAATTTAATATCTAGCAAAATAGAATAGATGTAGTTGAAATCAAAACTACATTTTTATGCTTCAGTGAGTCATGCTAAATGCCATATAAAACACTATTCAGTGGATGGCGTGGCATGTCTCTGACTGTGTGGGGAACAAGGCAATTATGCTTATTGATCAAAATAAAAAACAGGATCTTAAGAGAACATCTATTTCAGAAGTATTTACTACTATTACCAGTAAAGAAAACAAATGTAGGTAAAGACTTAACATTTTGTCCTATATACATGTTAATCATCCTAACGGTAAAAACTCACATGAAACTTTAAGCTACAAGATGATATGAGATTCTCAACATGGAAAGCTGTCACTATAACTACAAGCCTCTTGGAAATTATTAAAATATTGGCAAGAAAAGAAGAATAGTTGTTTAAATATTTTTTAAAAACATTTGAATAAGAATCAGTAGGGTATAAACTAGAAGTTTAAAAATGCTTCATAGAACATCCAGGTTTTACATTACAAGATTCTCACAACAAACCTATTATATAGGTGAGTAAGTCACGTTACTACAGAGAAAAGTTTGGGAGTAAAAGTGTAAAAAATTATATTTTTGTTGCACCTTCTAAGAGAAAGAATATTGTTATGTTCTCCTAACTTCTGTTGATTGCTACTTTAAGTGATATTCATGATATTCATTTAAAACATTGAAAATTTGTTTTATTTACTTATTTTTCTTTTTGAGATGGAGTCTTGCTCTATTGCCCAGGCTGAAGTGCAGTGGCATGATCTCGGCTCACGGCAACCTCCACCTCCTGGGTTCAAGCGATTCTCCTGCCTCAGGTTCCTGAGTATCTGGGATTACAGGAGAGTACCACCAAACCCGGCTAATTTTTGTATTTTTAGTAGAGACAGGGTTTCGCCATGTTGGCCAGGCTGGTCTCAAACTCCTGACCTCAAAAGATGGGCTTGCCTCGGCCTTCTAAAGTGCTGGGATTACAGGCTTGATCCACTGTGCCCGGCCAAAACATTGCAAATTTAAATGAGAATTTAAAAAATTAAATAATGACTGTCCTGTTTCTGTTTTAGTATGTAAATCTTCAGTTCTTCACCTTTGCACTGTCTGCCACAGTTTGGTCATACAGTCATGAATTTGATCTGTATAGTCAAGACTTGTTTAAATTTAAAGTGTTCTACAAGGGGAGAAAAGTGTTAAAATTTTTAAAATATGTCTTCCAGGACACTTAAGCTCCAAGTCAGGTAGGTAGTTCAATCTGTTGTTAGCCAAGGACTCAAGGACTGAATTGTTTTAACATAAGGCTTTTCCAGTTCTGGGAACTGCACTTCATTAAAATTCTTCTTCTAAAACTTGAAAAAAAAATAAAACAGGACGTTATGAGGACTAGAAACACATGATTGGGTGGTTGACTATGGAGCAAACTGAGTAGAAAGAAGGAAGTCATAAGAGGGCCACTGGTTAATAAGAATTAAGGGGTGAAAAATCTCAGTGAAGGAAAAGAATATACCGTTTTTCTCAACAATTTGAAACACGGTAAATGATCATTTTACTTCTAAGGAAATTAGTGAAATACCTACTATCTGTCTAGATTAGATTGCTTTTATAATGAAAGTAATTTTATCATTATGCAGACACATATTTATGTTTGTTTTGCCATAGAGATTTATCAAGACAGAAGTCTGTCATGGTTTTAGATTACACACAGCTGTAGTCAGCAGTCACTGTCCGACGTGCTACTACACTCCCTGTTGCTGCAGATAGGGCTCTCCTCAGTTGAACAGTCAGATCTGGAAGCAGGCTCACTTCCCAACTTCTTCTTGCTTTCCATATTCAGTACTTCATTACCATAGTGACACATGTCCTTATTTTTTTTAATTAGCCACCACAAGCCTTCTCAGTTATAGTGATACTTCTTTTGGCTAGTCAAACCCTCACATCATAGCCTATCCCAAAGATTCAAACTGTTTTCTTATTTATATTTATAATGTTAATTTTTAAAAGAGTGCTTTTCTGCTCTTCTTGTAGCTTATCTTTGTATTCCTGCCTAACAAACTATAAGAATTTATGAAGTAATATTAACTTTATAAAGGCAGAGACGTTCTTATTTCATGTTCCCTAAATTTCTGTTCAAACTCCAGAATCTATTTGAGATGCAGATCTCATATGCATTAACCATGTACTAATGCATATGAAAGACTAGAATAATGCCCAGGGTAGCTTATGACAAGCAGAGAGTTTACCAGGAGACCTAATTATATTTATTAAATCTACTATCTCTTTAATTACTTGCTTGAATGAATTTCTAGGGCCTTGCTGTATATGGTTGCAAGTAGAAAGTGTGCCTCATAGAATAGAGCGTGGTAAGACCTTCAGGGTTTCTAGCTGTAATTCCCAAGGAATGTGTAAATGTAATTCTCTAAAGTTAAATGGGATAGAAAAAAAAATGTACTTTTTTACATTAGAAGGCAATTTAATTGGCACAAACAGATTTTTTAAATCAACATCCTGACTAAGCAAAACAACCATACCCTTGAAAAGCAAAAAGCAAAACATTTGACTATTTTATATATTCTAATTTTTTAATTGACAAATAAAAATTGTATACATTTATAGTGTACCTCGCAGTGTTTTGAAATGTGTATACACAGAGAAATGGCTCAGTCAAGATAATTAACACACACATTACCTCACTATTTTTTGTGTGATGAGAACACTTAAAATCTACTCTCAGCAATTTTCAAGAATACATTATTAGCTGCAGTCATCATGCTGTAAAATAGACCTCTTTAACTTCCTATATAACTAAAATCTTGTACCCTTTGGCCAACATTTCTAATAACCTTCCCCTACCCTCCATCCCTAGCCATTAGTAACCATCAGTCTACTCTCTTGCGTCTATGAGTTTGACATTTTTAGATTCCATATGTAAGTTAGATCATACAGTATTTGTCTTTCTGCACCTGGCTTATTTCACTTAGCATAATGTCCTCCAAGTTCATCTGTGTTTTCACAAATGACAGAATTTCCTACTTTTTTAAGACTGAATAGAAATTCATTGAGAATATATACCATATTCTTCTTATCCATTCATCCACTGATGGACACTTAGGTTGATTCCTTATTTAGGCTATTACAAATAATGATGTAATGAACATAGGAGTGTAGACATCTCTTCAACAAACTGATTTCATTTTCTTTGGATATATAACCAAAAGTAGAATTGCTAAACATATGGTAGTTCTATTTTTAGTTATTTGAGAAACTTGCATACTGTTTTTTTTATAATGGCTGTACTAATTTGCACTCCCATCAACAGTATACAAGGTTTTTTTTTTCCTCCACATCCTCACCAGCACTCATTATATTTTGTCATTTTGATAATAGAGTTTGGCTATTTTATCATCAATGGCAATTGCTATATGTTAAATTCAGGTATTAAGGAAGGTCTTTTAAAATTGAACTCTTCTTTTGGTTTAGGTATAATTCAGCTGTTCTTGAAACAATCTTAATATTAATATATTAATATTAATGTAGAATTACTCATTCACAATATTTAACCTCAAATAGAAATAGCTGCCATATTCAATATATATGTTGAATGCCTTCTTGGAAATATGATTATTTTAAAAGCAAGTCTGTTAATCTTTGTTGGAAGGACATGAAGAAGCAGTAAATTATATTTCGTAAAGGGTTTTTTCTCTTTCCTTACATTTTTGATAAGATAGAAGTTTCTCTTCTCACTGTCCAGAAGCTAGCAACTCAGAATAAATGAGACAGCTTCGTTGTTATTATGGGCCCAGAATCCTCCGTTGCTGTTCTACCATCTTCAAATTATAGCTTGGGTTTTGTGGTCTAAGGTGGCTACCGGAATCCTGGTAAAGTCCACATCCAGCCATTGGGAAACAAATAGAGAAGAAAAAGGAACACATCCTCCTGCCCCCAACTTTTAAGGTTGCAGGATTCATATTCCATTGGCCAGAATTTAGCCACACCTAATGGTAAGGAAATCTTGCAAATGTAATCTTCATTCCAGGAGGCCACATACCCAGCCTAGAGCCAGGAGTTTAGTTTTCAATAAAACAGGGGAGAATAAATATCAAAGGACAAATGACTTTCTGCCACACCTTTACAGTTTCAGACTATTACTAGAAAATTCAGGAGTTTAAACTTTCTTTTCAACTCATGGATTAAGATGGCTAACAGAAAGAATACAGATTTGGGAATGAAAATAACAGGGTTCAAATTCTTCCTTTGCCATAGAAGGAATTAAACAATTAATATTCTCTCCAAGCAGTTCGTCTGTAGAAAGGAAGACTTAGTAGTACATAATGCTAAATAATGTTGTTTCTAACAAGTGAAACAATGATTACACAACTTAAAGTAGTCTTTAAAAACTGGTATCTTAATACTATTAACTAACAGATATTTACGTGATGAATCTGGTAAGAATAAATAAGAATGTCAACATTATGAATGATTCTCTACAGACTTACATAGTGGTTAAAGTAGATAAAGCATTTCTGGCATTGCTTCCCCCTAGAGGACCCAGAATTTAATCTATTATCATTAAGCACCAAGAAACAAACTTTCCAAAAGTTATTTTATTCAGGTCATCAGATTGGCTATTTGTAATGATTGATTCAGACACTAATGTGTTAATAATTTCAGACCTTTGAAGAATACTTTTGAGCTTACAAGTTGCTTGCTTATGTATTATGCCACATAATACCCAATTTCATCAAAAATGGTAGGTCTGTCAGGTGTTAACCCCACTTTTCAAATGAAGAAACTAGAGCTGGAAGAGTTCTAGTTTTTCCAGTTGAAAAATGAAGAAAAAGTTCTCAAATTTACACAGGTATTGAAGTCATGGTTCAAGGCTTTTTAAACCACACTGAATCCAGTGGTGAGAATACTATTTATGTAAGAACCAGTACAAAATTAATGCGAATAATACATATACACATCAGCTGGTATTGTTCAAATGTCATAGTAAATTATGGATTTGTGTATTCTAGAAAGATGTATATAAGATTGGGGAAAAGAGCTCAAATGTTTGTCTATGATGATATATATTCTATATGATTATAAAAATTAAATGTAATTAAAAGTACATTACATAAATAGATGGGAAAAAATAAAAATGATAGAAAGTATATTTTATTGGTAACCAAGACAAAATAGCTCAGTAAATGACTAATAATATATGCAACCTCTTGTTATGGGTAATTAGTTCAGTTCAGTAACTGAAATTTTTTTATTGAGTCAATTATTAGTTGCAAATAGATAAGCAACTATGAAAATACTTAGTAAAAGCTCCCTTAAATGATTTCTCATTTATCACAATGTTAAATTTATAAGCAAGGATAAATATATTTATAAACATAATCACTATCCCATTAGCCCAGAAGTTTAAAAAGAAAAAGAAAAAAAGATCTGTGACACCAAGAGGAAAGAGAGGCAGAGTGCATAAAAACAAATGCAACAGGATCTGCCTAATCCTGGTTTTTCCTTCCATTACTTTTATCCACATTGCTAGGGGACTGCATGGTTTTTAAGGAAACCTAAGTTCATCTTATATAATAGGTTGTATTTACAATGCCAATGTACTATGGTTACCAAACCTTCCTCCATTCCCTACAGAACTGCCAAGATGATTTTTTGAAGTGAAAATCTAATAATATATTTTCAGATGTTAAAACTGTTCAACATTAATTTATTTTCAGAATTAAATCCAAACCCATTACCATGGTGTTCATTATCATTTGTGATCTGGCCCCTGCTTATGGGTCTAGATATATCTCTCTTACTCCCACACACCAATTATATTTATTTATTTTTTCTTCATGCATTCAAAAAATTGTGTGTCATGTACTTAATAATATATGCTAAACAGTGTTTTAGGTATTTTAGATACATTGAGGAATACAGATACTTGGCCTCATGGAGTTTATGTTCTCTCTAACCCTGATTGAGTCACTGAGGGGTTCAGATAATTGAAAAAGGGATAATAATGGCTGAGCCTTTACTTGTGTACCACTGTATATACCAAGTGCTCTCTCATATACTGTTTTATTTTACAATCACTTAAAACCTCTGATATAGCCATATAGCCATGCTTTTCATAATTTGGAACTGGGAATGTGCTGCTTCCTGTGTCTGAAATGGGGTTGCCTTCTCCCACTCTCACACCAGGTCTTCTTGTTAACTCCTATTGGTCTTTTAAGACTCAGTTCAACTATAACCTCATTCCGTAAGGATTGCCTGACTGACCACAACCCTCTTTCTTCAAGATTGGTTTCAGTACTCCTGCTAAATGCAGGTATGACATAAATCAAATGCAACATGTTTTATATGATTATTTGTTAATATATCTAAACTAAAATACATAAAGGCAGAATTCATGTGTTCCCAGGATCTAGCACCGTACTTTGTGCAAAGGATATAATTAATCAAAGATCAAATGCTTCTACAGTTTATTACATACCAACATGTTTTGGGAAACAGGGTAGTTACTATTATTCATTATTTTATGCAGGAGAGTGCTTATTATGTTCTATTAACTAATGGATGTCATATCGTTAACCTTTCCCTTCTTCAAACTCAACATCCTTCAATGATGTTTATATCTCTATCTCCACAATATATTCCAAACCCAACAACTTCTCTTCTACTCCACTCTTGAAACTATAGTAAAAAGCTTACTATCTCAGGGAAAAATTACTTCAAGAGTCTTTTAACTGGTTGGTCTCACTGTGACTACTTTAACTCTTACAGCATCTATTCTTTTCCCAGAGATTACAGTGATTCTTTTAATACATAGACATATCACATCACTCTATGCTTGTAATCCTCCAATGTGTTCCCAAGGCATTTAACATAAAATTTAAAATCCTTGCCATAGTCTATAAAGCTTTTTGTGATCCAGCCCTTGCCTACCTCTTCAAATATATTGCCCACCACTCTTACTGCTTTTCACTATGATATGGCAACATTGTCCTTCTTACTTTTTCTCAAATGACAGGTATGTTTAAACTTCTCATCTTTACACTTGATATTGCCTCTGTGTGGAATGCTTTTCCTCCAAATATTCACTTAACAAGATCCTTCTAATCATGCAGGCCTTATTTCAGATAAAGAAGCACATCATCTCTCAGTTTCCCTTCAAACACACCAGTCTCTCAATATTCTATTAAGATAATTTCTTTATACCTGCCAAATGGTAAGGATTCAGTATTTTTTTTGAAGGAATGAGCCAGCCAACACAGAGGAAAAACAAGGAGTTTAGAAGATAAACTGAGGCAGGCATCGATAAATAGATGGCACGGTTAAAGAATTTTAAACTTTACCTTTTGATCTGTAGTAGTAAATCTGACAGCCTGTCTAGAGACAGTCCCTGAATCCAGAAGATTTAGCAAAATTAAAACTTCATCCCCATCCAAACCATCTATCTGTCTATCCATTCATTCATCAATCCATCTAATCATTTCTTTATTTTCATTTACTCATTTTAATTTCAGAATATATTTGTAATGTTATATATTAATAGACGGCCTAGATAATAAAATAAAATCAACAATAAAACCACCATATCTGGCTCATAAACTAGACATTCATAAAATTTGGTGGTTCAAGTTTAATTGATGGGGGGAAAGGGTCTTGAGTCATTCAACTAAACTGAAATTGTCCTTGCTCAGTGGCACTGGTCAGTTCATTAGAGAAGTGGGGACAGGAGTAAATGTTTATAAAGTTTTTTTACCCCCTTTGCTTGGGTTGGATTCAGACATGTGCCGTCCACGAAAAGGTTTTTTTCTGTTTGTTTGTTTGTTTGTTTGTTTTTGAGACGGAGTCTCGCTCTGTTGCCCAGGCTGGAGTGCAGTAGCGCGATCTCGGCCGCCTCAGCCTCCCGAGTTGCTGGAGGACTACAGGCGCCCGCCGGCGCGCCCGGCTAATTTTTTGTATTTTTAATAGAGACGGGGTTTCACCGTGTTAGTAGCCAGGATGATCTCGATCTCCTGACCTCGTGTTCTGCCGGCCTCGGTCTCCCAAAGTGCTGGGATTACAGGCGTAAGCCACCGGGCCCGGCCGAAGAGGTTCTTAATAAATCTATTCTAAGTATATTTTTAAATCTCCATTTTAAATCATTGTTTTATATTTTATTTGAGGAAGATTGTTATGATTTGGTTTTGGTGACCTTCAAATAGATTGTGCAATTTTCTAAAAATATTTAATAAACAAATTATTTTTGCTTTTCAGATTCAAGAACAAAATTTTACAGAAAAAGAAACGCAACTTTCAGTATGTTTTTTCTTAATGCGCTTGTGTTGTTATAAAATATTGCCAAGAGTTTCTTTGACTGTTTAAAGGATATTTAAATGTAGGGAGGTGTGCGTGTATGTATATGTTTTAAGTATACATATGTGCATGCTGTAATTTTTTGAAGGAGTTCATACGTATTATAAACAGCCATCCAACCTGATTTTAAGAGAGTAAAAGACGGGTATTCATATATGTTTTTTGTTCTTTTATGAGGCTGGAGTGCAGTGGCACCTACTTAGCTCGTCACAGCCTTGAACCTCAAACTGTCGAGCTGAAGCAATCCTCCTGCTTCAGCCTCCTGAGTAGCTGGGACTACAGGCATATGCCACCATATCTGGCTAATGTTTTAATTCTTTGTAGAGACAGGGTCTCACTATGTTGACCAGACTGATCTTGAACTCCTGGCCTAGGCCTCCCAAAGTGCTGGGATTAAAGGTGTGAGCCATCACACCCAGCCTCATATATGTTTGATACATGATTACATGTGGGTAAAGAGTACATTTATTAAATATTGAATGAAGATATTAGATATGGAATAAACGAGTCATCTTCACTGCTTTTTAGGAGATATCTCTGGGAGTTTGAGCAAAAATAAATGAATTTAACTCTCAAAAGTTAGTATTATAAACTGATATGAAGTAAGTATCACCCAATGGTAGGGACATCCATAGTGTAGAAGTAAATTTCCTATAAATTCTAGCATGTTTGTATTGCACTGATAATGAGAAAAAAAAGTGGAAATGTGGTCCTTGTGATTTTAAATCCACAAAAGTAATTTACAAACTCAAAGAGTATGGGACTGTTTAGTGCAATTGCCTATTTTTTGATGTCCACTATTCCTGACTCCCTATAGCGTTGTGGAACAGTGATGCATAGTCTTTCAGAATATGGTTTCCCTTTTCCTTCTCTCATATCTGTTGACTTAGTTAGCTTCCTTGTAAGTATGATTCCTAAACAGACTGGGTTTAATCAGAAGTTGATCTATGATGCCAGTGGGAACTATTGGTCAAATACTACAAGGTTCTTCAGTCAATACCACCTTTTAAAAATAAAGCCCATGAGCTAATATCAACATAAGTGGCAAAATTCTTCCAGGAGGGAATTTCAAGCATCTATTTCACTACTTGCTTTCATGGGTTTAAGCACAAGCTTGACATTATGTGAATGCGGTTTGCTGTGTTTAATTACTATCATTATTATTATTATAGATACAGTAGTAATTATCTCTTCCTACTGTCTCATTATGTTTTGATCAATTCACATAATAAAAGTTTACTGTAAATATAAGGTTAGGTAACATTAAAGAAAACATGTAATTATTGAATATATAATCATATACAATCTAAACAGCTGAACATTTCCTAACATTTCTAACAATTAAATATTTAGAAAGTAAAGAATTTGCTTCTTTTAATATGATAGGTGCAGTTCTGTAGGCAATGGCTACAGAAGGCTTTGTTGACCTAAAAGTACTTTACTTCTGTTATATTAATAACATCTAGATTTCTCAAAAACCTGCTGGCAAAAGAAAAAAAATCTTTTCAGCTTTATTAATGATTCATATGGCAGTTTCTGAAGAGACAAGTCCCACAGAGAAGGAGCACTTGATTAATGACCTGGAAACACTTTTCCTTTTCAGCTGATTAAATAAAATTGACTGGATTTTTACATTTTTATAATAAAATGACCCGCAGGGCTGAGATGACACAGTGAAAGCAGCATGTTCACTCTTCAGCAGATTTTTATTTTGTCACTTGTAAAAATGAAAGGGCTAACCACCCGAGCAGAAAAATGCACTTTATCATCGGCCATGGCTGCCATGCTGACAAATGCTGCATACAAATATAAAACCGTGAAGGAAAATAGACAGTGTTTATATTCAGCATGATTTTGTCTAACAATGACTAAAGTCTTATTATTCCTAGGCCTAGAAACTGTATTATTAAATTATTATTTAGAAAGGAAAAACCTAGAATTAAAAGAAAAGAACTTTAACCATTATCTGCAATCTTTAGAGGAATTCAATGTGGCCATAAGTAGGATTATTGGATACCATTACTGTAATCCTTCTATGTTTTTAGGCCAAAGGGATTCTCTTTGGAGATCTAACTTCTGTTCTTCTGTTCACACTAACAGGCTCAGTGACAGCCCTAAGCAAAACTGTGAAGTAGAAAAGATTGTTCTTTTCTTGCATTTCCCACAGCACCATCTTCTTTCTCTTTCTCTCTCTCTGGATCCTTTCCAGAGCACTCTTCAGCCAGGACCTGACCTCCCAGACTTGGTACCCTTTGCTGTCCCATAGCTCCCTAAATCCTTGCTAAATTGACTCTTCTCCTTAGAGTAGTGCTTTTGTTATTCCCCATCTCCCACCTCCCGGCTATGTCTGCTGTCTATCCCTATTCTCTGAGGTATACCAGTTCCCAGGCCCATCACCCCAGGTGATTTCAAACGGAATCCTTTCCTAGCTCTCAACTTGATAAAGGAGAGGCCAGAGGAAAAACTGTATTGAGTAATGATCTTTTAGACTAGAAGTTGGTGTACGGTAGCCCTGCATTTAGCCACAGATGTACTGTGTTTGGCTTAACACGTAAATTCGAGATGCAAACCTCATAAACTCTGGATGCTTTTGAAAACTCCAAAATTCTTTCAGCACTAGGCTAGCTTTCCCACATGGCAACGGACATCAGAAGCTGTCTGTGTGAGTTGAGATGCAGGCTCAGCACATCTTCCCTTCTCTGTAGTGCCCTTGACACTACAGCTGAATTTCATTCCCTTTATCTCATTACTCACATTCCATCTCTCTCATTGATAATGCCTGTCTGGTTCCTATAGGCCTTTAAATTTTTTAGTCCTGACCAAGATCTGTTCTTTCCGATCTCCAAAATAATATTTGTGCATTTTTTTCTTGTTTCCTCCTAGGGGAGAATATGTGTGTGTGTGTATACACGCGCACACACACACACACATTTTATATACAATATAAATATTACATATAATTACCCATAACATTTAACCCAATGAAATAATAACAATGAGATAATTTCTAGCTAGTAGGAGTGGCAGACAAGCAGCAACATACACAGTTAATGTGACAGTTGATATTTGGGGGCAGACATGAGCTTTCTGTCTATTGTAATGTTCTGTCCTCTCAACTGGCCTGATAGTCTCAAAATTCAAATCAGTCAACTAAGTAAGTGGGGTCATTTAAAATTTGGCAGAAAAAAACTCAGAGAAGACTAGCATTAGATAGTATACTTATCATCATTTCTATTTATTTTGGGAAGTTTCAGGATACAAATGCAGGCATTGATACATTTTCACAAAATGAAGAAAGTGAAAATCACTAAGAAATACTACCTGTTGACCTTGAGTTGACCAAGCACTGTTCAACGAAAGCTACCACAATATGCTACTAAGTCACTCTACTACTTTCTTTTGAGTATTCTGATCTATTTCTTCAGTAAGTACATAAGAAGTGATGCTGCTATAAATTACTTTGATGTTGCCGTACTCACCATACTAAAGTTGAGTAGGATGGGTTATATTATTATTTTTACATCATGATGATATCAAATGATAGAGAAATAGCCTGGTAGATTCCATTTTGTGATGTAAAATTAAAAATAATATTCATAATTCAGTACAAGTAATATTTCTGTATGATATATCTTTTAGTACTTATAACTTTCAATGCATTTTTCCATGCATTAATTCCCCCATATTAGCATGAATAGAAAAAAAAAAAGCCAGTCCTGTGGTGGCAGGAACTTTGGTCTTCCATGAAACCACTGTATATCTCGCCCTAGAAGGGTGCTTGCAAACAGTCAACACTCAATAACCATTCATTTTTTAGTAAATATAATGGCTAGATTTAAGGCCAATTAGACTATCCAATTGTGAAACATTTATATTGTCACTAGTAAATTTTAAGCAACCTGGTTATTTTGCCCTTTCCAATTCAATAGTTATCTGACTCAGTATGACTAGTTACAATTTGGTTACAGTTTGTTACAAACTGGTTATAAATTGTTACAATCTGATGCATACATGGTCATTCAATATTACATTTAATGCAAGAAATCCATCAAAATAATTATGTCTAGATCTCTCATAAGTACTATAGGGATACAAAGAAGTACATTAACATCTGCTCATGAGTTTACCATCTAGGCATATTAACAGTCTTATTTTAGTTTCCCTTTATTTAGAATGTCACTTACTAGTTAATAAGCTCCAATGCAGAAAACAATTTATATATCTTGTCTTTATGCTCTACACTCTTGCTTCTTGACAATCCTTTCTTTGTATAGTCACTAGTATATATGCAACTCATTTCATATTTATGTGTGTGTGTGTATTTTATGTAAGGTTGTTTCTAAATCTTCCCAGGGTAATTGAAGACTGTTTTATTTCTATTCATTGCAATATCAGTTTAGCTGTTTTGAGTTACATAATGATTTTAGCTTTGAAGTTAAAGGTCAACCCCAGGGCAAGAAGCACTTTACTGTGAAGCTGGAAATATAAAGAAGTGTGAATAAAACTGTTCATGACCCTGTGAGTCTCTGTGAGCCAGGACTTAAGCAAGAATTTGAAGGATGTCAAGTGCACACTCACTCCAACAGGCCATTATAAATGCCATACAAGTCTCCATAGTATGCAATAAGATTGGTGACACTAGACACATGGTGGGTTGCCTGTAGCAAAACCATGAGATAATTGCATTTACATGGAGATCTCTGAGGAGCACAAAGCCCTTTATGGATTTCATTCTGAATCGATTTATGCAATTCCCAAATGTGTTCTGCCAAATTACAAAAGGATAGATTATATTCTAACTTTTAAAGACAGAAAAATGAGGCTAACCAAAAAAAAAAAAAATAAAAAAATAAAAAACTAATAATAATCAGTATCTTACTGAAAGCCCCGGGAAACACTTTTAGAACTGTACATTTTACATGATATTGTCATGCCATTGCACTGTTGTTCTGTAAGCAAGAGCCCGCTACTACTACGCAGACGCTGAGGGAGGCCTCGGAAAACAATTTCATGCAGCTTTCACTTTCAGGTTTATAGGCTCTCACAAAAAGTTCAGAAGTTCAATTTGATGACATAATAAGAAGTTCAAGGGTTCCCAATCTATGACTGAAAGTAATACCATGAAATTAAAGTATGTAGATTATTTTTCCCTTTCACATGCTAAGAACAATTTCTGTTTCTAGATGGACAGAAAATTCAGAAAGAACTCTGCTTAGGCATTTTTCCATTTCTATCTTACATTAAATTTTCAAAGAGGGGTGAAAATTATTTTAAAAGTGGGGAAAATGAGAAATTCCTGGTGTTGCAGGGAAGTGGACACACTGAATGTGAATCTTACAGGACACTGCCAGCCCAGGGAGTCTCTGTGCTGGGTTTGGCCCCAGGGTTCAGATTTCTAAATTCCTTCTGTTGAAGAAACTCTCCTCTGAGAGGAACTTCCTCTTCTCTGAGAAAGCCTCTTTCTCCCAAATGCGGTTGATGGTGCTTTGGGTTTCACAAGTCAAAATTAAGTTTTAAACACTTCTAGGTATGCCAGCTTCCACTTTTTAGCACTGGTAAAACAGCTAAAGTCAAGGGAATAGAAATAGCTGGTTAGCCTCACTTTCATACTTTTAAAACACTGAAAACTAAAAACATCAATAAAGTTCACCCTTTTAAACTTTGTGGAGTATTTTTTGACCAAACTTAAAATATGGATGAAGATGGAAACTATCATTCTCAGCAAACTAACACAGGAACAGGAAACCAAACACTGCATGTTCTCACTCATAAGTGGGAATTGAACAATGAGAACACACTGACACAGGGAAGGGAACATCACACACCGGGGCCTGGGGTCAGGCCCTAGGGGAGGGATAGCATTAGGAGAAATACCTAATGTAGATGACAGGTTGATGGGTGCAGCAAACCACCATGGCATGTGTATACCTATGTAACAAACCTGCACGTTCTGCACATGTATCCCAGAACTTAAAGTATAATTAAAGAAATATGGGAAAGACTCCTAATAATTAGAATCTAAAGAGTGATACTGCTGTTCACTTTAGTTGATAAATATGAGAATGAGGTTTTATCAAACTGGTAATATATATTTGTAAATTTTTAGGACAAAATCATCTTATTTATAGGATATTATTTTCAACAGATAATTCAATTTATGTAACATCGTAACATCTAGATTCCTGATTTTCAAAACTAAGACTATAACATGATGAAGAATGCTGCATAGGCCATTGATCTAGGCAATGAGCCATCATATAGGCAGTTAGGGCCTATAGTAGTCCATTTTCATGCTGCTGATAAAAACATACCTAAGACTGGGTAATTTATAAAGAAAAAGAGTTTTAATGGACTCAGTTCCATGTGGCTGGTAAGGCCTTACAAACATGGCGGAATGCAAAAGGCATGTCTTACATCGTGGGTGGCAAGAGAAAATGAGAGCCAAGGGTAAGGGGTTTCCCCTTATAAAACCATCAGATCTCATGAGACTTATTCACCACTAAGAGAACTGTATGGAGGAAACCATCCCCCTGATTCAATTATCTCTCACCAGGTCTATCCCACAACTTGTGGGAATTATGGGAGCTACAATTCAAGATAAGATTTGGTTGGGGACACAGTTAAACCATATCAGGGCCAGAACTGTAATAGCAGCAACATGGAAACAATTTCCCTGGGATTTGCACCAGGGGCATGGAGGCATAGGTTTATAAGAAAATGATTTTGCATAGTCGTATAGCCCAGTTATACAACTAGAGATGTTCTCTCTCCTTGAATCTTCATCTGCAATTATGAAATGTGGGACTTAATTGTCCAGGGCAGGCTTTTATAGAATTTGGAT
The DNA here is from genome assembly GCF_000001405.40 of Homo sapiens. Lineage (NCBI taxonomy): Eukaryota > Metazoa > Chordata > Mammalia > Primates > Hominidae > Homo > Homo sapiens. The sequence continues at coordinate 52,471,454 of NC_000005.10, forward strand.
GGATTCTATGAATTCTCTGACATTACATGCAAAGTGTGTGTCTGCGTGTGTGTGTGTGTATGTATGTGTGTGTATATGTGTTTCTTTGTGGAGAGAAGATACATCATTTCCCTCAAGATTTTCATGAAAATACATATTGAAACAAAAGGAGGGCCAGGGGTATGTACGAGCCTGCAGACAGTATGGTCCAGCAGAGTTAAGTTCCACCAAGGGGTTGAGATTAGGGGTTGCGCTAGTGTCAGTCTATCACTAAACAATGTTTGACCTTAGGCGAGTTACCTAATCTCTTCATGTCTCAGTTTTCTCAACCATGAAATGGGGGAAATAATACCCTGCACCTGCCTTTTTCAGCTCATAGGGCTGTGATGAGGATCAAATAAGAATTTGTAAGGAAATCCATTGCATTAAAGTGTTCTACATACACGTGGCTTATGGGGATCAGTCTCTTCTATTCTCCCCTAAATCCCTGACCCCTCCTTACTCCCCAGCCCCCATAAACTTTCTGTGAGAGAATCCAGCCCTCACAGTTAATTCTCTCATATAACACTAAATAATACTGCCTCTGCGCTAGTCAACTTTTTATACATTTTCACATTTCTGAAGTATTGAAGATGTTATTAGGCTCCACCCTCACTGGATATGTCAGTCCTCTTCTCTTTTTAGTAAACTTTCACCTGTCACCCAATATCCAGCTCCATTACTTTCCTGGGTCAAGTTTTTCCTCCAAAGCTACAGGAAAGCCCTCTCCTTGTGCTTCTTCAGATCTCTCCTCAGGTCTTTCTTATAGCACTTAAGAAGACCTCTTGAGCTTATTTATTTACTGGGCCTTCTGTTTCACTAGGCTCTCAGCACTTTGTCTTCATTCCTCTTTAAATAAATCTCCACCCAACCATTGCACATGGTCATGTACATAGTAGACACATGGTAAGACAGTTATTGAATAAGGAAATTGATATAAACTGCATTTCTATAGAGAAATCTTTGTAAAACATGCTGCAATTTCTGGAGAAAGTGCAACAACTTTCCACAGTTTTGCTGCGTGTGGTATAATGCATATGCTACTAAATTGCATGGTTTTCCAGTAGAGAACATCATTTGTGCCATATTTTAACTATATGCTAGCATCTTTTATAGTCAATTTCTCTAGTGTTTTATTTTTCAAAGCAAATGTAGTTCCTTAAACTTGCCAGTTTCATTTGTATTTTTGGATGGATCCCTTATAGAATTTTGCACACATTGATTCTGTTTGAGAACATTATGCTGAGCCCTAGTTTCAAAGTACCTATTACATGCCCTTTCAAAATTAAATAAAAAAGAATTCAAGGCTACATCAAAATTGTAAAGCTAAGAGTAAAAACATGTTGCTTATCTTGATCATTTTAACCTACCTAAAATGGTTGAATGTGGCCTAATACTTATGTTCCTCTTTGCTAGGAATCTTTCCACCATCAAGAGGGAGTAAGAGAAAATTTGTATCAGATAGTAGCTTGCAGTGCTAAAAGCAACACTTCCTCTTGTCACCTCCAATCATATGCTAGCTAGAATTTAATTTGGGTTCCTCTACTAGTTGTGTACTAAAGACAAGCAAGGGAAACATAGGCAGTCCCTCTTGCAAGAACAGAGTGGCTAAACTCCTTCACGTGTGATTTTCACTCTCTGTCATGATAGGACCCACATTGATCCTATCTACCAATCAGCAGAATATTCCAGGTACTCTCTCCTGAGATCTACTCCACCAAATGTAAGCTTTCTTTTGACAGTGCCCCACCATTTTATTAATAGATAACAATAATGCAGCCGTTTTGAACATCTCAGCTTAAGAACAGGTAGCAATTACCATATATATTGCCATGTTGCTGTAATGTTAGATATAGAGTTGTAATCTATAATTGTATAAAAAGTTTAGCCCTCCCAATTTGTTCCTTATTTTATTGAGCATACCTGGTTTCTACAAACAATCCTGTGTTTTAAATTCATCATGATCCAAACTTTTGCTTTGAGAAGAAAGAACGTTCCCAAAGAAATAACTGCTCAACTTTGAAATGTGAGCCCCCTTTTATTCTTTCTGACTTTAAGGATAGCATCTTCCTAAGTTGACCAGAAAACAAACTCCAGAATGAAAATAAATGTCAGATCTTAAGCCCGGTAGGAGCAATGTGATGCTACTTTAGCAATTTTTTAAAAAATAATTGTTAATTGACACACAATAACTATGCATATTTATGGGATACACAGTGATGTTGCAGTACATATAATGTATAGTGATCAGATCAGGGTAATTAGCATATCTATCATCTCAAATCTTTATTACTTCTTTGTGTTGAGAACATCCAATGTCTTTCTTCTAGCTATCTGAAACTATATAGTATATTATTGTTAACTATAGTCATCCTACAGTTCTAAAGAACACTATAACTTACTCCTCCTATCTTGCTGTAAATTTTAACAAATCTCCTCCCATCCTACCTTTTTTTCCTTCCCTTCCTACCCTCTAATATCCTCTGTTCTACTATTTACTTTGATAAAATCTACTTTTTCTAAGCTCCCACAAATAAATGAGAACATGCAGTGTTTAACTTTCTGTTCTGGGCTTATTTCACTTAGCATAGTGTTCTTCAAGTTAAAAGAGTGTGGTCAGTTAGTTGAGTTAACCTGGGGCCATGATAATACAAAATATAAATTTATCATTTGATCTCTTACGTAGTCACATTGCATTGCTTTCATATGAAATTAGGAAGAATACCCACTGATGTCTCTCAGTCTAAGATTTTCTCTTACTCACATTTTCATTCTGATATTGATGCTCCCTGAAATTTGTTCTAGCTCTGACTTTCCCAATATCAGATGCCTTAAATGATTTGAAGTTTTATAATGTGAGGTACAAAATACTGTTTTTGTCTTCTGTCTTTCCTCAGACTGTCTCTATTGCATGCTCTGTCTCATGGAATAACAAGGATCTTCTCTACCCCCAACCCTCCCCAACTTAGCGTGAAGACAATCTCAATATGATAAATCTAAGCATATGTGGATGCAAGAACTTATAAGTATCTTAATTGGTTGCAGAAATATTAATACTTGATATTGCCAACTGAAACATATTATTTTCCAATAAAACCCAATGAAATTTTATTGAGGATGATCAAAGAACATTTTCATTTTAATATCATTCAGGGCACTTTGGGTCCATAATACTATTATAGTTGCTGTGCATTGCAAACTCTGATTCTGTGCTCCTTTTCTTCCAAAATTATTTGTAAACTACTCAAGAACATAGGGTAATCTCAGAATTATAAGTTCTCCAACACTATCTTTTTATATGCTTATATTCATGTTTTCTCTTCAGCCTGGAAGAGCTGTATTTTGAAATTTCGGGGCAAACAAAAACTCCTCTGCTGAGCTTCCTCTCTCTCTCAAATATTACTTTATACATTATGAGATTTAGGATTATAAAGGTAAGAGCAGTAAATTGTGGGCGACCCTAAAAGGTTGGCAAACATGATTAAAATTTATTCAATCTAGAACAAAGACATAATTCTCCTCATTCATCCCAAAATGTGTATCTAATATAGACCACGAAAGGAGATGTAATTACTCCCTTGATGAAACTAACAATCTGGATAAAGAAATCACATAAATAAATTTAAAATTTAAAATTGTGACTATGACAAATAAAGAAGAGAGGTATATAGTAATGTGAGAGCACATAATAGAAATTTAACTTATATAAGAAGGTTTAAAAAAAGCATCCTTAAAGAATTAACACTTTGACCTGCTATCTGAAGGATAACCAACATTTATCTGAAAGAACTAAGGAGAGTTGCTCTGTTTAGGGACTAAGGTCCCAAAAGAAGGCCAATGTGGTTTAAGAAGATAGATGAGAGTGAGAAATGAATCAAGTTGAGTTTGGAAAAAAATGGTATAGGCCTTACAGCTAGTGCCTGGTAGGCAAGTTCAGGAATTTGGTGTTTATCCCAAGAATTATCAGAAACATTTGAAGAGTTTTAAGCAATGGGGGAAGCAGATGGCGTGATATGTTTTGGCTCTGCGTCCCCATCCAAATATAACCTTGAATCGTAATAACTCCCACATGTCAAGGGTGGGACCAGGTAGAGGTAATTGAATCATGGGGGCAGTTTATCCCATGCTGTTCTTGTGATAATGAGTGAGTCTCATGATATGATATCGGATGGTTTTACAAGCAGATGGCATTTCCCCTGCTTGCACTCATTCTCTCTCCTGCCACCCTGTGAAGAGGTGCCTTCTGTCATGATTGTAAGTTTCCTGAAGCTCCCCAGCCATGCAGAACTCAGAGTCAATTAAACATCTTTTCTTTATAAATTACCCAGTCTCGGGTATTTTTTCATAGCAGCATGAGAATTGGCTAATACATGGAGTATGAGGAGTGACAAAGAAAATAGCATACGATTAAATGGGTACTTCTGAAAACATTCTTCTGGCTGTATGAAAAGAGTAGATTTAAGAGTACAAGTAGATGAGGTGGGACAGTCAGCTGGCATCACAGAATCTGAAGCAGGGAAAATGGCAGGATGGATTAGCATAGGAACAGTGAATTCGAAGTGAAGTGACATTGAAGAGATACTTAGGAGATAGAGTTATCGGGACTTGGGCATGGAGGGACACTGGGTAGGTTTTATGGAGGGGTTTGAAAAGGACTCAAATTTCTGACAAGGTATTACATTTGAGTTCTATTTCTTGAGATACCTAATATTGAAAGAAGAATCAGATTTCAGGAGAAAGACTAAGAGTTAGGAGCTATCTGAGTAGTAGCAGCACAAAAATAATGATCTTTTACAAAGATAAATTAAGTATATATATGCAGGGTGAATTGGGTATTGTAATAATGGAAATAATAAAAGCAGGTAGAAAACTATTGTAGTAGTCTCTGTGCCAGACACCAAACAGAAAGCTCAAACCAAATAAATAAGTTTTTAAAAATTTTCTTTTTCATTATAAACCAAAATTTGAATGCATTTTGTAGATGATTTGCAAAGAGGAAGGCGGAAGAGACTATTTAGGCAAAGATTTATTAGAAATTAATTCTTACTTTTCTTTTGGAATAGGATTATCTTTTGTGGGAAATGGGATTCTAAAGTGCTTTATTGGATAATAGCCAATTTAAATTTTAGCAAATTAAAATATAAGGAATATTTTAGGCATAGAATGTAGTTTGAAGGCCAGGACAGAGAAAACTTTTCACAAGGCAGTACAAATTTTTTTCTGTTCCCTCTGTATTCCTAGGGTTATTGCCTTGTTCTTCTATTCTACCATCTTCTCCTCTCCTCCGCTGCTAGTTACTTCCAGTAGACTAGTGTTGCCTTATGATCAAATGTAAACGCATAGACAAAATGTGTTTATGCAGTGTACATAGTTAAGAGCTACCAAATATTCACCATTATATAAAATTACCGATATACTTTTAAGTTTAAAAACAAATTTGTGTTTTTAGGAAACATGGGAAAGGTTTTCCTTTCAATTAAAAAGCAAAACAGAGTAAGACATGAGAAACTGCCTTCTTCTGATTATTATAGGTCCATGTGAAATAGTGATATCTATAACTGTGATAATCACCTTGTAGTCATACGATCAAACTTGAGATCAAAGCCAACTGAGAATAGCAGAAAGGAAAGAGTTAAATAATATGGTCACTTAGTGACATAGTTTTGACACTGAATTTTAAAACCCTGTAATGTCTCATCTCCAGATTAATTTTTTTGAAAAATGATAAATTTCTTCCTGGTTTAAACCATTTCAGTTTACTTCTTATAAAAAGGTACTTTTCATCCCCTCCCTACAAACTTCAACTTTCCCATAGTGATTTTTTTTTTACCAATTTACCAACTTTTGAATAATAATATAAATGACTTTTAAATCCTTAAAAAATAACTCCCTTTAATCCAGATAAAATGTTTGTTTGATTACAAATGAGTATAAATGCACATGGAAGGCATATAATAAACTGTGACTTGTAAAATCCAAAATAACCCAGCGAACTCAACAACACAAACTTAGTCTCTAATCAGTAGTGAATTGTCATGTTTGTGGCATATTCATATCTATGTATTTGCCTATGTCTATATTTGTTTTAGCATAAAGGTATGGATGATTTACTTGAATTGCAGTGAATGCCTATCCTAAGGTCCACCCAGATATTCCAGGATAATCTCCCAATTTTAAGATTCTAAATGTAATCATGTCTGCAAAGATCTTTTTACCCATAAATGATAATATTCACAGTCTCCAGGGAATAGGACATGGGCATCTTTGGGGTGGCCATTATTCAGCCTTCCACACTGAAAACTTGGACAATGGATCATTTTGGGTAGGTATATTTCCCAGATAGCTAATTTTATACTTATTTCTTATTAGCCAAATTATATTGTATTGCTATATTTTTGAAACACAGTAACTATTTCATGATTTTTATGCACTTATCCTTGATAAGTCAGAATTATTCCTTTAGCTATTATTTTACTTTGTAAAATATAATGATGATTACAGAATCAATTGTTGTGGAGCGTTTGATTCCCTACAATTATTTATCCCGTCCTAGTGATTTATATTGGATTTTCTTTCCTCTATGCACTTATACATGAGTAAAACTTCCCATAGTTTCTGTATTTCTCCTTCTTCTTCATTGTCTATCCCAGTGGTTTTCAAACTGTGGCCCCGGACACAGCAACAGATTCATATGGAAACTTGTAAAAAATACAGATTCTCAGAAAGCAATTTAGCCTTGCTGAATCAGATATCCTGGGGATGATGTCTTGAGTTTCTGATATTTCTGGAGATTCTGAGAACCACTGGTCTATCAAATATATTCAATTCTCTGTGAGTGTTGTCTGTTTGTAATAGAACCTCTGCACTTTGTTCTTTGCTGCTTATAATGTACTATGAGATATAATGTATTTGAGATTGGAAATCATATGTCTACTCTAGTTGTAACTATCTTCAATATAAGATCACAAAGGCTCTGAGTGAAAATTAGAAATTTCTTGTAAGAATAGAGTTCATGAACTTTAATAAATATGCCATTAACTATCAATATTAGCTAATTTAAATAATATTTTACTTGTTTCTTAGGCTTCTATTAGGTCACTCTGAGACAATGTTTTGTATATTTGATTAAATTTTATAAAGACCAGGTAAAACTGAAGAGGTGAGGTTAAAAAGTTACAATCTAGATTTTCCAGAAATTTTCAATTTTAGGCAATTATTTTTTAAAAAAGAAAGTGAATTCTCAAATATATAACTGAAGACATATGTTTATGTATTTATTTAAATGTTCAAATATTATCAAAGATTTAAAACCTTTAACCGTTTTATCCTAATAAATAGTCCCTTCTGAAAAGTTTTATCCAAAAATGTCAAATATTTTGAAAATATGGCACTACAGCTGGATCTACAAATAACTGGATATATATGTTCAATTTTGTTACATTTCATGACTACAACAGCAGAAAAGAAGTTGTAATTGTCCGACTGGTTTATCTTGCCCACTGTGCAGATACAACCAATTTACTAAGACAGTGGTATTGCAATAAAGAAACAGCTTAATAAATTCAGAGGCAGCTAAGTGTATGATTAAATTTTATTACTCAAATCATTCTCTCTGAAAATTTGGAGATTAGGGTTTTTTAAGGATAATTTCTTGAGCATGAGGCTAGGGAAAGGGAATTCTGATTGGGTAGATCATAGATGAAATCCTAGGGGATAAAAGCTGTCTTCTTGCTGTCTTCATTTCCTGTGTGGGATTGCAAAATCAGATGAGCCAGTTTACCTGTCTGGGTGGCACCAGCTGGTCCATCAGAATTCAGTCTAAAAAATACCTCAAAAGCCAATCTTGGATTTTACAGTAATGATGTATCTATAGGAACAGTTGGAGAGGTTAGGAATAAGTCCTGAGCCATAATTTCTAATCTTCAATCTAATTTGTTAGTTCTACAAAGGCAGCTTGTGTCCCTAAGCAAGGAGTGGGTTTGTTCAGGAAGGGACTGTTATTAGTTTTGCTTCAAAATTAAACTCTAAACTAAATTTCTCCCAAAGTTCGCTTGGCCTATACCCAGGCATAAACAAAGGCAGCTTGGAAGTTGAAGGCAACATGAAATCAGTTAGGTCAGATCTCTTTTGCTGTCATAATTTTCCTATAATAGACTTGTTTTACTGTTCTAATTTTTGCAAAGGCAGTTTCAAAGTTGTAAACTTTAAACTATGTCTCTAAGTATCATATTTAAAGAGACTAAATTATGTTGGTTAGGCCTTATTTTGTGAAAAGCATGTTATTGAATGAATATAACAATTCAGTATCATTCCTTATATGTGTAAGCCAAAAATGAAATTCTACTCCCCACAACCAACTGAACAAACCCCACTTCTTAGCCAAGGGGATCCCAAAGAAACCAGAACAACTAGTTCAGGCCATGGCAGGAAGAGAAGCTGAACATGCACTGTTATATCTCTGCCCATTGGAATTTAGGCACAACTGACCAATACTGACATTAAAATGGAGATAATGAAACTAACAACACAGATTCTTTGTAGCAATAAGACATCAAATTCTAACTTAACTCTGGCATAGCATCACAAAACAGATAGTAGGCCCTAAGGAAATCAAAGGACTTTACCCCAAAATATATTTCTTTGACAAATTTTGAAATGGCCCTGCAAAACCATCTTGTGTGTGGGAAATTTGCATTCTGTAGAGAATCTCTTTCCTTTTCTAGGTATTTTCCAGGATCCAGAAGAGATTTAACTAAAAGTATGACATATTTTAAGGTCCCAGAAGGGACATTTATCATCTATTTCCTCTGAAGCCTGTAACTTAGAGGCTTCATCTATATAACAAGAACCTTGGCTTCCACTATTCCCCTTACCTTAACTCAAGCATTTCCTTCTACTAACTTCAACTCTTTAGGCAAAGCTTAATTCTTTCAACCAATTGCCAATCAGAAAATCTTTGAATCCACCTATGAACTGTAAGCCTCCCACCTCTCCTTCAAGATGTCCCACCTATCTGAACCAATGTATATCTTACATGTATTGATTTATGTCTTTGCCTGTAATTTCCAACTCCCTAAACTGTGTAAAACCAGGCTGTAACCCAACCACCTCAGACACATGTTCTAAAGACCTTTTGATACTATATCCAGGCCATAGTCACTCATATTTGCCTCAGAGTAAACCTCTTTAAATGCTTTACAGAGTTTGTCTTTTTTCATCAACATATGAAATGTAAGACTTTTGGAAATAATTTAACAAAACAGAATCTGGTTAAATGATTGGCTTTATGAATGAAAAACAAACTGTGACGATTAGTGTACTAGTTAAATGTACTTAGTCATAGTATTGACATGTCAACATATATGTTCATATTAACATGCTTTTTCTACAAAAGTTACATTTTACCGTTTAAAAATGTATTTCTATATCCTTTCAGTGACTATATTTTTAAAGATAAATGCCCAAGGAGTGTTGCTGTACTTGTGAACAAGCATAGCTGGAATTATATCACACGTCTTCCTGAATTAAACATTGCCTTTCACTAGAAAGAAAAAAGTCTTTCATGTACTTTTAGTATTATTTAATAAAATACCTTTTATGCACAGAAAACAGTTACTTGGAAATAAATTACAAACATTATACAACAAAATAAAAGTACACAGACTTCAATTGATAATTGGACATAATCATTAGTAGACTCTGTGTTCTACCCAGATCCTCTCAGGCCTTACCATTGTACTGCATCAAAGCTCAGACCTCAATGGTCTGAGGGCATTCTCTATGGGCCACAGTGCATTCTGCCATGTGGAGGACAGGCTGCTGACCTTCTGGGAACAGCCTGCAAACAATGGCTGACAAGAGTTGGTGAGTAAGAACCCTGGCTTCCTTGTCCCTCAGAGGAATAATTCTGAGACACATGTTCTATGTGAATCATCAACACTTACAGTAGGATTAAGAAATATTTACCTACAATAGCAACTGATATGATCACTCACTCTGTATTGGCTTTCTTTTCTTCCACATCTCTCTTTCTTAGTCACATCCCAGCATATCCTGGGATCATCTTCGAAAAAATCCTTATGATTGTCTCATGTCCACTTCTAGGGGAAGCCAATCTAAAAAAAGTATCACATAATTAGGGCAGAAAGGAAATCACAATTTTGAGGCTTAAAATATGGCCTTTAAATGGCTCAGTCTTCCAAACAGTGCTACTATAAGAAGAGATGAAAGAGAAAAAAAAAGATTAAGGGATGAGAATTGGGGTATTACAACATTGAAGTGAAATTGAGCAAAGAATAAATTTCAGCTGAATATCAGAAAAAAATTGTTTCAATAAGCAAGTCCTTTAGACAATACAATAAAAAGAAAATTATCTTGGCACAGTAGTAGAAGTCCTATTGTTTGAGGCATTTAACTCTAGATGCAACAATGTACTGTAAATAACAATGCCAAATGGCAATGGATGGACATGATAACCTAATAGGTCTTTTCTGGCTCTAATATCTGTGATTGTATGATTCAATTCAAATGCAGTAGTTTGCTGTATCTCGAGTGTGTAATACACTTCAATTGTGAAGTGCTACAATTTCAACACTAATACGTTTGAAGTGACAGACATGTCACCTAAGTACCTAGTAGAGTTGTTTGAAATGCTACAGAAAACAAACCTTCCCCCTGTGGATATATACATCCCAATAATCCATCAGGCAGACACTATACCAATAATCAGTTGTAGTTCATTAACAAGACCCACATTAAATCTTCTGAAAGTCCACATGTGTGAAATTAGTACATAAAAATCAAGAAACTGAGTCTTGATAGTTTCATGTAAAATAATATTTGTCTGAACAAAGCCTGATCAAAAGGCAAGTAGATAATCTCAATTTTAAGGGAAGTCTGTCCCTATCAACATCAAAATCACTGAACTGAGAGAAATCTACAGGGTCTAAATGATGTTGGGACTTTTGCTGTTATGTCTCTATTCAGTGATGCAGCACATGTGGCTATCCTCTGAAATATACCAGTCATGCCATTCCCAGTTGAAAAAAGGAAGGGAAACTAAGTTCTTTAGTAATCCTGTCTTTGATTTAGTCCATATACTGGATTTTTTTAGTTATGAAATATAATTCATGAACTTACAGCTTATTCCTTGATGATTATTGAAGAGAAAGGAACAGTGGCTCAACAGCATGAGCTCCATTGTCATGTATGAGCTTCCTTGAAGGCAGTGTACCTTCCAACCCAGATTATGGGACATGAGATCCATTAACAAAACTATTTCAGAGAAGCCAGGATACAGATATCATAGGTTCAGAGCAGCATTTATTAATGCCACCCTTCTTTCGTGCTACCCCGTTTCGATCTTATTGTTCCAGAGTACTTAAAAGAAAAAAAATAAAACTTTACTGTATTTCTGAGATCAATAGGTTTATTAACCTTTCACTTGAATGAGAACTTTCACTTCACAAAGATAAAGGAGGTAAAGTTCTCTGTTGCAGGTATACAATACAGACCTCATTGAAAGTATTTCAAGGCCAGTTATATGTACAGGCAGACAAAATAAGAAATTTCAAGGTCCTTTTAAAGAAAGGAAGTGTAGCAGTTATAAAACATGGGTGTGATTTCTGATACTCCTCTAATGGAGAAGTGAAGTCTTTATCCCCTCTCCATGAATCTGGATGGGCATATGGCTGCCTCATCCAACACATTATGGCAGATCTGATGTTCTGTGACTTCTGCAGCAAGATAATAAAATATGCAGCTTCTATCATGATTGTGGGAATGTTCAATCTTGCAATTCTGAGCCATCATTTAAGAGGTCTGACCATTCTGAGGTTTCAATGTTGGGAGTGAACCCAACCCACATGGAGAAGCCACATTGTAGATGTTCATGTCCACCTATGGCCAACTTCTGTATCATACTCAGATAGATAACAAAAAAGTGAGTGACAAAATCTTCAGATCATTCTAGCTTCTACAAAACCAAAGAAAAATGACAGACGCATGTCTCAATCAACTTAGAGTTTTATTTTGCCAAGGTTGAGGACATTCCCAGGAAAAAGAGACACAAGCCACAGTAAGATCTGTGGTCTGTACCTTTTCCAAAGAGTGTTTGGGGTCTCCATATTTAAAGAGAAAAGAGTGGGCAGTAGGGGAAAGGGGAAAATAGGGTGGAAGAGGGTAGATAAAAGCTTTGATCAGCTTCACTGAATTCCTACTTTACATGTGAAAAAGAGGGAATAGAGGAATAGTTGACAATGCACTCATCTCACTCAGTGAATCTGCATTTTTATTTAAAATAAAGTATTCAGAGTATAGAGGAAGGAGTCAAATATGCATTTGGCTCAGATGAGCAGAGGGATGACTTTGTCCAGTACCTGTGAGACAAGCTGTTGATTTATTTACATTGTCATGGTGAAATTCAACAGAATTCTGTTTTAGAGTAAAGATCCTGGGGCCCACAAGAACTTTCCTTGTGAGCAAATTGTGAGGGAGACCCCCCTGGGAAGTTATGTAGCCTTCTATCTTTGCAGCTATCTATTTAGGAACAAAATGGGAGGAGATTTGAGCAATTCAGTTCCCAAGCTTAAACTCTTTTTCCTTTGTCATGGTGAGTTTGTGGTCCCAAGAATTTATTTTCCCTTCCACTTCCAGCCATTTGAATCTTTCCAGATGATCCCCTAAAGATTTCATACACAAGACAAGCCATCCCTATTACAGCCCTCCTGCATTTCTGACCTACAGAATCCATGAGCATATTAAAATGGTCATTGTTTTATACCACTAAGTCTGGGGAAGCTTGCTATGCAGCAGTAGAAAAACAGAACTGGAAGAGAGACCAGAAGGAAGGAGAAAGGGGGTATCCAGAGAGAGAAAGGAAGGAAAGAAGAGAAAGAAGAAGGAGAATGAGGAGGGGAGAAAGGAAGGGGTGGCAGAGAAAGGGAAAGAAGAAAGAGTAACAGGTCCTGAGGCATCTTTACACCAGGTATTCTTCATCTTTTATCACAAATGATATTCATATGGAATCCTTCTGCTATCTTATTTAGTCTTGCCTTCCTCAGAGAGAATAGCTCAACTCAATAGAGATTAAGAATAGGATTCTTGTTTTAAAAAAATGGAAAATAGGAGCAGAATTTTCTTTATTTTGGGCAGATCTTTATTAAATAATGTATATTAACTATTAAGTCAGAAAAGAAAGGTAGCGAAACACAAGAATGGTAAGGGGAAAGATCATTGAAAATACAGGCACAAATTATTTCTGCTACAAAAGGAGCATTATGATTAGAACTCAAAACTTTTAACTAAGTTCATACTACCAGAGCATGAGAAACTCTAAGCAGGACATATGATCGAATATGTTTCTTGCCGAAAAGAAGCTTATCAATAGAACATGTTGCACAATTGCTTTATAACCCACTACTTCAAAGATTGATTGGTGGTAATTACTCACAAAATAGACTTTTTAAATTATGTAAATAAATTTTCAAAACAATAAATTTCTGTTACAAAAATTCCATTGAAAACTCAAAAACAAATCACTAACCAGCCTTTCGGTTCTGTAGAAGTCTATTTTTCATCCCGTCATCTATGAGAGCTTCAATTCATCCAATGACCTACCAAAAACCTACCCCAAACACAGAGCTGCGTATTTAACTTCATGCAATCTAAAGAAAAATTTTCTCAAATGTTTACATCTCTGTAACTTGCCTACCCTAACTGAGGATTTCCTACCCCCTCATAAAAATAAATAAATGTGTTTGTAAGAAAGGCCATCCACATTTCAATAAGTTATTCAGCTTTAGCTTTCTCATAATCCAGAAATTGCCCAGTGTCTCCAGAAAATGATATTGAAGATGGAAGAAGTAAATAGTTACAGAGAAGAAAGGATTTCCAGTGATCAAGGACATGGATTTAGCACGAGGAAATTTTGATTACTTGGAGGATAAGCAGTGCTAGGTCTCAAAACAGTTGATTTTTTTTGTGTCTACTTGGTAGTTAAAATCTACTTAGAGTTGGAGGATTTCTCCTCCTGTGAAGTTAACTCGCATTCTTTATTTTCTCCCTGGTCTGTTCCATGCTTGCGTGCTTCTATTTTCTTTTGCTTTCTCTCCCTCTCTTCAAACATACTCTTTCCTATCCTGTTCCAGGGCTAATATTCACACCCAGTCTTCCTGTATCTCTATTGCCCCCATTAAGTTTTGCCCATCCTCTTGTAGGTATCGACAGTGTATATCTCTCATCCTTAATCACAAAATTGGTGACAGAATGTTTTGCTATTACTCTTTACAAATTTTTAAAAAGAAGCAACATATATGTGAATTTACCCTCTCTCCCCAAAATATTTTATACATCTGACATAGTTTTTTCATCATTGACAGTTTCAAGCTACTAAGCCATTAATAACCATAAATTTGTGTAACTTTTTCTTATAAAAATTGCAAAGAATTCAAAACAAAGAGTGAATTGTATGAATTTTCATGTACTTATCACTCGGCTCCAATGATTATTAACTTTTGGCTAGACACCCTCGAATTTTGGAGCCTGAAAGGGCTTTAATTACAATAAGTCCCTATTACAGAGCCTTTTGATGACCAGGACATCATTTTGGACAAACAAAATTGTAATTGTGTAAATTAAAAGTTCTTAACCATGTTTAACCCATGCCCACTTTGGAAAAATAAAATAAAATCAACTTATATTTGTCTTAACACCTAACTGAAAAACTTTCACATCTTAACACCTAACTGAAAAACTTTCACATATTTCAATGCTTGAATTAATATATAGTTATATTATAATCTTATATACAATTAATATACAATTATAATAAGATTATACTATTTACATATGCTGTTCCAAATTATATATAACTCTCCTTCCCAAATGACCCCCACCTCATTTCTATATTTATCCTGATTAGCACTCCCCTCTAATCCTACTTGCAGTCCAGAATTACTATCCTTTTTTTTTTTTTTTTTTTTGAGACACAGTCTTACACTGTCACCCAGGCTGGAGTGCAGTGGCGCCATCTCAGCTCACTGCAACCTCCGCCTCCCGGGTTCAAGCGATTCTCCTGCCTTAGCCTCCCGAGTAGCTGGGATTACAGGTGCAACCACCACGCTTGGCTAATTTTTTGTATTTTTAGTAGAGATGGGGTTTCACAATGTTGGCCAGGCTGGTCTCGAACGCCTGACCTTAAGATCTGCCTGCCTCGGCTTCCCAAAGTGCTGGGATTACAGGCGTGAGCCACCATGCCTGGCCCAGAATTACTAGTCTAAATATTTATTTTAAATAACTTATTTGTAAAATAATTAAAATACTTAAATTCTGACTTCTAAGAACTCCCGACAAAGCCAATAGGGATAAAAGCAGGGATTTAAAATTGTAGCTTTCACGAGTAGATAAGTATGTTAATGATTACCATTGTCCAATGTCCATGGAGGGGTGACCTGAAACAGGTCCCCAAGAGTATAGAGGTCATATGACAAACTAATACTGATATTTCTTGGCTGTTTATTTATAGATCTACATTTTAAAATTCAATACATATTACAGATTGTTCTTCTTTTTTCATTGTTCTTTTTTCAGTATATCATTTTTCTGCCCTGACTTTATTTTAGCCCAGAATAAGAGTAACTTGCAGTACCAGGCACAGATAAAAATAAAATCCTGGAAGATGTTTCTTGACCAAAATAAATAGGGGGCAAGGGCAATTTATTCCGCAAGAGTCTTCTATAATTATTGGCAGCTTAATTACTTCTATGGTTCTCTTCAAAATTGCTGGTGTTAGAACGACCTCTCTGGTGCAAGTGAAAGGGGCTGTGACCTTCTTTTCGATTAAGCATGCCTTCTTGTCAGAAATTTACGATTAAAAAAGAGTTTGCAAAGTAGAGGATTACCACATTCCAACAAATATGCCACTCAAAAAATATGTTGAAAGTTTCTAAACTTTCAAATATGAATAGTGATATACAAGCAAAGAACCTTTTACTTCAGGTTTCTTTCTATCAAATAACATTTATATTGGAAGATGGCTGATAATAGAGAACAAAACATTTGACAAATGTTTAGAATGGAAAGTGGTTCCTTCCTATGGAGGTTGACTTGGAGGTCAGGCTCACAACAATTAACTTTAATTTTCCCATAATGGTGTTTAATGATATCTTCAGATTCAGCACACTACCAAAGGATTTGCAAGGTAGCCATTTATAAAGTGTTATATGGATAACGTCAAAGGATTTGTTCATTGCTCAAATCTTAAGGTTTTGTCTTTATTCTGTAAAGTGGCTCCGGCCTACAGTTGTCAATAACCTTAGTAGCTGAGGATCATCTCTATGTGTGAATTAGATTCAAGGTCAATGCACAGATTACAATTAGGAACTAGTCCCTTGCTACCTTTAGTGTAGAACAATAGAGAATATAAGTGGGAAATCCCCAACAGGAATAGTAGTGCCCAGTTTTCTTAGTTCTCCTCTTCTCATATCCAAAATCCCTTTTCAATTTTAGGAAAGGTACTGCTTCTGACTATGGAGAGCAAAGGGACCAAAACTTACAGAAAGTCAAGGCACAGCAAGTGAGTTAACTTTACTCACTGGATGATCCCTTCTGGAATCTTGGAAATAAAGAGAGACACAGAAACTATTCAAATTATTTATAACATTGATCCTGGAAGAAATATTCAAGTAATGTCAGTTATTTCTTTCCTACTGTCTAACTTATATGGATCTCAGTTCATCTTTCTTTTAGAATCACTGTATCACGGTGGACTACATTTCTCCAAGTGGATCATAAAATTTAGTTGGCATAAAATGCAGTTTCCTTCTTTCCTTCAGCATAGTTACATCTGTTACTAAATAAATTCTATGCCAATAGTCTCCAAGTATTATCTGGTCCTTGATATCCTTTAGTCAGGTCTATGATATCAAAATTAAAGTTCATAATACTGTTGCGGGAAGTCAGGGACCCCAAACGGAGGGACCGGCTGAAGCCATGGCAGAAGAACGTGGATTGTGAAGATTTCATGGACATTTATTAGTTCCCCAAATTAACACTTTTATAATTTCTTATGCCTGTCTTTACTGTAATCTCAAAGCGGGGCATCACGGAACCTACCGACGTGTGATGTCTCCCCCAGATGCCCCGCTTTAAAATTTCTCTCTTTTGTACTCTGTCCCTTTATTTCTCAAGCAGGCCAACGCTTAAGGAAAATAGAAAAGAACCTACATGAATATCAGGGCAGGTTCCCCGATATAATACTGCTAAGATGTTATTTTATTTTTTACTCTTATTCTTTCACAAGAATACAGTGGAGTTTTTCCAACAAATTGAAACACATACAAATATTCAGCACTCTTCCATTAAGTTAGACATTACAGAGATTTTTAAACAGCTTTTAAACATCATTTTTCTTTTTTTGAAAATGTAGTAATGCTTCATAAAAATTAGGTTATGTTACCATGTAATTATTTTTGTCATTTTAGTGAATTAATAAATAATTCTTCTGAGCTTTAATTTCTAATTCAATATGTAGCAATCAATGTAACCCAAACAACCAAAAGCTCCTTTGGGTCTTCAACATTTCTTAAGTATATAAAGGGATCTTGAGATCAAAGTATTTGAAAACCACATTTCTAAACGGTTGGGCTATGAAGAGTAATTGATGATTGCCTATGTGGAGAAACTAATCACAGTTAAATTAAAACAAAAGAAACAACAACAAAATAGCTTGGTTTTCTGAAAAACCAAAGAAGAACAGATAACTAGGTAGACTCTATGGTTTTTTTTTTCTAATTTTCTAAAAGAGTTACTGAGAATGTAACTGGCTTTAAAGGTATATTTTTCTAAACAGCAAGCTATTATATATCCATTTGGGAATGTGCTTACTTTATTCACATTTAATTTCAGATACCTCCTTTATTCTTTCTTCCTGAAATACTACTTGATTACTCCAGAAAATTAATGCACAAGAAGTGGACAACTACAAAAAGGCACACTGAGAAAATCATATTGTTTCAAGTCTCTTTTTTTAATCAAACAGTTCTATTTAATTGTTTGGTTAGCTATGTCTCAATTTGTTTAATTTTTTAAAAAATTTAAATTAAATTTTAAATTATATGGTAACTTAGGAGGTGGAATATGTTATAATGATGCTTTTTAAAAATAATGCCTCTTTTAAATGTATATTTTAATTGTTGGATGAATTTGTAAGTTTCCTGTATTTATCTTCTGTGAATTGTTTGTTTTTCTCCTAGGCTCAGTTTCTTTTGGAATACTATCTTTTTTATTATTGGCATATAGGAGTTCTTCATAAATTAAGGCTGTTCAAACTAGACTTAATTGTAAATATTGTCAAGTTCTTTATTTACCCATAAATTTGGTTTAAATTTTTTATCATATTAATTTTTATTTATATATGGTCAACAAATCTTTTTTGTTTTAATTTTATGCTTAGAAAGTAGTTTTCTTTACCACCATTAGCGAATAACCTGTATTTTCTTCCAATTGTGTTTCTTATATCCACTTTATATATAGTTCCTTAATCTGCCTAGAATTCATATGGTATGAGGTGAGAATCTACAAGCCTGTTGTCATGGTTTTTTCACGTAGCTGGTTGTTTCAGCACCATTTATTAAATAACTGATTTTTTCCACTCCGATTAACTATATACTTGATGGTCATATGTGTTAGTTCAAGGCTATTCTATTTTCTTCTGATGTATCTGCTAATTTGAATGCCAGTTCTAAACTATTTTAAATATTTTAGGTTTATAGTATGTATTTTATATTATCATAAAATGCCTTGTCAAATTTATATGGAATAGTATTACTAATTTAGACAGCCATATAAATTTACAACTACTTTATCACCCTAGCCTTTTCCTCAAACCATCCAACAAGGAACTGGTCTTTTAATCAAAACATTGCTAAATCTGAGGACACCCAAAGTTAATACATTTACTTCCCTTTATTTTTAAATTATTTTAAGATGAACTGACATCCTAAATACAGTCAGCTTTTCAAACATAAATCTGGTATATATTATTGAAGTTAGGATCTTAGCATTTTTTTAAAACTACATATTTAAAATATTTCAATTATAGAATGTGTAATAGTAATAATAATTTGTGCGTAAGTCACCAAAGTTTACCATGTTTTTACATATGTTATTTCAATCACTCTTTATTAAATCCACAGGAGTTTTTTCCCTATTTTAGATGAAGAGATGCACTCTGAGGGGTTAAGTGACTTGCTGATATAATGAACAATGTTTTTTAAATGGCAAAAAATAAAACCCATAGTAATTCTGACTTCAAATTTCATTTCCATAGAATATAGTGTGCTAAAAAGATATAAAGTTACTAAGTCTGTCTCCCTACTTCAAACAAAACTCTCCTATAAACATTAACTTCCTGTTTTATCCATAGAGTTTCCATTTAATAGGACAGGAAATATATACAATGAGATCTGGGTGGAGCTGCATTCAAGTTTAACAGAAGTAAACATAAAAACTTGAAAACCACATCAGCTTTTGCTGAAATGTTTGGCTTCACAGGTTAGGCATCATAGAAACAACCTTTTTATTGCTTGTTGGAATTAAATCTAACATATTGATTTCAGCTATTCCCAAACAAATAATTTGATAAAATGCTTATTTAACTGCTGTTATTATTAATTTGCTTTTAAGGTCCCTCTGCCATGTGGCATCAAGGAGCAAAACAGATCTCTCCAATTGTAAAAAAGTTTATTGGTGCATGGCAAGTGTAAACCACCGGGGTCCCTGGCAACAGTAAAATGGCAAATTAAACCAAAACCACATGCAAGTCAAGTGAATCACTAGTCAATGAGCATTTAGGCAGGGATGCCAAGCAAATAAACAGTCAGTCCATTAGTTAGTTATTGCCAGCACTAAATGAATAAAACTCTTAAGAAAAAACTCATGGCAGTGTGGTGACAATCTGTGTTAGGTTTGTCGAGTCCTATGGAAATGGCTGAAATGTTCACCTGGCTGCCGTGAAACAGAGGAATGTAGGTGCAGTGGCCAGGCTGAAAGATGCCTCTTATTTGAGACCTGCTGATGAGCTCCAGTCACTTAATGGCATCCTGAAAAACAGCTGGCACCTAACTCTCAAATATTGATTTAGTGTTTACAAATCTGCTTCAGTTTCTAGGCAAACAGCTTCTATCAACATAGTGTACCATCTGGTTTTATGGCTCAAGTGTTTCAACTACACTTTTCCCCGGGTGTGGGCACCATGATTAATTTGAGCAATTTAGTGCATCCCTTCACTTCTGGTAAGGTTGTTAAGGACTGGACTATATTAACTACAAATTTTGGATTCTGGGAGAGTGATATTTTTCAGATAGTTGTTAAGAGCAAGAAAAGAAATGACAGCCAATGATGTGTGTGGTTCCAGTAAGGAGGTGATTGATAAGTCTAAATCCTCTTAAGCATAAATTTGCAGGGCAAGAAGGAAATAGATTTTACAGGCAGTGTGTACTTTTGTTATGCCACATTTACCACACATTAGCAAAGGCAAACATGGAGAAAGGAGAGGTTTTGAGGAGACAAACAAGTGTTGGACCTTCTGCAAACAGCCACAGTGATTCCAAGAATGGTAGCCAGGCAGAGTCTAAAAGTGGAGTTCAGGTGGACCTCAAAGTGTGTGGAATTCAGGTAGTAAAAAACACTGTCATTAAAACCTTGCATTCCTTTTTCACTAACAGGACTTGGCTGCCATGTTATCCTCCCAAAGTGACTCTGACGACTGCAATTCAACAAGCTATGTTGTTGTTTTACTGAGCTGACCTCTCCATTTAGCATGAAAGAACTTTGAAGGGTTTATAGAATGAGGCTTGGGAAGAGTTGAACACACTAGCTGGCTCCTCTTTGATAAGCTTTAAGGAGACATAAAGACTAAGGAAAGTGTAGCAGTTTTATCCTTTTTCCTCTCATAACCCTGTACTCAAAAAAAATCACACTTGATATAAGCAAAAGAGTACAACGTGTGCTATTGGACTTTATCAATGCTTCTTACATAAGAATCTCATTCTTAGCTTCATCTTGCTCTTCACTTTTCTCTTTGATCACTTTTCTTACTTAAATTTATCTTGTTTTATGGTTACCCCACTGATTCTACTGTGAATACTTTTTTTTGGAACAATGTGACTTACAAATAATTGCATGAATAACTACATTCCAGTACTCCTCTCAGAATGTCTTCCCTTCCCCTCCTGACTATACTCTGTGTTGTCGTACTTCTGATATTTGATGATATGTGTCTGCTATTTTATAGAAACAGTAAATAAGTCTAAGGGGAAAACCATTCTGCATCAAGCTAATTTGTCTACTGTATCGTTGACCTCATTCATACCATGAAACAAGTCAACTCAACTGAGTCATCAAAAATATTTCAAGAAAAATCACAGCTCTCTTTGAAGAGTGTAAATATGATTTTTTTATCTAGATAGTGATATATTGTCAGGATTACTTACTAAAGAAGTGGCAAGGAGCTCATAAATTCTAAGGTAGATTTTAATTCCACTTAATATTTATAATGAATTCTTTTTCCTTCTATAATTACATTAGTAAAGTTAAGATGAAAATAAGTAGCCATACACTTGTACTTGTTCTCTTCAAGCGCTATGTATTCCCACAAGAGACTTTAATACAAGGATGCTTTCAGCTAAGAAGTTTCTCCAATTGTTAAGCCCCACATAGCAGAAAACTAATTAATAAAAATGAAATCATTTAATGTAACTTGTCCACAATATACCCTAAGAAACGTGTTTGATTTATGCAAGTTGCTCTATGACTACAATTGTGATGATACAGTCCTTCATTCAAACATTTATTCAAGGCCTACAATGTATTATAATCTTGGAACTGAAGTGTTACTGAAATGTATACTCAAGGATTTTTAATTAGAGTAAGGGAGACAGGCAGGTAAGGAGGCAATTGTAATACAAGGCTATAAGTGAGAAGGCAGGGAAGTCCAGGGGGTTAAATCTTCCCTCTCTGGTTTGGGGTAGGGATTGATAAAAGGCTTTCCAGAAGACAGAACACCCAAGCCACCCAAGAAAAGTGAGTGTTAGCCAAGTGAAGAAGTGGATATGGGCATCCCAGGCAGAGAGAACAGTACGTACAATAGCCTGGAGAGCTGAGAACTCAATGTAGCTAACAGTGAGTGTGAATGAGACCCAGTACAGCAAGAGATAAGGTCAGAGGGGAACCTAGGGCATGAGGAGCCACTGAAATGCTTTAAACAGGACATAATCAAATGTGTGCTTCAGAAAGCACATTTCAGATGAGTGGGATGGCAAGACCAAAAGCAGAGAGTTAGGAAACGATCACAGTAATTAAGGTGACCTAGTCTTTGTAGTATATAACATTTACTAGAGTCCAAAAAAAATATGAATGGCTATTTTGCAATGCCCTGCTGGATTTTTCATATTGGTATTGAGTTGGAACAAGAAAAGAAAATCAGTGAAGGAAAGAGCCAAGCAAAAAAGGATATTGTATGTTCAAATGTCCCAACTCTCTTTACTCTCAATGTCCACATTCTGACTGATACTCCTCCACTAACTTTTCCAAGTCCTAGAATTAATCAGATAAACTCCAACATCTTTATATGCCCCCAAACAGGCACTATATACCTATGTAGGCTTGGAAAGAGTATGAAAAAGTCGAATAAGATGAGATTTTCAGAAAGAAAATCTGAGGAGAATCTAAAAATAATAGTGGTAAAATTCACAGCACTCAGGCATTAAAGAGACTGAAAAGGGCACAGTTGAGATTCCAGCTTTGATGTCCAGCCAAAGATTAGTTACCTTGGCTATAACAGATTTTGGGGTATCCTCTATCCAGTTCCTCTACCTTATAATCCCAATGCTCTAAATATATACTGCTGTTCAAATATCTTGGTTCTGAAAAAAATCATTTTACTTGGCAAAATTCTGGTAATTGGGAACTTAAATTCTCCCAGACTGTAATTTATAAGATGTTCCTGTTTTCTTTCTGGCTATGCCTTTCCTGCTGAACTTCACAATCCACCATCACCCTGCCCTGCCCTCCATATACCAGATATAAACCAGGCTACCATACTTTCCATCTCTTTCTTCAGCAACTATTGGTCCCATACATCTGCAGAGTCCTGGATCATCTGGGTGAGACCATTGATATATCAGCTTTCCTAAGACAATTCCCTTAGATTTAAAGAAATCCTTCCATGACATTGTAATCACCTCTATCCATAGACTCCTGCCATTTTCTCTGCCCATGGGATCTCTATTTACTATTGCAATTTCTTGAGTAAATTTCAGTAGTTTCTCCCTGATAGAGGCTGTTTTTGGCCTGCCCCACATCTCCTTTCTCAGTTTACTCATCCCCCCACCACTGAGAATGCTTACACCATACCTTCCCTGAAGCATTGCCCTCACCTGACAGAAACCATCTCACCCAAGGATGCCTGGGAGGGTAAACCACTCCTGTCCCTAGTATGCGAGGACTGGTGCATATAGGGTTTCAAAAAGTCCCAAATCCCAACTCGCTATCTGAAGGCAGGCCAACTCTGCTGTGCAATTTATACATCAGCCAAAGAGTAGACTTTACCTGAAGCCACATCCTTGCTAGAGTCTTTCTACTTCCCTGTTTGCTTCTGTTATTTTCTCCAAAGAGCCCTCCCTCCAAAAATTATGTGCACCAAAAACCCTGTCTCAGTCTCTGCTTCTAAGGAACTCAATCAAAGATATCTCATATCAGGGCAGACCTCATCATTGCCATCTTTTCTTTTTGTTCTAGGCAGGCTCTTCTCTATGTGTCTGTGCCTATGCAAAGGCAATGACAGAACTCTTAATGTGCTAGACACCTTCTGTACCACATGACCAACTTTGGATATCCAGAAACAGGTTGTCTGCTTCTTTGTGTTTTAAAAAGCATATCCCAATATTTTTCTGCTCAGGAAATTTCCAGTTTTTTATCACTGTTTGAGGGCACTGCCCTCAGATAATTTTCTCAAACCTGTAGCTATTTTGCAGAGCTCTGGTAACCAACATACCTGGAGTTCATTCATGACTTTCATTTGTTGGGCCCTTATAATCACTGCTCACAAACACTGAACTAAGTGTTGTATATACATAAATATAATTACCTGCACCAAGATCTCACGGGATTTATAACACTATCACTCACATTTCAAAATGGGAAAACAGTGGATCATCAAAGTAAAGTAATATTGCTCATAAGTTATATGTAGAAGTCAGAATTCCACTGTCCAGACTCTTAACCCATAGGATGACCTATCAAAATCTTTTCTGAGCCTGCTTCACCCACTTAGAAGTATAGTCTCATTGATGATTTATGACTGTTTCCCTTTATGGGGTAATCATTTAAAATCTTTCATATTTTAAATGTACAGTAAAAACAGAAATAATTTTTGGTAAAAACAAGAGGAGCATGCTTTGGAGTAGGAATACAATATAGTAGTTAAAAACCTGGCTTCATTCCACTTGAATTTAAGGTCTGACTCTGCTATACCAAATGAGGTGTGATATCAGTGCAGTTAACAAGTTTCTCTGAGCCTCAGTTTTCTTATCTCTAAAATGGGCAAAATTATGACTACTTCAAATGCTATTGGAAGGATTAACTGAATTGGTGCATCTAAAATTATTAGCGGCACCCATAAACTCTTCATTTAACATTAGGTATATCTCCTAATGCTATCCCTCCCCCCTCCCCCCACCCCACAACAGTCCCCAGTGTGTGATGTTCCCCTTCCTGTGTCCAGGTGTTCTCATTGTTCAATTCCCACCTATGAGTGAGAACATGCGGTGTTTGTTTTTTTCTCCTTGTGATAGTTTGCTGAGAATGATGATTTCTAGTTTCATCCATGTCCCTACAAAGGACATGAACTCATCATTTTTTTATGGCTGCATAGTATTCCATGGTGTATATGTGCCACATTTTCTTAATCCAGTCTATCATTGTTGGACATTTGGGTTGGTTCCAAGTCTTTGCTATTGTGAATAATTGCACCCTAAAACTTAAAGTGTAATAATAAAAAAAATGGAAGCCTATCTTAATATCTGGTGTTATAAATACAGATTCTTACACAAAACAGTTATTCTCAATGAAAGAAAATTCAAAGTGCTTCCATCTTGCTCCTTTAAAAATAAAATAAAATAAGGTAAAATAAAAATAATTAGTGGAATGTTTAGCATTTGGCATGTAGCAAGCACTCAATACATATATAAAATGAGATTTATGAAGTCAAACAACAATAGCCATTATTGTTTGACGTTAAAAATCCCATTTTATCCATATTTCTGTCCAAACTTCATTTCTTAGAGAAATAACTTCTTTCTGCTTGCCTCTACCTAAAGTGTAACAGATTGTGCTTTAAATTTTGGTTTACATTTCGTTCTTGTTATTTTCCTCTCCCAGGTATAATGGGTGTAGCTATAATTCCACCTGGAATAAGACTTTGTCCTGGCCATGATTCTTTAATATCCTTCTTCAGATTGAAACCAGCTCCACGCATATTCCCTCCCCAAACTTTCCTATCCCCAAAGCTGCTAGCTAAATCAGTGATGGTAGCAACTCTTCTGTTATCTGGCATTCATGGGATCCCACCTCATACTTAATCTCAATGTGGAACCATCTGTACACATCTTCTGCGCACAGCATTGACCAAATGGTTCCAAAACTCATTAAGAAACTATTCAAAAGAAAAATAAATTACATTACATTTCTCATGAAAGTCCCCGAACTTCCAAGGCTTATTTTTAAACCACATTCTCCACTTGACTGCAGAGCCAAACCCCTCTCCACCGCCAAAGCCTTGCAGGTGTGGTTTGTTGCATTGCTCATCAGATGGAGAGAATTAAGAACTTGACCAAGTGATGCAGCAGTAATCTCTATTTACTCTTTGATTTCTCAAGCCCTCTCTTCTCAATCTAAGTCTTTAAATTCAGGAAAGCTAAGGTGATTTTTGAGGCTTGGCCAAATCTTCCTTCTTTGTGCCTGATTGTGAAAAGTAAACATCTTTAACCTATGACCAAGGAAATAAGAGTCACTTTGAATTGTTTTCACTCTAAGGGTAGTTGTTTAATGAGATCTGCTTGCAGAGAAAAAGATTACACATTTACCTGGCGAGTTTTTAAGGGAAGTTCAGTCACAGTGCAGACTTAATTTTTCTTCATGTCCTGAATGTTCAGCAATTCATTATTTCTACATTGCAAGTCCAGTAAAACACCATACAAGTGTCAGCGTGTGCTTATGCACTTTTTTCTTCAGGCATCATATCTAAACTATACCTAACGGAATGTGATCTTTTGTTTTTCCATGTTTTTTCATCAGAAGTCCCTGATTCTTTTTTTTTTTTTTTTTTTTTTTTTTTTTTGAGACGGAGTCTCGCTCTGTCGCCCAGGCTGGAGCGCAGTGGCGCAATCTCGGCTCACTGCAAGCTCCGCCTCCCGGGTTCGAGCCATTCTCCTGCCTCAGCCTCCGGAGTAGCTGGGACTACAGGCACCCGCCACCGCGCCTGGCTAATTTTTTGTATCTTTTAGTAGAGACAGGGTTTCACCGTGTTAGCCAGGACGGTCTCGATCCTCTGACCTCGTGATCCGCCCGCCTCGGCCTCCCAAAGTGCTGGGATTACAGGCGTGAGCCACCGCGCCCGGCCGTCCCTGATTCTTTTCATATGGTAAAAGTAGTAGATCCTAAAGTCAAGGGAACCACAGTGATTTCAGCCTTTGGCTTTCATTGCCTTAAGTCAACTATGCAGTTATTTACCTGAGGATACTTCTGCCCAGGAGTGTTTTGTAGTTGAACAACATAATAGTGTTTTCCTCTATTCAGCAACATTTTAAAATCTTCTTCAAGAGTTTAAGTTTACATTTTATTGTCATCTGCCTGGCAGCAGGCAGTGCAGGTGGCAAATGGACGGGAAATTTGACAGCTGAGTTAATTAATAGATGGTAATTTGGAGTGTTGTCAAGCTGCCAGTGGGGATGAAGGTGCTTTGGATACAAGTATGCAAAGATGTTCTGCAAGGGTCAAAATATTTGTATTTCTCACATTACTTTGACTTTTTTTTTTATCTGGGCATCTATACCTAGGAAAATGTATTAAAATTAATCAGAGTTATTTCTAGTCATAGATGACTGGCATTTTCACATTTCTCAGTGTCTTCTTATCAACTTTTTTATGTGAGAGAACTTGTTGGAATAGAGCTTACATACTCCTTCAAAGACTTTCCTATTATTCCACAGATCTTTTAAGAGAGAAATGGACCTCCTTTATCTGCTTACTTACTTTCAGTTACCATTTTGAGCCAGGAAATACAGTTTCCTATGTGGTCTAGATTTTTTGTTTCTCTTTGAAGTCCTTCTCCCTCCCCCACCTCCTTAGGCTTTCAACATGATTTTCCCATTAGTTATTATTAGATATTATTTTCCCATTAGTTCTTATTTATCCCCCTTCAAATTACCTCAGGTGGGATAGATAGACAGCTAGATGATAGCTAAAGGAAGATAGCTGGTTAAATTTAATAGACAGAACCAAAGGTCCCCAGTGTTTCTTGCTCTTGGTGAATAAATTAAAACATTTTGGAAGAAATTAACCATTTTGAAAACAATCTGTAAAGTGTTTTTATACACATAGTTAATTTTGATATTTGTCTACAGTGGCAATAGGGTGGCTATTCACAGTAAACAAAAGGCTGTGTTCTTCATTACCTCTACCAGAGATGTAAAATCTACATTAGAACTGCAACAGTTCCTCTATCAAACACTAAGAGAGAATAGTCCCTATTGTCTCTCAATAATACTTTATGTATAGATGGTGGGTTGGCATCATGTAAGCATTTGACTATTCCAAATGTTTAAATTAATGTTCATTTTTTTCCAAGACAGAGATGACTAAAATTAAAGAATAAAATAATGTGATTATTATTGATATTCTTATTTTTCACTCCATGTACTAAAGGAGTATCTAGCATTATGAAATTTAAATAAAACATTTTTAGGGAAAATATTTATGTATCTCCAAATGAAATTTTGTATTTTATGTTTTAGAATTCAGTCAGTGACTCAATAAATCATTACGTAATATATGTTTGAGGCTTTACAATATTTTTTGAGATGTCCAGCTGATATGTTTTGGGTCTCTGTCCCTGCCCAAATCTCACATTGAATTTTAATCCCCAATATTGGAGGTGAGGCCTGATGGGAGGTAATTGGATCATGGAGGTGGTTTCTCATGGGTTATACCATCTCCCTTGGTGATGTGGTGAGAGTGAGTTATCTCGAGAACTAGTTATTTAGCATTGTGTAGCACCTCGCCACTCTCTCTCTTCCTCCTTCTCTGGCCATGTGAAGACATGCTACTTCCCCTTGCCTTCCACCATGATTGTAAGTTTCCTGAGGCCTCCCCAGCCATGCTGCCTATACAACCTGTGGAACTGTGTGCCAATTAAATCTCTTTTGTTATAAATTACCCAGTCTCAGGTATTTGTTTATAGCAGTGAGAGAATAGAATAATATAACAGCTTATACACCTAAATTACAATGTAGAGTAACCAATATTTATTGAGTTTCTATTCCAGGTAGTACTATACTAAGCTTTTACCTTGAAAAGTGAAAGGCACAGTCCTCTCAAATTGTTTAGTTTATTTAAAGGGAGATATAAAAGAGTGCAGGTTATAAAAATGCATGGTAATAAATATTATGATAAAGATGTGTTCTGGAAGCTATGGGAATTCTAATTTAGATTAAGAGGAAAGAAAAGTTCCCAAAAAATATGATGTGAAACATGAATTTTAGACTACAATAATGATAACAATGCTTCCAAAATATACTGAATGTTTATTATACAAAGAAATGTGTATAAATACACAGATTATATTTATTTGTGTATATATTATAAAAATATATATATCGATAATATATATATAAAAGATAGCAAATATATCTTTTGCTAAAAGATAGCAAATATATATATATAAAGATAGCAAATATAAAAAGATAGAAAATATATATAAAAGATAGCATCTTCACATGCTATCTTTACACACTATCTGAGATACATTTATTATCCTCATTTTATAAATGGAAATGAGTAAACTGACCTGAGCCATAAAACTAGTCAGTGGAAGCATTCACCTGGAGGGAACCCAGGCCTGGCTGATGGTTTTTTCAGGCACCTCTCTACTATTTTTGATTCTACATAGGAGTCAGTACGAGTAAAGCACAGAGAAGAGGAAAAGCAGAGAGTACTTGGGGAATTCCAAGTAATTTGGAATAAGTGTAAAACTTGGATATGTGCGGGAATGGGGCCAAGAGAATGAGGATAGAGGACCAGGGTAGTTCAGAAGTCCCATAGCTCGTCAGAAAATTGAATTCTATCCCACAAGCTATGAAGAGCCAGGGAACATGGTAAGCCATGGAGTGTTAAGATTAGAGGCACTCTCTTGAACAATGACTCTGTCAGCAAAAATTAGTCAAGGAATAGCAGAATATAGATAGTAATTTATAGTTGGAGTAAGGAAATGGGAGAGTAATGAATCTAAATTGACCTCCAGATGTGAGAATGGAGGCTGGGAGGGGAACACTGGAAAGCAGTGGTGCCTTTCAGGGAGATAGGAAGTGCAGCAGAGGGGAGATCCGAAGAGCTCTGATTCAGACAAGGAGCATCTGCAGTGAATTTAGGTGGAGGCAGCTGTGGCACTCATGTGCCTATGCTGATGTACTATGAAGTGCTGACAGTGTATTAAGAATAAATGCTTTGCAAAAGGAAACGTTGAAACATTTTAATACAAAAAATGACAAATTTGGGAATCTAAATTTCAAATAGAGCAGACAATGTGTTGGAGGATTGAGATTACATCTGTTTGGGAAACAATTACCTGTCTGGAAAGAATCAGGATGGTAGTTTGACAAATAAACTCTCTGTCTAGAGTTTCTTTGTTAACAATTTTGTCACATCAATTACTCTCCTTCTATGCTATTCTCACGTACAGACTAAGAAGTATGTTCCATAGATGCACAGAAATAAGTAAAGTAGGAAATCGGTTGAAACACTGCAGTTATCTTTATTATATTTTATTTGTTGTATTATTATACTTTATATACATATTATTGACATTTTTTATATTGAGCATTTTGCGGAATTGTTTCCCATGAATTATATTTAAAATTATCTATAAATTACATATACATTTATAATACATACATACATATATATGCATATATATATAATTAACAAATATTTCATTTTTAACCCAGAAATTGGAACTGGGTTATGACTTTTCAGAAACTCTTCGGCTTGGATACTAAGGTCCAGTGCAATGCATATGTATGGAGGGTATACTGTTAGCTGTCTTCAAAGAGTTGACAGTATTTTAGAACACCGTTTTTTAAACTTCGTGCAAATAATTTGCCTGGGTTATCTCATTAAGATGTTGATTCCTTATTCAGTAGTCCAAGGCAGGGTCTGAAATTCTGCTTCACTCTTATGATCCTAGGTGATGCCATAGCTGTTGATATGCAGGTCACAGTTTGAATAGCAAAGTTTTAGAGAAAATCTACATGTATCTAACTGAACACAATGCCACATTAAGTCAATATTAGCAGAATGAACAAAGCACTATGAAAGCCCCTAATTACAGATTATATTTCATAGGTCTAGACTCGGACTTTGAAATGGGAGATTTGTACTTATTCTGTAACCAGTGAATGGCTGCTGACAGGCTGTTCAATTATTTTCAGAAAGTGTTTCAAATATTTAGCAAGAGAATCACCCAGTTCTCTAAAAATCTGAGTTTGAGTAAATATATCTTTTTAAAAGAGCAGTCTCACAGTCTGCTGCAAGAGGAGGTAACAACATTTAATGCAAACTTTGATAAAGTAAATTGTTTTAGTGCTAAGTCATGAAAAACAATGGGCTTAAATTTAGTAATAAAGCACAACACAAGAAAGGATGATAGAAAAGTTCTGCATTTTTACTCAAGTAAATAGATCTTAATTCCAAGTTGAGAAAAAAGGTTTTTAGGACAATCCTAAGAATTGACCCGTGGCAAAAATTTTATTCTTTTTTTTTTTTTTTTCAGTAATGAACATGGAAAGATGCAAGGAGACAGCAATATGCTATGTTTTTAAAGATCAGTCTGCAGCGTAGAAGGAGGCCGGGTGACTGAGCCTCTGAGGTCTCTGGGCCTGTGTTGTCTGGGGAATTGCAAGAAAATCAATTAAAGGTAATTAACTCAGCAGTAGTTTTCACATAAAGGGTAATTCAAGCAAACTAGAAATAGCTGAAAGCGGAGCCAGCTCTGCTAAACTATGTGAAGGCCTCTAATGCTCCAGTGGAAAGTGGACATGAGATGAATTGAAGCAGCAACTGGCACTAGGCATGGCGGTGAAGCAGGAGCTATTGAATCACACTGCAGAATTTTATCTTTACAAACTCTCTTCTAATCTAATTGCCCATTTTTGTTCATATAGATATATATAGTGATAATTCTTTAATTAGTTTTAACAAAATCATATATATATACATACATATATACACAGGTATTCACACACACACACATATACATATGATTGATTCTATTTTTGTTTCTTTTAAATCACTTTTTTTGAAACTGCTGCACGGAGGGTCAGAAGCACAGATGCTGAGTCTGTTTAAAATGGCCTAGAAAGCAAAGCACATGCTTTAATCTGATGTCTAGGCTGCATTTTAAAAAATTGGATTGAAAAGGATTAGATTAGATTAGACCTTCTGGATTTAAAAATGTTAAAGCTCCATTTATGCTTTAACATAATCTCTTTCTACTCTCTGGAGTCATCAAGCAGAACACCATCTTGGTTAGCTTTTTTTATTATTAAATTTCAGACCATTTTTAACATCCTACTTTCATATTTGTAATAGAAAGAAATCCTCAGAAACTGAGCTAAAAGTTCTTTTGACATGCTGCTAAAGGGTACAGTGGGTATGTAAGCCTTCTGATTCTTACAATGGCTTTCATGTGTTTGCACACACACACACACACACACGAATAAAAATAACTAGTTTTTATATTCAAATTGCAGTGCATACTTTTGAATACTAAGCATTTTTATGAAGTGATAGCCGCCAGTAGTGTAACAATTTATTATAAAGCTTAAATAGAAAACCTCTGTGAGATTTTGTACACTATACCCCAACTTGACATACCGATTAGTTCCAATCTTTGTAAATAAAAAAGACGAATAACTATACACCATTTTCAGACTACTGAGGTTCTGAATACAAATAGGTTTTTTCTATAGTATTGATGGTCATAGATTATATAAAGAGAAAATACCACTACATTTTAGATTATACAAAGTATTTTGAGGTGGAAAGTTGAAAAATCTTCGCATAATTATTGCAAAACTTTAGCAGATAGCTTTCTATTTCTTAACGTGTAATTTTGCTTCTCTAAAACATTTTCAGAACAGAGCCAAGATAGACTTGTAAGCATTTGTAAATTTGTTATCACTGCACTTGGGCTGATATATCTTCTCAAAATTACAGTGATTACAAATGATTAATTATATTCGTGTAGCATCAACAATTTAAGATTTATGGCTTATCCCAAGTAAAGAACTACTGTCATTTATCTAAGGCATAAACAACACTGCTATCTAACCAAAAAGCCTGCGGATCCTAACAAACTATTTTTAAACTGAACAAATTATTTGTAACTAAATTTTAAAAACTGGAACATGAGAAGGCTTAGAAAAAGAAATATTAGTTTTCTTAAACAGTTCTTGATGTAAAGTTTGATAAGCATTTGGTGGAAGGCACTGTAGCACTGTTTTATCTCCAGACAAAAGGCTGACTCACATTCAGAAAGCAGAATCATCAATAACAACGATATAATTGAGAATGAAAATGATTTTTTTCTTTTAGAACAGTCTAAAATCCACTTGGTTTTACTTTGTGAGGTCTGTTTTTAGAATTTTGGTGAAAACTTTAATTTTTTATTCGGACGAAAAGAAAAGTCATATTCAATATTTTCTTTTCTCAATTTAAGGAGAGTCCACTGGTATGTCCATTAGTTAAACTTTGATTTTTGGTAAATATGAAACAGAATCTTGCATTTGTCCTTCTTTTTCCATTAAAAACTCTGCCCACAGGTAACCAAATAGCTGATCAGGTGAAGTTTCTTTTTATAGAAATATTCCAGCTAATAAACAGAGAAGGAATTATATAATTAGAAATCTCCATTTTGCAACCCCTAATGAAAATAAAGGATGCATTTGATGATCTGCAGTAGCTGCTAGCCTCACAAAGTGAGAAACAGCCAAAAACTGTGGGCTTCCTGAGAAAACCCACATTACCACAAATGAAACTTTTCGTCTTTTTAAAACAAAAATAAAACTGATAAATAAATAAATCTCAAACCTGAATTTGACTAAGCATTTTACGGGAAAGATTTGGGAAAACAGAACATCTTAAATAATACAATTGTATGGCGTTAGCAACATCCTAATTATAGGCCACTCCATATGACAGACAACAATTAAATTGCGGGGGATGGGAGTGAAGGAGTATGAGGAAGGGAAAGAAGGAAGGAAATAGAACACCTGCAGCATAGAAGAAACTTAAAAGCTGTATCAACCAATTGCAAAATATGGACCTTTTCTCCAACAAATACGCTTGTCGGAAAAAAAAATGTAGCAAAGCATTACATTCTCAATCAGATATGTGGCAAATGGCAAATTTAAGAAAGTTGGAAAAATTATCCTATTCTGAGAAGCATTTGTTCTGACAACAATTTCGCAGAGCTGCAATGAATTTTTCAAAAGTCCTTTTGCCTGTAGAAAAACAAAAATGACAGTGCATTTAGTGAGGCCTTAACGTCAACCAAGTTAGACAGTCTTTGCCAAGCTTCAGGATAACACGCTTGTTCTTACAAGAGACTGCCACTTTCACAGACCAAATCCTAACAATTTAGTAAGCTTGCACCAATAAAAAATCATTAAGCTAGGTATCAGCAATGACTCTTTTAGCAGCTAGGCGTGGCCAGAAATAGGTTATTTTCTGAGACATCCAGTTAGCCTTCCACATGATAAACTTAATTATTTTACATTTATAGAAGCATGGAGATCTACTATTAAAAACTACACCCAGGTTTTAACTCTTGAAAAGAAAAAAAAAAGAAATAAGAAAAAAAATCAAAAGCATGAAAATAAAAATCTAAATTGAGAAAAAATTAAAGCTTTAAACTAATACATATAATGTAATCAGAAAATAAAGTATTAATAAGGTATAATTTGTACAAGATGAAAAAAATCTCACTATAAAAACAAGGGAGAGAAATTTCAGCGCAATGGGAAATAAAATACTCTCACATTACATATGCTACAAAGTACTTATTTCATTTGCAACTTGTATTTATATTTTCTAATATGGAAAAAGAACAGCAAGCAACATATTTATGGTAAAAAGTACTTAATTCTTTGTATTTCTATCTAAAGAAATAATAGCCTTACTTGAATTACATATAGATTGAATGTGAATCTTTATTATTAAAATGTACTTTTTGTTAGCACAGTGATATACACTTAAAAAACAGGTGAGAGGAACTGTAATTATTTCATATATTTTTGTTTTATATTTCTAAGATGTTGAGATCTCAGGCATTTTTTGTAAAAAAATTATTAAAAGCTCTGCTTTTAGTTACTCCAGGAGACCTTTGTGTATCTAGTTATTTATCACAGGGATGTATCGCTTTCTCCATTTGACACAGTGAAATAGGCTGATTTTGTAAATCTTTTAAACATCCTAAAGATAGTACATATTGTTATATAACTGATTTATATGTGGATAAAATTTGTCTTTCATAAATATTAGAGCACAGCTAAATGCTAGCGAGTTGTTAGGATGAGATTATACCTGCCTGTCAGCAAGTGAGAATGAAATTTTCCAATAGCAAAGTCATCCTGAGGAGCAATGTCAAATGCCCTGAATTGGCAAATAGAAGCAGCAATTTATTCTTAGGTACTCAGAATGTTTTAAATATCATTTTCCCCACTGTAAACATCCGTATTCACATTTTACCTAATATTGCGGGCTTTAAATGCTAACATTATTTTTTTTTGGCTTGAAGTCTTTATTTCTGGAAACTAAATGAGTCTAACAAATGAAAAGCCTTGTGAATGTTTCTTTCAGTATGTGATGGAGCATTGTTTTAAGAGACAATTTAATTTCTTTGCCAAAAAAATTATTCTCCATTTTATATAGATTAGCAATAATTACATATTCCTATAAAGAGGAGTCCATGGGATTTTCAACCTGTATTTGAGATGAATTTCTTAGAAAGAGCATATAATTGGGTCCTGTTTCTGTTCCATTTGGTTTTTAATACACTCTGCCAATCTCTGGGTTTTAATTGGTGCGTTTAGACCATTTAGAGTTAATGTAATTATTGATTTGTTAAGGCTAAAGTCTGCCATGATATTTTTTTCTGTTTGTTCCCTGTTTTTTATTTCTCTGTTTTGTTTTTCCTGCCTTTCTGTGGGCTACTCAAACATTCTTTAGTACTTCATTTTCATATATCTGTAGTGTTTTTGAGTTTATTTCTTCATATATCTTTTTTAGAAGTTGCTCTAGGTAGTACATTATAAACACATAACTTACTACAGTCTACTAGTATCAATATTGCATGGTTTCAAATGAAGTGTAGAAACTTTAACTCCTTTTTATTTCTAAAACTCTCCCTGTCTTAAGATTGTCTTAAATATTTATTCATAGAGAAACTTATCACTGTTACAATTTTTGCTTCAACCATCAAACATAATCTACAAAAATTCAAGAGGTAAAAGAAATTCTGTTGTATGTACCCATATTTTTGCTTTTTCTATTGTTTTTTCTTTCTGATTTTTCAAGATTTCTTCTTGAAAAATTTGAATAAATCTTCTTGAATAAATCTTGAAAAAGATTTATTCTTTTATTTCTGTTTAAATAACTTCTTTTAGCTCTTTTTTGCTTTTTAGAATAGTTTTCCTGGCCACAAATTCTGTTAGTTTTCCTTTATCTAAGAATGATTAATTTCGCTTTTATTGCTAAAGAATGTTTTTGCTGGTACAGATTTCTGGTTTGACAGTTCTTTTATTTCAGTATTTGGAAAATGTTGTGCTGCTTCCTTCTGACCTTCCTGGTTCTTGAGGGGAAATTCATGGTCATGTAAACTCTATTCCTCCTATAGGTAAGGTGTCATTTCTCTTCTGCTGCTTTTAAGATTATTTTTGTTTTGTTTTTAGTTTTCAGAAGTTTAACTATGGTATGTCTTGGGATGAATTTCTTTGGTTTTATCTTGTTTGGGGTTTAATCTGCTTCTTGAATCTATAAGTTTATGTGTCATTTGCTAAATTTGAGAAGTTGTCAGCCATTATTTTATTTTTTAGTACTTTTTCATCATCTCTGTATTCTTCTTCTTTCATGACTCCAATAACCTGAATGTTAGATTTTTTTCTTGTACCCACCAGGTTCTTTAGACTCTATTCATTTTTTTTCTGTCTATTTGACTTCTGTTGCTCATATATAGTAAGTTCTATTGTTCTAGCTTAAAGTTGCATGAATTCTTTTCTCTGTCCTCTCCTTTCTATGGTGGAGCCAATACATTAATTTTTTAAAGGATTATGATTATTGGCTGGGCTTGCTAGCTCACTCCTCTAATCCCAGCATTTTGGGCAGCCAAGGCGGGTGGATCACTTGAGGTCAAGAGTTCAAGGCCAGCCTGGCCAACAGGGTGAAACCCCACCTCTACTAAAAACACAAAAAACAGCCAGGTGTTGTGTCGCATGCCTGTAATCCCAGCCACTTGGGAGGCTGAGGCAGAAGAATTGCTTGAACCTGGGAGGTGGAGGCTGCAGTGAGCTGAGATGGCACCACTACACTCCAACCTGGGCAACAGAGCGAGACTCCACCTCAAAAAAAAAAAAAAAAGACTATGATTATTGCATTTTTCAGATCAAAAATTTTCATTTGTTTTTGTCTTTATGTCTTTTATTTATTTGCCAAGACTTTCTATTATCATTTGTTTCAAACACATTTGTAAATGGTCATTGAAGCATTATTAGGATTGCTGTTTTAATCTCCTTGTCACATACTATAATATCTGTGTCATTTCAGTATTAGCATTTGTTCATTGTGTTTTATCATTCGAGCTGAGATTTTCCTGATACTTGGTATGAGAAGTAATTTTTCATTGAAATATAGATATTTTGGTGTATGAAACTCTGGATCTCATTTGAATCTTCCATTAGAGCAGGTGTCCTCTGACAGTGTTACTATAGAAGAAGTGGTATACTGCCTTGTTACTGACTGGCGGGATGGAAGTTCAGGTTCTGCACATGGCTTTCGTTGACATGCTGGGGTAGAGAGGCTTCTCATTTCTGCTTTTGGGTTTACATTCAAGTTTCTCACTAGTCATCCATTAATATACCTGTCTGGAAGGGGTAGGAAGGTTTCATCACTGCATCTTGCATGGCATCTACTAACACTAAGGTAAGATAATCTCATTATTGCTGGGTTGTGGCAAAAGTCCTGACTTTCTGCTAGGCCTTTCTGACAGCACCCTGCAGGAAGTGTGAGGGATACCTAATTATCACTGGATGTCATAGAAGTCCAGACTACTCATTTGACCTTTACTAACACCATGGAGTACAGGCCCTCATTACCTGCTAGCTGGGATGAAAGTCTAGCTCCCCACTTAGAGGTCTCTGACAATATTCTATGGAGGGTTTGGGGCATTTTATTAAAGCCTAGCTTCCCCACTTGGCCTTTGCTGGTTGCGGTAGGGGTGGAACTGATGTATTTACTGTGGTTTAGCTGGAGTAGAGCGGTTACCATCTAAAAATTTTCTGTCTTTTTGGGCTGGCCCTTTCCTTGCTCTTTTCTTAAGGAAAGCAGGCTTTCCTTGAGTTTCCCACCTGCCTCCCACTCCTGTTGGCATTTCTGGGTTTCCAGCTCTTCTGGCACCCAAACTGGGATATATTAAGGAAAAAGAAAACCCACTTACCTCACCTCTATGTTGTCGCGCAGGTTTCAAGATTTCTAAGCAGCCTATATACTTATTTTAAACTTTCAGAGACTTCTTGTTTCTCTTTTACATAATGTCCAGGCTTTTTAGCTGTTCTTTGTGGGAGGAATAGGTAAAAGTACATCTACTCCATCTTCCTGGAAGCAGAAGTCACTGATAATACTTTAGTAACTAGTACTTTAAAACCATATCAAGGTGGTGATCAACCAAATTGAATTTTCCAGGATCATTAAGTTAGTTTTAATGATTTTACACCATTGATAAATAACTAGATGTTATGAGGGACAGTGGTGGATAATAGTGAAATACAGAGATCTTTGAGTTAAGCATCTCTTACTTTGAATCCTGATCTGGGTTTTAAGAGGTGTATAATACTCATAAAGTTACTTAACACTTCTAGAACTAATTTTCCACAACTATAAAATAGAAATAATAATAGCTTCCTAATATGGTGGTTGTACAAATTCAGTGCAACAATATAAACAGTACCTGATACAATAAATTAGAGCTATTGTAATTTTAAAATATATGTTTCTCTTTTAAAATTACTCCTCAGAGCACTAATTGGTACTTTTCTGTCTTGAAATAGTGAAGTGGAATAAAGAGTTTTTAAAAAGTATTTTCTTCTCCTTGATGCACCATGGGATGAGATTATAGATAGCATCTGAATTAACAACCAGGAGTTGCTGCCGATGAGCACACTGTAAGCTCTGAAAACGCATTTGGAAGTACCTTATATTTTGGCCCATGACTCACTCTTTGACATTAATTCTTCTCTATAAGGGATTAATGTACTCAAGAATCAATATGCTTTCAGACAGATCCTAGATGGGTGAGTTTCTTTGCTGGTCAGTATTTTCATTATTTACAACTTATGTCAGCAATATTCCCTACTCGTCTATCAGTATTTGAATTTGTTCTCTCATTTCAGTCCTGAATGTTGAACATTACTCAAAAGGTCTTTTATAACTTGATTTACCAAGAAAGCAGATTAGGAATCTTTTTGAAGACTTTATAGGGGAGCAATTAGAAAGAGATTACTATTTAGTTCTGTATCCTAGATACATAGGGTGAGTATTCTGAGTTATTCTGCAAATATTAATATTTACATTTGAAACATATTTATCAGTACCACCAAGTTATTTTATACAGATTATTTTCTTAGTCTTTTTTCATTATGACAGATATCGTCTATCATTTTCCCTTTTGAATTCCACGTTTTAATGAATTTTTTCTTATTATGATATGTACTTATCTAATCAATATTTAATTACATTTGCATTATTCATATTTTGTATGCTTTCACAATGTTTTCATATAGTGCTTAAGAATATATGACTTAGTTCATACCTTGGTTTGTAAATGCCGTTATCCACTAAAATGAACCAAGATTCCTTGGAGAAGTGGCTAATTCTAGGACTAGGGCAGAGAAAGTATGAGATGATTCTATAATATATTTTTGTTCTAGGAAATAAGGAAGGGTGTGACAAATTAGGGGGTCATGTAAAAAATGATCCAAGAGTCAGCTTGAAACAGTTCCTACAGGCCAAATCTGGAGCAATTTGAGCATAAAAGTGAAAAATTACAGTAATGGATTTCAAAAACCGCTGATTTAAAAAAATCCATGAGTCTATACTGAAAATATATACATGTATGATATATAAATGAGGGGAAAGGAAAAGAGCTTTCTTGCAGTATATTACTATATATATAAATATACATATAAATATATATAAATATATAAATATACATATTAATATATATATAAATATATATACATATAAATATATATATATATATATATATATATGAAGTGACAGCTGTTATCAGTTGAATTGTCTGTCCCAAAACTCATATGTTGAATCCCTAACACCCAGAGTCCCAGAATGTGACTGTATTTAGACAGGATCTTCAGTGAGATATTTCAAAGTTAAAATGAGGGTAGGCCTTAATCCAAAATAATCAGTGTCCTTATCAAAAGAGAAAATTAGGACACAAACAACATAGAGGAATGACCAAGAGAGGGCAGTCATCTTTAAACCAAGGGATGAGGCCTCAGAAAATATGAACTAGCCTCCAGAATTGTGAAAAAATAAACTTGTGTGGTTTAAACTATCCAGTATGTAGTATTTTGTTATGGTACCCTGTACAAACTAATACAGTAGGTTTTTAAAAAGAATTATCCATCATAGTAATAAATTGATTCAAGGAAGAATTACCAATGCATGCATTGGATAACATTTGAGAATGGATGATATATTTACATGATCTCAGGATATGTCCCACGTATTACTTATTAGTTTCAAAGAAAAAAAATATTAACTTTACAATGGAGAAACCAGGTGAACACCTCAACCAAGATCAACATTGACATCATCAATAATGGTACAAACTGACATTTATGTGCCTCCTGATGTGAGGCACTAAGAAAGATACAATTAGTAAGCATTCAGCACTCCTGAAAAAACCATAAAACTTGTATTGCATCATGAGAAAACAATCAGTTAAACTCAAATTGAGGAATATTGTTTAAAAAATGACTGGTCTGTGTACTCTACAATGTCACTGTCACAAAAGAAACAGAAAGGCCAAAATAGTCTGGCAGAATAAAGAATTAGTCTGAAGGCTATAAGGGAGTTTTCATGGACAATTGTTAAAATTTGAATTTAGACTATATATTAGATAATAATATTATATCAACGTTAAAATTATTGAATTGATAATTATACAGCGCATCACATAAAATGTCCTTCTTGAAGAGTGATGTCTGCAAAATGCAACTAGAAGTCCCAGCCCTCATACCCCCACAGAAACACTGTTTCAAGAACAATATGTGGACCAAAATACCTTTATGAAAATACAAAAATATTGCAGTACCCCAGGTGAGGCCAAAGCCAAAGCTTTACCCATTGAAAAGGGTAAGGAGCAATTCACTTTGCTCTTCTTGCATCAGCTACCTGCCTGAGCCAGTCCAGCTCAGCACCAAGAGAGAATGCCCTGGCATATGGTTTGTTTCTCGGGGGAAAGTTAGAGTGAAATATGCCTCCAATATTCCAGGTTTTGGAGGGCAGCTTGAAGTAGTCCTTTCTGTATTGCCTCACACAAAGCTCTGAGGGAAGCAGCATAGTTTGATAGTTTGGATACCTGGATACTACTGAGAACACAGGAAATTTGCAAGTGGATTGCTGTCATCAGTATAACTCAGCATGAATGGGGAAGGCAGACAATCTGAGGCCTCCACAGGGAGGGTGAAAAGTAGAGTATACATCCAGCATCCTGGCTCTTCAGTGGTCTGCCTGATGGACTGTTTGTTAAAAGTAAAAGTTGGAAAAAGATATTCTATACACTAGTACCCAAAAGAGCAGGGATGGCCATGCTTATGTCAGACAAAAGAGACTTAAGTTGAAAACTGTCAAAGGTCACAAAGGACATTATATAATGATAAAAAGATCAAGTCACTAGGAAGATATAATAAATATAATTATATGTGTGTGTGTATTTATATATGTATTTGTGTATGTGTAGCAAATATCAGAAAATCTATCTATATGAAGCAAACTTTAACAACATTAAAGAATAAATAAACAGAAACACAATAAGAGTAGGTAATTTCAATGCCTACTTTCAATAATAGACAGTCTATCTAGGCAGAAAATTAATGAGAATACAAAGGACTTGAACAGCACTATATACCAAATGTACTGAACAGACATACACAGACCAGTCCATCCAACAGCAGGAGAATACCCATTCTTCTCAAGCACACATGGAACATTATCCAGGATAGATCACATGTTAGTTCACAAAACAAGTATTAAAAAATTTAGGAAGACTGAAATCAAACCAAGCATAACTTCTGACCAAATAATTGAATTAAACTAAATAAATAGCAGAAGGAAAATGGGAAAATTCACAAACACGTAGAAATGAAAGAAGATACCCTTGAACAACAGCTGGTCTAAAAAGGAATAAATAGGCAAATTAGAAAATATATTAAGAAGAGTAAAAATGAAAACACAACATACAAAAACTAATGGGAGGCAGTAAAAGCAGTACCAAAAGGGAAATTCAGGGTGATGAATGCCTGCATTAAAAAAGGGATATTTCAGTAAACAACTTAACTTTACACTTCAGAGAACTAGAAAAAGAAAGACAAGCTAAGCTCAATGTGGGCAAAAGGGGAAAAAAGTAGATGTTAGAACAGAAATAAACAAAATAGAGCACAGAAAAGCAATTTTAAAAATCATTGAAACTAAATCGTTCTTTTAAATATCAATAAAATTTATAAACTGTTCAACAGATTAAGAAAAATAAGAAAAGGCTCAAATAAATAAAAATAAAACTAGAGACATTACAATTGATGCAACAGAAATTAAAAGTATAAGAGAATATTATGAACAATTTATTCTAACAAATTAGATAATGATAGAAGAAAATGACAAATTCCTGAAAAAATAAATATACCAGATTACTCATGAAGAAATAGAAAATCTGAACATACCTATAACTAGTAAGAAGATTGAATTCATAATAAAAACCTTCCAACAACAATAACAAAAAAGCCGAACATCAAATGACTTCCCTGGTTCTACCAAGCATTTAAAGAATTAACACTAATGTCTCTCAAACTTTTCCAAAACATTAGATAGAAAGAAACATTTAAATCAATTTTATGAGACTAACATGACCCTGATACCAAAACTGGAAAAAAGATACTGCAAGAAATGAAAACTACAGGACAATATCCTTGATGAATAAAAATATTCAACACAATACCAACAAAACAAA
The DNA here is from genome assembly GCF_000001405.40 of Homo sapiens. Lineage (NCBI taxonomy): Eukaryota > Metazoa > Chordata > Mammalia > Primates > Hominidae > Homo > Homo sapiens. The sequence goes on from NC_000005.10 coordinate 52,514,322, forward strand.
TTCAATGGTTTGTGAAAAGAAATATACTCCATGAACAAGTGAGATTTATACCAGAAGAGTCAAGAATGGTTCAAAATATGAAATATTAGTAGCTGTGAAACTTTTTGTTATATTAACAGAAAGAAGGATAAAAATCAGATAACCAAAATCAACAAGCAAAAATCAGTAACATGTAACAGTGAACAATCTGAAAAAGAAATTTACAAACTAATACCATTTACAATAGCCAAAAATAAAATTAAATACCTAGGAATTAACTAAAGAAGTAAAAGATCTCTGTAATGAAAACCATAAAACACTGATGAAAGAAATTGAAGAAGGCACCAAAAAATGGAAAGATATTCCATGTTCATGGATTGGAATAATGAATATTGTTAAAATGTCCATACTGCCCAAAGCAATCTACAGGTACAATGCAATCCCTATCAAAATACCAATGATAGTCTTCACCCAAATAGAATAAACAATCCTAAAATTTACATGAAGCCAAAAAAAAAAAAAAAAAAACAATAGCTGAAGCTATCCTAAGCCAAAAAACAAGACAAACAAAAAACAGGCAAAATCATAAAACGGACATATAGACCAATGGAACAGAATAGAGATCCCAGAAACAAAATCATATACCTACGCTGAATTCATTCATTTTTGACAAAGATACCAATAACATATATTGGGGAAAGAATAGTCTCTTCAATAAACTTTACTAGGAAAACTGGATATCCATCCATATGCAGCAGAACTAAACTTGGCTCCTATCTCTCACCATATACAAAAGTCAAATAAAAATGAATTAAAGACTTAAATCTAAGACTTCAAACTATAAAACTACTACAAAAAACATTGGGGAACTTCTCCAGGACATTGGTCTGGGTGAAAATTTCTTTCATACCCCATAGTCACAGGCAACCAAAGCAAAAATGGACAAATGGGATCACAGAAAGTTAAAAAGCTTCTGCACAGCCGAGAAAGCAATCAACAAAGTGAAGAGACAACCCACAGAATAGGAGAAAACATTTGTAAACTATCCATCTGACAAAGGATTAATAACCAGAATATATAAGGCACTCAAACAACTCAATAGGAAACAATGTAATAACCTGATTTAAAATCTATGGGCATAAGATTTGAATAGACATTTTCAAAAAAACACATACAAATGGCAAACAGGCATATGAAAAAGTGCTCAACATCATTGATCATCAGAGAAATGCAAATCAAACTACAATGAGATATTATCTCACCCCAGGTAAAATGGCTTATATCCAAAAGTGAGGCAATAACAAATGCTGGCAAGGATGTGGAGAAAAGGGAACTTTTGTACACAGTACTTTTGTACAACAGTGGTTGGTGGGAACTTTTGTACAACAGTTGTTGGTGGGAATGTAAATTAGTACAACCACTATGGAGAATAGTTTGGAGGTTCCTCAAAAAACTGAAATTAAGCTACCATATGATTCACCAATACTACTGCTGGGTGTATACCCAAAAGAAAGGAAATCAGTATATCAAAAAGATATCTACACTCTCATGTTTGTTGAAGCACTGTTCACAATTGCCAAGATTTGGAAGTAACTGAAGTGTTCATCAACAGATGATTGGATAAAGAAAATATGGCACATATACACAATGGAATACTATGCAATCATAAAAAAGAATGAGATCCTGTCATTTGCAATGGTATGGTCATTACGTTAACTGAAATAAGCCAGGCACAGAAAGACAAACTTTACATGTTGTTATTTATTTATGAGATCTAAACGTCAAAACACTTAAACCCATGTAGACGGAGAGTAGAAGGATGGTTACCAGAGGCTGGGAAGGGTAGTTGATGAGGGGACTAGGAGTAAGTGAGAATGGTTAATCAGTGTAAAATAAAAATTGTTAAATCAAATGAGACCTAGTATTTGATAGCATATGGTGACCATAGTCAATAATAATTGTACATTTGAAAATAACTAAAAGCATAATGGAGTTGTTTATAACAAAAAGGATAAATGCTTGAGGAGATGAATATCCCATTTTCCATGATGGGATTATTACACATTGCATGCCTGTGTTAAGGTATCCCATGTATCCCATTAATATATACAACTGCTTTGTACCCACAAAAAAATTTTAATCATATGACCATCTCTATGGCTTTATAAAATTACTGGACAAAATCCATCATCCTCTTCTCATAAAAATAGTCAACAAAGTAGGAATAGAAGGAAATAATTTCAACATAACAAAGGCCACATATAAAATTTCAAAGCTAACATCACATTCAATGGTGAAAAGCTGAAAGATTCCTCTAAGATCAGGAACAAACCAAGTAAGCCCACTTTTGCTGCTTCTATTAAACATAGTTCTGAAAGTACTAATCAGAGTAATTGGGCAAGAAAAAAACATAAAAACATCCAAATTGGAAAGAAAGGAGTAAAATTATCTCAATTCACAGATGGCATGACCTTATATGTAGACTCTACAATAAACATTTTAGAAATTAATAAATTCAGCAAAGTTGTAAGACACAAAATCAACATACAGAAATAAGTTGCATTTCTATCAATTACCAACAAATAATCCAAAAAGGAAATTGAGAAAATAATCCCATTTACAATAGAATTAAACAGAATAAAATATTTAGAAATAAACTTAACCAAGGAGGTGAAAGAGACACCAAACTCTACAAAACATTGCTTAAAGAAACTAAAGAAGACACAAATAAATGGAAAGGCTTTCCACATGAATGGATTGGAAGACTTAATATTGTGAAAATGTCCATAATACCAAAAATGATCTACAGATTCAATGTAATCCCTATCAAAATCACACTAGCATTTTTAACATAAATAGTAATATTAAAAATAGTAAAAATTTTTAATTCATATGGAGCCAGAAAAGAAGCTCGAATAGTCAAAATAACCTTCAAAAAGAACAAAATGAGAGATCTCACAATTTCTAATTTCAAAACATATGACGAATCTATGGTATTCAAACAGTATAGGACTGGCATTAAAGCAGACATACAGACTAATGGAACAGAATATAGAGCCAGAAATAAAGTCACACATATGAGATCAAATGATCTTCAACAATGTTGCCAAGACTACACAATGGGTAGGGAAAGTCTCTCCAAAAGGCAATGGAAAAACTTGATATCCGCATGCAAAAGAAGGAAAAGATTTTTGTATCAACTCGAAATGGATTGAGGACTTTAACAGAGGACCTAAAACTATAACACTCATACAAGCAAACAGAGAAAAGGCTGCATAACTATATTAGTCAGGGTTCCCTAGAGGGACAGATGTGTGTGTCTAATAGGATAGATGTGTGTGTGTGTCTGTGTGTGTGTATTTTAAGGGGAGTTTATTAAATATTAACTTACACAATCACAAGGTTCTCCAATAGGCTGTCTGCAAGCTTGAGGAGAAAGGAGAGCCAGTCTGTCTCAAAACTGAAGAACTCGGAGTCTAATGTTTCAAGACGGGTTGGGTGGGTACCCCACACTGCCGCTGACGCCTTGCGCTCACTCCGCCATTCGCGTGCGTGGCTGAGAGACCCCCGGCCCCACTGCGTGACCCACCCATGTCGCACTGGGGACAGTTCGCCCCCCGCCTGTGAGCACGTTGGCCCTCACCCTCTTTGTGCCACCGTGGCTTTTGTGTTAGCCCCTAACTTGCTCAAGTGTTAGACTTCTTGGTCCAGAAGTAAATAATTGAAGTTTGGGAACATCCGCCTAGATTTCAGAAGAAGTCCGGAAACACCTGGATGCCCAGGCAAAAGTTTGCTGCAGGGGCAGGGCCCTCATGGAGAGCCACTGCTAGGGCAGTGCGGAAGGGAATGCAGGGCCAGAGCCCCCACACAGAGTCTCCACTGGGGCACTGCTTAGTGGAACTGCGAGGAGAGGGCCATCGTCTGCAGCACCCCAGAATGGTACATTCATTGAAACCTTGCACCATGCGCCTGAAAAAGCTGCAGACACTCAACGCCAGCCAGTGAAAGCAGCCAGAAGGGATTCTGTACCCTGCAAAGCCACAGGGGCAGAGCTGCCCAAGACCATGGGAACCCACCTTTTGCATCAGCCCGACCGGGATGTGAGACCTGGAGTCAAAGCAGATCATTGTGGAGCTTTAAAATTTGACTGCCCCGCTGGATTTTGGACTTGCATGGGTCCTATAACCCCTTTTTTTGGCCACTTTCTCCCATTTGGAATGGCTTTATTTACCCAATACCTGTACCCCCACTGTATCTAGGATGTAATTAGCTTGCTTTTGATTTTACAGGCTCATAGGTGGAAGGACTTGCCATGTCCCTTTGACATGGCAAAGATGAGACTTTGGACTGTGGACTTTGGGTTAATGCTGAAATGAGTTAAGACTTTGGGGGAAGGTTGGGAAGGCATGATTGGTTTTGAAATGTGAGGACATGAGAGTTGGAGGGGCCAGGGCCAGAATGGTATGGTTTGGCTGTGTCCCCACCCAAATCTCAACTTGGATTGTATCTCCCAGAATTCCCATGTGTTGTGGGAGGGACCCAGGAGGAGGTAATTGAATCATGAGGGCTGATCTTTCCCATGCTATTCTCGTGATAGTGAATAAGTCTCATGAGAGCTGATGCGTTTAGCAGGGGTTTCCCCTTTTGCTTCTTCATTTTTCTCTTGTGGCTGCCATGTAAGAAGTACCATTTGCCTCCCTCCATGATTCTGAGACCTCCCCAGCCATGTGGACTGTAAGTCCAATTACACCTCTTTTTGTTCCCAGTTTCGGTTATGTCTTTATCAACAGCATGAAAACAGACTAATACAATAACATTGGTCTTAGTAATGATTTCTTGGGCATCACACCAAAAGCACAGGCAACAAATGGGGAAATAGACAAGTGAGACTACATTAAATTGAAAAGCTTTTACATAGCAAAAAGAAAAAGACAAGAAATCAACAAATGGAAAAGGCAACTTAGAGAGTGAGAAAATGTTTACAAAAAAACTATTAAAAATTTAATAGTATTCAATACATTCAAGGAACTCATATAACTGAATAGTAAAAAAAAAAAAAAAAGTAAAAACAGAAAAGTACTTGAATAGACATTTCTCCAAAAAAAGGTTTAAAAAGTGCCCAAAATGTGTATGAAAAGGTGCTTAAGATAACTAATAATATAAGCAATACAAATCAAAACTACAATATATCACCATCTCATGCCTGTTAGAATAGATATTATTTAAATTAAAAACAAAAGCAAAAACAAAAATAGAAGGCTGGGCATGGTGCCTCATACCTATAATCTCAGCACTTTGGGACGAGGAGGGTGAATCTCTTGAGGCCAGAAATTTGAGCTCAGCCTGGGAAACATGGCAAAACCCTGTCTACAAAAAATACAAAAATTAGCTGGGTATGATAGCATGCACCTGTAGTCCCAGCTACTCAGGAGGCTGAGGTGGGAGGATCACTTGAGCCCAGGAGGCAGAGGTTGCAGTGAGCCAAGATCATGCCACTGCATTCCAACCTGGGTAACAGAGTGAGACCCTGTCTCAAAACAAACAAACAAACAAAAAGCTAGAAATAAACATGTGTTGGCAAGGGTGTGGAGAAATTAGAACTCTTATGCAATGTTGATGGGAATATAAAATGGTTCAGGTGCTATGGAAATCAGTTTAGAGTTTCTTCCAAAAATTAAAAATAGAACTACCATGTGATACAGCAATTTCATTTTTGAATATTTATCTAAAATAATTAAAATTGGGATCTCAAAGGGATATTTGAACTTCCATCTTCATTGCAATGTTATTCTCAATACACAAGAGGTGGGAACAATCTAAATGTTCATTGATGGATGAATGGATAAAGAAAATGTGGTATATAAACACAAACGAATATTACTCATCTATTAAAAAGAAGGAAATTCTTTTACATACTACAACATAGAACAACCCTGAGGACACTGTGCTAAGTGAAATAAGTCATCGATAGATGGATAAATACTATATGATTCCATTTACATGGGGTATCTAAAATAGTTGAACTCATAGAAACAGAAAGTAGAATGGTGGTTTCTGGGTGCCGGGAAGAGGAGAGGTGCTGGGTATACAGTTTCAGTCATGCAAGATGGAAGAGTTTAAAGATTGTTTGTAGTTCATTTTATTTACAGTTTACAATACCATACTGTGCACTTAAAAGGTTGTTTTGAGGATAAATTTTATGTTGTATATTTTTGCCACAAATTTAAAAAATAAATACAAATTTGATTTTGGAACTTAAAAAAGAGAAAAGAAAATGTCTTTCTTAGAAAATACCTAGTAAAATATTTAGGAGTAAAGAGACATAATTTCGGTGACATGCTATCAAATGGTTCAACAATTAAATTAAATACCACTAATGTCTGTATGTGTGTGTGTGCACATGTGTGAAGAAAGAGATAATGATATAATAAGTGTGACAAAATTTTAATAATTAGAGAATTTAGGTGAAATATCTATGAGAGATAGTTGCATTACCTTTATAACTTTTCTGTGAGTTTTATTTATTTTTTCCAAACTAAGAAGTTAAATTCATGTTCTAAATACTGATATCTTGAGTCTACTTCTTGGTTTTGTCACTTAGGATGTGACATTGGGGAATTTATTTAAATTATTTAAACCTCAGATTTCTAATCTATAAAATAAAAGTAATATTGTACTGTCCTTTCAGTGTTGTGAGTAGTAAATGAGACACTATCAATAAATCTTTCATTGTATTGGGAATTAACAATCTCTCAAAAATACTAGCTGAAGCTGAACTCGGTGGTGCACACCTATAGCACTGACTAGTCAAAATGCTGAAGCTGGTACATAGCTTGAGCTCAGGAGTTTGAGACCAGCCTGGACAATAGTGATATACTGTCTAAAAAACAAAATTAGTTGTCATTAATGACATTTTAATGTTAATCTATTATAAAACAGTAATCCATCAACATGAAGTATTTAAAATAAACAATTGAAAATTTTAAATTTGTATAGTAATTGCCACATATGCAAATATCTATGTAGTGTTTACTAGTTGATCAGCTTCAGCTATTACTAAAAATAAGTCAGATGACATACTCGACATATCAAGTCAACCTCTATAACTCATTAACATGGGTCTCCAGTTAGTGTCTGAATTTCCTCATCAAGTCTTGGTCGATCGAGTACTAAAGGTTTCTGTTTATTATTAACAAATAAACTGCTGATATTCTGTGTTTCAGATATTTCCTCAGTGAATGGACATGAGATCAGAATAGAGAAAAAGGAAAAGAAATTGGCACTTTGATTAGTTAGCTTGTCACAAATTATTCTGTCACTGCCGTAAATTTTCTTGCAATTTGAACTGCAACCTTCATAGATTTCAGAACCGGTTTCTTGAGAACAAGTGAGATACTTTGGACTGCACTAGTGAAATTAGAACAGATATTCACCAAATGGTGCAAATACAACATGGAAGAATTCTTGCACATTACACTAGTAATGAAATATGTATTTCTTTGTTTTCCTTTGACAATACAGAAACTATTTTGGCAGGAAGCAATGCACACATTTGTATGCAGAGGTATATAAAACGCTCTGCCTTAGAGACTGGGACTCTGGGTAGGACAGAATCTACCCAGTCTGCTTAGAAAGGGCTGCGGGTTGGAACCATGAATTGACATCTCTGATTTAGTCCCTTAGCTGGAAACATTTATAATTTAGATGGAAAAGTAGGCCATAATATTAATCACAAACAATAGCAGGATTTTGAGCTATGAGGAAAGCAACTATGAAACTACTTTATACTACTATATAATATAAACGAGGAATTGTCCTGAAACGTCACCCAAGAATTACATGTACCTTCCTCCCCAGTGAAAGTTAAATCTCTGGAGGTCAGAGGTGCACTTGGTAGTCATTTTATTATCTTTTGTAGCTCTTAGTAGAGTGCCTGACATACGTTAGGCATTCAATAAATACAGTTTGAATGAACAAAAAACAAGTGGAATTTCAGAGTAGACAATGATGTGAGGTGAGAAATTTTCAGAAATATGAGGAAATTTGTTTAGTAACCAAGGTTGACTGGGAAGACAAGTTCTGCGTAGGAGCCTGACCAAGTTTAGCTCCTCTAATTGTAACTTCATTTCACCATTTCATTCTTTTTCCTATTCATGAATGTGAATTGATATAATCTCAACAAAAATGTATGTTGACCTTGTCCCATATATTTGTGATTTTGGAAGGTTCGTTTGCACTCTCCAATGACACTCTTAACAAGTATAGTTCACAAAGGAAGACCTACACCACAAAACCGTGTGGAAAATTGTACTGGTGTACTACTAAACACAATACCAGAAATATATCCCTGTTACTATTGCTAGCAATAGGTGAATAATGTGTTTATAAATGTAGCTTTAAATACTAAAATGAGTACTCTTTCTCTTTATATAAAAATATGCGATATTATTCTATATAAAATATGCCACATTCTTTCCAAAAATGTTCTTAAATTTAGTGGCATTCAACACATATATATGTTAGATATTAGAATCCTCTTTCCAATTTAGACAAGTCTACTTCATGTTTTTTAAAAATTTCCTTAAGTATTTTAATGAAAGCCATACTAATTTATGACTTTCTTTTTGGGTTTGAAGCCTACTTCATTATTTTATACATAGTAGCTTTCAAATAAATGTAGATTATTTTATATCTTGCATGCAATTGATCTAGTTTGAATGGTTTTTAGTTTTCCATTTGTACAATATTTTAAAAACTAAGCAGCTACTCTGTATTAATTCACCTTGTCTTTGCATATATACATGCAAATGAGGAAATGATGTATGTATACATATATATATATACAGTGACAGACCAATTAATATTTATGAACAAAATTCGCAATGATTCTGCACAATAGTCCATCCCAGAAAACAATGGTTTCATTTTATACTTATTCTAAAATTGATTTTTTGTTATTTTATGAGCTGAGTTACTAAGTCCCCTGAATATTTTTTTATTAACTGTAGTGAAAAACATTAGTTTCAAACATCCAGCAGGTGGTTCCAAACTTAAGTTTCTGCTATTAAATGGCATAGAACAGCATTAAAAACATAAAATAATACATCCTGATTTTCACTGGGTTGATCAAAATGGAGGAAAGCATTGAATCACTGAAGTTCTCTTTATTGAGCTTCCAGATTATCTTCCTTATGAAGATTTTGACAACATTTTTGCAGAGAATTTTATTAATATTTAAACATTTTCATTGTCCTAATGATGTCTTTTTTTTTTTTTTTTTTTTTTTTGAGACAGGATCTCACCCTCTTTCCCAGGCTGGAGTCCAGTGTCATGATCTTGGCTCACTGCAACCTCTGCCTCCCTGGTTCAAGCAATCCTCCCACCTCAGCCTCCTGAGTAGCTGGGACTACAGACGCATGCCACCAGGCAGAGCTAATTTTTGTATTTTTAGTAGAGACCGGGTTTCACCATGTTGCCCAAGTTTTGAACTGCTGAGTTCAAGCAGTCTGCTCACTTTGGCCTCCCAAAGTGCTGCGATTACAGGTGTGAGACACTGCACCCAGCCCAACAATGATGTCTTTAAATGTGGTGAAGTATCATGTTAATGTTTATCTTCTGCTTAAATGCATTCTGCTGTGAAAACCGGTAACTAGCATTCAGAAAGTGTTTCCATACTGCACAGCAAATAGTGAACTACTCACCTGATTTCCATTTCCTTTGTCTTCCTCTAACATCATTATTTCATTTGTTATACTTAGAAATCAACATCCCTAATTGTTTCTCTTCCTGCTTCTCTGGCATTTAATGAGCAATGATGATACAGACTGTTGTGTTGGCAAAATTCAGTTTACTGGATCACAAACATGTCAAAAATAATATAATCCTGAATTGATGTTGTAGCAAACACAGTTCACGCCCCTCCTAATTCACTTGGCACTGAGGAACCCCGGTCTTTCCCTGTATTGCTTCATATCCTAATACTATTAGCTGTGGTCAAGAGCCATACTTTGTCACAGCCTCCTTCTCACCCACCTTAGTGGGAATTGTAGCAATTCCAGTGCCTGGCAAGTCCTGTTCTGAGCTTCATTGCAGCTGCCTGGGAGTGGTTGAGAGGGCTGGGCAACATAATCTTCAGATACAGGAGAGTTAACATTGCTCAATGAGAGACAAAATACAAGAAGATAAACTATTCAAGGTTTCAAGGATCCCACAAACACTCTGTAAAGACATAACCTGCGACCTAGGAGCAAGTCTTTCTTATGTCAGGATGCTAGCCAGTTTGCAAGCACCATCTTTTATTTGCTTTTTCTCCTATTCTACTTCACTTCCCTTTATTCTCTATAAAGCATTGAACACAAGCTTTACCCCCATTTTTCTGTGGAGACCACAAGCTGATACCTATGTAGAATATTTTTAAAACAGAGTTCATGTGGCTGAAGTAAGATTTCTAAAATCTTTGCACATTTATAAGATTATAGACCCATGCCATTTATACCACTTTCTGAGGATGATTTCACTGTCACATTTTATTACATGCATGACCCGAAGGTAGTGATTTTTGTCTTTCATATAACCAATAAATGGTAGTACAGGGATTTAAAGTAGCATAAGTTGGCAACCAATTAGATGTAGATGTAGGGTCTCAAAAAGTTGAGGATAGCCCTGAAGTTTTTAGTCTGAGGGATTATAAAAAAATAATTACACCAAAAAACTTTGAGTATAAAAATACTTGGGGGAAAGATGATAATCTGGCTGACTCCCTGTACTGTGAAATGCTCCTTAATTCTCATCATATTTTAATCATGTTTCCTGTTCTTGGGGAATTTAAAATGTAGAAATATCAAATTATGGTTGTAAATTCTTCTCAACCCAAATCTCTGTGTCCCTTCCTTGAAATTCACCTTGCTACCAAAGGAAATTACCTGTAAGAAAATACTTTTCAAAAACAACTTCAGAACAGTGAAAGAATAGCCCATTAAACTGGCCTGAAGGTCAGTCACTTCTGCCCTACGGGAAGTGGTCAACTGGTAAAAAGTCCTCTGCAGGGTCTTCAAAATGAACTGGTGATGGGGAAAACTCTATAATATGCCCATACTCAAAAATGGGAAGTCAAGTCTCTTTAAATTCCAGAAAGAATTACTATCCTTAAGAATGTATAACAAGAAGGATAAAACCAGTGAGTTAACACCTCGGTGTTGTATAATATTGTTTTGAGCATAGAATAAAAAAATAGGAGTAGAATAAATATTTTTCGCTGGTCTCTAGATTTCTTTGTATCCTAAAATTTCTACCTTATTGTTTAAAAAATTCACCTCTGATTTTCTCAAGCATCCCTCAGAGATAATCAGTTCTACTATGGGCATAGTAAATTTGAATTACCCGATGTAATCATTTTTAACCTAATATTTTACACATACAGCATAAATATTATTATCATTAGGAGACTGATGCTTACTGATAGTAATTCGCTCCAAATTTTGTAGTTTAAAAAGAATTAAAACTAAATCTGTCTACATTCTTTTTCTCCTATACCACAATGAATCAATGCTTACTTGTTAAGTATATAAACTCATTAATTATTTAAATAATGACTACAAGATAAGGGTCATCTAGTTATTGTGTGAAAAGTCACTGATCGAATGCACCCTTTAGTATATATGAAAATGGACACATAAGCAATCCCTTTAACTGCAGAATTGATATGATTGCAATTACTAAAAGTTATTGCTGAAGTGCATAGTCCACACGGTATCATTCTGCATTTATATTAAAAAATACTATACATTCATTCTAGTGGTACTATTTCTTTGTGAAAACTACCTTGATTCATGTTCAACCACAATTAAAAATGTTTACTAAGGAATTGTTTCCCTAGCAGCATTTACCATGTGCATACAGTCCTGCCTGTCTTCTTTTGAATCCAACAACTCTTTTAATCCAACAACCCAGCTCCTTTATTCTTTTATTTTTATTTTATTTTAAGTTCCAGGGTACATGTGCAGGATGTGCAGCTTTGTTACATAGGTAAACATGTGCCATGGTGGTTCGCTTCATCTATCAACCCATCACCTAAGTATTAAGCCCAGTGTGAATTAGCTATTTTTCCTGATCCTCTCCCTCTCTACTCCCCACTACTGACAGGCCTCAGTGTGTTTTGTTCCCTTCCCTGTGTCCATGTGTTCTCATTGTTCAGCTCCCACTTAGATGTGAGAACATGCAGTATTTGGTTTTCTGTTCCTGTGTTAGTTTGCTGAGGATAATGACTTCCAGTTCGATCTGTTCCTGCAAAGGTCATGACCTTATTCCTTTTTATGGCTGCATACTATTCTATGGTATATACGTACCACATTTTCTTTATCCAGTCTTTCACTGATGGGCATTTGGATTGATTCCATGTCATTGCTATTGTGAAGAGTGCTGCAGTGAACATATGTGTGCATGTATCTTTATAATAGAATGATTTATGGCCAAGTTCAGTGGCTCTTATCTGTAATCCCAGCACTTTAGGAGGTCGAGGTGGGCAGACCATGATGTCAAGAGATCAAGACCATCCTGGCCAACATGATGAAACCCCGTCTCTACCAAAAATACAAAAAAAAAAAAAAATTAGCTGGGCGTGGTGGTGTGCGCCTGTAGTCCCAACTACTCAGGAAGCTGAGGCAAGATAATTGCTTAATCCTGGGAGGTGGAGGTTGCAGTGAGCTGATATCACGCCACTGCACTCCGGCCTGGAGACAGAGTGAGACTCCATCTCAAATAATAATAATAATAATAGAGGGATTTATAGCCCTTTGGATATATACCCTGTAATGAGATTACTCGGTCAAAAAGTATTTCTGGTTCTAGGTCTTTTAGGAATCACCACACTGTCTTCCACAATGGTTGAACTAATTTACATGTCCACTAACAGTGTAAAAGTGTTTCTATTTCTCCACAGCCTTGCCAGCATCTGTTGTTTTTTGGCTTTTTAATAATGGCCATTCTGACTGGTGTGAGATAGTATCTCATTGTGGTTTTCATTTGCATTTCCCTAATGATCAGTGATGTTAAGCTTTTTATCATGTTTGTTGGCCACATAAATGTCTTCTTTTGAGAAGTGTCTATTCATGTCCTTTGTCCACTTTTTAATGGGGTTGTTTTTCCTATAGCTTGTTTAACTTCCTCATAGATGTAGACTCTCGATATTAGACCTTTGTTAATTGGATAGGTTGCAAAAATTTTCTCCCATTGTAGGTTGTCGGTTTGCTCTGATGATAGTTTCTTTTCCAGCTCCTTTTTGCAATCCAACAATCCATGTAAATATTCATGTATGGCATTAAGATTGAAAATTCCAATTCAGCACAGAATGACAAGCCCAAAGTGAAAATATAATGAGAATTAAATCCATATTTATACCAACACATTGAGCAGGACAAGTGAATAAACTAAGTTGGAAAAAATGTAAATATTTCTTAGGGAAGTTGAAAACTACATACAGGATTCATAAATGTCATCACCTAGATCACTGTGAGCCTACTGTTGTAGAAAATGAAAAATATCAGGGAAGATTTTTGAGCCTTCCAAACTTTTCTTAATGTCTGATAATAAAGAAACTAATTATGAAGATAGCATGTATAAGAGTAGCTTATGAAATAGAGGGGTCTGGTTCATGTATCATGTAAAACTATAAGAGTTTCTTTTCAATTTTCCTATTTAGGAGATTTCTTAAACTCAAATATAAGGAAAATAAAACTGCAGATCACTTTGTAATTCCCAGTGTACCATCCTTACAAGATATTAGCTTCTCAAAATGAAATAAACATCCTCAAACAAAGCAAAAAATAGTACTCAAAAAACTCAATGCTTGTCAAATCATAGAATAAAAGAGGCAAAATGATCCAAATTGCCATCTTCTGAAAGAAAGTATGTATCAGGTATGTTAGAGCAACCCTGCTAAAGGTGCTAAATGTAACCACCAACTCAGACTCCAGTGTCTTGAACACGAATGAACACACTCACTTATCTACTCATTTATTTATTCATTCATCCAGTTATTCATTCAACACGTACGTATTCATTGAGCTCCTGTTATGTACCACACACCATACTAAGTGTTAGATCAAATGTGGTAAGCATATCGTGAAAGAATAACAGCATGGAGAAAATTAAGACAGGTAGTCAGAAGAAGCAGCTAACTGAAATGAAGAGAGATTGGAGAGATTGCCTAGGAGCCAGACATCTGAACTCCTCTTCCCTTTACTATTTAGAGTTGATGGGACATTGGGCAAACCCTGACTTATTTACCTTTCTAGTGACTATAAGAAACTCAAAAGAATACAAATTGTAAATTTTCATGTAAAGTTTTGTACATTGCAAAATGCTCTGTAAATGTAATTGCTCCACCAAAAAATAGCAGTCTCCATTGACCTTACACTTTTTCTCCATTGCATGTTTCAACATGCTGTCAAGTTAGTTCTCCTCCACTGCTTGCTTGAAATTTGGGATAGGTCGCAAATTTTTCGTGTTCTCACAGATAATGAATTTCTTCAATAATATTTAGTCAATAAGCTCTTCATTTTCATTAATTGAAGAATGTACAGTTTTCTATAACATGAAATCATGGCTCTTGATTCAAATCCTGTCATGAAAAAGGGAGTGTGATTAGATTCTTGTCTATTCTACCTTGTCCTGTATCTAGGTACCATTTTTCCCTCTACCTAGACCACCGCTTTGTACCAAAGGAATTGTCACTGGGAAAGGAGAGGTAAGAACAAGAAAAGTCTCAGTTGACAGTGCCACTGGGTTCTAGGCACTGTGGCTGCCTGGGCATCCAGCACTGGATCTTCTTTGCATAGAGGACATTATTCATTCTTCAGGAGCCCACTCATTAACAAAGAGCTCTTAACTGGAGATTTCTTCTTTAGAAAGCTATTTAGTTTCCCCCTCAGCCCCTGATTTTAAAGGTCTAGCCCACAAGCCACTCCCTGTTTGGGACCTATAACTCTTCCAGAGCTCAAGTACCTGTCTTTTTCCTTATATCCTAATTATGGTCCACAGAAAATCTCATGTTTCCTTTGCTACAACAAACTCTGGGAGTACAAACCATTCCCAGCACAGCTTTCTCTCATATACCCACTGTCAGCCCAGCCCTTGGCTAAACAGGATACCCACATTCACTGTGTCTGTCTTTTAGGTTGCGTTGAACTTTACTAAAAATAATAATAAATAATGAACTGAATCCATAAGCTTACTAAAGTCATAGCTACTCAAAAAGGTCAATAATAATTATTTAAGTCAGCTACTTATGTCTAGATACCACAGATATATTTGAAAATTTTCTTCCAAAAGTAAAATGTGGGTCATTTTTAAAGTAAATGAGTGCCAATGGGTAATATTAGTAAATGAAATACGAAACTTTTATGCACTGAAGACATCATTATATAAGAAATACAACAACCCCTATTGCTTGTCTGATCCCTTATTGCGGATTGAAAGATAAAGGCTTTGTTTCAATCTAGTGCATATTCACTGTCAAAATAAGCCTAACTTCCAGTAGCAATTTTGCTTGGCTTAACTAGTACATAAAAGCTGGGAAAATAATGACACTGAAATCCAATATTATGTCACTGAAACCAAAGGCGGTCTCTTCTAATTGTAGGATAGATTCTATGTTGTCAACTCTTGTTTAATGAAATAAAGGCATTGAGGTAGGTTTTTCCACTATCTCACATGTTAATCTTATCAGCTAAACCAGAAAAACTAAAATATCTTTGATTGATGAAATAAAATTCATTTCTTGTATAAAGATTTCCTGAGGTTTTTTAATATCAGTTATTCAAAAATAGAAGTAGTTTGCTCTTTGCTCTGTATGGTACTCTGACTATTGTATAAACACAGTGTCACTTTTGACAAGAAAACTAAAATTTGGAAATTCTCCACCATATTTCAGGGTGCCATTTACAGAACAAAAGTAACTATGTAAAAAGACCTCAAAATATCTATGTTTTTCATACAAACCAAAATAAATACATATACTCTGATTACACAAGTGCCCCCCTTAAAGATCAGAGTGTTTCATACTGTCTTGGATTATCATAAGGTATTCTGAGGAATTATGTTCTGCCTTCTTTATAATAAAAAAGTATTATTTCCTTCAGACAGAAGGATGGCAATAAATATATCCTGGATGTGTTTTTTAAACTTTAAAATTCTACATAACCTTGTGTGTCTTAATCTGACTATGTGCAATGTAGATTAGTAGATATTAAACATGCAAACCCTACCTGTCTTGTCTTTTCTCAACAGGATTCTCACTTCATATTGAAATATTTTTTGATCAGGTGTAATAATGGGGTTTGATTGGGTGTAGTTCAATCCCATTGTTGGTGACTAAATGTAGGAGATCTTCCAAATTTTCCTTAAAAGATTATATACTAACTGAAGAATCCACTTAAGGTTACAAATATGCAGCCCAAATACTCTCTGGTTGAATTACACCCTGAACTATATCTTACAAAGAAGT
This sequence comes from Homo sapiens, assembly GCF_000001405.40. Taxonomy (NCBI): domain Eukaryota; kingdom Metazoa; phylum Chordata; class Mammalia; order Primates; family Hominidae; genus Homo; species Homo sapiens. Next base: position 52,530,802 of record NC_000005.10, read on the forward strand.
CAATGCTCTTTGACAAACAAATATTCATGACTCAATTTTGTGTTCTAAAACTCATCTAATCTGGAGGTCATTTCACTTTACTTCCAAAACCGACTTGTAACTGAATTAAGAGCATGTTCTCTTTCCTCCGCCCAGCCTGCACCCCCAGCCGAGTATATGTAAAGTAATGGTTATGAGTCAAATTATAAAGGAAAAAATACAGATAGGTAATAAATGTTCCAATGCTGCCTATGTAATTTATGAAATCAGAATTACAGGAAGTGTCACTGTATTAGTCCATTTTCATGCTGCTTTTATGGGCTGGTGTTGAGTGTCTGAGGCTTTTCCAGATACACGGTGTAAGCAGTCAGTGTATCTACCATTCTGGGGCCTGGAGGATAGTGACTCTCTTCTCATGGTTCCACCAGGCAGTGCCCCAGTGGAGACTCTGTGTGCGGGCTTCAGCCCCACATTTCTCTTCTGGACTGCCCTAGTAGAAGGTCTCCATGAGGGCTGCATCTCTGCAGCAAACTTCTGCCTGGACATCCAGGGGTTTCCATACATCCTCTGAAATCTAGGCAGGGGTTCCCAAACCTCAGTTCTTGACTTCTGTTCAACTGAAGTCTCAATGCCACGTGGAAGCTGCCAAGGCTTGGGGTTTGCACTCTCTGATGCCACAGTCTGGGTTCTATTGGCCCCTTTTAGCCGTGACTGGAGTGGCTGGTAGGCTGCACACAGCAGGAGGGCCCTGGGCCTCAGCCACAAAAACACTTTTTCTTCTGAGGCCTCTGGGTCTGTGATGGGAGAAGCTGCCACAAAGGTCTCTGATATGCCCTGGAGACATTTCCCCCATTATCTTGGTGATTAACACTTGGCTCCTTGTTACTTATGCAAATTTCTGCAGCCAGCTTGAATTTCTCCTCAGAAAATGGGTTCTTCTTTTCTATGACATCATCAGGCTGCAAGTTTTCTGAACTTTTATGCTATATCCCTTTTAAAACTGAATGCTTTTGGCAGCACCCAAGTCACCTCTTGAACACTTTGCTGCTTGGAAATTTCTTTTTCCAGATGGCCTAATTCATCTCTCTCAAGTTCAAAGTTCCACAAATCTCTAGGGCAGGAGCAAAGTGCTGCCAGTCTCTTTGCTAAAACATGGCATGAGTCACCTTTACTCCAGTTCCCAAAAGTTCTTCATCTACATCTGAGACAACCTCAGCCTTGATTTCATTGTCCATATCATTATCAGCATTTTGGTCAAAGCCATTCAATAAGTCTCTAGGAAGCTCCAAACTTTCCCACATTTTCCTGTCTTCTTCTGAGCCCTCCAAACTCTTCCAACCTCTGCCTGTTACCCAGTTCAAACGTTGTTTCCACATGCCTGGGTATCTTTATAGAAGCACCCCACTCTCCCAGTACCAATTTACTTGTTAGTCAGTTTTCATGCTGCTGATAAAGACATACCTGAGACTGGGTAATTTATAAAGAAAACAGATTTAATGGACTCACAGTTCCATGTGGTTGTTGGGGGCCTCACAATCATGGTAAAAAGCAAAAGGTACATCTTACACAGTGGCAGAGAAGCAGATAATGACAGCCAAGTGAAAGGAGTTTCCCCTTATAAAGCCATCAGATCGTGTGAGACTTATTCAAGAGAACAGTAAGGGAGAAACTGCCCCCCTGATTCAATTGTCTCCCATGGAGTCCCTCCTACAACATGTGGGAATTACGGGAGCTACAATTCAAGATGAGATTCGGGTGGGGACACAGTCAAACCATATTAGTCACCTTCTGTGGATAATGAACTTCTCAGAAGACCAACCAGAACCTAAGCACTTTAAGTTAGAATTGTAGCATCCCATTAATTTATTTACTTGTGTTCAAGTCCACTATCTTGTAACTGGAGAAAGGAAGAATAAAACGTCACAAACACATGTAGAGAAAAAGTTATCCAAATAATCTTACAGTGGAGTGGTTTTAAAAAGAAAAATTTGCTTATTTTTTTTTCCAAATTAAGCTTACTTACTTCTTATTACTTATAATCATTGCTATTCCTAGACCACAATTGTTACTAATAAAGGACTCAAAGGAATAACAAGTAAATAAGACAACATCTTTACCCTCAAGAAGCTCACAGACTTAGTAGAAGAAATAGCTGCATTTAAAAAGAGTTTCCCAGCTGGGCACAGTATCTCATGCCTGTAATTCCAGCACTTTGGGAGGCCGAGGTGGGCAGATCACGAGGTCAAGAGATTGAGACCATCATGGCTAACACAGTGAAACTCCGTCACTACTAAAAATACAAAAAAAAAAAAAAAAATTAGCTGGGCATGGTGGCAGGTGCCTGTAGTCCCAGCAACTCAGGAGACTGAGGCAGGAGAATGGCATGGACCCAGGAGGCAGAGCTTGCAGTGAGCCAAGATCATGCCACTGCACTCCAGCCTGGGTGACAGAGCGATACTCCGTCACCAAAAAAAAAAAAAAAAAAAAAGGACTTTCCCTCAAAATATTCTATCAGAGTATTACAAGGTGCTGAAATGCTGAAACACTGTGCTTATACTGTAATCATAGTATCAGACAGAGCAAACTACCCTTATTTTTGAGTTACTGACATTTAAAAATCTTGTGAGAGCACTATAAAAGCAGCACATTTTATTTCATGAATGAAATACATTGTAGGTTTTCTGGTTTAACTGAATTAATATTAATATCTGAGATAAAGGAAAAATCTGCCACAATGCCTTTATTTTATTGAACAAAGATGTTGGCCCCTAAAAAGCAATTGTATTTTTAAGATGAAATTATATAACTGGTTCTTACAAAAATTACAGAATACAGAATAAATAGGCAAGTATTCTAAGCAAGTATCAAATTAGTCAAACAACCTCGACCTCAAATGAAACTTTCATTATGACAATCACCATTATTGGAAGCCTGTTTAAAAATGTTGATTTTGTGGCTTTCTAATGCAAATGCAAAACCATAATGGAGGTCTAGACAAGATGGCCAATTGGGAACAGCTCCAGTCTACAGCTCCCAGCATGAACAATGCAGAAGATGAATGATTCCTGCATTTCCAACTCAGCTTTGAAGAAAGTAGTTGCTTTCCCAGCATGCAGCTTGAGATCTGAGAATGGACAGACTGCCTCCTCAAGTGGGTCCCTGACCCATGAGTAGCCTAACTCAGAGGCACCCCCCAGTAGGGGCAGACTGAAATCTCACACAGCCAGATACTCCTCTGAGACAAAACTTCCAGAGGAGCAATCGAGCAGCAACATTTACTCTTCACCAATATCCGCTGTTCTGCAGCCTCCGCTGCTGATACCCAGGCAAATAGGGTCTGGAGTGGACCTCCAGCAAACTCCAACAGACCTGCAGCTGAGGGTCCTGACTTTTAGAAGGAAAACCAACAAACAGAAAGGACATCCACACCAAAACCCCATCTGTACGTCACCATCATCAAAGACCAAAGGTAGATAAAACCGCAAAGAGGGGGAAAAAACAAACAAGAAAAACTGAAAATTTTAAAAACCAGAGCACCTCTTCTGCTCCAAAGGAATGCAGCTCCTCACCAGCAATGGAAGAAAGCTGGATGGAGAATGACTTTGATTACTTGAGAGAAGAAGGCTTCAGACGATCAAACTTCTCCAAACTAAAGGAGGAAGTTTGAATCCATGTCAAAGAAGTTAAAAACCTTGAAAAAGATTAGATGAATGGATAACTAGAATAACAAATGCAGAGAAGTCCTTAAAAGACCTGATGGAGCTGAAAACCATGGCACGAGAACTACGTGATGAATGCACAAGCCTCATTAACCAATGCGATCAACTGGAAGAAAGGGTATCCACGATGGAAAACGAAATGAATGAAATGAAGCCCAAAGAGAAGTGTAGAGAAAAAAGAATAAAAAGAAATGAACAAAGCCTCCAAGTAATACAGGACTATGTGAAAAGACAAAATCTACGTCTAATTGGTGTACCTGAAAGCAACGGGGAGAATGGAACCAAGTTGGAAAACACTCTGCAGGATATTATCCAGGAGAACTTCCCCAATCTAGCAAGGCAGGCCAACATTCAAATTCAGGAAATACAGAGAATGCCACAAAGATACTCCTTGAGAAGAGCAACTCAAAGACACATAATTGTCAGATTCACCAAAGTTGAGATGAAGGAAAAAATGTTAAGGGCAGCCAGAGAGAAAGGTCGGGTTACCCACAAAGGGAAGCCCATCAGACTAACAGTGGATCTCTCGGCAGAAACCCTACAAGCCAGAAGAGAGTGGGGGCCAATATTCAACATTCTTAAAGAAAAGAATTTTCAACCCAGAATTTCATATCCAGCCAAAATAAGCTTCATAAGTGAAGGAGAAATAAAATACTTCACAGACAAGCCAATGCTGAGAGATTTTGTCACCACCAGGCCTGCCCTAAAAGAGCTCCTGAAAGAAGCACTAAACATGGAAAGGAACAACCGGTACCAGCCACTGCAAAAACATGCCAAATGTAAAGACCATCGAAGCCAGGAAGAAACTGCATCAACTAATGAGCAAAATAACCAGCTAACATCATAATGACAGGATCAAATTCACACATAACAATACTAACCTTAAATGTAAATGGGCTAATGCTCCAATTAAAAGACAAAGACTGGCAAATTGGATAAAGAGTCAAGACCCATCAGTGTGCTGTATTCAGGAAACCCATCTCACATGCAGAGACACACATAGGCTCAAAATAAAGGGATGGAGGAAGATCTATCAAGCAAATGGAAAACAAAAAAAGGCAGGGCTTGCACTCCTAGTCTCGGATGAAACAGACTTTAAACCAACAAAGATCAAAAGAGACAAAGAAGGCCATTACATCATGGTAAAGGGATCAATTCAACAAGAAAAGCTAACTACCTTAAATATATATGCACCCAATACAGGAGCACCAGATTCATAAAGCAAGTCCTTAGAGACCTACAAAGAGACTTAGACTCCAACACAATAATAATGGGAGACTTTAACACCCCACTGTCAACATTAGACAGATCAATGAGACAGAAAGTTAACAAGGATATCCAGGAATTGAACTCAGCTCTGCACCAAGAGGACCTAATAGACATCTACAGAACTCTCCACCCCAAAACAACAGAATATACACTCTTTTCGGCACCACACCACACCTATTCAAAAATTGACCAGATAGTTGGAAGTAAAGCACTCCTCAGCAAATGTAAAAGAACAGAAATTATAACAAACTGTCTCTCAGACCACAGTGCAATCAAACTAGAACTCAGGATTAAGAAACTCACTCAAAACCGCTCAACTACATGGAAACTGAACAACCTGCTCCTGAATGACTACTGGGTACATAATGAAATGAAGGCAGTAATAAAGAAGTTCTTTAAAACCAACGAGAACAAAGACACAACATACCAGAATCTCTGGGACACATTTAAAGCACTGTGTAGAGGAAATTTATAACACTAAATGCCCACAAGAGAAAGCAGGAAAGATCTAAAATTGACACACTAACATCACAGTTAAAAGAACTAGAGAAGTAAGAGCAAACACATTCAAAAGCTAGCAGAAGGCAAGAAATAACTAAGATCAGAGCAAAACAGAAGGAGATAGAGACACAAAAAAAACCCTACAAAAAATCAATGAATCCAGGAGCTGGTTTTTTGAAAAGATCAACAAAATTGATAGACCGCTAGCAAGACTAATAAAGAAGAAAAGAGAGGAGAATCAAATGAGGTAATAAAAAATGATAAAGCAGATATCACCACCGATCCCACAGAAATACAAAGTACCATCAGATAATACTATAAACACCTCTACGCAAATAAACTTGAAAATCTAGAAGAAATGGATAAATTTCTCGACACATACACCCTCCCAAGACTAAACCAGGAAGAAGTTGAATCTCTGAGTAGACCAATAACAGGCTCTGAAATTGAGGCAATAATTAATAGCTTACCAACCAAAAAAGGTCCAGGACCAGACAGATTCACAGCCAAATGCTACCAGAGGTACAAGGAGGAGCCGGTACCATTCCCTCTGAAACTATTCCAATCAATAGAAAAAGAGGGAATCCTCCCTAACTCATTTTATGAGGCCAGCATCATCCTGATACCAAAGCCTGGCAGAGATACAACAAAAAAAGGGAATTTTAGACCAATATCCTTGATGAACATTGATGCAAAAATCCTCAATAAAATACTGGCAAACCGAATCCAGCAGCACATCAAAAAGCTTATCCACCATGATCAAGTGGGCTTCATCCCTGGGATGCAAGGCTGGTTCAACATACAAAAATCAATAAGCGTAATCCAGCATATAAACAGAACCTACGAAAAAACCACATGTTTATCTCAATAGATGCAGAAAAAGCCTTTGACAAAATTCAACAACCCTTCATGCTAAAAACTCTCAATAAATTAGGTATTGATGGGATGTATCTCAAAATAATAAGAGCTATCTAGGACAAACCCACAGCCAATATCATACTGAATGGGCAAAAACTGGAAGCATTCCCTTTGAAAACTGGCACAAGACAAGGATGCCCTCTCTCACCACTCCTATTCAACATAGTGTTGGAAGTTCTGGCCAGGGCAATCAGGCAGGAGAAGGAAATAAAGGTATTCAATTAGGAAAAGAGGAAGTGAAATTGTCCCTGTTTGCAGATGACATGATTGTATATCTAGAAAACCCCATCGTCTCAACCCAAAATCTCCTTAAGCTGATAGACAACTTCAGCAAAGTCTCAGGATACAAAATCAATGTGCAAAAATCACAAGGATTCCTATACACCAATGACAGACAAACAGAGAGCCAAATCATGAGTGAACTCCCATTCACAATTGCTTCAAATAGAATAAAATACCTAGGAATCCAACTTACAAGGGATGTGAAGGACCTCTTCAAGGAGAACTACAAACCACTGCTCAAGGAATTAAACGAGGATACAAACAAATGGAAGAACATTCCATGCTCATGGGTAGGAAGAATCAATATCGTGAAAATGGCCATACTGCCCAAGGTAGTTTATAGATTCAATGCCATCCCCGTCAAACTACCAATGACTTTCTTCACAGAATTGGAAAAAACTACTTTGAAGTTCATACAGAACCAAAAAAGAGCCCACATTGCCAAGTCAATCCTAAGCCAAAAGAACAAAGCTGGAGGCATCACGCTACCTGACTTCAAACTGTACTACAAGGCTACAGTAACCAAAACAGCATGGTACTGGTACCAAAACAGAGATATAGACCAAAGGAACAGAACAGAGGCTTCAGAAATAATACCACATATCTACAACTATCTGATCTTTGACAAGCCTAACAAAAAGAAGATATGGGGAAAACATTCCCTACTTAATAAATGGTGCTGGGAAAACTGGCTAGCCATATGTAGAAAGCTGCAACCGGATCCCTTCCTTACACCTTATACAAAAATCAATTCAAGATGGATTAAAGACTTACATGTTAGACCTAAAACCATAAAAACCCTAGAAGAAAACCTAGGCAATACTATTCAGGACATAGGCATGGGCGAGGACTTCATGTCTAAAACACCAAAAGCAGTGGCAACAAAAGCCAAAATTGACAAATGGGATCTAATTAAACTAAAGAGCTTCTGCACAGCAAAAGAAACTACCATCAGAGTGAACAGGCAACCTACAGAATGGGAGAAAATTTTTGCAACCTACTCATCTGTCAAAGGGCTAATATCCAGAATCTACAAAGAACTCAAACAAATTTACAAGAAAAAAACAAACAACCCCATCAACAAGTGCGCAAAGGATATGAACAGACACTTCTCAAAAGAAGACATTTATGCAGCCAAAAGACAAATGAAAAAATGCTCATCATCACTGGCCATCAGAGAAATGCAAATCAAAATCACATGAGATATCATCTCACACCAGTTAGAATGGCGATCATTAAAAAGTCAGGAAACAACAGGTGCTGGAGAGGATGTAGAGAAATAGGAACACTTTTACACTGTTGGTGGGACTGTAAACTAGTTCAACCATTGTGGAAGTCGGTGTGGTGATTCCTCAGGGATCTAGAACTAGAAATACCATTTGACTCAGCCATCCCATTACTTGGTATATACCCAAAGGATTATAAATCATGCCGCTATAAAGACACATGCACACTTATGTTTATTGCAGCACTATTCGCAATAGCAAAGACTTGGAACCAACCCAAATGTCCAACAATGATAGACTGGATTAAGAAAATGTGGCACATATGCACCATGGAATACTATGCAGCCATAAAAAATGATGAGTTCCTGTCCTTTGTAGGGACATGGATGAAGCTGGAAACCAACATTCTCAGCAAACTATCGAAAGGACAAAAAACCAAACACCACATGTTCTCACTCATAGGTGGGAATTGAACAATAAGAACACACAGACACAGGACGGGGAACATCACACACTGGGGCCTGTTGTGGGGTGGGGGGAGGGGGGAGGGATAGCATTAGGAGATATACCTAATGCTAAATGATGAGTTAATGGGTGCAGCACACCAACATGGCACATGTATATATATGTAACAAACCTGCACGTTGTGCACATGTACCCTAAAACTTAAATTATAATAAAAATAAAATTAAAAAAACCATAATGAAAAGTTCACATTAGAAAATCAACAATTTGAATTTGCATTAATTCATCAATACATCAAAAAAAAAAAAGAAAAATAGGAAAAAGAATAGACATCATTTTGCCTGGTTCAAGCCTCAGGTGATAGAACTATCCAGAGGAATCAGTGACCTCCACAGGCTCGGAGAGATGCTACACCAAGAGATAATTCAGTACAAACAATACATATAAAACACATAATTATATATATAGAAATAAACTGGCCCATGTTCTCCCACTTTTTTACTTTAAAACTGAAGACCTGTCTACTGCCATGTGAAGTAAATAGAGAAACCAGAATAAAAACAAACCAGACAAAATCATGACTAAGTATCATCAAAAGAAAGGAAACACTTCATAACTCAGAAATGGAAAACCAATCATTGTATGCTTTCACTCATAAGTGGGAGCTAAGCTTATGAGGACACAAAGGCATAAGAATGAGACATTGAACTTAGGGGACTTGGGAGAAAGGGGAGTGAGGGATAAAAGACTACACATTGGATACAGTGTACACTGCTCAGGTGATGGGGGCACCAAAATCTTACAAATCACCACTAAAGAACTTATTCATGCAACCAAGCACCACCTGTTCTTCAAAAACCCATTAAAAATTTAAAAATTACAAATTATAAAATAAAATAAATAAAAAGGAAACACTTCAATCTTTATTCACAATAAAAATGAATAGACACAATGGTCTGAAGGGAAGAATATATATAATATATTCATATATTATGGATATGAACATATGATATATATCATATATTATGGATATGAACATATGATGTGTATCATATATTATGGATATGAACATATGATGTGTATCATATATTATGGATATGAACATATGATGTGTATCATATATTATGGATATGAACATATGATGTGTATCATATATTATGGATATGAACATATGATGTGTATCATATATTATGGATATGAACATATGATGTGTATCATATATTATGGATATGAACATATGATGTGTATCATATATTATGGATATGAACATATGATGTGTATCATATATTATGGATATGAACATATGATGTGTATCATATATTATGGATATGAACATATGATGTGTATCATATATTATGGATATGAATATATGATGTGTATCATATATTATGGATATGAATACATATAATGCATATTGCATATTATGTGCATGAATACATATAATATATATCATATATTATGTATATGAATATATAACATATATAATGTATATCATATATTATGTATATGAATGTATAACATATATAATGTATATGATCATATATATATAATATATATGGAGAGAGAGAGAAAGAGAAAGAGAGAGACAGAGAACTGTTTTTTACTCTCCAATGCAAACTGATACGTGTAGAAGCTCTTTACAAACTATAAGGTGCTAGGAAGCATAAGCTTATAATCATCAGCTTCAAACCAAATGGTTTTGCTGGAGTGACTTAGCCCTCTTAGAAAATTATCTTCCTATTCAGGGACCAAGAAAGAGTAAAACAGTGGATCTGAATCTTCAGAAAAGGAAATACAAAAAGATGTTTGAGCAGTAGATAAGCATTAACTTGGTAAACCTTCCTTACAGACAGGGGCAACCAGCTTAGATCAAACACAGAGCCCATTGGTCCCTTGGGAAAGTCTTTCTGACTTTTGCCAATGACAGACATGTTCAATTTGAATTAGGGAGGTAGAGTAAAAGGGCAACAATCCTACGCATTTGGGTTGGATGCCTCCTCCTCTTTAATCACAATACAGAAATTTGACTGGAAGGCCAAAGAGGTCTTCACTGTACTGTGTTCCTACTATCAAAATCAAGAAGGTAAGTTCTACATGCATAGTATTTTCTGGGGCACTAGAATTTCTAGATGAGGTGATTTCCTTTAGCAAATGATCCAATCTGTCACCCATTTCATACACAGCTCTTCTTTATGCTTATTAGGCCTTCCTTTATTAAAAAATTTAAACATATTACTCCCTGATAAATAATTCCTCCCTAAATTTGCATATGTTAGTGCAAATTTAGCAAGCATATCACTCACACTGTCATGTTGAATTTAACCTGTGGCTTTGTAAAACAAGAAGGAATGAAATTATACTGAAGTAAAGTCTGCAGTTATGCCCCAAATGAGATGACCCCTTGGAAAAAAAAAAAACATTCTTAAAAGCTGCATAGCCTGAGCACATCACTGAAAACTGATTTTATACTTAAAACTTAGAGAGAATAAAAAGAATAAACTTGGTGGCATAAAACTCATTCCCTTGATGAGGTAGAGGTTTTGCTCAAAGAAAATGATTCACCCAATTTTCCTATTTGAGACTCTTACCAATGCATATGCTGTGAAAATATAAACTTTGACTTGCAAACACAATTTAAAGAGGTTGAGTTGATATTGAATGATAGTTTTCTAGATGCCCTTTAGTCTTTCCAAATAATACTGTAGTTTTTTTCCTCTGGCATCTCCACACCTTAGCTTCTGATTTGTTCTTAATTCTCTTAGAGGCTTAATAAATCTCTGTTTACAGATGCTTCATCGATCCTTGAAGGGGGATTTAGTACAATTCTTCTTGTCTACCATGAAACTCAAGTTCCTGAAACCTAGGAGTACAGTGTTAAAAATACATGTTTTGTATTATAGAGAAGCTTGACATACTGCAGCATCATATTATATTCTAATGAAAGATAAAAATATATAACCAGGTGCCAAGGTAAGGTTTTTTTTTTTTTACCTAGGCAGCTCAAGATGAGAGTATTTTAACATAGTCTCCTGAAAGATGGGGAGAAGACACAGTCATTTAGTTCTGTTGAAGATCTCTAGTGACAAATCAGCCAAATTGAGGATAAAATTACATGAAGACAAATGTCACAATGGGTAAGAGTCTTTGGAGATAGAAAAATAAACAGAAACCACACAGCTGGGTAAAAGCCATACAGGACACACTGAGTAAGAAAATTCTCTATTAATGAATGTTTATAAGTAGTCAGTTTGTTGTATTGTACAAATGTGAAACTGACCGTAGAGGAAATCAGAACATTTTAACAGAGAATCAGTTCCTATGGTGGAGCACTTATTAATATTAGTTCATAAAAGTAAAAGGAATTGTCTTTATTCTCAGATAATCCATCTGCTCTTTTGCTTTATTTGAGGCTACAGACATTCATTTAATAACGTAAACTAGTGTGCCTCCCCAAGTTTTATTTTAGTAAGCTAGGGATTTTCTAAAACTCTGATTTTTTTCCACTGTCAAAACACAAAATTCTCATCAGGATGTATTTAAAGGATATTTTCATTTCATAACAACAAAACAAACAAACAAAAAATCCCAAAACAACAAGCTATCTTCTTTGGAGTTTCAAATGGCACAACAAAGTTATTTTTCATCCTTTCCAACTTCTATGTTCATTTAAATTCAATTATCCAACCACTTCACTCTAGATGGAGAAACTGGGCAGTTAGGGGAAACTCTTGTTTTAGGATGAGCTATTTTTTCTACGTCAGGAACAGACTGAAAGCTTTTTATGCTTCATGAACATTCTGCACTCCTTGAAAGAAAGAAGTATCTGTGCAGAGTATCAGGCTGAAGGATGCTTCTCTCACATACACCTGCTCCGTTTTTTGATGCACTGGCCCACAAATCACCTCTTCATCTTTGTCAACCTCAAAGCCTCTATTCTTCTCCAGTGACCTGAGGCTGATGCAACAAAAGAAGGCAATTCTTAAGAAATGTCAGAGGCCTTTTGCTACCAAAAATAACACCCTGCTAAAACTTGATAGCTAGGAAACTAAAAGGTAATGTTTGTGCTGGTTTTTATGGAGGGCATCTTAAAAATAAGACAACTGAAGCATTGTTAATTCCAATTCCTGTTAATCCAAGGAATGGGGCTATAGGTACCATGTTCTACGAAAAAGGCAGAAGACGGTATAATTATGGAGATTATGGCAGCAGAATCCCCGACTCAGAACACCAGCATTGCCTCACTAGCTGCCATTCACCCCTTCAGCACCCCTGGTTCCTGTTTCTTGGACAGCAGCCAGTCCGTGTCTGCTTTTGGGAACCAGGAGCTTTCCTTTGCTCTGGTGCACCTGGCTTTCTCTGTCTTTACAAGAAAAGACTAAGTTGCCTTCCATTGCATTTACATGTATGCCTTACTACTGCCAAGCTTATATATAATGGTATTAAAAAATGAAACTTAAATTTCAAGTACTTAAATATACATGCACATATAAATTTTTGTATGCACATAAATTACAAAAGACTGTGGAAATATAGAAAATTGTAGATCATGTCTAATTATTTGATATCTGTTAAGCACAAAAAGGCTTGGTAATCCTTAGGACACACTAAAGGAAGGCGCAGAGGATTCACAATTATGCTAGTGCATGCACATATTTGTCGTGTTTTAACTATGCGCTAGGAATCATGCTAAATCCTTTCCATGAATTATTGCGTTTAATCTTTCCAACTCCATAAAAGAGGTAGAATGACCGCAGCTATTTCATAAATGAGAAACAGGCTTAGGGAAGTTCAATAGCCTACTGAATTTGTCATACCTGGTAAGGAGAGGATTTATATTTGAAACTCCTGTCATCTGAAAATTTTGAACAGTTTACAATCCAAAATGGAAAGCCTGCACCTCTTTCCCATTTCTTTCTCGGCTATTTTACCAAAATACGCCTTGAAGAAATTTCCTTTTTTTTTTTTTTTTGCACCGTTCTCTTAAACTCCTGATATGATCAAGTAACAAATATCAGCAAAAGATAACAACAGGTAACCTGGCAATGTTTTCTTGTTATGGGAACAGCAAAGTCCTTGTCAAGCAAAATTATTGCAAATGGTTGCCAAAGTAACCAGTCTAGACTCCTTCAAAATTAAACACAGAAACCGATAAAAAGTTATGTTTGTTTGAAGAACGGGGGATGTGGGGGACACAAAGACCGGTATAGCAACTACTTTTAATAATTTATACCTGCTAAGAGCATGTCCCTTGCCTCCTACCAAGAGTCCCTGGCTAATGTGGATGGTCTTTATCTACCAAACTGTGAACTTCTGAAGGCAAGAACTATGCCTGAACGACTTCTGTACCTCCAGTGGTGCCCAGTATTTATTGAATCAATTTAATTAATTAATTAGGATATATAATCATGGTCTGGCTAGATTGTTACCAAACTCTAAGTCGTGCTGTAAAGTCTCAGGTGATGCATAAAGTAGTGTTTTTCTTTTTCTTTTCAAGAACACAATATATCAGCTGGGAGAAAGTTTAGACAACCAGCTCAACCTTCTTGTTTTACTTTTCCTAAGCATTAAATCTTAAAATGCTCTTTTTTTCAGTTGGAAGAATAGTTTTTTCACTTTTAGAATTTCTGAAATCTACATGGATTAAGAGGAAGCCTCGCAATTAGGCTTTCCTTTGTTCAAGGAGCTGGGGTGAGGAAATTTAAATTAAAGCAATGGAAGTGGAGTGAACAACTGTAGCAGTGTGCTTGAGACTTTGCTCATTTTAGAACTGAAAGTCCACATTCTAGGAAACCCCTCAGTCCTCAGCACGCTAGGATAGTTGCTCACCGTGAAATATGAAAAACGATTTCCATAAAGAGGAGTAATTTCAAGTGGCAGAAATTAATCAGGTAGCAATCATTTTATAAGCTCCTACTTATTGGTTAAGTTTTCATCTTTCTTTTTGTTTGTTTTGTTGTTCTTGTTTTAAGAATGGGTGGATTCAAGAACTCTATGGTTTGAAGGCAAATAAATTTACACCAAAATCAAATATTTATATTCTTAGTTGCATAAGATTTTCTGAGTTAAAATTTGAGAAGAGTCTGGCTTAATGAAGGTAGTGGGTCTTTCTGCAATTTTTTTTATTTTTTACTTCTCTGGTGTACTTGATCTGCAATTATTTAGACAAGAAAAAGACAATGTATTCTATGCCAGAGGAGATACATATCTGATAAGACAAGAAAAAAAGATTGAAATTAAGCAAGGGAAAACTCAAAGAGGCTGCCTAACGAAATCTTTTTCAGACTTGGCTGATCATTAGAATAGCCTAGGGAGCTATGGAAAACTATTCTTTTCTAGAACATATCCCCAGAGATTTTGAATCCCTTGTTCTGGGGTGGGGTGCAAGCACGGGTATTTTTGCACAATTCTCCAGATAAATGTAATATCTATACTGTTATCTTCCCTTGAATTATTGTATTTTTATGGAAATAAATAAATTTAACTTGGAAAAACACAGCCAGAGTAAAATGAGTCTTTTGATTACTAATTGACTAATAATTTGTCTTTTAATATTACTAAACTAAAAACATGTCTGCAAAAAATTAGGTCTTCTTTTAGCCTCGTTAGCAGATGAGAAATTTTAACTCTCTTTTAATAGAAAACTTACATTTTAGCAAATTACTTGAGTGACAATAATAACTAATGGAGACAATGCTTCCATTCCATTTGTTGTGCACAGTATTAACTGTAACTTACTTACATATATATGTATGTGTATATATATATATGTATGTGTATATATATATATATATATATACACACACACACACATACACAGGCATGCATGAAACTGCATCAGAATTGATTTTTTAATCAGATAAGGAAGGGGAACAAATTATCATCAGTAAATTCTTTCTCTAAATTGAAATCCAAGGACATATATGAAGAGAAATGAATATTTGGAATTTTTAATAGGATATGATGGCAACAACCTCTTACATGCTATTTTAAAATTTCTTCTGGTCAATAATGGCTAAATGTTGTAATATACTTATTTCTCAGTGATTCATGCCAGTTGACTAGATAATGAGAGTCTTATACTAGTCAAAATAATTAATATCTTGGAGAAAAAAAATGCATACGTAGGTATTCCTAATGAGGTACTTTTAAAAACCAGATTGAGAAAAGCTTGTTTATTCTCCAAACAATCTCTACTCAAAGTCTATAACTAATCAGATCTAGACACCATATGGGAATAAATATTGTTAATAAGAGGTTAACAATGATATACTGTGAATCTCTTCAGTAAAAGGAAAGGAATGTAACAATACAAGCAAATTTTAAAA
Source organism: Homo sapiens (assembly GCF_000001405.40). Lineage (NCBI taxonomy): Eukaryota > Metazoa > Chordata > Mammalia > Primates > Hominidae > Homo > Homo sapiens. The sequence goes on from NC_000005.10 coordinate 52,546,486, forward strand.
CAAGAAATTAAGAGGATGCTGCAATTCTATTACAGTGAATCAGGGACAAGAATTGTAAGTTTTACTCCATGATTTATGAGACAAGTCACTTTGCTGCCTGTGACCTGATTTTACATTTGAAATGTTGACTTTAAACAAACAAAATCTGATATTAGTATTGTCTACAATAGTTTAGGTTGATCAGCTGATTAGAACAAATCTACCCATTTAATTATATTGGCCAACAAATTTAGAATTAAAGTTCTGAAGTCACAGGCTAAATTTACAAATTTGAGTAGCCATTTCTCAATAGTAAAAATTTCTTAGATTTGTACTATTTAGGATAATAGGAACAGCTGCAAAAAAAAATATACCCCTATGGTGGAGCCACTGCAATATCTTCATAAAAAGATTATTCAATAAAAAGAGTCTAAAATGACAAGAACTTTTCAAATAAAATATTTTTTCAGAAAAACCTAATACTTGTGTTCATATAGTTGGAAAAAAAGAATATTTTGGTAGAAAACATTTCCAGATGATAACCATTTGTTTCCATGATTGCAACTGAGATAAATATTTGGTTTAAACTTATTAGAGTGCCTAAATATCCTGCAAATATTTCCAGCCGATGGTTGTTCTGTCGTCAGATAGATATTGTCCAGCTGTTTCAGCAGAATTTGTGAGCTACAGACATGAGACTTTTACTTCTGATTAGCAGAAGGAAAAGTAATGTTTTTCAGAAAATAATATAACTTGCTCTTTCTCTACCAACTTAAGGTCTGCAAAGAGTATTATTTCTTTTTTCTACTTCAAGTACTAATGGTGTCATCAACTGTTGTAGGAAAACACATAATTTCATGTCCCCAGTCTTGATGGTTAAATTCCTGTTATTTAGCTGTGGTGTCATTTTTCTACCTGAAAAATAACATCTTCTATGTGTCACATGAAAAGTGTAGCCCAATTAGGTAGCAAGAGCTGCCGAACCCCCTTACTAAGAACATTAGCAAACTGTAGAACTCTTTAAAAAGTATGTCGGGAGAAGAAAAGGGAATGGTTCCCATTATTTAATGGTATATTTAGTTGTTACAGATGTATCATATAAAGTGAAACTCATGTTGTTCCTATCAGATGTGGGAAAGCCCAGGTGGGCCTACTGGACATTGAGTGAAGTAAGAATGGTATGCCGCTCATGCAAAAATATATTAGATGCAAAAAAAAAAGTGTAACATGTAAAATAACATGTTTCCCATCATAATGTGACTAAGTGACAGTCTTTTTAAGCTTTTTTCTTTTCTTTCAGCTTTATTGAGGCTTGACAAAATTTGTATATATTTGCAGTGCACAATATGATGTTTTGATGATACATGTATATGCTGTAAAATTATTACCACAATTAAGTAAACTAACCTGTCATCACCTCACATAGTTACTGTGTAGGGATGTGTGTGTGTGTGTCTGTGTGTGTGTGTGTTGAGAATAACACCTGCTTTCTTAGTAAATTCCAAGTATATAATATTGATACGGTCAGGAGGCAGGGAAATTCTGGGCAGAAGAGGGTGGCTCCCAGTGAGGGCCCCACCATCAAACCTGGAGCCATGGCCCAAAGTGAGAACATGCATTTCTGTTTTCCTGCTCGAACATTGCCTTTTCCAAAACCACCCATGGCCCACCCCTTCCCCCATCCTGTGCCCATAAAAACCCCAGAAACCACTTGCAAAGAGGAGAAGAAAAGAAGCAACTGGATGTTGGATACTACAGTTTGACACTGGAGAGAAGCAGCTTGACTTCAGAGACACAGATTCAGAGAGGAGTCCTGCTGGGGATGGCCAAACTTCATGGGAAGATCACCTTCCTGCTCCATCCCCTTTCCAGCTCCCCATCCTGCCAAGAGCCAGTTTCATCAGCAATAAAATCCTCTTCATTCACCACCCTTCAATTCATTCGTGCAACTTGGTTTTTCTGGATGCCAAACAAGAACTCGGGTGCCACAGGTGCAGATGCTAAAGGCTGTCACACTGACCCTCTGCCCTGGCTGGTGGAGAGCAACTGCCTCATGCAAAAAGGCAGATGGCTCACTGAGCTGTTTAGCACTTAAGCCATGGATGGCAAAGCTAAAAGAGTATTGTAACACATGCCCTCTGTGGCTTCAGGTATCATGGGTTCTCCCCTGCTAGTTGCTGCCACAGGGACCACACAGAGTTTTCCTCCTGTGGTGTCCAAAAGCACTCACCCCAGCTCCTGCACCTACTCACCTGCACTCCTACTCCTGAGACAGGTGGAACACAGTGGGACCCAGAGAGTGGAGTCCACCCCTGCCAGCTCAGAAGCGGCCAGCTAGTTCTAGTGTCTGTGTACTCCAGTTTCCACCTGCAAAGGGGTCAGGGAAAATTTTCTGCTTCAGTATGGTATTTGTAACAATAGTCATCATGCTGTAAATTAGGGATGGGAATCCCTTTTAATGCAGAACTTATTCATCTTACATAACTGAAACTTTGTATGCTTTGTTAGTTTTTACTTAAAAACTTGGAGTAAAATACATATGGAAAACAAGTGCTCACTTTGAAATTATGAGATCCATTGTACCTAATGAAATTGGCATCAAGGCTATTTATTAGTAGTAAAGTAAAATGAAATAGTTTAAAAACTATTATCCCATGGTTCAATCAAAGCTCACATGAATATAAACACCCCAACAGGTTATCTAGAAATTCCCAAATATGACCAAAGAAGTAGCAATGATACCATGCTGAAAAGCCTTCTCTTCTATGTTGAAAAGAGGAAAGGTAACATCTATCTTAGCTAATCCACTGTGTGGCTTAGCCAGAAATCTTCAGAGAGGAGTTTGAAAAAAGAAAGTTTCTAAGTCTCTAGCAGTAGTTGTGCTACCTTACCCATGCCCAAACTGCAGATTCTTTGATGTATTGCTATTGGCTTGCAATTTCTTAGGCTAGGCAACAAGACTCTTAATTTCTTCAATTACTCTACCAAGTTAATCGAATAACCAGAAATTTTCCTCACATTTATAAGTTTTTGTTCTCATCAACAGCATTATAAGAAGGCACACAGGCAGAAAGCTTTTCTAGTCTTGTCCATCTCTACCTATTCTATGTCTTCCAATCGTGATTATTAGTTTCTTCTGTTCTACACTTTAACCCAAATGAAAAGGGGGGTTGTTTAGTAAAGCACTGTCTCATACATAGAAGTAAAAAACACTCACATCTGATTCTACTCACTGTTACCTGAACAAATACATACACCTACATTATATATAAGGTACTTTATATATGACATCTTTTTTAAAAATAAATACAAGTGATTTATTTTAACCATAATTATTTGGAGCTTTTGCCTTTGAATGTACTTCACATTTACTGCCATCTCTTTTAATCTACTCTATAATCTTGATTGATAACTAAGCCAGATAGTTATAGGATTAAGGAAACAAACACAAAAAACAGAGGCATAGGGAGATTATGACTTGTCCAATGTCTCAAAATCAGTCAGTGACATAGCAAGTGATCTAACACTCAGGTGTTTTGGCCCATGGCTCTTTTCACTAAGCAAGAGATTAACTAGATTCAGAGCAAATAGCATTTTTCAGGATTTGTTTCAAAATATCAAAGATGGTGATCTGGTAGAAATTTAAAAATATTAAGTGCTTACTAACAATAATGTTTAAAGCTTCTTTTGAAGAGAAAATTCAGGCTAGAAATGAGTCTAAGTGTTAGAATTTTTTGAACTGTTTTTTTGAACACATCTTGCTTGTACTATACTGTTATTCAAATTGTTAAATTCAAATATTGTATCTCTTTCACCGGATTGTAAATATGTGAACATCATGAAGAACCAGTGTAGTCAAGGTTCTTGACTACACACACACACACACACACAATGAGAAACACAATTCCTTGCAAATAGAATACTCAATAAATGTTTGAATAGGTATATAGATTTCTCAAGTAAATGACCAAATAATTCCGAGAAACATCTGGAATAACAGTTAGCAATTATGTACTCTCTCTGGGTTTATTCAGAATTTGCTTCACCTCTTTCACCAAAATTTCACTTTTTCATGCACAAACCCATATTTGGATTGCTGGAAAAACTTCTTATCTAATCTCCAAAATACACATCCTATATATTTATATGAGCTGTGATTACAAGCAGCATTCACTAAACCAACCAATATGTGTCATGGACCAAACTGGGTTATGGCTTTCCTCTGTCAGAATAGCACACATTTCCTCCTCTTTCCTTCTCCTCTCATACTTCACAGGAAAGGCAGATTTAGACTGAGATGCAATGGACTTTGTATTGGTACACATTTTGTCAGAGAATATAGGAATCTTCTCTGATCCACCCAGCTCCTCAGTCATTGACAGTTTATTCTCAAATAAATAACTGGGCAAATCAGATTAAATGAAAGACTATACAATGACTAAAAGAGGAGCAAGATATAGCAAGATATCTTTGCATTATCAACATTATCAAAGTGTCATTGCCATCAATCCCTTCACTTTTAATACAGATATATCTGCCAAACCCATCCACTCTGTTCTATTTTTACTATATCCACTTTCTGCACTCAAACCTGTATCAGCTCTCACCAGACAACTATAATAGCTTCATAACTGATCTCCATAGATCCACTCTTACTCTTTCACCATGACATTTCCAATCCACTTATCACAGAAGAGTCACAGCAATGTTTTTAAAATGCAAATAAGATCCTCTGACACTGCCAAGGTTTCCCTTTGTACTTTGAATCAAAACAAAGATTCCTAACACAGCTTTTTTAAAAGGCTGAATTATCTGACCTCCACAGTATCAGCTCCCATGGATTCAGGTATTTCTTCTTGCATAATGAGGCATCCAAAACCATAGTGGCTGAATTAACATGATCATTTATTTGCTCACAATTTTGCAATGTGAGGAGGACTTGGAAGGGACAGCTCATCTCTGCTGTGTATGGCATCTGCTGGGGCCACTCAACTGAGGCTGGAGGGTGAATTTCCAAGATGATTCACTCATATGTCTAGAAAGTTAATTTGTCTGTAGGTTGGGAGCTTAGCAAGAGCTGTGGGCAAGGACTCTCAATTATCCTCTAAATGAGCCCCTCCTCATTGCTGATTGGGCTTTCTCACAGTATGGCAGCTAGGTTTCAAGAAGCAGAAAATTGAAGCTGCTTGTCTTTTTAAATTACATATTCAGAGCATGTACAATGTCATTCCTAACATATTTTATTCACAAAGTAGTAGTCACAGGCCCAGCCCAGATTCAAGTGGGTGGATATTTAAGACTCACCTAACAGTGGGAATAGTGACAAAGAATTTGCCAGGATCCTTAATTTCTCAAACCCGTCATGTACCTTCTTTCTTTTTTCTATTCTTCTGGCATCTATTTGCATAATGATAGAATTATGTGTGGGTAAAACAATTTAAGAAAATATACATATATTTGTATCTGTTCTCCATGGCTATATCCTGGATGAAAGGGTGTATCTGTGAAATGTAGCCCTAGCTTACATTATCACCCTTAATATTAATAATGAAGATATACCTCAAAATACAGCTCTGAGGCACAACGTAAATTTGCCACACCTGCTTTCTTGTAAGCTTCTCACAACCCTGTTACTCAGTTTGTGAAATATCTGACTATACCAGTCTAACAGCCAGCAAATGAAAGAGTAGGCTGGCATAAGAATACAGGGAGAAAAGAAAAAGAGGAATTAAGAGAGAGAGATAAAGGAGAAAATAGTAGAAGCCTTAATTAAATATGATTAATTCTGCACAATCTCTTTAGCTCTACATTACTTTAACTCAGATATATTTAATCAAACCTACTTATTTGGCAAAATTTCCCCTTCAAATAAAACCACCAAAAATATTTATATATCTAAAATAAAATCAAAATAGGCAATTTTGGCCAGGCATGGTGGCTCATGCTTTTAATCCCAGCACTTTGGGAGGCGGAGGTGGGCAGATCACTTGAGGTCAGGGGTTGGAGACCAGCCGGGCCAACATAGTGAAACCCCGTATCTACTAAAATTACAAAAATCAGCTGGGTGTGGTAGTGTGCACCGGTAGTCCCAGCTACTTGGGTGGCTGAGGGGGAGAGGATCACCTCAACCCAGAGGCAGAGGTTGCAGTGAGCCAAGAGCACACCACTGCACTCTAGCATGGGTGACAGAGCAGGACTTCATCTCAAAAAAAAAAAAAAAAAAAGTCAGTTTCAAAGAACAAAATCAGCAAAAATGACCAACAAAAATTATGACTATTTGGAAATTAATTCATAATACTGTGCTTTGATTAAGAAATAATGTGTGCCCAATTACTTGTTTTGAAAGCAGACATAAACCAGATAAATTAGACAGAGATTGAAGCATGATGTTATACACAATAGAGATTCATTTGTTTTCTTTCCACTTAAGAAAAATCTATTTCAAAACACAAAATGTATGAAAAATTTATCATGTTACCATTGTGGTTAGTAAAAGTGTATACGGACTGGTCAAGCCAACTCATATTTCTGGAACAATTTTTATATTGAATTAATAATTATCTAAACTATTGAAATGCTTAATGAAACATTATAAATTGGTTCTCCATAAAATTGTACCAATTGTGAATGCCCAGGAGGAAAATAAAATAGTCATTTTAAGTTGCATTTCTTATATATAATTTTCTTTTCCTACAAAGATAACTTTCCATACCATATTGCATATGTAGGCTAGAATCTAGTGTGACATGCAAAAAAAGTGTGTGGTAAGAATATGAAGAACCCACAAGAAGAGTCAAAGTATCATAAATTAGCTTCAGCCCATTTTGAAGGTGAAGTTTTATACATCCTTTGAATGGGAGACAAGAACTAGGGCTCTGACTAGACTTGAAAAGAGAGAGTAAGGTTGCTTGCATAAGCTTATTTTCTGGGTAATAGAAAGTTATCTGACCTTAAACAATTTAGCTGCCATGATTACACAATATACAGAATTCATTAGAAAACCATCTCTTCCACTTTTCTGTAAAGTTTGTACTTTAAATTAATACTTCTGAAAACTAATGATTTGCCAGATGCCTTTTTTTCCCCAGGAACACTACATACATAAACATTAGTAATTGTATAGGCTATCATTAGAAGAGAGAGAGCTGGATAGAAATGAGAGTATTTTACAAAGAGGTGGAATACTTCTAAGAAAGCCTTTGTTTTTGTCACCATATATCCTACGGCAAGCTTGTGAGATAATTCTAATAAGTAACCACATCTTTGGATGCTATGAAGTTAAAGAACACAAAGTATCAGGAAAGGATAAAACCAAATGGCTAGAAATAACCATTAAACTGTTAAACATTTCACTCAGTGGGATATTTTGGATTTTATTAAAAATTAAATCATGGGAAAATAAGCTTAATAAAAAGTTCAGTGAAAAACATATTAAAAAATACATTCTGTATACAACTATTATATCTATTCTACATACACACCTACAGTATATAAGCGTATATAATAATAGTATGATGTGATAATAGATGAACATTTTTCTTCCCATAATTTAAATTATTTTAAAGCTACATTATGTCTTTCATTAAAAAGAAGAAACAGTGAGTAGGCAAATAACTATTTTTGGAAAAAATAAACACTAAAAAAGAACTCTTAGGGCAAAATAGAACATGACACTATAAACATAGACAGCATATTCCTATCCTATTGAAAGGAAAAATAGGCCAGATCTAGAAGGAAAGTAAAGCAAGGGGCTATGCAAATTATTGATCAAAGAATTAGTTCAGGATACAGACTGTTAAGGAACTAAAACCTGATTTAAGCCATGAATATCTGCACTAGATGGTTTTCTTCAAAATTTCCAAATCCAACATTGCTCACAATATCACACAGCATTTTCCATTCCACTAAAGTGAAACCTTGCCAGGTTTCTTCTTCTCATATTAGTCCACTTCTCCATCTGAGTCTCAATTTCATGCCAAGGTGCTGACTTAGCAGAAACACCATGCGTAGTGGCATGGTGACTTCTACTCCAAACCACGAGACACTTTTCATTTATATTCATCAAAGAAGTACTCCACAGGCATCAAACCATGTACCCAGATCTCAGTTTGTTATTTGATTATCCAACTTAATCCCATTAGACACTGATCTTTTAAATAGCACAAAAACTGCTGACAAAATGCCTCTGCAAACATTAAAAACTCCCTATGTGAGGAGTATTCAATTTCACAATTAGCCTTAGTAAAAACTAGTGTTTACATTTATTTAAATATTAATCAGAAACAATTTTAAATGAAAATGAAAAGCATTGAGTATCTTAAAAAGACATAGTGCAATTTAGTGAGATAAGCTGATCTCTCTTCTTTTACACTTAGAACTATCTGGGGATTCTCCTGGAGCACCATTGCCATAAAATGGCCAGTGGTTTAGTCCTACAGAAACCTATATTTAAAGTCTCTTCCCAATTTATGAAAAATTCCTAACTTCTGTTTGTCACTAAACTATGTTTTAGAGGGTATGCATACTGTAAATAGTGTTAGGCAATAAAAAGTAAGATACACAGGCAGAAAATAAAATATCTATTACTGTTTCAGAATTCAAAATATCTTAAGAAAAAAGTAACTGTAAGCTATATACAAGGAAAAGCCACAAGAACTCTTTTAGATAAACAAAATCAGCTGAAAACCAACATCTTAAAATCTTAAAACATCATGTAATTGTGTACAGATGAGATGATCAGTAAAGCGGTGATTGTGGGCTACTCGGTAAAATATTAATCTAGAAAAAGAAATAAAAAAATCTTCTTTTTTGGTGACTGATATTAATAGAGTACCAGACCAAAGCCAGAAGAGCCACATCATGAACAAAGCTGATTATTGACTCACGACTCCATTTTCTCATCAGCCAAATGGGTCGAAAGAGCAATCTCATCAAATCTCTCAATTCACAGGGAGTGTAGGGCAAGTATTATTCTAATATTATTATAGAAGTGCACTTGTGGAAAGCAAGGCTTTATAAATGCTGAGGACTTCCTCTTTTTAACCTATGTTATATTCTTTACTAAAAAGACTAAGAAACAGAATAAAAGAACATTTTTTAAAGCACACTTTTACATAAAAAGTTTCCATAAAACCTAATAGGATTTGTGTGTGTGTGTGTGTGTGTGAAACACAAGTAATATGAATAGAAAATGTTTCTAGAGCCAAAATAGTATATTGACAAATATTATAAAATATTCACAACACAAATGAGTTTTTCCATGTAAAATAGCAAATATTAAATAGCAGTTCTCCTGAAAAGACAAATTTAATTTTCAGTCGTGCCTCACTGGTTTTAGTACCATTTCATGAGGGAAGAAAAAGTAAAACATCTCGGGCTAAATTAAAATTATGCCTAAATTGAGTAATAAACAAATTCCTCACTTGTCCTTAGCTTTCATCTCTATTTCCTTGATTTTTTTAATGGTGCTTAACCTATTGTATATGTAATCATTTAACATTTGCTGTGCACCTACTAGGCACCAAGCTCTGGTCTAGGTATTTGAGCTGATAATAGGGAAAATGAGATATAGTCCCTCACTTTGAGGGGTCACTGCTTATTGGAGGATACCAGCATGTAAATTTCCCACAATGAGGAAATACACACTGTTGGTGAGAGTGGAGACTGACAGATCCATTTTGGAAAAAAAATGTCTTTTTCTTCTAAAGTTGAATAGGCATGTAGTCTTACATATAGCAACTCCACCGCTAGATATATGCCCTAAACTAATTATTGCACATGTTCATTTCTGGAATGCTCAACAATGCTCATAACATAATATTTAAAAATTGAAAGGAACTCAAGCATTTACCTTTAAGAAAATATACAAATAGGACCAGTGCGGTGGCTCACTCCTGTAATCCCAACACTTTGGGAGGCCAAGGTGGGTGGATCACAAGGTCAGGAGTTCGAGACCAGCCTGCCCAATCTGGTGAAACCTCGTCTCTACTAAAAACACAAAAGTTAGCAGGGTGTGGGGGCGGGTGCCTGTAGTCCCAGCTACTCGGGAGGTTGAGGCAGGAGAGTCATTTGAACCCAGGAGGTAGAGGTTGCATTGCGCCATTGCACTCCAGCCTGTGCAACAGAGCAAGACTCCATCTCAAAAAAAAAGACAGAAAAAAAAATACAAATACATGTGACATAGTTTAAAATGAAATATAATACAACTGTGAAAATGAATTACCCTCAGCCCATAGGCAATATCCAAAGAATCTTAGAAATATAGTCTTGAGTAAGCAAAAGAAACTGCGGTAGACAATATACAATACGATAGGATTTGAATGAGACTCAAAAATATACGCATTATATTTTTAAAGACACATACATTCCTAGTTATACTATTTTAAAGAGCAAAAGAAATATAAACACTAAATTCAACATAGTGATTAAATTTGATGGGAGGCAGTTGGTGGCAGTGAGGAAGTACATCCAGGTAGTTTCAAAAGAATTTTCATAATCTAGTTCATCAGGTGTTTGATGGAATTACAATTCAATTATAATTCTTCTTCATTTCTTATGTGTTACCTATTTTTGTTTTCATCAAACATCTCAAAATGAAAATTCAATAATTAAAACTTCAAATGCCATGGAATGTCAGTAATTATTCCTGAAGGTATTAGGAAAATAATCCATGGAATTTTAGCAGGGCTATAAAGATAAATTAATTTTCTAGGAGTACAAGAGCAAACCAAAGGCAGGAAAGGCAAGAAAGAGAGTGAACAATGGTCCAGGGATGTGAAAGAGGAGCACACCAAGAGAAGCGTGAAACCGTGTTGGGCTGGAGGAGAGGACGTGCAGGAGAAGAGGCAGAAGAAGATGCTGACAAAGGAACCCCTCACTTCTGTGGAAGGTCTTAGATGCCACAAAAGGAAGATTATCTTGTAGGTAATGGCATGATGCTGATGGCTTGTTTTAAAGCAGGTAAAGTTATGAGAGAATAATTTTTCGGATAACAATGGTGACAGACTATGGAAAAGAATTAGTGGGAAAAGACAGTGTCAGTGACAGCAATTAAAAGAGTCATGTGATAATCGAGGTGATATAAGATGAAGGTTTGAATAATGATTTTAGCAGTAGAGAAGGAGAGGGAAAAAGACAGGTGTAAAGACCTTAAAAGGATAGATTTGGCAATTCAACAGATGTAGGCTGTTAGGGAGAATTAAGAGCCACATACAACCATAAGTTTTTTAAATATTTGATAGGTTAGTGGATGATGAAAAAAAGAAGAATATAGCTTGGCAGGGAAGATAATAAATTCAGCTTGGGACTTGCTGGGGTTGAGAAGTTTTGGGAGACCCATGTGATGTTGGTAGATGCTTGAAAATACAATAGCAAGTTGATACAGAAATTTAAATTTGTGCACTTTAATTAGTAGTCATGACCAAGGAATAATATGATATCCTTTACATAGAAAGTAGAGATTAAGATGTGAAGAATACCAAGGATGGATGAAACTCTGGAAAACAGAAAGAGACAGAAAGTGAGAAACAGAAAACAAAGGTGAAGAGCATTAGACTATAGAGCCAGAATGCCAAGATTTGTAATATTCCCTCTACCATCCTTAGGCAGCCTCCTAACTCCTCTTGGCTTTAGGTTTCCCAGCTGCAAAATGAAAATAAGAACAATATTTACTTCACAGGATTATCGTGTGGGTTGTATTAGTCAATATGTGTAAAATGTTTCATATGTATTTTTTTACCCGTTCAACAATTTATTAAGCATGTACTATAGCCCAGGCTACTAGGCCTGATTGTGTGGACTGCAATTATCTATTGTCTTAAGGGTACTTGTACATATGTTGTGACTGGAAAATACTGAAAGTCCAGCTTGCTGCCACCACAACCCTCCCCAAACCACCCAATATTTCTCCCATCTATTGATTTATATCAGAATGCCCCTTAACTGATGACAAAACTTCCAATCCACAATACTAGATGTCTTAAAATGCAAAGTATTGGAAAAGTAACATAGTAACTTAAAATTACATTAAAGAGTATAGGGCTACACTTTGATCTTTTCCTGAGAACATAGGTTGAAAGCTGTAAGAAAAAAAGTGAGAAAAATGAGAAGGCATTGAGCACTTCAAGTGGAGTAAAAACCCAGGCCAGAATAGAAAGATAAGGCTGGGGAACTCTCAACTCCACTATTTGCATTGAATTAGTTCTTTTTCACCTAAAAGTTATGCAGATCAATATTTTTCCCTCACAACAAGAAATCACTCTACTATTAAACCTCAGTTTCCTCCTGGGTGGATTAAGTGATATAATACACATAACATACTTAGCATTGTGCCTGTCACATAATACATGCTCAATAAATGTTGTCTATAAATATGGATTCATTGGGCTGTGCAAACACACCTGCTAGCTCATGGTAATCCTATCCCATTATCTCCCGTTAACGTAACACATGCTTGTCAAGAAACATTCTGCAGGATGACTTATGAAAGTGCGTTTCTGTGCTCAGATAAGAAAAGATGATAGTTATAAAGTAATAATAATAATAAAGAGTACTTACAGTGTGCTACATACCATGCTATCATTTTACATGCAATACTTAGTGCATGAAGTTGTCTATGAATTGCTTTTTCCATTACCAAGTAAAAAGCTTAGGATGTAGTTACTTATGAAAGATAAGATGGTTCCAGAAGTTGTAAATGTACCAAATAAAAAATTAAATCAAAATAGAGAAAGTTAATGTGTGAGAAATTTGGCATTTCATTACTATTATTGTATTAGTTTGTTTTCAAACTGCTGATAAAGACATACCTGAGACCAGGTAGAAAAAGAAGTTTAATTGGACTTACAGTTCCACGTGGCTGGGGAGGCCTCAGAATCATGGCAGGAGGTGAAAGGCACTTCTGACCTGGCAGCGGCAAGAGAAAATGAGGAAGAAGCAAAAGCAGAAAACCCTGATAAACCCATCAGATCTTGTGAGACTTATTCACTATCACAAGAATAGCACGGGAAAGACCAGCCCCCAGGATTCCATTACCTTCTGCTGGGTACTTCCCACAACACGTGGGAATTCTGGGAGATACAATTCAAGCTGAGATTTGGGTGGGGACACAGCCAAACCATATCAATTATCAAAGGATGACATTGTCATGAAGAAAGTCTACTTCAGCACAATATGCTCTCTTTTCCCTATTTATTTTCCTTCATTCCTCTTGAAAGTACTAGCCAATGACTATAAATTCATGTTGTTTTTCAGCAACTTAAAGATAGTTGACATTTCAGACATTTTGCAACCCTCATTCTCCTACTTCTCATTAGTTTCAATTCCAAGATTTGAAAGCCATCTAATTGCATGCTCAATATTTTTAAGATTATTTTATTAAAAAAATGAAAGGACAACTTTTCACATAGCTAAAGCATAAAAAGTTGAAGCCTGAAAAACTGTATGTAAGAAAGGAAGAAATTTTTGAAGCCCAATCTTCTGATGCTTCTTTTAATGTGAGTTCAGGGTTCAATGTTTCTTTAAGGAGAAACTCAACAAAATAAAGATAAACAGAAACATATTTCAAGTTAACCATCATTAGAGCAGTAACTTATGCACCTAAAGTTTGACTGAAATCACATTTGATTTCTCAGTCAAAAGGTTTCCTCATTTTTTGATGCCAAAATTTTGTTTAAAATTACAATTATTCTTTAAAAATCAGCAATAATTTTATAACAGAAATACAGTGTTGATGCTTTATGTACAATTAGATAAACATTTTTTCAGTGACTATGTAGTGATAAGAACATAGAATAAATGAAGGCTAAAACAATTTGATTCCAGTTTTAATTGCATTTGATAAGAGTGAGACAAAGAAAACCATGACAATTGGCAGAATTTTCTTCTTTTGATAAATTACCTGCTTCAGGTAAGATTATGTTTTGTTTTTATGTTCTTCTAAATATTTTTCACAATAAATTGGTTTTGTTATTTATTTTCAATTTGTATTTTGAGTAGAGGAAAGGGATATTTGATTTTAAAATAAGAATGAGTCATGCAAAAATAACCACTGACCAGAAGGCATCTGCACATGGCAGAAGATTATATAAAATAGACTTTTGCTGCCCTCTTTTGGAATAAATAAGTGAACAATACCACTTTTGATTCCAGGCATTCTACTATTGTCTGTATCTTACCACTACCACGTTGCTTAGAAAACAAAGGGATAGCACTCAATTATCAAATGCCCTGTTACTAAAAAAAAAAAGGATATTTATTTTAATTTAATGGATGCAAAAATTAAAATGTTATTTAGCAAAATATTATTTAACAGCATACTAAATGAAAGTATAATTCATCTCAATATACAAATCCAGCTTAGATGATAACCCCACAAGCTAAAACAGTAATCTTATAATCAATATTTTAGGTTTTATGTAGCCTTATAAATTGTCATAATTACATAAGTACAAATTTGAAGTATAAAAATAATGATTGATTTAATTACAAAAAATTAGGAAAGCTTTTAACCTACTATAATTAGGAAGAATATGAGTTTACATAGATGAATGTTTTAATGATGGCAAATAGTTATAATTTTTAACATTCATATGGTTAGCAAGTGTTTTGATATAGGCATCTAACTATCATAGAATAACAGTCAGTTGGATTGTAAAAGTGATACCTAAAAAGGAATGAAGATTACTGATTATAAGATTTCATAAATTATATAGCTCTTTTATTGATTTAATCTATTTACATAAAATTATAGATGAAAATATACTAATCTCTGCTAACATATGAAATTTTGGTCCTAGCTCTTAATGTGCTTTATTGAAGGCAAGATTTTTGGAAATTTCTGAGTATATTTTAATTTTTATTATGTTTATACCCATTTTAACAATAATGTTTAAACTTGCACATTACTATCATCCAAATGTAGTACTCTAATATTGAATGAGGCTATAGAGTCTTTAAAGAGTAGATAAATTCAAACAAAGCTTAGTTGATCCTACCGTTGATCACCCTTTCCTTCCCTGACCAGAAAAACTAACACCAACAAAAATGCATGACCTAACATATTAAACTTCAGTCATAACAACTATAAATTATATCTGGCGCCAAACAGAACAAAATAAGATCAATAAAATTAAATATATGTATACGCTTTTGCTGAGATGGACAAAAAACAACCAAATACAGTGTATATTAAAAGTCATAAGAATGTTGAAACCTGATTATATTTCTCAACAGTACAAGCCCTTTTAGAAGGATGTACCTTGCAAATCTGATGAAATTAATAACTACACATTGTAATTTTAGTCGGAAATAGCCCAGGGTTTCAGAATACTAGGAAATACCAACAACAATCGGAACTCAAAGCAGCAACAAACAAAGCAGTTAAGTGGACTTCAGGCAAGACAAACATGTGGCCAAAATCCTCATAATTAAAAAGTAACCATTTTTTGCTTGAGAAAAACTTAGTTTTTGATCATATTAAGAAATGGAGTTTAAGAAAATCTTATCCACAGAATTAAACTCTTCCACAGTAGGGGACAAATTACCGACTGCAGTTTTGTGTATGAACAAAAGCCTTGCTGTAATTTTTCCATATAAACAGAAAATTCCAAAAATCTTGCCCTCAATAAAACATGCTAAGAGCTAGGACCAAAAATTCCATATGCTAGCAGAGACTAGCATATTTTTATATATAACTTTATGTGAGTAAATTAAATCAATAAAAGATTTATATAATTTATGAAATCTTATGATCAGTAATCTTTATTCCCTTTTAGGTGATATTTTGCAAGCCAACTTACTATTATTCTACTACACTTAGATGCCTACATCAAAACACTAGTTAACCAAATAAATATTAGTAATTATAAATATTTGCCACCATTAAAACCTTCATCTATTTAAAAACTCATAAATATATTTCAATTCCGTTATTGTTATTTTTCAAAAGTAATGTAATACTTCAACGCAGCTGTCAAACAAAAATTATCAACTGATTGGCAAAGGTTATATTATTAAAAGTAAATAAAATTTCTGGATAAACTAGAAATTGGGCTGGAAGGCCATCAGGGCAATGAGGTATAAATAAAGCTGTGTGATCTCGTTGTAGGAGTCAAAATACCCAGGTGCAAGGAACCATATTGGATGTTGTAGAATAAGCCTAGATCTATAGATAACTAATTTGTTTGATTTGGGGTAAGAAATTAAATAGACTTTGTCTAGACAGAATGACCTCACTGCATACATTTGCTGCCACAGAAACCAGAATCTAATGAAAATTTCAAATTACTTTATTAGATAAAAGTCTTTAGCTAAGCATATATGTTGTTTTCTATAAGGCTCTAGCAATTCCACTGTGGCAGTAGTAAATTTCACTCTGCATTAAAAACAGTGGAAAAGTCCTGTGAAGTGAATTAACAAATTGTACAGAATTCACAACACTCTTATTTATTACTTTTTTGTTGTTGATTTCTATTTAAATTTACTGCTATAATAAATAATGATGCAGTGCTTGTAGGATTCTCCAGACTACATTTGCTGATTTCAGGATATGTTGTACAATGTTTAAACAAATAATGGCAAAAATGAGAACATAAAGAAAATCCGAATTTGTTTTTATTATCTATTTCTAATATGATTGTGTGTGGTTGTGCGTTGCTTTGTTTTAAATTTAATCTAGTCATTTCTGCTGTCCATTTGATTATACTTTGCTATGTTGGGGGAGTGGAATATCTAAATGAAGAAAGATATACAGAAAGATATGAATGACACTTTAGAGTTAGTTAGGATTGAAACTCCTCCTTGATGGGTAGAAAGTGTCAGTAACATAATTGTCAAGAGAAATTAGCAATTCCAGAGGAGCTAGGCTGACAGCAAAACTAAACTTTATATTTGTGCCATTCATATTATCTTTGCATATAACCAGCATGTTCTGATTCACATAGCAACGGAAAGATCACATTCTGAAAACTCAATCTAAAGTGGTGAAAGAGATTGGAGTACTTTAAAATACAAATAAACGCATCAATGGGCAAATGGCCATGGTGAAAAATTTAAGGAAGAAACAATGATTACTGTGGCTATTGGAGCTCTGAAAAAGATATACTGGTTTAAGTAAATGTGTTGTGATTTTACAAGTTGTATATGTTAGCAGGTATAATTTCTATGAAGTAATTCCAGATTCTTAGTGACAGTAAAGCAATTTTTACTGCTTCATACTTTGTAAACTAAAGACAAAACATGAAATATAGCAGAAGAGACATAAGTATATAGAAGATCCCTTAATTAAAAAAAAAAAAATTCCTGCTGATCCTGCTACTTCCAGCAGAGCTGAAAAGTCCACAGGCGATCAACATTTCAGCATTCCTTAATGCTATAGCTACTTGGTGGAGTTTTTTTTTTTTTTTCCCTAGTTATTGGCTGCTGCCTGCAATCAATTTCTATTGCCATTGGCAAGTGAAACCCACAACACCCTTCTCTCAAGGCTTGGCATAAAAACACAACTGTGACTTGGCTCAGAGTGACCTGCAGTTTCTATTCTTTGCTAGACTACTGGTGTGGAGGGAAAAATGCACAGGCACAGAGCACCAGAGGCAGGCTAGGGATGCGGTGAGACAAGGATGTCACTTACCGTTTCTTGTGCATGGTGCCAGAGAAAATATCAGGATGCAAAGGGAACTATGTAAAGGGCAGAAACAGGATTTAATATTACAAACCCCAAATCCCTCGCCCAAAACATACAAGAAGCTGCCAAAATTTAGCTCCTTTTCTATGAGAACTTGGGTTTCCCATCTTGGGACATCACATTGGTTATAGGGGTTCATGGTGGAAGGCAGGGTTTTGATGGGAAGAATTAATGTTTTAAAAGACAGGTTATAATACATGGAGTACAGTGGCTGTAGAAAAGAAGTAAAGAAGTAAAAGCAGATCATGGAGTCCACCATCTGAAGCCATTAAAGCAGCAGCCCTCCTGGTCCTAGCATGGCCAAATGGTGTCCATAGGTCAGGGAAAGAGTCATATATGCCAGCTCTATTTGTGGCATTCTTTATGCTTCTCAATGCAGAGCAAGATAACCTGGCAGCCCTATTATACAGAATATATTTTGTCCAAAAAATTGCTGGCCACAGCATCTGGTAGCAACTCTTTGTCACTACTCAAAAAGCATTACTCCCTTCTTTCTTGCTAGGAGAGCCCCAGTGTCATTTGTGTGATGATGTAATCAGCCCCAAGGAATAAATCCTATTTAGTAGTCATGAATATTCCATTTTGCCCAAGGATTTGTGCAAAGGGTGTGTACATAACCCAATTGTGGGTCACTAAGCTGAAAAAAAGTTGGCTGGTGGACAGAATAGCAGTGATAAAGAAAATGTTCCTTTTTCTGTCTTTGCCTTCCTGTCCTGTTTTCTACCTAAAATGCTGCTGTGGGAGGTTTAGATAAGATAAGGCTTAGAATTCTGGCTACCACTGTGGCTGTGAGCAGGGACATTTCTGATCCTCTGAGTAGGACAAAGTGAAAAGACAGAAAAGCTTGGATCATGTAACATCACTGAGCTGCTACAACCATCCTCTACTATCACACCTCTTGTTACTTACAATAATTAAATGTTTATATGGTCTAAGCTCTTGTTGTTAGAGTATTCTATTACCTGAAGCAAAATTCAGTCCTCACAGTTACATAGCAGTGGTGCTGGAGGTTTAGGTAAAATAGTAGAAACTATTGTTGTGAATGGGAGTATCCTGGTTAGGCAAAGAGCAAGGCTGTTACAGGAAATCTCAGCAATTAGTTGAGATAATTGAGTGTGATTTTCTTTGGGTCTAGAAACTGCTATATTCGTAGAGTACCTGATTGATGTTTCCCATTCCACACATTCATATTTTAAGGGAGGTTATGTTACTGCCCAAATGGCCAGTTTCAAGAACACTCGCAAACTCTGCAGCTGATCCAGAAGAAGATCTGTGAGGGCTGGTAGAGGGTCCAGGTGTCTAACATGTAGAAACCAAGCTAATTATTGAGTAAGAAACAGCAAATTATTTTCTATAACTTAATTAATTTCTGGCTTGCAAAGCCTTATTCATCATCACTCCTCCTCAGAGTCCTGTCCGGGTTCTAGAATCTTCGGTGTTAAGGCATCTATGTGCGAGAGAATCCTTTGCACATTAGTTCATCCTCTATCTGCTGAAACACCCTCTGTCTCCATTATCATGGCCACATTAAAGTCAACAGGTTTTAATACTTTAATGCCACAGTGAGAACACAGACATCCTTGCCAAGATGGCCATTTTCCTGAAGTTCTGCTGCCTACTCACTAAGCTGCCAAAAGACAAAGCTGATTCTCATACGTTTTCAGGATTTACAAACTATATCCTCTCCAATGGTCTCTCACAGCTCATAGCCCAGAAGAATCTCAGTCTAGTGTGAGTTAAAGCTTTCATCTCCTCCATTTCTTGGAAAGCTTCTCCAAAGTACTCTCTATACCTATTCACCTCCTTTCTTTCACCTCCTTTCTTTCACCTCCTACACAAACCCTCTCAGTTTTCCTAAGGCATTTGGCTTTGAAAGCCCAAGTTAAAGAAGGAGGGACGGTGAGGAGGGAGGCTTGTGGACTAGCTATGGTGTCCTCCCCAACACACTCACACATTAATCACCCCTATACTACTCACATGGGATGCAAGAGCCTGCTTGACTGAGGGCAAAGCAAAAAGGGAAATACAATAACAAAAGATTACAAGTAAATATCCCTAAATATTTCCCAGTCGTGTTGGCAGATGTGAAGAATCTATTTTTTTCTTTTCACGTGTAGCACATGAAAAAGTCTGCTTGGGAGGTAAAGAACTAAAGAAACTTTGCTATGATTTCGTGTGTATGTATTCATTGAAAATGGCCTTGTTTGGGGTTTCAAACAGTGAGTGATCCCACTGGAGAAATCTAAGGCTCTTGAGTACAAATCAGTTACTATGGCACCCTTAAGATTTGAAGGCAACTCCTCTTCTTCTATGTTAGAAAATCTACTCTGGGAAGTCATATATTCTAGGAAATGGAACTGAACGGGAAAATAGTAAGGCAGAGTGGAGTAAAAAATGGAGCAGTGGTCTTGGTGGAGATGTACGGTGCTTCTTGGAGGAAGCAGGGTCAGGCGTTTTCACCTAGAACTGTGTGAAGACCCAAAGGGAGGTATGGGTTACAGATGACTGAATATTGGACAGCACCATTTTCTTTATGTACTCTTCTGTTTTCTATCTACATGGAGGTTGTTCCTAGGATGACATGATCTTCAGGAGTGGTGGAAGGTGAGTAGTGCCTACTGCCACAGTGGTAGATATTGACTTGCCAAACCATTGAACATGGCTTTGTCCGTGAAAATTCTTGAAATTAGAACACCACTTAGGAGTAAAGTCTACCAGCCTCAGTTACTTAGAGATAGAAAATACCTCCCAGGTCCACACTCCTGTTCATGGCCCAAACACTAGGAGGAAGATTATAAGGTTTCACGAACCCAGATCTGTCCCCTAATTTCTTGGTAATTTGGATGAGTTAACTAGGGTTAACAACAACTCTGGCCTGAAAAACCAGCTTCAAAGGGGTCCATATGACCCTATTATGTGCCATGTGTCTTCAGTCTACTTATCAAAGTTATCTTTTTATAAATAGTTCTCTTCTATGACTAACCAAGTGACACTTCTCATGGGAAAATAATTGGCATATGAAAAGACAAGTAATCATGCTACTTAGCTTCTTAATGTGAAATGCATTTAATGTAATTGCTAATCAATTTTTACCAGAAATTTGTATAATCTTTGAGATTTGAGATATATCCATTTTTTTCAAGTGGCATATCTTCATAAAGGGTTCATTTTTGTCTGAAAAAAACTTATCTATCATCAAATAACAATTAAATACTATTAATTACTAGTTATTAGTCATTGATTAATTTTAGTCAATAAAAAACGAACCATTTATTAATGGTGATAAATAGACTACTATTAACTATTGGGAAGAAAAACACCAATAAATAATAATTTTATCTATTTAATGTGAAATACATTTAACATAATTGCTGATAATATATCCTAGAACAATCATGTGGCCTATGATTTCTTCATAGCATAAATTGCTTCCTTATGGCATAGTATGTTTTCATAAAACATTTTTTTGAGGGAAAACTGTCCTAGTCATCAAATAATAATCAATCAGCCACTTGTAATTTAATGTAAGCTGTTTGTGCCTTGAACTTATCTATTAGTTTAGTGCTAGATTTTGGTCAATTTATCTATCTAAAGACTGATTGAAGAACCCTTACATTCATAAATGCTGAGAATGGGGAATTTGATAGGAATTTTCAACTCCGTAAAGTTGTGAGATGGCCTGACTGATTTATTCATCACAAGGTGAAGAATTATTCTCTTTTCACTAACTTGAATTTATGTAATGATGCCAATTGAGTAGTCAACAATGCTTTTGTTTACTGTACTTTAAGTTCTGGGATACATGTGCAGAACGTGCAGGTTTCTTTCAGAGGTATACATGTGCCATGGTGGTTTGCTGCACCCACCAACCCATCACCTACATTAGGTATTTATCCTAATGCTATCCCTCCCCTTAACTCCCACCCCCCGACAGGCCCCTGTGTGTGATGCTCCCCTCCCTGTGCCCATATGTTCTTATTGTTCAACTCCCATTTATGAGTGAGAACATACAAAGTTTGGTTTTCTGTTCCTGTGTGTTTGCTGAGAATGATGGTTTCCAACTTCATCCATGTCCCTGTAAAGGACATGAGCTCATTCTTTTTTACGGCTGCACAGTATTCCATGATGTATATGTGCCACATTTTCTTTATCCAGTCTAACATTGATGGACATTTGAGTTGGTTCCAAGCCTTTGCTACTGTGAATAGTACTACAATAAGCATACATGTGCATGTGTCTTTATAGTAGAATGATTTATAATCCTTTGGGTATATACCCAGTAATGGGATTGCTGGGACAAATGGTGTTTCTAGTTCTGGATACTTAAGGAATTGCCACACTGTCTTCCACAATGTTTGAACTAATTTATGCTCCCACCAACGGTGTAAAAGCTTTCTTATTTCTTCACATCCTCTCCAGCATGCGTTGTTTCCTGACTTTTTAATGATAGCCATTCTAACTGGCATGAGATGGTATCTAATTGCGGTTTTGATTTGAATTTCTGGAATGACCAGTGATAATCAGCTTTTTTCCACATGTTTGTCAGATGCATAAATGTCTGTCTTCTTTTGAAAAGTGTCTGTTCATATCCTTTGCCTACTTTTTAATGGGGTTGTTTGTTTTTTTCTTGTAGATTTGTTTAAGTTCCTTGTAGATTCTGGATATTAGCCCTTTGTCAGATGGATAGATTGCAAAAATTTTCTCCCATTCTGTAGGCTGCCTGTTCACTCTGATGGTAGTTTCTTTTGCTGTGCAGAAGCTCTTTAGTTTAATTAGATCCCATTTGTCAATTTTGGCTTTTGTTGCCATTGCTTTTGGTGTTTTAGTCATTAAGTATTTGCCCATGTCTATGTCCTGAATGGTATTGCCTAGGTTTTCTTCTAGGGTTTTTATGGTTTTAGGTCTTAAATTTAAGTCTTTAATTCATCTTGAGTTAATTTTTGTAGAAGGTGTAAGGAAGGGGCTCCAGTTTCAGTTTTCAGCATATGGCTAGCCAGATTTCCCAACACCATTTATTAAATAGGGAATCCTTTCTCCATTGTTTGTGTCTGTCAGGTTTGTCAAAGATCAGTTGGTTGTAGATGTGTGGTATTATTTGAGGCCTCTGTTCTGTTCCATTCATCTATATATTTTTTTGGTACCAGTACCATGCTGTTTTGGTTACTGTAGCCTTGTAGTATACTTTGAAGTCAGATAGTGTGATGCCTCCAGCATTGTTCTTCTTGCTTAGGATTATCTTGGGTATGTGGGCTCTTTTTTTGTACCATATAAAATTTAGAGTAGTTTTTTTCCAATTCTATGAGGAAAGTCAATTGTAGCTTGATAAGAATAGCATTAAGTCTATAAATTACTTTGGGCAGTATGGCCATTTTCACTATATTGATTCTTCCTATCCATGCTCATGGAATATTTTTCCATTTGTTTGTGTCCTCTCTTATTTCCTCGAGGAGTGGTTTGTAGTTCTCCTTGAAGAGGTCCTTCACATTCCTTGTAAGTTTTATTCCTAGGTATTTTTTGTTTTGGTAGCAATTGTGAATGGGAGTTCACTGGTGATTTGGCTTTCTGTCTGTCTATTATTGGTGTATACGTATGCTTATGGGTTATGCTCATTGATTTTGTATCCTGAGACTTTGCTGAAATTGCTTCTCAGCTTAAGGAGATTTTGGACTGAGACGATGGGATTTTCTAAAAATACAATTATGTCATTCAGCTTTTAAGATTCATCTGCTTTTAAGATTCATCATTGGTAAGTAGTTGCAATTCAGTCCATCTCTGAATTACTACAAGGCTGTATAGTATTTCATTAAATGAATACATCATACTTTATTTATGTATTTTACTATAGATGGAAATTGAGTTGTTTCAAGTTTGGGGCCATTATGAGTTGTAATACTATAAGAATTCTTGTTCGTATCTTTTGGTGAACATCCTGTGTATTTTTGTTGGATATATATGTAAAAAGGGATTTGCAACAAGTCCACATATGTTTATCTGTAATAGATGTTGCCAAATATTTTTTAAAGAGTTTATATCAATTTACAATTCCATCAGCAGTTTATTGGAGTTCCAATAACTTCACATCATCAATAACACTTGTTTTCACTGATGATTTTCATTTTAAGCATTCTGGTATATAGTAGCATGTTAATTGATGTTTTAATTTGCATTTTCCAGATGATTAATGATGTTGAACAATTTTAAATATGTTAATTGGTCATTTAGTTAGCCTCTTTTATGAGTACATGTTCAGCTCTTTTGCCCATGGTGTTTTCTATGTTCTTCTCTGGCCTTGTTCCTGTTGATTTTCAGAAGTTATTTATATCGTGTATTGAATATGAGTCCTCTGCCAAATATATATTTTAGATAAATCTTTCAACAGGGTGACTTGCTCTTTCAGTCTCTTAATGATGTCTTTTAATGAATTAATTATTAACTAAGAAATTCTTAGTTTTATTTTGTCCAATTTATCAAATATTTCCTTTATGGTTAGCACTCTTTAAGTCTTATTTAATAAACATTTGTCTAACCCAAAGGTCATGAAGGTATTTTACCTTTCTTCTAAAAGCTTAGTTTAAAAAACTTTTATATTTAGTTAGGAATATATTTTTTAATATAGTTTAAGATCAAGATTGATTTATTTAATGTCAATATTCAATCGAACCAGTAACATTTTTTGAAAATACTATCCTTTCCCTGCAATGTCACCTTTATTATAAACCAGGTGCCCAGTTTTGTGAATGTATGTTTCTCAGTTCCAAATTTATTCCATTTGTCTATTTGTCTGACCTTACATCAATACCATACTGTCTTAATCACTATAACTTTACAAAAGATCGTGTTGTCTGGTGGTGTAAGGTATAGGAACAGAAGCTTTGTTATTCTTCTTCAAGATTTTCTCAGCTCTTCTTGACTTTTTATGAAGCAGAGATTTTCTTTAAATTTAATAACAGTAGAGTGCAGGGACTGATTAACTATCTTTATTTCCATGAAGGTGACACAGAGGTAATATCTGAGCCGGGACTTGAAGAATGAGTAGCATTTTGATAGGTGGAGGATGGGAAAAAAATGCACAATTGTGCTTTTGAAGCAGCTGAGGAGGCAGAGTGAACTTTCATCCATTTTCAAATAACATTTCCTAACAGATTGGGCCCTGAAGGCCTCCTGTAATGTTACTCAAACTGAGGACCAGAATCCAGGTGATTATGTGCCAAATGCACATCCCATGAATATGAAAGAGAAAAAATTCCCTCTGAATTCTCCTCCACTCTTCCTTAAATCAATAGCCATTAGACATTCAGATTCACAAACTACCTAAAACTGAACCAATCTAGAAAAGTATGGGTGAAATAGTAGCTACTTAGTGACTAGGAGAACACAAAATTTTATCTACTTTCATACTTTCCTTGGTTTCTTTAGAAATGAAGGAAGTGATCAATGAATGTGAAAGATAAAAACCCTGGATAGTTATGGTTTATTTCTACAGATTGGAAAAGAGTTTAGCAAACACATGTGAGACTGCAAAGGCACCAAATCTGAGATTTCAGATTATTTGTAGATGGGATGAAAATCAGGAGAAGCATGTCTATTTAGAAAGAAACAAACTCAAAAACGTCTACTGGAAAATATACAATAATGATTACTAGGTCATGACTTATAATATTAACCAGCCTTCCTACATAGGTCCTGTAAAAAAGAGTCATTAGGTTTTGATTTGGACTCTGACTGAAGCATTAACTATCCTCTCAGATCATATGCCCAGGCCACGATTTTTATCATAACCCTTCTCCAAGACAGTTTCTAGGAGTTGGTAGTAAAAGAATCATTATATCATCTGCCAATCAATAGACATTTTTATTGTCTACAATTCTTGGATTGAAGGGTCACTCAAATTCACATCAAATGCTATATAATTTAGAAAGCCTTAGACGGTCTATTAAGCCCTTTAGAAGGGAAAGTTCAAATGTATGCATAAGTTCGAAAGCTGAAGTTGTTTGGAATACCTACATTATTTGCAGAATGTATTCTAGTGTTTGTGAATAGAAGTTTTAATTTTGTTCACTAACCTAATCATAAGTTAGATGATCCATTTATCTAAACTCACTTACTTTAAATATACTATTGAATTATAGATTGGGGATAGTGATTTCATATACCATATAATTGAAAATTGGAACAAGCGTGTTATACTTTGTATGATCATTAAGAAAACAAAAAATTTTCCAAGCTAAATTATCTACAAGAAGCTTTTTTAGCTGGATAAATCACAGTTTAGGTGATAGGTGCACATGCACCAAGTGCAACAATAACATTTAGAGTTGAGATTAACATTTTTGAGCAAAGGGATAGAACCATTTTAAACTTATTGCACATTGAATCATATTTAGAATTTTAATTGTGTTTCATGGTAAAAATATTAATAAACATGCATGAAATAGATTTAAGTCTATAAAAGGTGTTCATAAATAAGGAAAAGTTTCTCAGAGTGATTTGCCAAATCACAAAATCATGTATTTTAATGTTGTACTATAACTTTGCTGAAATGTTCTTTAAAAAGCCGATTGGTTATTGTGAATCAGTAATGATATCACAGATACTCTGTCCAAATAGAAGTTTAGCTTTTCATATTATAGATGTTTTACAGATAAAACCACATGCACACATACATATGCACACAGTACACTCTGCTAGAAATGAAATAAGTAGCTTTGCAGATATTCATACACTAAATAGCTTTCAAAAGGTACACAGAATCCCTAGAAAACAAATAAATGATTTATATTTGCCTTGCCTAGGTAAGGCAGAAGTTTAAGACACAGGATTTTGGCTATTCTGTTGTCATGGATTCATTTCATAAATCTTACAATAGGAATGGTGTTAAACATTGAGTATTTAGGAATGAATACAGTACAGTCTATACCTTCCAAAAGCTCTCAAGTGAAGAAGCAAGAAAGATACATAGAGACAAGTTCCTAGACCAAGTGTCAAGTAACAGAATGTAACCAAGTTGTGCAGCAACAGCAATAGCAACCCTAATTCAGTGTGGGAAGATCAGGGAACACTTCATAGAGATGTAATCTGAGCTATATCCTCAAGGATGAGTAGGATTTGCAAAATTAAAAAAAAAGGAAATAATTTCTGATTCATGATGGAGGTTTGAGGATATGAGCTTGCTTCACGCTCCACCCCCTAATCTTATCAAAATGAAAATAAAATTATCTTTTTAATTAGCAAACCAGAACTTTTTACACATTTCTGAATAATGTATAAAGTTATTCCACTTCTACTTAGAAGTAACATAAAAATAAAGGGAACATTAGGGAACACACTCGGCAGAAGACTTCTCCCTAAATAAATTCTACCCTGGACTGACCTTGAAAATATCCAAATTTTAAGTTGGCAAATATGGAGCCAAAATTATTTGTTGGGCATCAGTGATGATGGTTAGTTAAAGAATTGTTTCAAGAAGGACTAGGTAAGGTGCTCTTCCTCTTTTGCTAGCAGGAAAATTATTGCATTTATTCTTACTGAAACATTATGTGTGTTGTGCCTGATGAGAGAGGCAGAGTATACCTATGATAACTCTTAGGTCCTCTAACCCAGAGCAGAGCTCTCTGTATTTTGAGCAAGTCTGTCTATTCTTTATCATCAACAGTAACCATCCACTTCATAGATATCCACTGTAGCCTTCCTCTTTGGGAGAATGGCATTCTAAGTAAACAGATCTTCCACCTGCTACTTGTGCTAACTAGCAAACCCTTCCTACCTTATTTTTTAAAACTTATAAAGAAAAAACAAATCAAAAGGAAAGTAGAAAATAAGAAAGGAAAAAGGACAATAAACTTACAATTGCATCTGAGGACAAACCAATAAGTGAAAGAGATAAACCACTGACAGCAGAGGAAATAGATAAAATACAAAAAAAGGGTCATAACTTTAGAAATGTTTTAAACTGATAACCTCAAAGAGATAGGTAAGGATAGTGCATCCAAAAAAGAACAGGCTGCTGTGGGAAAGGAAGCAACCAGAGAAAAGGAAGAGTTTCTAGACCTTTTAAGTGATCACCATAATTGTTTAAGTGAATTATAGCTTGAGCATGGTTGGAGAATTGCTCAGAAAGTAAATCTAATTCTTGTCAAATGCCACTAAAATGATAGTGATGGGACTTTATTAGACATGAACTCTCAAAGACAATAAAAGAAGACAACAACAAAAAAACAATTTAGAAGTTGGAAAATGCCATGCATGGGCTGTGACAGATTTAAAAGATCCAATACCTAAGCAAGCAATAGGAGGGGACAGAAGCAGTCTTTCTGTATTCCAGAACCCCCAAGGCTCAGGAACTGTCAGCAATGTCAGGTTGAAGGTTAGGCTAAAAAATGAACATTGGGTGTAAATACATTTTAAAAGCAGGTATCATAATTTGGATATTGGACCCTCCAAAACTGAGGTTAAAATTGGATTCTCAGTGTTGGAGTTGGGGCCTAAAGGGAGCTGTTTTGGGTCATAGGGGTATATCTCTCATGAATGGCTTAGTGCTATGCTCACGGAAAAGAGTAAGTTCTCTCTGTTGGTTACCATGAAAATTGGCTGTTAGAAACAGCCTGGCACCTCCTTTCTCTCTCTGTCTCTCTATCTCATTCTCTATGTGACGCATGCGTGCGCACACACACACACTCTTGTCATGTGATCTCTACACAATGGCTCCCCTTCTCCTTCCACCATTAGTAGAAGCAGCCTGAGGCTCTCCAGAGGCAGATATTGATACCATGCTTGCACAGCCTGCAGAAATAAGAGCCAAATAAACCTCTTTTCTTTATAAAGTACCAAGTCTCAGGTATTCCTTTATAGCAACGCAAAAACTAAGATGGCCAGTAAATAATCTCAGATTTTTAACTCCATGCAGTTTAGCCTGTCCCTACCTCCCTCTTTTCTACTCTTCCTGCAATACAAACTTTGGAAGTTTACATTCCAGAGTCAAGCACAGGAACTCAGGACTTGTGGTTCAGGGGCACCAGGCAGAGCTGAAGCCTCTGGTGCTTTACTGAAAACAAAATAATTAAGTGAAAGTCTACATACTAAACCATCTTCTTCCCTTAGCCCCAAAACAAAGGCATCCAGTTGCATATGTCTGCCAGTCAAATGCTGGTGTTGAGAAGGCAACCTTCAGCATAAGGGATATTCAGTTCTACCTCATCTGCCTTTGCTCTCAGGAACTAAGATTTTGTCTAAGTTTGAAATCTGAAATTTTACTATATCCTTGAAATTGTGAAGTTTTAGATTTGTATTCATTAGTCTTCATCCATATTGCAAATAACTAGATTTCTTCAGTCAAAAGACTCGTTTCTATTTTCAGATCTGGAAAATTCTAAGCCACTATTCTTTTTCTAATAATGTTTCTTTACCGTTTTCTAAAATCTCTTCTGGAAATCCTGGTTATCTACTCAATTCTCCCTGTTGCTTTTTTTTTTTAACTTTTCCTGTTGATAAATTATAGATTTGCATGCTATTATAACAGAATAATACAGACAGGAGCCATGGAACATCTACCAAGTAATTCCAACGGTAATATCATGCAAAACTATAGTACAATAACATAACCAGGATACTGACATTGATAGAGTCCAGATATAAAACTGTTCTATCATCAGAAAGACCCTTCCTGTTGCCTTTGTATAGCCACAATGATCTCCCTTCCCCCGACCTGAAACCACTCTTCTCCTTAACCCCTGGTAACCATTAATCTATTCTTCATTTCTGTTATTCTGTCATTTCAAGAATGTTTATAAACTGGATTTGCACAACATGTAATGTATTGGGACCGTCTTTTTTCACTCAGCAGAATTCCCAACTTGTTGGATGTATAACAGTTCATTCCCTTTTATGCTGAGTAGTATTCCATGGTATGGATGTATCATCATTTGTTTAACTATTTACCAATTCAAGGCAGCTTAACGTTTTCCAGTTTTTGACTGTGAATGAAGTTGTGTACAGGTTTCTGTGACAATAAGGTTGACATGTATCTGGGATAAATCCTCAAAAGTGCAGTTGCTGAGCCAAATGTATGTTGCTTGTTCAGTTTTCTAAAAAATTGAAAAATAGTTCTGCAGAGTGGCTGTAACACTACTCACTTTCATAAGAAATGGAAATGATCCACTTTCTCTTCATCCACACAATCATTTGATTATCACTATTTTTGGTTTTATTCAGTTTGATAGGTGTCAGTGATAGCTCACGTGGTTTTAATTTTCATTTTCCTCGTGTCTTATGATGGTGAATAGATCTTTTCATGTGCTTATTTGCCATCCATATATTCTCTTTGGTAAAGTGTCTATATATGTATTTTATTCATATTCTAATGGATTGTTTGTTTTACTGTTGAATTTTGAGAATTTTTAATGTATTTTTGGTGCTAATGATTTGCAAATATTTTCTTCTTGTCACCCTCATACGTCTTTTGTAAAGAAAAATTCTCTAATTTGAATGAGATATATGTAAACTATCACCTTTTTCTTTTATAGACTGTGCTTTCATCAAGTAGCCCCAAGCTCTAGATCCTGAACATTTTCCCCTTTTTTTCCTTAAAAAGTTTGGTAGTTTTTTGTTCCACATATAAGTCCGTGCTCTATTTTGAGTTAATTTTTGTGCAAAGTGGGAAATTTAGGGTAAGGTTTATTATTTTGGTCTACGGATATTCAAATGTTCCAGTACCAATTGTAGAAAAAGCTTTTTTTTCTCGATTAATTTGTTTTGCTTTGTTTTTTTCATTTTACCTTTATCAAAAATCAGTTGGGCATATATGTATGAGTTTGGGTTCTCTCTTTTTTTTCCATTGATCTATGTGTCTAACCATCTGCCAAAGCTAACACCATACTATATCATTTAATGTAGGATTATTTAATTAATTAATAATTAATTATTTAATGCTAAGATTTAAAGTAGGGTAGAGTGATTCCTCCCAATTTTTTCTTTGTCCAGCTATTATGGGACCTATGTCTTTCCATATAAATTTTAGAATAAATGTGTCTATGTCTACACAAAATATTCTTAGGATTTTTATAGGAATTGCATTAACCCTATAGATCAACTTGGGGACAATTGACATCTTTATTGTTTTAAGTCTTCCAATCCATAAAATAGTGTGTCTCCCAATTTATTTAAATCTTCTTTCATTTCTTTCAGAATCAACTTGTAATTTTCAACACAGAGATCCTATACATGTTTTATTGAGCTTATACATGAGGATATTTATTTTCCTTGAAGTGATTATAGATAGTACTGTTTTTATTTTTGGTTCCAACATATTCATTAAAGTATAAAGTATAAAGTAAAGTATATGATTTTGTATATTTTGATCTTATTTTGTATATGTTGATTCTTATTTTCTGTGGCCTTGCTGAATATATGAGATCTAGAAGTTTTGGTTTTTAGCTTTCTTGGGATTTTCTTGTAGAATATCATGAAATATGCAAATACAATTTTATTTCTTCTGTTCCAATCTGTACGTTTTTCATTTTTCTTGCCTAATTACAATATCTGGAACTTCTAGTCCTATGTTGCGTAAGAGTGCTGAGAGTGGGTACCCTTGCCTGTTCCTGATTTTACAGGGAAAGCATTCAGCCTATTAAGTATGATGTTAAGCAGAGTGTGGTGGCTTGTGCCTGTAATTCCACCTACTTGGGAGGTTGAGGCAGGAGGATTGCTTGAGCCCAGGAATTCAAGGCTGATATGAGCTATTGTGTCACTGTGCTTAGGATTGGATGACAGAATGATACCCCATCTCTGGAAAAAAGAAAAATAAGTGTATGATGCTAAATTTAGATATTTTTGTAGATGTTCTTTTATCAGGTTAGCATAGTTCTTTCTGTTGTGAACTTTCTAAGAGGTTTTACCATGAGCAGGTGTTAGATTTTGTGATTACTTTTTCTCTGTCAATTGACATGATCATATTTAGCATGTTGATATGATAGAAAGTATTTGTTGATTTATGAATATTAAATTAGCTCACCTAGCTGGAATAAATCTCATTTGGTCATTGGGTATAATCATATTTATACATTGTGAAATTTAATTTTCTAATAAAGTGTTGAGAATTTTTGCATTTAACACTGAGATATATTGGAATAAGTATTAGATGGTTTTTATTTTCAAGAAATTGGTCCATTTCTTCTAAGTTGTTGAATTTATGAGGATAAAGTTCTTGCTAATATTCCCATTTTTCCTTATGGAAAGGAATCTGTAGTGATATCTTTTGTCTCATTCCTAATATTGATGATCTGTATTTTATCTCTTTTTCTTTCAGCCTTGCTAGTAGTTTATCAATTTTAGTGATTTTAGTGACTAACCAGCTTTTTATTTTTATTGATTTTCTTTGTTATTTTCCTGTTTTAAAATTCATTGATTTCTATTATTATCTTTATTATTTTCAACGTCTTTGGTTCCATTGGCTCTACTTTTTATCATCTCTAGGTGGAAACTTGGTAAGTTTTTTCTTATTTTCTAATGTATTTTTATACATTTTTACGTGGTTAATTATGCAATACCTTTTCTAGTTACATATTCTTTATTCACCTGCATCCAATCTAGAGAGTCTCTTTCACTTGTTTATATTATTTAAAATGCTATATTTTTCATATTTAGGATTACATATTGATTAATTTCAAATGCATATAAACTTATTTAATTTCTACTTGTTTGCGTTCATATTTTCTGTATATAATCTGCTCCGTCTTTAAGAGGGAATTTGTTGCAGGATGTGCAATGAGCTGAACCTCTCTGCCTGCAGGTATCTTTAGGATTTGGTGTTCTTCCTGGAAAGCTCATAACCAATGAATAGGCAACATGGGGCATCTATTGTGTAACCATTTCTGATCATAACAGGACTCCTCTACAGGCAATTTTATGCTAGAATTTCCTATTAGGTTTGCTGAGACATAATACCAGCTATACCTCAGTTTAAGACACTTTCTATACAGTCCTTCTTCCTGCCCCCTCCTCTTTCATAGACCTGTATCTGAAGGTTTGCACTGATTACTATTGCTTACTCTCTCCTTTATCTTACACAAGAATTACCCCTCAATAAGTGACTTATGAAAACAATACCCAGCTTCTCAAAAACAAATGCCTTATTTGCATGCTCTGAGAGATGAAGACCATAAAATATTTCCTAATCAGCCACATGCCAAACACTAGCCTAATAACAAGATCCTATTGTACATGTATGACACCATTTGGTTATTTATGGAAGACTCTGGGAATTATGGAACATTTTACAATTTTTTAGCTTTTGCTATCATTGGATCTAGAAATTTTGATCCCCAAAGCATTTGAAAAGCTGCTAATGCTCTCCTCCGAATGGCCTCATTAGAAGTGGTGATTATTCAAGGATGTCAATGAGTAATCCATCTTCTCTAACTAACAGTTCCTGTTATCCCGGTTTCTGACAAGTGCCTCACAGGGGAGTTGCCAGTATTAACCAAGGAGGACTCAAACACCAAAACGTTTGAGAGGGATTGGTCAGAGACTTCAGCTGTGGCCTCTATCAAAATATCTCTAGATGTACCTATTAGAATGTTTCATTTTATCATTCATTTCAGTCACTTCAAAATGGATTTCATTCAATTTTTCTGCATCTTCCTCTTCATTTCTCTTCCTCATAGTCATTTAGCCCAGACCTGGAGAGCAAAAGTATCTGGACCTCACTCTTTCTGTTTACTTTTCTCTGGTGATTAAGAGGTGAAGTGGCTAATTCATACATCCCAGGAAATAAAACACCAGTGGCTATCAATACGCCCAAACAGATGTATACAGAACTACAGGCAAATCAGGGTATTTTCTTTGGAAAAAATCCAATTTCTACAGAAGTAGCCACTTCTTCTAGGACAGCACTGATTACAAAAAATGCTGCAAATTTCTCATGTGTGATCATGTACTGTGCAATCTAAGAAGCACCACTGGAAAATGTAGTTTCCATCAGGGCCCCATACACTGGAATTACTATACAAAGACAAACCAGGCTCTTGCCAAAAAGCACAAGATATAAAGATGAAGGCAGGCTGCCAATCTTGCTTGACACAATCATGGTTCCAGGATGTAAAATGTAGCAAAAAACATTACCAGTCCCCTGAAGGACATAAAGGTCCCCCAGAAGATGGAGTTCAACCCAGTAGCCTCACTTTATTTCACAATAGCGTGAATGGCTGCACATGAGAAAATGTAGGAGCTATATGTTACCTCAGCTCCAACATAAGAAATGAAGAACAGAAAAAGGAGACAAAAAATGGCATTGTGATATTTAGTTCTTTGAGATGTCTGAGCAGATGCTTTTGCTTTTCCTCACCTTGAGCTTATCTTTAAAAACAGAGCAAAAACAAAGATAGGACCTACAAAAATATAAGTACTGTTCAGAGCATAAGACCACAGTAAACACATAACTTCAGGTCCTCCAAACAGAGATTCTGAGTCAGCGTCAGTGCAGGATGGTGAAAGTCAGACTGCGTGGTTTTCACAGACACTCTCGTACCCAATGCCAGTTTAGCTAGCAGTGGAGCCAAAAAGGCACCCAAGGCAAAACAGAAGTGTAATATGCCTACATATGTGGAGATCCTATGTTCTTCAAACAGCCAAGATAGGGACATCACCACCTGTATCCAGAATGCAAATTGAAGTACCAAAGATAGACATCATGACAATCAGTAATAGAGCTGTCTTGAAAAAATAAACAAGATAAAGACAAACTGTGGTAGCCAACACTGACACTTTCAAAAGTAAAAAAAAAAAAAAAAAAAAAAAAAAATCATGATGTCAAAAAGAACTCCACCAATCACAGAGCCACTCAAAGGTAGGGCCCACAAAAATTAAAGGAAGATGACTAATATTTTGGTTCAAACTTGTGGCAAAATATTGAAATGTGGGTCCCAGTAAAGCAACACTCATTCCCAGCCCTGGGAAGGCAGCCAACAGGATGACGGTGGTGAACCAGCACAGCATGATCTGGGCCTGGCTGCTCCATCAGGAGACTACCACCACCATTGCTAGTATCACCACTGCCTCTAGGCCCTGCAGCTGGGGATCTGGCCCTGCAGAGCTCCAGTTCCAACTACTTGAAATCTTTTATTAATTTTTTAGCTTGCCCGATGACTTGCTTTTTCTAAGCAACTATTATTTTAGTGACTTGAGTTTGTTGGTTGGCATATCATTTTCTCATTTACTGTGATAGTTTCGTCTTAAAGCTTTTCTTCAGCATTATGATTTTTTCTCTCAAGAGAGAATAGCAGGGTTTTTATGGTTTCCACACAATTCCCAAGGGCTCCCATCAGAAAAGTGACTTATATGGTCATGATTACTCTTCCTGGGGGAATACTGAGTTTTTCAAATCATACTGCAGTTGGCTTACTCTAGCTTCTTGTTGAGAGGCTCTCTCTGTCTTCTCCTGGCAGTCCAGGCAGCAACTAAGCAACCATATTAACTGAAGCCCTCTAAATGCTCAAGCTTATTCTTTAAGTCTTTTCTCATAGGAGTGACAGCTCTGATTCAGTCAAAGGCTTCAAGCAATGAAAATAGCTCATGTTCAATATCTTCTCTAGGGTATTTACATGTCCTTCATTTTCCAATGATGAATTTACCACCTCTGGCTGTCGCCACCTTTTCTGAGTTTCTGTCCTGTTGAAATGTCCATCTTTGTTTGGATTTTTTTATTGTACACACTACTATATATATACACACACATACACATGCATATCACTTCTATGTTTGGAAAGGTGTGTGTATATTTACTTTCAGAGTAAACTCATTGTATTATCTCAAATGATAATTTTCACCCAAGGAATTTGAATCAAAAATTTTATACTTTAAGAGATAAGTTATTAGCCAAGTTTAATAAAAATATAAAGGCCTGTTTGAGCAGGTAAGAACTCAGGAAAATGATCTCCAGGTATATTTTGAAGAAAGGAAACACCAAGACACACAAAAAGTAATCT
Organism: Homo sapiens; assembly: GCF_000001405.40. NCBI lineage: Eukaryota > Metazoa > Chordata > Mammalia > Primates > Hominidae > Homo > Homo sapiens. The sequence continues at coordinate 52,582,120 of NC_000005.10, forward strand.
AGGAGAGGAAAGCATTAAAGAACAGCAATGGGAATGCAAAGAAAAGTAATCCCAGTATGAAATAATGGTGCTGTGAAACAACCTTTGAAAGCTAAATCAGAGGACTCTATGTAGAACTTATTCAAGAAGAAATGAAATCCATTAATAAATGGAATAATTATGAATCCAGAGCACTTAAAAATATAATAAGTACTTCCAAAATGGTGAAGTAAGGACCTCAGAAATCCCACTCCAATGAGAGCAATGAAAACTTGTAACAATCTTAGGAGTATTTTTCAGGAAAAACAACTGCATTTCAGTATAAACTACAAGTTTGCGGCATTTTAACTTTCTGCATTACCATTTTCTACTCACCAGCTCCATAGTAGCCTTGAAAACGAGCCATCTAGCGGCCACTGCAGAGGACAGAATGAATTTAGAGGTCCCCTAGAAACCCCATCCCCAGAAAATTGTACTTATTTGACCTGTCTGGTAGCCACTTGGAAAGTCCCATTTTCTTGAAATGTTTTTATTTTCCCTGACTCAGAGTGCATTTAATAAAAAAGCTTATGGCAAGGGAATTTGGTCAAAATGATCAGTGGCAATTGTTTAATATCTCTTCTGCCTAGGGCAGTAATACCAGTTAAGGCAAACAGCAGACTGGCCAAAAACCTTAAAAAGACAATCTGGAGAATAAGAAGCCCATAGGGAGTTTTGATAAGCTCTAACAAATTCCTGAGGACCTGGAAGGCCATGCTTATATGCAGGGCTGCTCAAGAAAAACCGGATCAAGCCCTAATCTCTTACCTCTGGTGATTGTAAGTATTTGTTCAAGCAAAAAGTGAAAGCTAAAGCAGAGGATGTTAATATAGAGGCAAATAAGATTTGTTTCTTAAATAGGAATCCTGGATTTGAAAGAAAATGAAGAATTCACTAAAGGTTCCCATTTGTAGATTTGAGATGGCAGAAGAAAATAAAAATCACCAAACTTGAAGGTGAGTGAAATGATATTGCCAAGTCTGAAAAACAGGGGGAAAAAATAGAAAATAAGGCCTGTGGGACAAAATTAAGCATACCAGTATAGACATAAAAAGAGTTCCAAAAGAAAAGAGAGGAAAAAAAGGATATATATCTATATACACACACATATATATATATACACACACATATATATATATACATATATATATACACACACACATATATAATATATATAATATGTGTGACCCAACTATATGCCACAAAAAAAACCCTCCTTTTAAATTTAAAAACACAAATAGTATGAACATAAAAAGTGGAAAGAGATTCACTATAAAATGCCAAGAGAGCCAGAATGGCTCTAAAAATATCATACAAAATATACTTAGCCAAAAAAAAATATGACTAAAGCCAAAGATTGATGCATTATGGTGATAAGAGGGTCAATATTTCAGGAAAGCACAATAAGTATAAACGTGTATGTATGCTTAACAAATAGCCCCAAAATACAAAAAGCAAATAATAACATAATTGAAGGGAGACATATAAAATTCAATGATAGGAAGATTTTCATACCCTGCTTTCTATAATATATAGAATCACTAGGCAGAAGATTACAAAGAAATAGAAGAGTTGAAGAAAAACATAAACTATCTAGTATATAATATAATATATATTATATAATATATGACTAGAAAAACAGTAAAGAAAGTAATGAAATAGAGACTAGAAACACAGTAAAGAAAATCAATGAAACCAAAGATTAGCCTTTAAAAAGAGCAATTATATTATATAATATTATATATGAATGAAATTATATTATGTATATATTATATATAACATATACATATACTATATATATTATATACATAATATAATATATAATATATGTATATTATATAATATATAACATATATATGTTAATTGTAATAATCATAAAAATGTATATAATATATTATACATAATATATTATATATTAGCTTAAAATATCCTTTTAAAACTTTTAATATATGATGAAAACCATTAATAAACACAACAGAGAAGCTCACTCAACAAACTTCAACTTGAATAAACTAAAAAAGACTATGTCAAAATGCACCATAGTCAAACTGTTGAAAGTCAGAGACAAAGAATCTTGAAATCAGCAAAAGATCAGCAACTCATCACATGCAAATGATCCTCAATAAGATTAACAGCTGACTTATCAGGGACCATGGAGGCCAGAAAGCAATGGGGCATATTCAAAATGCTGAAAGAAAAACAATATCACCCAAGAATTAAATATCCAGAAAACTATTCTTTAAAAATAAAGGATAAATTAAAACATCCCCAGATTAAAAATAATGATAATAATAAAAAGAAAGGAATTATTTGCTAATAGACTTGCCCTAATATAAAAAGCATTGTAAGCTATCCTTTAGGCTGACATGAAAGGTCAATAGGTAGAACTCATATTTACATGAAGAAATGAAGAGCAGCAGTAAAGCAACTATGTAAGTAAACACAAGACACATAAATGTATTTTTGTTTGTAACTCTTTTCTTCTCCCGTTTGATTAAAAATAAGCTATATAAATAAATAATTATAAAATGATATTTTATACTTATATAAAAATATAATTTATATAGCAAAAGCAGAAAGAAAAAGGAGAAAAACAAAGCTATATTGGAGCAAGTTTTTGCTATAATATTGGCATTAATGTTCTATTAAAACAAAATAACTTGTTTTAAATCAATATGTTAATTGTAATCTTCAAGGCAACCACCGAGAAAATATCTCAAAATGTGGTAAAAAATAAGGGAACTAAAATGATACAATGGAAAATGCTTCTTTAATAAAAAAGAAATGTAAATCTGACTTTATCAGTAATTAGATTAAATGTAAATAGATTATGCACTCAAATAAAAAGGCAGATTGGCAAAATGGATTTTAAAAGGTGACCCAACTATATGCCACAAAAAAACCCTCCTTTTAAATTTAAAAACACAAATAGTATGAACATAAAAAGTGGAAAGAGATTCACTATAAAATGCCAAGAGAGCCAGAATGGCTCTAAAAATATCATACAAAATATACTTAGCCAAAAAAAAATATGACTAAAGCCAAAGATTGATGCATTATGGTGATAAGAGGGTCAATATTTCAGGAAAGCACAATAATTATAAACTTGTATGCATGTTTAACAAATAGCCCCAAAATACAAAAAGCAAATAATAACATAATTGAAGGGAGACATATACAATTCAATGATAGGAAGATTTTCATACCCTGCTTTCTATAATATATAGAATCACTAGGCAGAAGATTACAAAGAAATAGAAGAGTTGAAGAAAAACATAAACTAACTAGTAACAGATACTGATAGAAAAACTTCACCTGAAAAAAGCAGAAGGCACATTCTCAAATACACATGAAACATTCTCCAGGATAGTTTGTTTGCTAGGCCATAAGACAAGTTTCAGTGCATTTTAAAGAACTGAAATTATACAAAGTATCTTCTTCAACCACCATGAATGAAATTAAAAATTAACAATAGCAGAAAAGTGGAGAAATTCACAAATAATGTGAAAATTTTAAAACACACTTCTAAGTAACTAATGGGTCAAAGAATAAATCACAGAAGTAAAATAATTTGAGATAAATGAAAATATAAACACAACACATCAAAACTATTGGGTTGCAGCTAAATCAGTGGGTAGAGAGGTCTTGTGGTTGTAAACACCTAGATCACAAAACAAGAAAAATCTCAAATTAATAGATATAAAACCTAAACTTTCAACTTAAGAAACTAGAAAAAGAAGAATAAATTAAAAACAAAGTAGATATAAGAAAATAATAAAAGTCGGAATGAAAGTAATGAAATAGAAACTAGAAAAACAGTGAAGAAAATCAATGAAACCAAAGATGAGCCTTTAAAAAGACCAATAAATTTGACAGGCCTTTAGTCACACTAATCAAGAAAAAAATGGGAAAATACTCACATTGATAAAATTAGGAAATAAATAATGGACATCATTACTGATCTTATAGAAATAAAAAGGATTATAAGGGAATGCTATGAACAACTGCATGGCAACAAATTAGATAACCTAGATAAAATAGACAAATTCCTAGAAAGATACGTAGTACCTAAACTCACTCAAGAAAAAAACAGAAAATAAGAATAGACCTATTACAAGTAAAGAGATTGATTAGTAATGAAAAAACTTCCCATAAAGAAAAGAGTATGGCTTAACTGGTGAATTCCATCAAATATTTAAAGAAGGAATAGCATCAGTTTGTCACAAACTCTTCCAAAAAACATAGGAAAAAAAAAAAAGGAATGCTTTCCAACTCATCCTGTAAGACCAGTATTACCCTGACCTCAAAGCAGAGATATTAAACCAGGCAATACATAAGAACAAAAAAATACTACAGACTAAAAAATTTTATAAATATAGATGTAAACATATTTAACATAAATTAGCAAAATGAATTCAGCAGCAAACAAAGTATCAGATAATATGACCAAGTGAGGTTTATCCCAAAATTGTAAAGCTGATTTAACATCTGAACATCAATGAATATAATACACCATATTAATAGAATTAAGGACAAAAAACATACAGCGAAGTAAATAGATACAGAAAAAGTGTTTGACAAATTCAACACTTCTTCATTATAAAAGTCTTTGACAAACAAGTAAAAGAAAGAAAATCCCTGAAACTGAAAAACTGACATTTAGAAAAAACCTATAGCTACTATCCTATTTAATGGTGAAAGACAATGTCTTTTCCCTGAGTTCAGGAATAAGACAAGAATGTCTGCTCTCAACCACTTCTCCAGTATTGTACTGGAGATTCTAAACTACTAAAGTAATGGGGTGAGAAGATAAAATAAAAAACATCCGGATTAGAAAATAAAAAGTAAAGCTATCTGTATTTACAGATGACATGATCTTATGTATAGAAAAATTCTAAGGAATCTACACAAACCTATGAGAACTAACAAATAAATTCAACAAGTTTTCAAGATACAGGATTCATATACAAAAATGAGTTGTAAATCTATGTGCTAGCAATGAACAATCTGAAAAATTAGATTATGAAAGTAATTTTATTGCTGGACTGAATTGACTATAAAATCCAATTCAGTTTTCCACCTATCTTTTATTAAGTTAAAATACACATGACATAAAATTTATTATTTTAACTATTTTAAGTGTACAGTCCAGTGGCATTAAATACATTCATAATGTTGCACAATCATCAATATCATCCATCTCCATAACTCTTCCATCTTGTAATACTGAAACTCTACACCATTAAACAATAACTTTCCAGTTCCCCCTCACTTCAGCCCCTGCAACAACCATTCTACTGTCTTTCTCTATGATTTTGACTACCCTAAGTACCTCATATAAATAGAATTATACAATATGTGTCTTTTGTGACTGTCTCATTTAACATAATGTCCTCAAGGTTGATCTATGTTATAGCATATGTTAGAATTTTCTTCCTTTTTAAGACTGAATAATATTCCATTGCATGTATATACTTTATTTTGCTTACCCATTCACGTATCTGTGGACACTTGAGTGGCTTCCACTTTTTAGCAAATATGAATAATGGCATGCATATAGGTATGTACATATCTCTTCAAGGCCCTATTTTCAATTATTTTAGCTATATGCTCAAGAGTGGAACTGATTAATAATATGATAATTTTGTTTAATTTTTGAGAAATCATCCTGTTTCCTACAGCAGCTATACTATTTTACATTCTCACCAAGAGTGCGCAAGTGTTCCAACTTATTCACATCCTTGCTAATGCTTGTTATTTCTTCTTTTTTTTAGTATTAAATGACAGCCATCCTAATGGATATAAGTTGGTATCACATTGTAGTTTTGAAATGCACTTCCAATAAAATTCAATACAATTTTAAATATATATTGTGATGGTGGACGTCTTTGTTATCTTCCCAGTTTTACCATTAAATATGATATTTGCTGCCTTTCAGCAGGTTTAGGAAGCTCCCATAAGAAACTAGTGTGAGACAATTTTCATTAACGGGTTTTGGAGTTTGTTGGATGTGGAATTTTCCTGCAGTTATTGAGATAATCACATAGGTTTTGTTCTATATTCTATTAATACAATGCATTATAGAAATTGATTTTTGGATTTTAAATCAACTTTGAATTCCTGGGATAAATCCTTCTTGACCATAGTGTACAATTTTTTGTTATGATGCTGGTTTCAGTTTTTTTTCTATCATTTACCTACCATCTATTTTACTGATTTTCACTCTGAACTTTTATATTTCCTTCTTTCTTCCTTTGCTGAGTTTAATTTGCTCTTCTTTGCCTATTTTCTCAAGAAGGAAGTTCAGATTACTTACTATGTATCAAAACATATCATACCCTATGATGCATATAATTTTTTATTGCACAAGTATTTGACAGACACTTTAGTTTGAAATTATTTGGCTTAAATAGCTCATTTAACTTACTTTTGACTATAATTTTTAGCCATTGTCCTACAGAGTAAGAAATTCTTACAAAAATAAAATTTTAAATCCAAGCTATAAAATTTCCAAGGTTAATGAAGTGTCTTTGAATACTAAAGTTAGGTCATTTTCCATAGTGTTCATAGGCATGTTATTAAACGTTTATTTATTTACATTGTGATTTGACTTTTTACCTTTTACAGATAATAGTTTATTACAGGTTTCAAAACTTTGTGTAGGTCCCCAGGAAGTTTATATACCAAGGCACCTTGTAGACTTACAGCTAAATCCACAAAAGTTAGGTATGACATTTTTTCTCTCATGTCAATATTAACACAATATTTCATTATAAAATTTTCTGTTTGTAGACATGACCTATTTGTGGACATGACCTATTTATCTGAATAACATTATTATCTTGCCCAAATATCATTAAAATTAAAAGGAGCAGAGAAGCAATAGATTAGAAAAAAGTGATAATTTCACATAAAATAGAAACTTCTCTCTAGGGTATATATAAATTTAGAAGAGACAGCAACAGGTAAATTTAAAAAAAAAAAAATCAAAATGCCAAGCTGTCATAAACCAAGTATGTTTTCTAGACAATGAAGAACTGACATTTTATGGGAGACGAAATCCAGATCCTGTTTTTTAACCTTTATGTTGCTACTCAGAAAATAATGCATATAGGCAAATACTAAACTTTTAAATATATTTTCCTGATATTTGTTAGATTATTCAACTTTTCCTGGTCAAATCAGTATGCTCACAAAATGCTCTGTTATAAAATTGCTTTCGAAAGTAATTTTAGAAAATTAGATGACTCTCATGAGCCCTACTTCTTTTTAATGTTATTTTTATTTTTGAGACGGCGTCTTATTCTGTTGTCAGCCTGGAGTGCAACGGCGCGATCTCGGCTCACTGCAATCTCCGCCTCCCGGGTTCAAGCGATTCTCCTGCCTCAGCCTCCTGAGTAGCTGCTGCTAGAGACGCCCGCCACCAAGCCCGGCTAATGTTTTTGTATTTTTAGTAGAGATGGGGTATCACCATGTTGGCCAGGGTGGTCTCCATCTCCTGACCTCGTGATCCGCCCGCCTTGGCCTCCCAAAGTGCTCAGATTACAGGTGTGAACCACCACACCCTGCAGAGTCCTACTATTTTTAACAAGCAAATCACAAGGTAACTATGAGTAAGTTCTAGTATTTGATAGTACAGTAGGGAAATTATAACTAACAATAATTTATGGTATATTTCAAAATAGCTAGAAGATGGCAATGTTCTCAACACAAAGAATAGGTAAATGTCTGAGTTGATGGATGTCCCAATTACCCTGACTTGATCATTACATACTGTATACATGTATCAAAGTATCCCATGCATTTTCACAATATACAAGTAAGAATACAAAAAAATTAAAAAAGTAATACGTCATTGATTCTTTTTTTAAGCATCACTTCTCATCCTTTCAGTCCAGAGGAACTCAGACAGTTGAGACACACTGAGAATGAACCACTGGTGTCCGATTTCCTTAAGAAGCACACTCTGTAGTGGAGATAAACATGCTGGTGGTTTATTTGCAGTGTGCTCTTGGGATCGACACTTTTGAACACAACTATAGCCACTAGCCCTACAACTTGAAATAAGTGACCCCACTGTGGTAATTTACGGTTAATAACACTTTCTTCTCAAAAATAGTATTTCCACCAAAAGATAAATGATTTTAAATAATCATCTCATCTTTCATTCCAGCACAGAGTTTGATCCAGCTCTCTCCAATGGCTAAAGAAAGACTAGGATTTAAACTTGTGGTAATAAATATTACATGTTTTCATCAAAACACAGTTCTCCTCCCTTTGCAGGCAATTTTCAACCACTTGCAGTTAAACAAAGTCACAAGACTAGGTCTTGGCAACGGGATATGTGAGGAAGTGATGTGAATTCCTGGCCAAAGCATAGAAGTGCAGAGGCAAGACCATCCAGGTGACTCTTGCGAAGCATCAGCTATGGAGGCAATGTGGTCCACGACACTTGTGACAGGTTAGCGGCTTGGGCAGAGAGTGGGAGGAATATTAAGCATGGGTACATAATTGCTCTGAAAAGTCGTGGACTGGTACCAGACTTCGTACGAATAAGAAATAAATATGTTAAGCAATTTCGATTTGGGGGCTTGCACCACTTTTGTCTCTTCTGATACAACAATCGATTGTGCAAAACAGTCTACAAATCAGACTTTTAAATAAATACTTTCCACTCAGGAATGGGTGAAGTTTATCAAGGTCATTTCCAGGTGTCTGGGAAATTTATTTGACCGGGTTACACCAATATTAAAATATGAATCCATTGAATCTATATAAATTGTAAAACATAACTTTAATTCAAAAACAAGCTTTTAGAAAGTTTCAAAGATACCTGTTTATTCTCTGCAGTGTGTCAATCAAATCACTTAATGCATTTTATACCAAAATTTAATAGTCAAGCAAATGATCAGGATAGTAAATTTTCTAACACATTTTTTATAAGAGAGAGAAAGCCTTTCCGTTTTGAAAAAGAGAATGCAGAATGGAGAGTGATATTTGTCATACTGAATAGCATTATGGGTCCCTTATTCGGGCAAGTTCCAAGTTTGGATGAGGAGCTTGTCTTTTTGTGGTCAATGGCAGGGTGAAAGCAGAACACAAGCCTATCACTTTCTGCACAGGGTTTCCAAATGCCTGCCGCTTCATCCCAGACTGTGTGGAATATGCTCTACCTCTTTCTGACAGTGCTCCAAGGGTTAGCCTAATAGGAAGGTGAAAGGCAGAGGCCAAGGGTGTGGGAAGTGATTTCTGGCCATTAGCTATTTTACTATCAATTCTGATTTCCTTAAGGGGCTTAAAACTGTCACTATGTTCAAAGGTTTACACACTTACAACAGCCTCAGACAGCAAAAAAGATAGTCAATTTTCCACTATAATATTATAATAGCACTCGTGCTATTTAGTGCTCTCTACTCTGATGAATTTCTGGGACTTGTGGGGTATGATTCCCAGTGTGGCAACTTGACTTTAGCTGTTCCCACACTTACCAGCATTGACATTTGATTTTCAATGTTTATAAATGGTCTTTTCCTCACCCCTTCACAGTGATAGGCTTACTTTGTTTGTTTCTTTGTGTTTTAAATACAAGCAAATTGAATATAGTTGCATTTCTGAAGTGTCTTAACACTGCTTTAAAAAATTGGTGAATGATGAAAGTCTGAATATGAAAATAACAAACCAATAAATATTGTGAAATCTTATATACGCTATAATTTTTTTAATTCTGAGTTATCCATTTTGAATTTTCATTAAAATATTTAATATAAGAATGGCTTTATGAATTCACTGAGTAAAATATTTGCATTTGCTTTAACAGAATTTTATCACTTCAAGTACAAGTTACTCTATATTTAGAGATGAATGGCTGCTTTTACTTAAAAACCTACTTATACTAAATGTTAGTATTTCATTTAGGTAACACATTGCCAATTCTATGGAATAGGAAGCTGGTTTAGAGTTTCAAAGTTTTTATTTCATAAACTTTTCTAAGGCTCCAATCTATTTAAACCAGGCTACCTGAGAGGGCTGTCTCCCTGCAGGTTTCATAAGGGTATTTGCCAAAAGTAAACATATTTGAGTAAATTCATAACAAGATTATGCTTATTAAATCAGAAAACTCAAAAGCAGAACATAAAGGAAGCAAGACGTGGCTGATAAAAAGTGCAGAAATTATTACGGCTACTTTTTTGAACACTCAACTGGCTCCCAGACACTAGAAAAAGCCCTTTACATAAATCTTTTGTTTAATCCTTATCCTGAGAATAAAGTACAGTTAATCGAATTTTACAGCTGATATTTATAAAACATAATATATTTAATAACAACTGCTACTTATTCCTCATAATCATACTATGGAATAAGTTACTATCACTTCAAAAGGAGTCTGAGACACTGAGACAAGTCCAATGCCCTGCAATTATTGCTCTCCAAAAGAAAGACTTTGAGACAACCTTTTACAAGATTTTTAACATTTTCATAATTTCTGTGAAACTGAAAATGATCACAAAGCTTAAATCCTGGTGATCATATAGATCCCTGTAATTGCTCTTCTTATTGAATTTAGTGGTAACAATTTCTGGTCCTCATTCTCAAAAGACTTAAACTGTGCTTTTTTCCTGGAGTCTGATGAGTGTATGACACTATCTAAAAATTAGTAAATTAGCAAGAAAGTACATATTTGCACGCTTCAATTCTAGTGATTCCCATGGAAATACACTAATTAGGGGCAGAGTCATATTCAGATCTATGGCCTGAGCTCCAGGGTCACACCACCTGATGCTGAATCCTAGTCTTGCTACCTCTTCTATGTGACCTTGGAAGTAACTTAATTTGCTGAACTCCAGTCTTAATAGTACCTACATTATAGAGTTCTTGTAGGGATTAAAAGGGTTAATCTATTCAAAGAATTTAGAATGGTGCTTAGCCCAAGCAGCTTCTCAATAATTCTTAATGAGCACTGTGTGAATAGTCTAGCATATCAATAAATGTACACAGCCTCTGCCCTCAAAGATATTAGTAAAGATTGACTTACAAAACAATGTTGTAAAGCAATGTGATTAAAATTTTAGTGTTTCAACAGACACCATAATCCACACACTGGGAGAAATATTTTATATCAAATATCTGATAAATACCTTATATTCAGAATATGTAAAGAACGCTTGCAGTCCAATAAGAAGAAGGAAAAAAAAAAGCTCATTTAAAAATTGGCAAAAGATATAGACAGACATTTCCCTGAAAAATGCCTAATACAAATGCAAAAATAACGCTCAACATTAGTCATTAGGGAAATGCATATTTAAACCACAATGAGATACCTCTTCATATCCACTAGGATAGTTATAATAAAAAGACAGACAATAACAAATGTTGTCAAAGATGCAAAGAAACTAGAACCTTCATGCATTGCTGGTGAGAACGTAAAATGTTACTGCCTCTTCACAAAAGCGTTTTTCAAAAAGTTAGACACAAACTTACCATACAACCTGGAAATTCCACTCTGAGATAGCCACCCAAGAGAAATAAAAGCATACATTCTCCCAAAGATTAGATGTGAATGTTCACAATAGCATTATTCTTAATAGCCCCAAAGTGGACATAGATGTTCATCAATTTGTGAAGAGATCAACAAAATGTGGTAGATTCCTACAAGGGGATACTATATAGCAACAAAAGGAACAAACTATTGATACATGCTACAATATAAATAAACATCAAAAAATGCTAAGTGAAAGAAGACAGACGGAAAGACTTCATATTGTATGATTCCTCATACATGAAATACAGCAAGGAGTTAAATCTATAGAGCCAGAAACAGATCATTCTGGGGCTAGAAATGGGATCAAAAATTGATAGAAAATGGGGCAAAGGAACTTTTCGGAGTGATGGAAGTGTTCTAAACTGGATTCTGGTGGTATTTGTACAACTCTGCAATTTACTAAAAAATCACTGAATTGTACATTGACAATGAGTGAATTTCACAGAATGTAAATTATGCCATAAAAAAGCTGTAAAAATGTAATAAACACAAAGTCATACACAGTATATTATGAAAGCATTGAGACATATCATCTAACATTGTCAGGATTTCTGCACAAGATGGTGCCTGATGGGAATCTTTACAAAGGACCTTGAAGCAGTCCCTGTGACAGCCCTAGAACAACAGATAAAAAGTCTGACTACTCTGAGACCATCATACTGGAGAGGCCAAAATAGGCTTTTTAGTTGACAGTGCCAGCCTTCCAGCCATCCCTGCCAAGTCATCAGGCATGCAAGTAAAACCATATTGAAACCTATAGACCAGCCAATTCATCAGCTGACTACACTACCAACTGACCTCAGTCAACACAGAACAGAAGAATCACCCAGTGGGGTCCTGCTTGAATTCTGCATCTACAAAATTGTGAACAAAATAAAATGATTATTGTTTTAAGCCACTATGTTTTGGAGTAATTCGTTACAAAGTGATAGGTAACTTGAATAGGAGGTGAACACAGAAAGCACTAGTAGGGAAGTGGAGAAATGTGACAGAAAAGAGAAGGAAGTCAATATAAATCTTTCATTAATAGGCCAGGCACTGTGGCTCATGTCTGTAATTCCAGCACTTTGGGAGGCTGAGGCGGGTGGATCACATGAAGTCAGGAGTTCAAGACCAACCTGGCCAACATGATGTACTCCTGTCTTTATTAATACAAAAATTAGCTGGGCATGGTAGTAGGTGCCTGTAATTCCAGCTACTTGGGAGACTGAGGCAGGAGAATCACTTGAACTCGGGAGGCAGAGATTGCAGTCAGCTGAGGTTGCGCCACTGCACTCCAGTTCGGGGGTGACAGAGCGAGACTCCGTCAAAGAAAAAAAAAATTCATTAACAAACAGGTTATCACTGTGGATAACTGAGCCTCAATCCCCCAGAGACCTCTGAGGACATGTGGAATGCAGCTCAGGGTGGAAGGCTGTTTCTGGTACTAAGACGACACTTGCAGCTTGCTCTGCTTGCAGGCCTAATATGTCCTGATGCTCCAGACAGAGTCCAATGTGTGCAATAAGAAGGTGAGAGTGTGCACATAAAGGTGAGTGCCACGGGAAGTGGGCGAGACTGACAAATGTCTGATACACGTATTGGCCCCATGTAGGGTTTTCACAAGCAGTTTTAGGGAAGGTATACTATTGTCACTCCTTGGCCCAGCCTTCTCTGCCAAACATATTAGTGACTGCAAACATGTATTGATATAGTTTATATATTTATCCCTACCCAAATCTCAGGATGAATTGTAATCCCCAATGTAGGAGGTGGGGCCTGGTGGGAGGTGTTTGGATCATGAGGGCAGGTCCTTCATGAATGGCTTGGGCCATCCCCTTGGTGATAAGTGAGCTCTCACTCTGAGTTCACATGAGATCTGGTGGTTTAGAAGTGTGTGGCACCTTCTCCACCACTCTCCCTCTCTTCTGCTTTCACCATGTGATGGGCCTGCTCCCCCTTCACCGTCTGCTATGATTGTAAGTGTCCTGAGGCCTCCCTAGAAGCTGAGCAGATGCCGGCACTATGCTTCCTCTGTAGCCTGAAGAATCATAAACTAAATAAGCCTCTTTTCTTTATAAATTACCCTGTATCAAGTGTTTTTCATAGCAATGCAAGAACAGCCTGATACGTGTGTGTTCTGCTTTTATTTCCCACACCCAGTGACTTAATTACTCAAAGCTCAACTCAAACAGCACATATCCCTAGGTGCCTTCATTGATCCACTCTAAGCAAAAGTCATCCCTCCTGTACGGGTACATTCCATGACAGTTTAAGATCTGGATCTATAGCACTGAATGTCTTATAATATTTTGGTAGAGTTTAGTGTGAGTCTTTTAATCTCCTGACCTCTTCCACTCCATTCGAACTCCAGGAGTGAAATGGACTGATTGATCAAGTCTTGTAGATCTTTCTTATTTGCCATACTGGCACCTAATCCACTGCTTGATAGGTGACACACAGATGATGCTGAAGGCTTGTTTGTTGTATTATAATGGATTGAAATAAATGTTTCAGTTACCATATGCCTTTTCAAAAGGGCTTAGATCTTATTAAAAATAAGGCAGTAAATTTTCTACATAATCTAACTTAAACATGTTTCCAATAAAAATCCACTGCATTGAGAGGGCTATATTTATTTGACAGATATATTCTAATGAACTAGATGCACAGTTAACAACAATAAAAACAAATATTCTCTAAGCTTCTTGGTGTACTGCCATCTCTAATAAGGTCTTCAGTAAAATAATAATGACTCAAACATTGACGGGCAGCTTAGGGCCAGGAAAATGTGCTCAAGGTCTCTGCTTGGGGTGTTACTTTTATTGATTTATTTTTTTGAAACAAAGTTTCACTCTTGTTGCCCAGGCTGGAGTGCAATGGGGCGATCTTGGCTCACCGCAACCTCCGCCTCCTGGGTTCAAGTGATTTTCCTGCCTCAGTCTCCCCAGTAGCTGAGATTACAGGCATGCACCACCACACCTGGCTAATTTTGTATTTTTTTTAGTAGAAATGGGGTTTATCCGTATTGATCAGGCTGGTCTCGAACTCCTGACCTCATGTGATCCACCTGCCTTGGCCTCCCAAAGTGCTGGGATTACAGGCTTGAGCCATAGTGCCCGGACTTCAGGGTGTTATTTTTGCTCATACTTTAATAATTTTGAATTATTACTCCAGGTAATATATGCAGCATGAAACTGCTATTTGAAAGACCATAAATAAAAATATTTCATTGTACCCCATGAACAGACAAAATTATTATTTGTCAATTAAGCATAAAGAAAACAGAAAGACTATTAGTGTACTCAAGAGTTTATAAATTCCTATGAAAAAGAAAAAAGAATCCTACAATACAAACATACCTATAGAAATTTCTTACCCTTTAATATGTTAATAAGGCCATTGTTATTGGGTAATTCCTGAAACCTGGAAGATAAAGTCAGCAAAGCCAAGATGGAGCCTTGTGGCCATGGTGTTGAAAGTATCTTGGCTACAAACAGGCCTTCAGGTCTTCAGTACCCCCAGCTGGACAGTACAAAGATAACATGGGGCCATCTGAAGGCAAATCCATTTATTAATTTTTGTTAATATATTTACTTTAAAATAGAATATAATTAAAAGAAAAAATAAGTTTTCTTTATCCCTCTATTCACCTAACAGCCTGAGATGCAAAGTTCCAGGAGGCAGCAATGCATCCCAGGTCCCGGTGATCTGTCTCTGTTCATTCTGCAGCCTCCTTCTCCAAGCTTCTTACCTCATCTTTCTTTTACCCTTATGCCATTGCTCTTACTACCTCCTTGTCTAGATTCCATTTTTCATTTTACCTGCATGGATGGCTGGAAGGCTGGCACTGTCAACTAAAAAGCCTACTTTTGGCCTCTCCAGTATGATGGTCTCAGAGTAGTCAGACTTTTTATCTGTTGTTCTAGGGCTGTCACAGGGACTGCTTCAAGGTCTGCCAGGGAAGTTGCCCTTATTTTAAGGTCTGGGTCCAGAAAACTACACATATTTACATTGCAGCGTCAACACAGAAAATACCCTGATTCATGAGGAGGGAAGATAGACCCTACCTAAGAGAGAGAGAAGTAACAAAGAGTCAAGATTGACTTTGAAGGCAACCCAACCCAAAACATGAATATTCAGATTATGCATGGCAATGAAGCATCACATCTCAGAGTTCACCATTCACATAACAGTCACACACTAGCTCATTTGAACGCATGTGGGCAGGCATGGAGATGGAATTCCAGACCTCCCAGAAAAGTGATGCCTAATGCAGAAGATCCACTTCCATATATCACACCAACTGTCCTGAGAACAACATGCACACTTGTGTCCTTACATGTCCCAACCAGTTGCAAGGCATGTCCTGAGGTCACTTTTCTACTAGGCTACTGGTGGCTCTAAGAAACCCAATTCCCATTCCTATCTCAACTCTGAAGCTGACACCGTCATCTCATTTGCAGGGAGGGCATTTGGTTCCGCTCGTGTATTGATGAGGACAATCTGGGATGTGTGGAAGTGGATACAAGTTCAGGCACATGTGTGCAAGGCTTGTCTAGGCAAAGCTCAGCTGAGTGTGGTTGTTTAGGATGTGCAGTCATATTTTAACTTAATTTGTCTCTAATTTTATCTCCATTTATTGTGTTTTTACATGAAAAAATCCCATTCACACAAAGGGATTTTATTGCTAGTAGAGATCCTCATGCTATGTCATATTGGGGGTATTGTTTATATCATCTAAGTAGTAATTGCCAACACTTCCACACTAGTTTCCTAAGGACCCAGGCTATTTGCTAAATAATTGACTTTAGCGAGAAGTAAATCTTATTATAGTTTCTCCTAATGGATACATTGCAATAATAATCCTTCTGCTACCTACTTCACATGGATGTGGAAGGATTAAATGGAGTGAGAGATATACAAGTGGTGTGAAACCAGGAATGCACCAAAGTGTTGGTTGTGTGTCTAAACTCCTTGAGAGCAAAGATCATTACTATGCCTTGGTCATATTACACATGTGATAATTATTTATTAAAATGAATAAAAGTATTGTCATTAGTTTTGCAAAAAAGTAATAGTGATTTATAAAATTATACAGAAAAGATGCTTTTATCTCACAGAATTATAACCAGTAAGTAATGAGAACCAGTGGTAACCTCTAGCAAGAAGTGTTATGAATTGTCCTAAACTCACGAGTTCACATAAATGACAACATATGCAACTTTGAAAATACAAAGAATCCTTGCTTTCTGCATTTCTAAGAAGAAAAATTTTGGTTGCATTGGAAATAGGAAATAGTGAGGAGAGAGAATTTTTCTGTGAACCAGATGGATTATTTTGCAACTCTTAGGAAATATTGTAACCAGCTACCATAAAAGCCTCCGGCTGAGATGTTTAAAGGTGAGCAGTTCCAGCCTTCAACCAGGCAGTCTGGGGGAGGGGTGAATTGCCGTGCAAAAGAACAGGGAGTCATGTGGTCCAACTGTAAAATAGAAAAATTGCATGTAATTATTTTACAAGCAGAGTGCGATGATGTGAAAGGAAGAACTAATGATGATGCACTCAGCTTGTTAGAAGCTTTTCCTTCTGGGGAGCTCAAGGTTACAAGAAGTGCTGCTCACTGGAATTTTTTTCTTTCCTTCTGTGCTCGTAATGCTACAATAAACCTTGCACAGAGCGGGTTAATGTTGCAAGGATGTTTTTAAATAATTTCTGTGACTAAAGCCGGAGATACAAGCCTGGCAATAATTCTCCCTGACTTCAAGCATCCTGTATTGATTGATTAATTATTCCATCAATGAACTAACAGGTATTGACCTTATCTGGTTGAGTAGCATTTAGCCAAAAGTCAGTAATCTACATCGATCACTTAATGGAACATCAAAGCTCAGCATTCTGACAGGTTTATGTCATTCAGCAAAAATCTGTCTACGTTTTGCTGATACCTTGACCTTTTGTATCAAGCAGTCTTTACAGAAAACAAAAAGCAATGACAAAACCAACTCTTGAAAATAATGCTTTGTTATGTACAAGGAAGTTCTGGGATTGTTTCAAATAGCTTCTGCTAGGATCTCATCGAGGCTTTTTTTTGCCATCTGGAAAGCTGTTTTCTGCATGCTTGCGATATATGATATTTTGATGAAGAGTGAAATTATCAAAACAATGAGTCCTGGGATAATTAACACTTAAAGAGCAGAGCTTCACAGAGGCAACACGGAACAAGTGGCATTCTTTACGGAAGGGTAGAGGTAAACAGAACTTGAGCCAATGATTCAGAATGGGAAAGGAGCAGATGCTATCAATCCTTACCCATTCCGAGTACCAGAATCCTGATTCAAATGTTCAGGCAAAATCCACTGATCCCAATACCTGAATATGTACCTCAATGACTGGAAGAATTTGTTCTGAAAACAGTATAAAGATCTACTGATAATTTCTAAACTCATTTTTACAAAGATATTTTACATTTTAGTATATTTACGTATAGCAAATATGAAAAATACACAGTCGATTCTTACTACGATTTTTCATTTCTTCTTCATTAAGGGATTGGCGATGAAATCGTTAAAGATTGGCCCCAGAAATGGCCTCTGGAGTGATGCCTCTCAGATCCTCTTCTGTGATTCCAATACTGTTATTGTCCCACAAGTTCTGGCTACATAATAAGGATGCCCACTTCTTTCTTCAGACTCTTATTTTTAAGTTTTAATTATTGCTTATGCATTGACTAAAGGCACAGTAACTAAGTATTAAGGGTTTTTAAACCGCCTTTTAGGAAGATGCTGCTGCCTTCCAGTATGTTAAGATGGTGGTTCTGCCCATGCAGTACTGTACCACAATGCAGTGCACTCTCTCTAAATCTCTGCTCCTAGAAGCTGTTTTAGGGCTGGAGAATCTACCTCCTAAACTTGCCATAGTGGTAAGTGGTGAGCCTAAGGAAGTTAAAGCTCTTTCAGTGGGAAGCAGCTATTTCTGCTTGGAGTCTTACTTAAAAATGCTTCTCACAATTGCCCAGCACCACTTTGATCCACCATTTGCAGTGCCCAGAATGTCTTATCTCTCCAGATTTGAAGAAAAGTCACGCGCTGTAGCTCTCCCATAGTTTGATAGGGCTGGTTTATGTCTATGACTTGTTTAATAATTAAATTAAAATTTTCCTTTACTAACAATATTTTTCAATATATGCTGAATATTTTCTACAACCACTCTGATAATTACTATCTATAGTAAAAATGATAAACATATTTCAGCCTGAGTTCTAAACATTCTGCTCATATTTATTAGCTCTGTGGTCCTGGGTAAGTCACATGCCATCAGTTTCCTTATCTGTAAAATATGGGTGTTGGCCTGGGATAAATTTTAGTTCCATTTTATTACTTACAATTTTTTAAGCTTGATTCAATATTTATAAATAATTTATTTCAGATTATGTGAATAGAGAACCTCACAAAAATAAAAATAATATGCTAGAGTAGCTTGTCCTCCAAGTTAAAATGAAATCAAAAAAGGCATGAAAATGGAAAGATACTCTACACCAACTTTAAATGAGCATGTAAAATGATTCAATTGATTACTAAATAGTGTTTAATCCCTTTTGAACTGAAATTTGGTTTTATTAAGAATTTGATAGGCACAATTCATGTAATGTCAAAATTATAGAGAAAAAGCAAAGCAAGAAAAAAAGAAGAAAAGAAGGAAGGGACAGAGGGAGGAAAGGAGTAAAGGGAAAAGAAGGAGGGAGGGTGGAAGGAAAAGGAGAAAGCTATAAATCACTTAGGATCCTTGAGGAAGGAAGGTGAACACAGACTTTCAGCTTGGCTTTTTGTTCCTTTTGTGTTTCATTAACAATGGCAGACTTCAGACAATAAATATCTTAAAGAAATTATTTTCCCATTAGTGTTAATTTCCCCTTAAATATGAAGTGATTAAATTAAATCAAGGAGGCTAGAAAAAACATCTTTCATTATGATTTTGTAGCATGTATGATGTCTTTTGTCTAAAAATGGTTCTTAGGTTTGACTGAGGCATACATATTAATACTGGCTATTGACTGACATTTTAGTCACGTGTTTGGATTTTGTTTTCATTTTGTATAAACTGAATAATTTTGTCTCCTTATGTATTTTGTTCCACAATATAAACTAGTCAATTGAATTTATATTAATACTTATTTATTTTCATAATATGCTTAGAGTCTCTGTATGCTATTGAGAAGGTACAGTATTTACCTGGAAAAGTAAAAATGATGTTTACTTTTCCAAAAGCACTAACCTTAAAGCTCATAATCGGAAGAGTAACACATATCCTCTTGGTAAAACAAGTTAGCCAAATAAACAGCTATGCAAGTGGGCAGATCTTGTTCCAGGCAGCTTGGGAAACAAGTATGTAAAAGATTGGTTAGTTTTACTAAACTGAGCTAACTTATATTAATTATTAAATTTGTAGAATGCCAAGTCATTGAAGAGAATGAGCAATTAAGAGAATGAGCATAAATAAATGTACGAAGTTGAATTAATAAGGTACAAACTTTGGTTAAACAATAAGAAGCATTATTTTACTGCAGTTCCAGAGTTCCCAAATGTGTTTAGTCTGGGGACACTTTTACACCCTTAATAAAATTTTTGAGAACTCTGAAGATCTTTGGTTTATATAGTTTTTATTTAAAATTAAAACTGAGACGTTCAAAATTAAAACTGTGACATTTAAAAATATTTATACATTATTTCATTTTGAAATGACAATAACACTTTACAGGTAACCCAAATAACTGTTTTAAGAAAAATAAACACTTTTTAAAAACAATGAGAAGAATGGCACTGTTGTTCATTTTTTCATTTTTTATTTTTCAAATTCCCTTAACATGTCTTAATTGAAAATAGCTGTATTCTTATACCTGCATCTACATTTAATCCATTGCAATATGTCGTTTTGATGGAAATAAATGAAGAAAATCAGACCTCAAACAGATTTGTAGTTGGAAAAGAGAGGAGTATTTTAATGTATTTTTCAGAAAATGTGGATATTTGTTTTAGTAGTTCAGCAAAACTACTTAGTTTTTAGAAAACTAAGTGGTAGTTTTCTAAGGAGTAGTCACAATGAGAAATCTACAGCTGTTATCAATGAACATTTTTTCCTCTGTTACATAAAGATTATTTGTTCCATCTTGAATTTTGTGTGATAATTTTACCTATAGGTGATTTTTAAAATAGACTTTATTTTTAGAGCAGTTTTAGGTTCACAACAAAATTGAGATGAAAGTATAATACATAGTTCCCATGTGCTGCCTGTCCCCATACACACAGTTTCCCCAGCTATCAAAATTTCACATCAGAGTGGTACATTTGCTATGACTGATGAATCTATTTTCATGTATCATTATCATCAAGTCCATAGTTTGCATTCTGGCATACTCTTGGTGTTGTCTATTCTATGGATTTAGACAATTGTATAATGGCATGTATCTAAAATTATGATATCATACAGAATAGTTTCAGTATCCTAAAATTCCTCTGAGC
This sequence comes from Homo sapiens, assembly GCF_000001405.40. Classification (NCBI taxonomy): domain Eukaryota; kingdom Metazoa; phylum Chordata; class Mammalia; order Primates; family Hominidae; genus Homo; species Homo sapiens. The sequence goes on from NC_000005.10 coordinate 52,603,174, forward strand.
TGTGCATATAAGCTCTCCCTCCCTTCTAACCTCTGACAAGTGATCTTTTTATTGTTTCTGTAGTTTGCCTCCTCCAGAATGTCATATAATCAAAATCATACAATATGTGGTAGCCTTTTCAGCTTGGCTTGTTCCACTTCGTAATATGTAGCACAAGTATTTTATGCATACTTCACACTTTACCTTGCAGAATACTAAAAACAGACCTACTAAATGGTCAAGGTACAATAAAATTAATAATGTTATACTTTATCGTGTCTGTTGAAATGGAAGTTTTTAAAACTGTTAGTGCATGGCAATGGAAATACACTGACTGTAGTATAATTTCATGCCACTGCTTTGATGTGTGCTAATGGGCCATCAGTTTAACCCACCACTAATTAAAAGGCAAGCAATGTCTTAGTGTTGTTATATGGATAGTTTTCAAATTTGGGCTCCCTAGAAGGGTCTTAAAGACTCCCAAAGTTTCATGGACCATTCTTTAAAAATTGCTGTAACCGTATGTTTTACATATTGGTCACTCTAGTCCTGTCTCTTTTCATTTCTTCCCTATTTAGAAAACTAAAATAAATTACTTATTAAGATTGTTTAAATTTAAATGTGCTTAACCTTAAATGCACTGGTTGAATGCTCATTTTCTGGTGATTTCAGTTTTTCCCCCTACCATACTCATAGACAAGAGGCCTTAGTGAAGACAGTTTACATTCGATCATACTGCTGCCAGTAGATGAACTCAGGAGAGTATCCTGTTTAATGTTTAGCCTCAAGTAATAAGTTTCAAACGCATACATGGAAGAGTAGTCAGGCTGACGCTGTATGCCTGGACTCTGAAATTGTAGACCATTATTGGCATCTGACATTTTTTTAAAGTATCAGTTTGGCACCATTTTTACTCATAAAAAACAGACACTCAGACTCACACCTTAATAGATACATTATCTGGGAAAAGAGAAAGTAGCCTTTTAGTACCTTGTTGCACATAAACTGGGCTTTATGTATAGAAAGTTACTTTACACGGATAATAAACCAAACATAAAATGGTTATTTCTGGCAGCTAATTTACCTTTATAGTTTATAGAGGTGCCTTCTTTATAATGTACTTTCAGATTCTACTTTCCCTGAGTTCAGTAATCAGTGTCAATTACTGCTGGTTTCCATAGAAACAAGATAACTAAAATCTTCATTCATGGGCCAGTTTTACAAGTAATGTAGACTTTGGAATGACTGTACCAATGACCTAATCCTTGAAGCAGGTGCCAATAAATTTAACCCCTTCAAATGATGTTTAAAGTTTCGTGCATAGGTTTTGCTAATAATAGATCTACATATTTAAACACTATGATCTATAGTTCAGATACTAAGAGGGGATTAATCCACCCTACCCTTAAGGGATATCAAATGAATTGTATCATTTGGAAGCAGCTGTTGAGCAGTCACAAAACCTGAGTTGTTAGTATCCTGACTACAGTTCATCAGGAGCTTATTGTTCTTCCCAACGTTAAGGAAAGTTCAGATTTTTCTTGAAAAAAAAAAAATTGTCTTTTAGAAAGACTTTCTGCGTTGCTCCAAAAAGTGAGAAAATAGAAACACTAGTAAGGCTAAATTAATATTGCTAATTACATTGCTTTAAAATATATTCATATTATCAAGTGGTGATGCCAATTGTATAAGTAATTGCTTATTACGTTGTTTTAAAACTCCCTGAATTTCTAACATAAATTTAGTGTGCGGAACTCCTTTAATACTTATTTTCTTCATGTTTGCCGTGGTTGTACATGGATAAGGCATTCACATTCCATTTATAATACATACTAATTAATTTCATAATTAAAATATAATTAAAATATAATTACAAAGAAAACGCAAATCAGAGTTCTTTCAATTAACGTATCTCATTAGAGCTGGGATCTTTTTTTTTTCAGCATTATATCTTTCTTTAAACCATTTTCCAGCTTCCAATTTTGTTTTGTTGGCATTGTTTCACATTGTGGAGATTATTGCTACATTATTAGATTTTCACATTCTCTCTCTCAATAATATGAGCTAGCAGTAGAGAACTAAACTTCATCTCAACTTGTTCGAGGGATTGTGGAATGACATATTATCTGGTCTTGAGATACACTAGAAAGGTGGAAGAGTATGAGTTTTTTGACTCTGAACTCCATACACATTTTAACATGAGTAACAGTAAAGCATCATATTTCTTCTCTTTGCTTAAGCACATGGTGTCACCTCTCCCATTTTGGAATCAACCCTGCTGGGGGGTCCTGTGATATGATGGTACCTCACATTATGTTGCAGGATATAATTTCCAGTCATCAAAGGTGCTCTATCTGTGACACTAAAGTTAAACCAAACCTCACTTACTCTTAGAGCAGATTACGTCTCTGTTCATAGGTTTGGTTTCAAGTAAAATGTTTGCATCACTGTCATGTGCCTCAATGAGGTTATTTGTCTCACATTTGTTAATGTCACGAGTTTGCCATAGATTGAGCTCACTGTTATCTAGCATTTCAAAAGCAAGTTTTAAAAAAAAACCAGCAGGGCCCAGCTGAAATATTTTCTTTCAATACAGCCAAGCCGCAGGCATAAAACACAATAGTAAAATATACAGTGGAACAAAGTAAAAGGCCTTTATAACAGATCTTTGTTATGCCACTGCAAGTATTTCATAACATCAGCTACTGTCTTTCTCAATTGACATCATATAGGTCTCAGTTAATGAAAAGAGACATGGAGCATATTGCATCAGATAGATGCTGGACAGGAAACAGAAAATGGATCATGTATCCAGGCCCCCTAGCTAAAGCAGTCAAACCTCTGAATAGCAAAAGGACTAATGTGTTTTAGCTGTTCTCCCTTCCAGCCATAAACCCGAGAGCAATATTGAAAGTGTTTTTTTTTTCAGGCTGCTCACCAACCCCCTACCTACCCCATCCCATCGTGAAAGCCAGTCAGCAAGGATCAAAAACATTTCCTTTTAAATGAATCATGGCAATCCAATAAAGATGCAACACACAGATTATGTTCAAATCAATGACAGAACCAAAGCCAGTATCAGCAGGCCTCAAGAAACAAAAATTGCTCACAGTCAGGGGGTGTCCATCCAATAATGAGCTCTGCGGCTAAACACAGAGCACATGCTATGTTCTGGGCAAAATCCCTCAAGCTTCCACTATCCTGGCTTCTTTAAGTAACTTTGGGGTGTTGTAGTATTGTCCTCATTCATACCCTCGTCAGATGCGCCATGACAGCTTAGCTTAGCTTTCCAAAGGGGGTCTCCAATGACATAGTTATAGTCAGGAAACAGGCAGACAACTGTAATACCAATATCTGGAAATAATTGTTAAAATAAATAAGGGACAGAATTGATTTAGAAGAATCAATTCCTATGCATGACCATTTAGAACGCTGAAAAAATGAACACAGAGAAGATTTTTAAGTGTCCTGAGCACTTGCCAACAATTACCTATCAATTGTTTCTATATACTGTTCATTTTAAATATTGGAAGAGGAAAGAGATACTTTTCTGTCTGAAAGGCAAAAGGATAAACATAATTGTTGTGTGTTTTTTTTTTACTACTATATATCTACCATACTTTTTCATTCTGTTAAGGTATGTAATAGCATCTGAAGACCTCTTTGATATCCTTATCCATCTTTCCTCTGGCACTTGCTATTATTCTTTTCATATAACGCTGAGAGCTAACGTTCCTAGTGGCACAGCAAGCATACAAATGATGATATGTATGCTAAGGCAAGAATGAAAGGAAAAAAAAAAAAGATCAACCATCCATCAGTAGAATCACAGAATACATTTCGGAAGACCCAGGTTTTCATGCCAGAGTCACACTAACTAGTTGTATGATTTCAGACATTCATTTATCCTTCAAGAGTGTTAGTTTCTTCAGCAGCCACCTCTTTTCATCTCTGAATTTTCATTTTCAAATCTAAGAGTATGCTTCCAATTAAGAGAAAAGCAATTGCGAGTCTCTCACCGTTAATCAAAAGAAAGTTTATGGCCCTGAAACCCTTTCAAGAGCATTTCATGTGTTATATAAAGATTTGACAACAGTTGATCTACCACAGTCTATTTTTCCTCCTTCATATTAAAGAAATTATATGAATATGAGTCACCTTATTTAATCCATTACCTGCTAATAGCCTCCTTTATGATTAGCCCAAAGGTCAAAAATAATAACCAATAATCAGCTGCTTATTAGAAAACTGTCTGCTTCTGAAGACACTCCTACTTCCTCTCAGTTCAACAGCCCATTGTATTTCATGTTCATATGCCCAGGGTTGACTGATCTCTCTGAGGAGTCACAGCATATGGTGCAGTTATTCTCTCTGGGAGGATAGAACCAATTTACTCCAAATAGAAAGGACTTATCAGATCTAGACAGATCTTTAAAACACCTGTAAGATAATTTGGATTCACAGCAGTAACAAAATAGCAAACAAATTTCCCTCTCCAGAAAATGATAAATTACTGTGTTTCATTGAGCAGACTTTTCCTTATCTGATTTGTTTTAAAAATGATAAATAGGTCTCCATAAATCTGAAGGAAACCCAGGAGTCACCATCTACCTAATTGAATCAGAGCTTATATGATTCAAAGAGATAAGAACACATTAAACAAATGAAGATATTTTATATTGCAAAAGAGGATATAAAATCCACCTTTCAAGGATACAGGGTAAAACATGAATGCTCAAAATAGGTAAAGTATCAAAATTGAAGTGTAATTAGTGATAACTATCTCCATTTATGAATAAAACCTGCTTGAAATCTCAGTTTTACATTTGCAAATATTCTGACCAGTTTTATTATGATTTCCTTGTACATTTATTTATTGAATACCTAGTTCCTTGCAATTTATAATGATATCTTGTGTTAGAAAAATTTTCTTTCTGTTCATGACCTTAGTGTGACCCATTATCAAGTATGAAATGTTCCATGATTCTTACTTTCATCTTTTTAGGAGAAAAGTCCTCCTTAAACTATACATTTCTTTCCAGGTCTTGCTGTCGCATTTAGCTAACTTCCTCTCATATTTTGCTCTCCTCTTGGGCTCTGCTGTCTTCCATCTTCTGGCTGCACTCACAGAGACCCCTTATTTCACTGCCTCTTAAATTTTTGTTATTGTTTTTTGTTGTTCTTGTTGTTTTTCTAAGTTCTGTTCAATTATTCTCAATGAGAGTACACTACCTTCTTCTCTGAAAATTTCTGGACAAATGTTGGGCTTTTAGATTCTGCTCTGGCTGATTATTCCTGCCACGAGGCAGGAGTAAATCTGAAAAGTCATGGTGACTTAAAGGAGAAGAGTCTGGTTTCCCTAGACAAGCAAAGAGTCAGTTTCCAATTGATTGTCATGAATAATGACATAAATACCATTTGGAATCAGAGATCCTTGATATATAGAAGTGTCTTGATATATAAAAACAAAAATCTGTCTTTCGCATGAGACTGGCAGATAATGGTTTTATTTCTTATCTAGAGACCTTTCAAAACAAAACAGAATCCCTTCTTCTAAGATAGTTAAATGGATACCACATAAAATCAAAGAATCATTTTCAATTTATGGTTATATTCATACGTCTCTGCATTTTAAGGGAAATGAGGGTAAGAAAAGAAATAAATAATAAGGTGAAAAAACATAGGTCTGAACAAGCTAAGGCATGTGTAGTGTCATCAAAAGGGGCATCACCTCAGAGGAGCCACAGGAGGCATTTGAAAACATAAATCAGATCACAACACAAGCCAACACAAACTTCTTCAAGGACTTTCTATCCTATGTCCTATTTAGGACATAATTGGCTGTGTCCCCACTCAAATCTCACCTTGAATTGTAGTAATTCTCATGTGTCAATGGCGGGGCCAAGTGGAGATAATTGAATCATGGGATCAGTTTCCCCCATACTGTTCTCCTGCTAGTGAATAAGTCTCACCAGATCTGACGGTTTTATAAAGGGGAGTTCCCCTACACATGCTCTCTTGCCTGCTGCCATGTAAGATGTAACTTTGCTCTTCCTTTGCCTTCTGCCATGATTGTTGGGCCTCCCCAGCCACGTGGAACTGTGAGTCAATTAAACCTCTTTTCTTTATAAATTACCCAGTCTCCAGTATGCCTTTATTAACAGCATGAGAACAGACTAATAAAATCATCCTAGCTGCTTGTTTATGATCGACAAAGTCCTACATTATCTGGTCCTTACCAGTATCTCCAATCTCATATGATTTCTTCCCGTAACCCAAATCCTGTCCCCCAGTGATCCTCTGGAGCTTCACATGCCTTCTCTTGACTCTTGAGCAAGCTAAACTCACTTCCATTTTAGTTTTGTAGCACTGGCTGCTCCTTTTTTTTTTTTTTTTTTTTTCTTTTTCTGCAATACTCCACCTCCAAATCTACCCAAGAGTCACTCCCTCACTTATGCTGGTATATGACCTCCTCAGGAACACCTTCCTCAATCCTTCTATTAGGAATAAAGACAAACTTACCTTACAAACACTCCCTAGACTTTTTTATATTTCATTTTTTGATAACACTATAGAAAATAGTTTCTAGCACAAAATGGACTATCAAAAATTATTTTTTGTGAATGGGAGTTCACTCATGATTTGGCTCTCTGTT